>NC_000006.12:53934102-54579785 GCF_000001405.40 Homo sapiens | reverse complement strand
TGTACATACATAAGAAAGAATGTGTATTGAGCTTCCACTAAGTGCAAAGCTCTATAACAGGCATCGTGGGGGATTCATAGAAAAGTGAGATACCAATGAATGTCCAAGTGTTCCCAGACCAAACTGAGGGCTGGGCTGCTATTTCTTGTGGCCCAATAACAAGATGCAGATGAAGAAAGTTTTATTTTCTGCAACCGGTTATGGGAGAAGGCCTAGAAATTATTGCCAGACCAACTCAATATTACAAACTTCTCCAGAGCTTATATACCTTCTAAGCTATATGTCTACGTCTAAGTGTGCATTCGTCTAAAGACATAAATGATTAACTTCTTTTAACCTATAACTGAGGTCTGAGTCTGGAAGAACTTCCCCTGGAGCCTCAGTAAGCTTACTTAATCTAAATGGGTCTTGATCCTGGGGTGATTACCATTATCATTTCTCCTACTAAATCATAAAGGTTTTGAGAGTTCCTTTAGGCCCCAATAAACTTGTTTGTGCAGGCCTGGGAAGTTTCTTCAGACCCCCAATAAAACTTGTTTAATTCTTAAAGGATGCTGTTAAGAATTCCTTTGTTATCTTGTCACGCTTCAAGGCCCAGGAAAAGCCTAGGCAAAACTCTTTGTGGGCTTTTTGTTACATTCCAGCCTTTGTATAAGGGCACTGGCTCAATCAGCTTTTAATGTTTGACCTAGTTACTCAGTCAGCGCTGGGACAGTTGTAATGAAGGCCTGTATTAGTGAGACCTGGTCTGCCACATAAGGTGTCAAAAGCTTTAGTAAATCACTCTTTTGCCTTTAACAAAGCTAGCTTTCTTTTTCATTACAATACTTAGACATTTATAAACAAACACAATTACTAATTTTTTAAACAATTAATTTAGAAGTTAAATATATTTTGTAAAAATATTTATACCTTGGAACGCTTCTGTTTCACTCATTTCTTTTTAACCATATTCTTCTTTTTATATTTAAATGTAACACCTTTTATAATAAAACTCATTCTTATCTCTTAATGTTTTCCATGCCTGCCTTTTCCCAAAACTCCAGAACCTCTTCCCAACTTTTTAAAGGTAGCTTTCTTTCATTTTTTTCTCTCTAGGGAGAGAGCTGATCAATTCCATCCTAATCAGAGAGTAGGCATTAAGTTGTCTTTTTAGCATTCTAAATTAGATTGCTCAACACCAAGCATCCCTGCTGTATTCCCCCTGACATCCACGTTTCTTCCCCCTCCTCTTGGCAAAACAGGAGACAAAAATTATGCAGCAGCATGAAGCCTCTAGTCTGAATGAAAATTCTGTAATTGTCTTTTCCCAACCAGCAAGTTCTCTGGCAGACAGCTTCTAAATTGCCTTAAGCTCCCCTCCCAGAAGATATGCTAGATGCTTACTAATTAATTTGAACTGAATGGGCCGTTAGCAACCCTCATTCACAGAATTAAATCTCAGTGCTTTGTAGATTTGAAAAACTATACCCTCCAACGAGAGTGTAACATGTTCCAACCTGGATAACATTTATGGGCAGAAAATAGTTTCTATATGCAGCAAGTTCAGCCTCACTATTGTAGATCATACGACAAAGAAAAGGATGTGAAAAGCTAGCTTATGGAGAACTTCAGACATTAAACGGAGTCACTTAGCTTTAATTCAACAGATTTTTTAGGTGCCGATTATATGTAATAACACAATAAGAAAGCATTTGACCATAGTTTATGTATTGTTTCTGAAAGTCTGGAGATTTCATTTATTATTTATTTTTATGTAGTTGATCTTCAAGAATGGGGAAATACATCAGATTCTAAAAGAAGAAAAACTGAAATATCATTTCAGATGCTCATAAAAATGTTAGAAGTGGATGAATGTTAGTTATAAAAGGGGAAAATGATAGTTGCTCAGGAATATTTAGATTAATATCAACTCTGTAATGCTTACTAAAAAATAAATTATAGAAGGCACCCACCTGTAATTTATCATTATCATTACAGAAAAGAATTTTTAGAAGAAAGAATGCCAGTGATAGCATATATTACTGGAGCTGAAGTGTCTCCTGGAAATAAAAAATGTTGAGCTCCTTCAAAGGAAATATCAGGCACCTAGCTAGCTCTGAGAAGTAAATGAACAACTGAATACACAAGAAGGAAATAGTATCTTAAAACAATAGCCAGGGAAGTTAGAATCAGAAAATTTTCAGCTCCCTGTAGAAACTGAAGATAACATCTTAACGTATAGTCCCCAACGTGTTCTTCAGAAACCCGGATCCCACCAAACAGAAGATTCGCTGGCACGTAGACCTCAGATAAGAGGAAACTGAGCACTGAACTCTGACCACTGGTTATTTGTAATTTCCTCCTGAGGGGCCTAGAGGAGGTCATGCCCACCCGCCTGAGCTCACATTCTTTTCTGCTGATCCCAAATTCTAGGCAACATTTTATATCCTTAACCAATCGCAATTCAGAAAATCTTTGAATCCATCTGTGACCCATCCTTCTGCCCTCTCTTTCAGATGTCTGGCTTTTTCAGGTCAAACCAATGTATACCTTCCATGTATTGATTTATAACTTTTCCTGTAGCCTCTGCCTCCCTGCCTTTAAAAATCCTCACCTGTGGCCCGGCGCAGTGGCTCACGCCGGTAATCCCAGCACTTTGGGAGGCCGAGGCGGGCGGATCACGAGGTCAGGAGATTGAGACCATCCTGGCTAACACGGTGAAACCCCGTCTTTACTAAAAATACAGAAACAAAATTAGCCGGGCGTGGTGGCAGGCGCCTGTAGTCCCGCTACTTGGGAGGCTGAGGCAGAAGAATGGCGTGAACCCGGGAGGCGGAGCTTGCAGTGAGCCGAGATGGCGCCACTGCACTCCAGCCTGGGTGAGTGAGACTCCATCTCAAAAAAAAAAGAAAAAAAAAAAAGAAGTCCTTACCTGTAAGCTACCTGGGAATACAGGTCTGAAGCATGAACTGCCTGGTTCCCCTTGCTTGGTGCCCAGCAATAAATGCCTCATTTTTACCGATATCTCCATGTCAGCATTTGGCTTTGCTGTGCCAGTGGGAGAACCCCAGGCCAGTTGGATAAGACTGTGATAAGTGTTGGTACTTCTCTTACTACTTGCAAATGTATCTTCAAATTTATGGATGTCGGCACCTAATGGGCTTGGCCATGCTAGCACACTCTATAGTGGCTGGTTTGCCTCCATGACCCATGAGTTAACTCTAAGCCATGCCTAAGGTTTACGCAATATCTGGAAATTCTCAACTCTGGTTTCTTATTAGAATAAAGTATGGAGATTTGTAAGCATACAGAAGCCTTTCTTACTGAATGAATATCTTCAGGGGAGCCTTTACACCTGTAAATATTTAGAGTGGCATACATGATTCTGATGTGTAGCTCAGCTTGAGAACTACTGGAGTACAGCAACTCTCGAGAATGTAGTGAGAACTAAAATAAATATAATTTGGTCTCTGTGTTAAATTATATTGGGACCGGGTATACGTTACCATTTCTATGCTAAAAAACACTGGAATTAAGCAAAAATAATTTAGCTACTTACTTCAAGGAATATTTGCACTAAGAATATGTTTGTGAACTAACCAAAAAAAAAAGCTAATTTATCAAGACTAACAGCTTTTACTATTTGAAGACTCTTCCCTTATTGTGCTCAGAAGTCCAAGCTACTATGTGATAAAATCTGCTAAATCCCGATCAGCTCTTGCTTTTAAACTGGGCTTTAAATTTCTAGCTCAGGCCTTTACACCCTATAAATATCCTTCTTGACCACTACACCCCTTTGGAGAAAGTTTTAAGGCTGTCAAAATGGTGTTCCTCTGATGGTGGTAGGAATAAACCTAGCTTTGCTTGATCAACCTGTATTTTGGTAAACTTGAAGTCACTCAATTGCATAAATTATATATTTCATAACAATCACCTTATTTTATAAAAATATAGAGTTTGATTGAAAGGCACAAACTACCTAGTTATAATAAACTGACACCTGGAATTAATCTGGCATTTTTGCAAATGGTCTCTTAGTTTTTCCTATCTACAGAAGATTTTGTTCTTACATGAACTCTAGAAATCCTTCAAGCTTTAATATTCCAGAACTTCCTTGTGTAATCTTTTGACCCGAGTCAGCTGTCAAAAATCTCTAAGTATATATAATCTGCTTATTATACCTAAAACCTTAAATAATTCAAACTTCTTACTCTCCCAGGAATCCAGAATCCCTGATATTTTTCCATATCGGAGGTCATTCTGTTGCTGCTTTCATCTGTTAATGTATTTCACAAATAGAATTAAAAATCAGAGAAAACACCATTTTCTATAAAAACCCTGTGCTAAACCAATCAAGAAAATATTACATATGGCAATTAGGCAATGACAACATTTACTCTAGCTTCATCTTGCTCCTTTCTTTAAAACAGCCAGTTTCTATTTACTTTATACAGAAATAGCACAATGTTACTCTAATTCTCACTCTGGGCCTGACTTTAGACAAAATTTTTTTAAAAAAGGAAAAAACTTGAGAAAGTACATCTGAACTCATGACCTGAGACACCAAAACGGAAAGTAATTCAAGACTAAGAAACTCTTCAAGGAAAAAGGAAAAAATAATTCAGTTAAAAAAAAAAAAAAGAATCTGAGAGAAACACTGGGGTACATATAAAAAAGACAAATAGGGAAATCCCATGGGACCGATGAGCTTAGACTTTTAAAGGACACCTATAAAAGATCATTAGGAAGGAATGTGATAACAGAGGAATGATGTGAAAGTCCAGAAGGAAAGCATAAGAATAATAATCTGGAATAAGATTAATGTTGCCACACAAAAGAAAAATGACATTAAAGTTAAATTTGGCAATAATCGCCTTTTAAGTTATGTGTATAATATGAAGAAGAAAAGACACTGAACTTGAAAAACTGGATGGGGCAGTTACAACTCCTCTTGGAAGTATGTGGCTAAAGCTCAAAATCTTTAAAATCTTTTCAATCAACTTCACTAAACCTCAGATATCTAATTATCTTATTCATAAAGTTTTCCATCATTCCATATTTAAGATAAAGATACACCATAAAAATAAATTTTTACCATATACATTTGTGACCTACTAGTTGAGGCTTTGGGACATATCTGGTTTAAAGCAATGAAGCAAGAAATTGGAGTCACACAACACCTGAGCTTAGGAGGATATTTACACTGGATCTAAGGACCTGCAGTCAAGCTGCATGTTCAGATACAAGTATGATATGTGGCACTGTGTATGCTAGGACTCTATGGCATATTTTAAAAGAAATGAGCATTAGATTTATCCATTATTGTAATTTATTTCTGACTTTATCTTACGAGAATTTGAGAATCAGTAGTTGTGTAGGGAAAAAATTCTCTCCCACCGTGTTTTTCTTCTGCTCTCATACCATCACAACAATTATCAACATAGAAGACTTCTGTAACTAAAGGTATAGGAGGTTGTCCCCTACACACCACACAGAAGACAAAAACTGGGTGTTCTTCAATTCAGTTCCAATACTACCTAGTTGGAGATAGTGTCAGATCCCACAGGTTGAGCTCAGCCTCACAAGAGAACCCCTTTCTTTCCCCCAGTCACAAGTCTGGGCCTCCAGAACTTCTGACCAACTGGCTTCAAGTTGGGGTTCCCACAATCCTCTTTGTGAATCCAATTAATTTGGTAGAGGGGCTCACAAAACTCAGGGGAACACTTTCTTATGTTTACTGGCTTATTAAGGAGGATATTTTAAAGGGATAGGGAAAGGAACATGGGGCTTTCATGCCCTCCCCAGGTGCGTCACCCTCCAGGAACCTCCACACGTTCAGATATGCCGAAGCTCTCTGAACCCAGTCTCTTGGGTTCTTATGAAGCTTCATGATGTCAGCATTCCTTCCCTAAGTGTACAGGATGGGACCCTCTCTGAAGGATCTTAAGTCTTACAATCAGAAAGGTGGGGGAAGATTAGAGTCCTGCCTTGGAGCAAGTGAGAGGAAAACAGGAGATTCTGTTTCTTGAGGCCTGCCCCTGAGACCCAACACACTCAACATTGTAATAAAAGACTGTAACAAGGGCTATATCTGTTATGAACCAGGAAACATGAATGAAAACCAATATATATTATAACACAGCAGTGGTAAAGGCAGCAAAGGTGTGCAATGAGTGTGGACACCTAAATCTACCAACAGACTTCTGAAGACCTATGGAAAGATGCTTTACAAGACTTAGATACTACACTGACTGGGATAGCAAGAATCAATATTGTGAAAATGACCATGCTGTCAAAAGCAATCTACAAATTCAATGCAATTCCTATCAAAAACCACCACCATTCTTCACAGAAAGATTGTTTAGAAAAAACAATCCTAAAATTCATATGGAACCAAAAAAGAGCCCACATAGCCAAAGCAAGACTAAGCAAAAAGAACAAGTCTGACTTTAAACTACACTGTAAGGCTACAGTCACTAAAATAGCATGGTACTGGTATAAAAATAGGCACATAGACCAATGAAACAGAATAGAGAACCCAGAAATAAAGCAATATACTTACAGTACACTGAACTTCAACAAAGCAAACAAAAACAAAAAATATAAAGTGGGGAAAGGCCACTCTTTTCAACAAATGGTACTGGGATAATTGGCAAGCCACATGTAGAAGAATGAAGCTGGATCATCATCTTCACCTTATATGAAAATCAACTCAACATGGGTCAAAGACTTAAATCTAAGACCTGAAACCATAAAAATTCTAGAAGATAACGTTGGAAAAACCCTTGTAGACATTCACTTAGGCAAAGACTTCATGACCAAGAACCCAAAAGCAAATGCAACAAAAGCAAAGGTAAATAAATGGGACTTAATTAAACTGAAAATCTTCTACACAGAAAAAGAAATAATCAGCAGAGTAAACAGAAAAAAAAGAGCAAAAGAAATAATCAGCGGAGTAAATGGTTTGTAAAAATCTTCACAAACTATGCATCTAACAAACGATTAATATTCAGAATCTACAAGGAACTCAAATTATCAAGGAAAAAAAACAAACAATACCATCAAAAAGTGGGCTAAGAACATTAATAGACAATTCTCAAAAGAAGTATATACCCAAAGGATTATAAATCATTCTACTATAAAGACACATGCACACTCATGTTTATTGCAGCACTGTTCACAATAGCAAAGACTTGGAACCAACCCAAATGCCCATCAATGTTAGGCTGGATAAAGAAAATGTGGCACATATACACCATGGAATACTATGCAGCCATAAAAAAGGAAGCATTCATGTCCTTTGCAGAGACACAGATGAAGATGGAAACCATCATTCTCAGCAAACTATCACAAGGACAGAAAACCAAACACTGCAGGTTCTAACTCTAAAGTGGAAGTTGAACAATGAGAATACATGGACACAGGGAGGGGAACATCACACATCAGGGCCTGTCTGGGGGTGGGTGGCTAGGGCAGGGATAACATTAGGAGAAACACCTAATGTAGATGACGGGTTGATGGGCATAGCAAACCACCATGGCACGTGTATACCTATGTAACAAACCTACATGTTCTGCACATGTATCCCAGGACTTCAAGTATAATAAAAAAAAAAATTAAAAAAGAAGATATACAAATGGCCAAAAACAAAAACCATGAAAAACTTCTCAATATCATTAATTATCAGGGAAATACAAATCAAAACCACAATGTGATAGCACCTTACTCCTGCAAGAATGGCCATAATCAACAAATCAAAAAATAGATGTTGATGTGGATGTGGTAAAAAGGTAACACTTTTACACTGCTGGTGGGAATGTAAACTAGTACATTACTATGGAAAACAGTATGGAGATTCCTTAAAAAAAAAAAAAAAACCAAAAAACTAAAAGTAGATCTACCATTTGATCCAGCAATCCCACTACTATATCTACCTAGAGAAAAATAAGTCATTATACGAAAGAGATACTTGCACACAATGTTTATAGCAGCACAACTTGCAATTGCAAAAATATGGAATGAGCTCAAATGTCCATCAATCAACAAGGGTTTGATAAAGAAACTGTGGGGTGTGTGTGTGTGTATATATATATGAATATATATGTGTATGTATGTTTATATATATACACATATAAAATGGAATACTACTCAGCTATAAAGAAGAACAAAATAATGGCATTTGCAGCAACCTACATGGAAGGGGAGACCATTGCTCAGGAATGGAAAATCAAACATTGTATGTCCTTACTTGTAAGTGGGAGCTAAGCTATGAGGATGCAAAAGCATAAGAATGATACAATGAACTTTGGGGACTTTGGGGCAAGAGTGGGAGGGGGGTGAGGCATAAAAGACTGGACATTGGGTACAGGGTACACTGCTTGGATGATGGGTGCAGCAAAATCTCAGAAATCACCACTAAATAATTTATCCATGTAGCCAAACATCACATGTTACCCAAAAACCTATTGAAATACAAGAAAAAGATTTTTAAAAAGCAAAGGAAAAAGAGAATATTAGACTTCTATTGCGTACTTCCCAGACAAGAACAAACCTTTTGAAACTATAGAAAGTAAAACACAGGCAAGCATTAGTTAAAATTCAAAATAAGTAAATGATCTATAAAAAAATCACCAGGAGACCTCTAGTTTCAGCTCTGATCTTACCATTAGAAAAAGCTAAAAGTTGAAAATCAAAAACTCGTTTTGGCCCCAACAGGATACGGAGGTTGTAGGACAAAATCTAAAGAGAAAGGCATACCCAGAGAGACACAGCAGATATCTGCTTACTTGGAGCAGAAAATCAGGAACTATAAACTGCTGGGAACACTTCAATGGTAATTTTGATAAATTGCTGGAGGCTGAGTTTGACCCAGTGTGAGAGTAAGAAACTCCTGGGGCCACAGTTTTAGAGGCACCACTACACTTTCATGCATTTTACCTCCAGGAAACCCACCAGGTCCTCAGAGCAAAGAACCAGAAAGACTCCCTTGTGTCTCTGAGAGAGAGGAAAATTCATCTTTGTGAAGTGCATCCTGAGAATTCTCCATAATGAAGGTGTATTCTTCATGGGAAAATACTTTATCAGATCCTTACCCATCTGGAAGGAAGACATTTCCCCTCTTATTGACTCTTTATAAGTGTGTTTTTTACAATAAACACTTGTAAAAGTCACAACCCATGGACACAGATCTAGTAACAAACTGAGATTTAATTATAAGATTATGCTGTAGAATCTTCCCCTTCCCTATACCTTACCACTGTATTAAAAGAGCTCCAATACAATCACAGTGGATTAAAGCTGAAAGATCTGCAAGACACAGACTGTATTTAAGAAGAGGCTCTCAGAAAATTCCAAAGACAGGAGGAGAGAAAAAAGCAAGGGCACTAGAGTAATTTGAAGACCCTGGCACTTGCAGCTACAACAAACATTAAAAACAGTCTAACTCCTAGACAGATCAACTTAAAACCTTATGCTAAAGTCTATTTACTCAATTCCTATTATCTAATACATCATGTGTGGTTATCAGTGAAAAATTAAAAGACATGCTAAAAGGCAAGAAAAAATACAAGCAGAGAAGACAAAGCAAAGAGAAGAATTCTCAGATATGACACAGATTTTGGAATTATCACACAGAGAATTTAAAATAACTATAATATTTTAAGACCTCTAAAGAAAAAATAGTCAATATATGTGAAGAGATGGCTAATTTAGTAGTGAGATGGAAACTAAGAATCAAAAGAAAATACTACAAATCAAAACAATAAGAGAAATTAAGATGTCTTTGGAGGGCTTATCAGTAGACTGGAAATAGATGCAGAATGAGTGAGGTTAAGGACACACCAAGAGAAATTTCCCAAATTGAAATGCAAAGAACAACAACCAAAAACAAACAAACAAAAAAAAACAGAACTGAATATCCAAGAATGGGAGGACAATCAAAAAAGGTATAAATACACATAATTGGAATACCAGAAGGAGAAGGAAGAGAACAGAGGCAAAGAAATGTTTGAAGTAATATTGGCCAAAAATTTTCCAAAATTAATTACAGATATCAAAGCATAGATCTCAGAAGCTCAGAGAATATTAAGAAGGACAAATACCACAAAAATCTGTAGGTAGGCATATTATATTCAAATGGCAGTAAACCAAAGACAAAGTAAAAATCTTAAAAGAAGGTAGGAGAAAAATACTTTACTTACAGAGGAACAAGGATAAGAATTATAGCAGATGCAGGAAGCTCTGAGAATAATAAGCAGGATAAACACACCCACAGAAATTACACCTAGGCACATCATGTTAAATTGCAGAACACGAAAGATAACAGAAAATATTGAAAGAAGCTGGCAAGGGGTGGGGTGGAGTGGAGTGGAAGGTGGGGAGATACCTACTTATAGAGGATTGAGGAAAAGAATTTCAACAGACTTTCATCTGAAGCCATACACACAGAAAGAGAGTAGAATAAAATATTTAAAGTCCTAAGATGTGGGGTGGAGGGGGCGGGAGACCATACCAGGATAGGATTCTCCATCCAGATAAATTATTTAAAGTCCTAAGATGTGGGGTGGAGGGGGCGGGAGACCATACCAGGATAGGATTCTCCATCCAGATAAATTATCTATATGAAGGAGAGCTAAAGTCTTTCTCAGAAAACACAAACAAACAAGCAGACCAGACCTGCCTTGCAAGAAATGTTAAAAGAAATGATGCTTCAGGGAGAAGGAAGTATATAGGTCAGAAATGAGGATCTACATAAAGAAAGGAAGAACTTCGGAGAAGAAGAAATGAACATAAGAGAAAATATTTTACTTTTCTTATTCTTAGTTGGTCTAAAAGATAACTGTTTAAAGGAGTAATAGTAATAATAATAAAAGTAATAATAATAATGTGTTGTGCGATTTTGACACATGGTTAAGTAAATGAGTGACAGTAAGGCCAGCAGTGACGAGGAGGAATTGGGAATACTCTATTAAAAGATATCTGCATGAAATGTGAAGCAGAATAGTGTTATTCGAAAGTGGATTAAGATTCATTCAAAATGTATAATGTAGAGCAACCATTAATTTTTTATTAAGTAGCATGTATAACTGATATACTAAGAGAATAGAGAAAATATAGCCATATAAAACGCTCAATTAAAACCAGAGAAAGCAGAAAAATAGTGAAAGACAAAAAAAAATAGAAACAAAACAAATGGAAAAAAGTCACAAATATAGTAGATATTAGTCCAACTATATCAATCATTATACCAAATGTGAGTCATCCAAACATACCACTTAAAAGATGTAGAGTGTCTGAGTGAATTAAAAACAAACAAGTAAGCAAACAAACAAAAAGACCCAAGTATTTGTTGACTCCAGGAGACTTACCTTAAATATAATGATACAGATATAGTAAAAATAAAGGGTTGGATAAAGATTTAGCACTCTAACACTAACAAAAGAAAGCTGAAATACTTATATTAATTTCAGACACAGCAGACTTCAGAACAAGCAAAATTATCCGAGATAAAGAAGGGTATTACATAATAATAAAGGAGTCAATTCTCCAAGAAGACATAGTAATTCTTAATACAAGTGCATTTAACAATAGGTCATTAAAACCATGTAAGACAGCTGTGGTGGCACACACCTGAAATCCCAGCTACTCAGGAGGTTGAGGCAGGAGAATTACTTGAGCTCAAGAGTTTGAAGCCAGCCTGAGCAACTTAGTGAGACCTTGTCTCAAAAAAAAAAAAGGTAGAAAAAAAATGCGACACAAAAACTGGTAAAACATGCAAAGAAAAATAGACAAATCCACTTTCATAGTTGGAGATTTCAAAATTGCTCTTTCAGTAATGGATAAATCAAACAGGCTGAAATCAGTAGGATTTATTTGACTTGAACAAAACAGTTAATTGACTTGATCTGACATTTATAGAATATTTGATTTAATAACAGCAGAATACATATACTTCTCAAGCTGGCGTGGAACATTTATTAAGATTTACCAAAACCTGGACCTTAAAATTCACCTTAACAAATATAGAAGAATTGAAATATTACAAAGTATGTATTTCATACCCAGTGGAATTAATTCCAAATCAATAGCAAAAGGAAAGCTAGTGTATTATCCAAGTATTTGTAGAACAAAGAACCTACTTTTAAATAACACATGAGTGAAGAAAGTATCAAAAGAAATTAAAAAGTATTTTGAACTAAATGAAAATAAAAATACAATGTATCAAAATTTGTCATATGCAGCAAAAGCAGTGCTTGGAGAAAAATCTATAGACTCACATATTTAAAAAAAGAAATATCGAAGATTCCACTTTAGGAAAAAACACAAAGAAGATCAGTTGAAGTCTAAAGCAAACAGAAGCAAAGAAATAATAAAAATCAGAGAAATTAATGGTAAGAAAAAATAGAGAAAAACAAAAAAATTAGCTGGTTCTGAAAAGATCAATACAACTGATACACTTCTAAACAGAGTAACACAAAAGAAAGAAGCTACAAATTACTAACATCAGAAATGAAAGAGGAGTCATCACCATAGATTCTAGGGACACTAAAAGGAAAACAAAGCAATACTGAGAACCAGCTTTATGCTCACAAATATAACTTAGGAAGACCTTTCTAACAAATTAGAGCCTTCAAACACAGAATTGTTTTCTTCATAGAAATTTTTTTTTTACTTTCTAAAATATCTCCATGGTTGTTTTATTAATACACAATTAATAGATGTCATATGAAATAGAGAAAACCAAAATGAAGAAGAAGATGCAATCTATATTCTCAATGTCAGAGAAAATATTTGCTAGTATTTTGGCAGACATACCTCTGAATTTTATGTATGTAGATATAGATACATAGCAAAACTGATGTAATGCAGTATATACATTTTTAAGTTGTAGTAAAATGCACATAACAAAATATCTTAACCATTTTAAAATGTACTGTTCAGTAGTGTTAAAATGCATTCACACTTTTGTGCAACCAGTCTGCAGAACCATCTTGCAAAACTGAAACTCTATATACATTAAACAACTCTTTATTTCCTCTCGTCTAAGTCCTATATAATGTTTTATAAACCTTTTAACTTATTGATATGTTGTCAAAGACACTCATCATTCATTTTGATATCTGCATTGGATCATAATTGATTTAGTTATCAAACTATTTTTGAAATGTTGATGTTTTAGTCCTCAAACATTCTTAAACTAAATATTTTTACACACTCCTCATTATTTTCTTGAGATAAACTCTTAGAAGTGCAAATTCTGCACCCCTTATTATTCTTTTTTGAATTTATTATTATTATTATTATTATACTTTAAGTTTTAGGGTACATGTGCATAATGTGCAGGTTAGTTACATATGTATACATGTGCCATGCTGGTGTGCTGCACCCATCAACTCATCATTTAGCATTAGGTATATCTCCTAATGCTATCCCTCCCTACTCCCTCCACCCCACAACAGTCCCCAGAGTGTGATGTTCCCCTTCCTGTGTCCATGTGTTCTCATTGTTCAATTCCCATCTATGAGTGAGAACATGCGGTGTTTGGTTTTTTGTCCTTGCGATAGTTTACTGAGAATGATGATTTCCAATTTCATCCATGTCCCTTCAAAGGACATGAACTCATCCTTTTTTATGGCTGCATAGTATTCCATGGTGTATATGTGCCACATTTTCTTAATCCAGTCTATCATTGTTGGACATTTGGGTTGGTTCCAAGTCTTTGCTATTGTGAATAGTGCCGCAATAAACATACGTGACTGCACCCATTATTAATCATGCACATTATTAAGGCTTTTCTCTCATTACTTAAGCTGTTAAAGTCCAGTTGGTAAGAATTTATGGATGAGAAAATTTATTGATAAGAAATTGTATCTGTGAAAAAAATAAGGCAAGTAGCAGGGACCTTACTATATCACAATACAGTATTTTGATATATTAAGTATTACAAATTGGCAACAGATGGATAAGCAATAAATGTAAGGTCAGGTGATCTGGAGTCAAATGCCCACAATGTCACCTATTACTGGAGTCTCCTGATGCATTGACTCTGTAAACCTATTTTGTCATTTTAAAGTTGGATTAATAATACCTGTTATAGAAACCTCTTATGGTTGTTTAAAGGATCAATATGAAACAAGCAGATAAAGCCCTTAGAAAATGTATATTTTCATTAGGAATAGGGCTAAATGGAAGTCACAGCCAGCCCTCAGGGAGTGTCCGCAGTATCCAAAGGAGACCAAGTAAGGCTGAGTAGGTTAGGAAACTGCCCAGTGCCATGACCAGCCATAAACTTCAATGCATGTGTTGTTTGGAGAAGCAGCTACTAAACTAAGGAAGCCTATTTTCTACTTTCTGTTGCTATATCAGAAATTACACTTCATTGTATAAATAATTATTCACCATTTTCCACAGTTTCTTTTTTTAAAAAAACTTTACGTTCAAGGGTATATGTGCAGGTTTGTTACATAGGTAAAATGTGTGTCATGGGGATTTATTGTACAGATTATTTCATCACCCAAGTATTAAGCCTAGTACCCATCAGTAATTTTTTCTGATCCTCTCCATCCTCCCACGCTCCACCCTCCAGTAGGCCCCAGTGTGTTGTTCCCCTCTAGGTGTCCATGTGTTCTCATTCTTTAGTTCCCACTTGTAAGTGAAAACATATGGTATTTGGTTTTCTGTTCCTGTGTTAGTTTGCTGAGGATGATGGCCTCCAGCTCTATCCATGTCATTACTAAGGACATGATCTCATTCTTTTCTATGGCTGGATAGTATTCCATGGTGTATATGTACCACATTTTCTTTATCCAGTTTATCATTGATGGACATATGGGTTGACTCCATGTCTTTGCTATTGTGAATGGTGCTGCAATGAACATTCACATGTAGTATCTTTATAATAGAACAATTTATATTCCTTTGGGTATATTCTGAGGAATAGGATCACTGGGTCGAATGGTATTTCTGTCTTTAGGTCTTTGAGGAATCCCCACAGTCTTCCACAATGGTTGAAATAATTTGCATTCCCACCAACAGTGTAGAAGCATTCCTTTTTCTCCACAACCTCACCAGCATCTGTTATTTTTTGACTTTTTAATAATAGCCATGCTGACTGGTGTGAGATGGTATCTCATTGTGGTTTTGATTTGCATTTCTCTAATGATCAGTGATGTTGATCTTTTTTTCGTAAGATTATTGGCCACATGTATGTCTTCTTTTGATAAGTGTCTGTTCATGTCCTTTGCCTACTTTTTAATGGGACTTTTTTGTTTTCTTGTAAATTTAAGTTCCTTACAGATGCTGGATATTAGACCTTTGTCAGATGCATAGTTTGCAAAAATTTTCTCCCATTCTGTAGGTTGTCTGTTTACTCTGCTGATAGTTTTGTTTGCTGTGAAGCAGTTCTTTAGAGTCCGTGTATCGATTTTTGCTTTTGTTTCATCTTCAACATGAAATCTTTGCCCCTGCCTATGTCCTGAATGGTATTGCATAGGTTGTCTTCTGGGGTTTTAAGCTTATGTCTTAATCTATCTTAATTTTTGTATATGGTATAAGGAAAGGGTCCAGTTTCAATCTTCTGCATATGGCTAGCCAGTTATCCCAGCACCATTTATCAAATAGGGAATCATTTCCCCATTGCTTGTTTTTGTCAGGTTTGTCAAAGATCAGATAGTTGTAGGCGTGCAATATTATTTCTGATGTCTCTATTCTTTTCTATTTTTCTATGTGTCTATTCTTGTATCAGTACCATGCTGTTTTATTACTGTAGCTCTGCAGTATAGTTTGAAGTTGGATTGTGAGATCCCTCCAGCTTTGTTCTTTTTGCTTAGGACTGTCTTGGCTATTCAGACTCCTTTTTAGTTCCATATGAATTTTAAAATAGTTCTATTTCTATGAAGAATGTCACTGGTAGTTTAATGGGAAGAACATTGAATCTACAAATTGCTTTGGGCAGTGTGACCATTTTCATGGTATCGATTTTTTTCTATCCATGAGCATGGAATGTTTTTCCATTTGTTTGTGTCATCTCTGATTCTTTGATCAGTGGTTTGCAGTTCTCTTTGTAAAGATCTGTTACCTCCTTAGTTAGCTCTATTCCTAGGTATTTTATTCTTTTTGCTTCCACAGTTTCTGAGTGTTAGGAATTCAGACAAGGCACAGAAGTGACAATTGCTTGTACTATCTTTCTTAGGGCTCAGACGGAACACTTGTAGGCTGGAGACTGAAATTTTCTCTTTTTTTTCCCTCAGAGAGAAACATTTAACAGGGACTTAAAACAGAAGTGAGACCTTAGGCCACTGAGAGAAAATGAATCCCTGAACTTGCCCTCCAGAAAGTACCTTTTCTATAGCAAGCTTCTTTTAGTAAACAAACGAAGCTGCTCAGGTCATAGACACTCTTGTGAAACTCTGACCATTGGAGAGGTTCGAGAAACATCTTTATGAGGGGTTATCTATGCTACAGGTACTGTTTCTTGACCTCTCTGCAAGAACATTGGTATGTAGGAGTCAAATACTGGCATTATGGCAATTTCACTTCAAGACAGTGTTATTCTTGCCATGAAAAGGACTGCTTGCCTACATGGAGATGGAAACTTCTGAAGATTCCTTCAGTCCTATGACTGGCATCTGATGTCAGCTGTCAGCTGAGGCCCTAGTTGGACTGTCACTTGGAAAACCTATATGTGACCTTTGAAGAATGTGCCCTAATTTTTCTTACCACATTGTGGCTAGGTTCTATGGACATACATCAAGAGAACCAGGAGGAAGACTTCTTGCCTTATATGAACTAACCATGGAAGTCACGTGGCATCATCTCCACCACATTCTATAGGTTGAAGTAGTTTCAAATGCATACCCTGGTTAAAGAAAAGGGAACACAGATGACACATTTTGATGGAGGCGTTTCTATGTGTCAATGTCATATGGAAGAACATTTTATGAGATTGGCTATATCTTAGGCCATTTTTAGAAAATATAATGTGACAAAGAGCCAGAATACACAAACCCTATAACTGTTACTTTTCCCCTCCCCCATAAGGCTATAAAAGCTACACACTTCTTCCTAACTGCTCAGGAGTCATCTTGTGAAAGTGCTGATCATGAAGGGTAGAAGACGAGAAATATGACAGGTTAGAATTATTTCAAAGAAAGGCTAGCATTATAAAAAGCCACCTTTTAAATTTTTTTATATGAACTTATTTCTAAATTGGATAGGATTAACAACTAATTTTTTTACTACCCAATGCATGGGGGTTGGCAGGGAAATATTGATTAGTGATACATAAAATTTAAAAATTATATTTTCTCAGTACCTTTATTCTAAGTTGAAAATTATGATTCTGTTTTTATTGAATTGGGTTTGTAAAAAACATTACCAATGGTTTAGAGATAATTATTGATATTACAGAAAATTGCTTGCTTGCATTTAAAATAGCAAGTTGCCTGATTAGGATTAGATAGTAAAATTGTTGACATTGGAAAAGCCTCATTTGGAGTTCTGGCAGACACCTTTGAAATAGGAAATTGGTTATATTTCCATAGGCATCTATAAATATGCACTATTAAACAGAGATCTGATCATTACTTTTGGGGGAAGTTCCAAACCTATGACTGTTGATGCCCCCAGACTAAAACCTGAATATGTAGAGTTGAGAGAAATTTACTATTTGGTATTAAGATTAATTTTTGTGATTCATGCATGCCAGAATATTCAGTTAAGAAAATGGGAATTCTCAGTACCAGTATAGAAAAGTGAGAAAAGGAGGCAAGCTTTGGGCATAAAGAGATTAAAAACAAATAGTTCCCCCTTCCTCTGGCCAAGGGATACCTGGAGATTCGTTTTTTCATGTTCCTTTGAGCTGCCAGTCAGGAGTCATATATGGGCCTGTGTTATTGTTCTAATCTTTGTCTTTTGTTTTTTTCTATTTTCTTAAAGAGGTCCTAGATTGTATCTTTTATCTCCTATACTAAATTTCTTATTTTAGATATCGTATTTTTAATTCACAAAGTTTTCTTTTTGTAATTTTCCTTTTTATGCTTTTTTTAATGAATGCTCTATTTTCTCTTACCTTTCTAAGGATAGTATATACAATTGCTTTGACTTACATTTTCTTTTTTTTCCCTAAGTATTTTCTCTGTTTACTTATTATGTGGCTATTTTGGTGTTAAAGAATTTCCTCATTTGACTGGTGATTGATTTTTGACTGTGTGGATATATTTAAGATCGAGACACCAAACTGAATTGGTAGCTCTGTCAGTGGGTATCGCTCCTGGACTAGAAAGCTTCCCTGCAGGATGACAGGGTGAACAGCTACCTTTTCACTAAGGATATCCTATGTCAATATCTATAAATCCTGTTTCCTTTGGTTGTTCAGCTTTTCCAGAGAAGGATTCTCCAGTATTATCACAAGCAGTTTTAAAGCCACCTTCTGAAAGACAGAGGAAGTTTTCACACTATTCTGTATGCACACATTTACCTAATTTCTCCCTGTCCACTTTGCTCCTTGACTTCCTGTGTGCTTACCTTCTTTATATTTAGAACTTCTCTGGTCAGTTTTCTTCAGAGATTAAACACATAGTCTCCTTGGGGTTAAACAAGGGGAGTCAGCTATGTTTGTTTACAGCGGAAACCCAAAGGGTACAACTATCCCTAATAAAGTCTTTTATGGAATTTCCTAGCCCCCAAACATTCACAAATTTTATACTGAATATTACACCAACTTCCTGGGCCTTTCTGTGGTTCCATAGAGCAGATTGCCATGATTCTCACCAAACCACCCCAACAATTGCAAGAACATTGGTAAATATTTATCTTCTCCCATCTGCCTTGCATCATCATGCATTGGGATAAGAGTGTTATAGAATTCCCCTGGCTTCATTGAATCCAGAATTCATATTTCTGTTCTTTGTTCTCCTTTTCTTGAGATAATTTTTTTAAGAAAAAAGAAAAAGATATGTTCACTATACTTTTTTGAAATTGTAAATCTTGTTTTATAATAGTGTATTTTTATTAAAAAATTAATGTGCTTAAGCTAGAAGAGATTTTAAATAGAAATCACAACCTAAAAATCATCCTTAATCCTGTCACTGAGATAATTGCTATTAAAGTACATATTCTTAATTGACATATTTGTTCTCATTCTATTATATCAATCTGACCCAAAGCTAATTGTTAAACCACTCAGGTTCTCAAGATTTTATCTCACAAAACAAAAAGATTAGACCAAATAAATAAGTGAAATACACCTTTCAGAGCCTGTTTACCGTTTAATGGAATGAAGCTTTTTGTTAGAATTTCAATTATATTTATTTCTATTTATTATCCCTATTTTAGTATGGTTTTTATCAACATCAGAAAGCACTACCTACAGACATGTACTTTAAGACTTGATACTTACTTTCCATACAAAGATACAAATAAATAAACCAGGTTAAAAACAAAAACTTTCATACAGCAAAGAAAATAAAAGGTGTTAGTCATTAGTTGCTCCTCTAGGAAGGAAGAAATTATCTGTAGTTTCATTTCTCACAGCTTAGAAACAATAACACTTGTAAAGCTCACATGAACTACCTAATTAATCAATCATGATTCAGGACATTGAAAACTCCTTTCACAAGAGAGGCCATGTCTTATTTGTCCTTATCTCTTTCATGGTGCCTAGATAAATGCTTCACACATCTTGACTCCTAAGAAAAGGAAATTAAATACCTGAAAAAATACTTCTGAAAAAACTTAATAGACTATGTTTTTACATTCAGGTGAGGTTTTTCCCTTTGCTGAGATTAATTTCAATTTAGCCTAAGATATAAGGAAAAATTAATTTATTGTGCAGATGGCATTTGCAAGTTAAAATGTTTTCCTGGCTTTCCTCTGAATGAGCATTCTTTTTCTCTCTCAAGCAAAGAAAAACATCATTTCATTAAATATGTATGGAAGATGTCTAACTTTCAAAAATGCCAAAAGAAAAGTGGTATATTTGGAGTGTAATGAGTTTGGTCAATTAAAATTTTTAAATTTTAATGATTATGTTTTACTAAACAATAAATGTTTATTGCATAAAGATAAAAATACGGATGAGCAAAAACAAAGAAATAAACTTAGAACCATAATTCCAACAGTCAAAGATAACCACTGTTTATATTTTGCTCTAGTTTTTACTTATGTTTATCATACTTAAAAGCAAGGAATTGTATGATTTAAACACTAAAAAACCAGAAATGAGCCTATTTTTCTCAAAGGTCTCACAGTCAGCCTGAGGATTAAAGACCTGCTAAAGCCTCTGATATGGCCGATCAAAATAAGCACTCAATACTCATGCTCAACACAAAAGATCTGTATTATGGATTGAGGGGTTGAGGATCCTGTGATCTTACCAACTACTGGTATCCTTTAATCTCCCATCTTGCTTTCATTTTTCTCTGGAAAGAATACAACTGGATTAAGATGGAAAACCAGCGACTCATCTTGGACCATTACTTGCATATGTCTGAAACTTATATCTTTTCAAGTTAGAAAAATCGTCCAAACAAGTAGGATGTGCAATCATTCTGAGCCTGAGCAAATCCACGGTTTAGTACAAGGGTTGGCAAACCAAATTCAGCCCACTGCCTGTTTTCTTATGGCCTATGAGCTAAAATGGTTTTAAAATTTCTAAATGGTTGAGAAAAAATCAAAAGAAGAATAATACTGCCTAACACATGAAAATTATGTGAAATTCAAATTTCAGTGTCTTAAGGAAAGTTTTATTGAAATAGCCATGGCCATTCATTTATATAACATCTGTGGCTTCTTTCATGTTACAACAGCGTTAAGCAGTTAAGACAGAAATTGTAGGGCCTATAAATCAAAGCTGGCTCTTTACAGAAAAAGTCTGCTGACTCCTTGTTTAATCTTTTCATTTCACTTCTAATATCAGCATCAGGGGCTTGTCTTCCATGGCCCCTGTTATCTATGATTGATATTTTAGGATGAGTAGCTTAATCCTATTTGGCTAATTCACGTAAGACTAACTTATTAAAAGGACATCTATTTTTTAATTTGTTCAGCTGCTGTATCTTGAATAATAAAGCAAATTTTATCGAAACTAAAACAAATAGGGAAACATCTGCTAATGAATACATTTTATCTGATGCCTTTATTAAAAGGTTATATTCCAGCTATATCCATTGTATACTTTCTTATGACCTCTTTTTCCCAAGTAAGATAATCATTGAAATATCATTTTTAAAAAACACTCTTTTTTAAGTTCTGGAATACATGTGCTGAATGTACAGGTTTGTTACATAGGTATACATGTGCCATGGTGATTTGCAACACCTATCAACCCATCATCTAGGTTTTAAGCCCTGCATGCATTAGGCACTTGTCCTAATGCTCTCCCTCCTCTTTCCCCCTACCCCCTGACAGGCCACAGTGTGTGATGTTCCCCACCCCGTGTCCATGTGTTCTCATTGTTCAACTGCCACTTATGAGTGAGAACATCTGGTGTTTGGTTTTCTGCTCCTGTGTTAGTTTGCTGAAGATGATGATTTCTAGCTTCATCCATGTCCCTGCAAAGAGCAAGAACTCATTCTTTTTTATGGCTGTATAGTATTCCATGGTGTATATGTGCCACATTTTCTTTATTCAGTCTATCATTGATGGGCATTTGGGTTGGTTCCAAGTCATTGCTACTGTAAATAGTGCTGCAATAAACATACGTGTGCATGTGTCTTTATAGTAGAATTATTTATAATCCTTTGGGTGTATACCCAGTAATGAGATTGCTGGGTCAAATGGTATTTCTGGTTCTGGATCCTTGAGGAATTGCCACATTGTCTTCTACAATGGTTGAACTAATTTACACTCCCACCAACAGTGTAAAAGCATTCCTATTTCCCTGCATCCTCACCAGCATCTGTTGTTTCCAGACTTTTTAATGATTGCCATTCTAACTGGCATGAGATGGTATCTCACTGTGGTTTTGATTTGCATTTTTCTAATGACCTCAGTGATGATGAGCTTTTTTTCATATGTTTTTTGGCTGCATAAATGTCTTCTTTTGAGAAGTGTCTGTTCATATCCTTTGCCCACTTTTTGATGGGATTTTTTTTTTCTTGTAAATTTAAATTCCTTGTAGATTCTGGATATTAGCCCTTTGTCAGATGGATAAATTGCAAAAATTTTATCCCATTCTGTAGGTTGCCTGTTCAGTCTGATGATAGTTTCTTTTGTTGAGCAGAAGCTCTTCAGTTTAATTAGATCCCATTTGTCAATTTTGGCTTTTCTTGCAATTGCATTTGGTGTTTCAGTCATGAAGACTGCCCATGCCCATGTCCTGAATGATATTGCTTAGGTTTTCTTCTAGGGTTTTTATGGTTTTGGGTTTTACATTTAAGACTTTAATCTATCTTGAGTTAATTTTTGTATAAGGTGTAAGGAAGTGGTCCAGTTTGTTTTCTGCATATGACTAGCCAGTTTTCCCAGCACCTTTTATTAAATAGGGAATCCTTTCCCCATTGCTTGTTTTTGTCAGGTTTGTTGAAGAGATCAGATTGTTGTAGATGTGTGGTGTGATTTCTTATGTTTCTGTTCTGTTCCATTGGTCTGTATATCTTGTTTTCGTACCAGTACCATACTGTTTTGGTTACTGTAGTCTCGTAGCATAGCCTGAAATCAGGTAGCAGGATGCCTCCAGCTTTGTTCTTTTTGCTTAGGATTTTCTTGTCTATATGTGCTTTTTGGTTCCATATAAAATTTAAAGTATTTTATTTAATTCTGCAAATATAGCCACTGGAAGCTTGATGGGAATAGCATTGAATCTATAAATTACTTTGAGCAGTATGGCCATTTTCACAATATGGATTCTTCCTATCCATGAGCATGGAATAGGATTGTTTGTGTCCACTCTTATTTCCTTGAGCAGTGGTTTATAGTTCTCCTTGAACAGGTCCTTCACATCCCTTGTAAGTTGTATTCCTAGGTATTTTATTCTCTTTGAAGCAACTGTGAATAGGAGTTCACTCAAGATTTAGCTCTCTGCTTGTCTATTGTTGGTGTATAGGAATGCCTGTGACTTTCGCACATTGATTTTGTATCATGAGACTTTGCTGAAGTTACTTGTCAGCTTAAGGAGTTTTAGGGCTGAGAGAATGGGGTTTTCTTAATATACTATCATGTCATCTGCAGACACAATTTGACTTCCTCTCTTCCTATTTGAATACCCTCCATTTCTTTCTCTTGCCTGATTGCCCTGGCCAATAGGAGTGGTGAAAGAGGGCATCCTTGTCTTGTGCCGGTTTTCAAAAGGGAATGCTTCCAGTTTTTGCCCATTCAGTATGATATTGGCTGTGGGTTTATCACAAATAGCCTTTAGTATTTTGAGATATGTTCCATCAATACCTAGTTTATTGAGACTTTTTAGCATGAAGGGATGCTGAATTTTATCTAAGGTTTTTCCTGCATCTATTGAGATAATCATGTGGTTTTTGTCGTTGGTTCTGTTTATGTGATAGATTACGTTTATTGATTTGTGTATGTTGAACCAGTCTTGCATCCCAGGGATAAAACTGACCTGATTGTTGTGGATAAGCTTTTGGTGTGCTGCTGGATTCAGTTTGCTAGTATTTTATTGAGGATTTTCACATCGATATGCATCAGGGATATTGGCCTGAATTTTTTTGTTGTTGTTGTGTCTCTGCGAGGCTTTGGTATCAGGATGATGCTTGCCTCATAAAATGAGTTAGGGAGGTGTCCCTCTTTTTCTACTGTTTGGAATAGTTTCAGAAGGAATGGTACCAGCTCCTCTTTGTACCTCTGGTAGAACTGGGCTGTGAATCCGTCTGGTCCTGGGCTTTTTTTTTTTTTTTTTTTCTGGTAGGCTATTAATTACTGCCTCAATTTCAGAACTTGTTATTGATCTATTTAGGGATTCGATTTCTTCCTGGTTTAGTCTTGGGAGGGTATGTGTCCAGGAATTCATCCATTTCTTCTAGATTTTCTAGTTTACTTGCGTAGAGATGTTTATAGTGTTTTCTAATGGTAGTTTGTATTTCTGTGGGATCAGTGGTGATCTCCCCTTTATCATTTTTTATTGTGTCTATTTGATCCTTCTCTCTTTTCTTTTCCTTCTTTTTTTTGCTGTTATTTCACTATTGTTTATTTTCTTTTTTTTTCTTCTTTTTTCTTTTTTTTTATTATACTTTAAGTTTTAGGGTACATGTGCACAATGTGCAGGTTAGTTACATATGTATACATGTGCCATGCTGGTGTGCTGCACCCATCAACTCGTCATTTAGAATTAGGTATATCTCCTAATGCTATCCCTCCTCCTTCCCCCCACCCCACAACAGTCCCCAGAGTGTGATGTTCCCCTTCCTGTGTCCATGTGTTCACATTGTTCAATTGCCATCTAAGAGTGAGAACATGTGGTGTTTGGTTTTTTGTCCTTGCGATAGTTTATTGAGAATGATGATTTCCAATTTCATCCATGTCCCTACAAAGGACATGAACTCATCATTTTTTCTCTCTTTTCTTACTAGTTTAGCTAGTGGTCCATTTATTTTGTTAATCTTTTCAAAAAACATCTCCTGGATTAATTTTTTGAAGGGTTTTTTTGTCTCTATCTCTTTCAGTTCTGCTCTGATCTTAGTTGTCTTCTGCTATCTTTTGAATTTGTTTGCTCTTGCTTCTGTAGTTTTTTCAATTGTGATGTTAGGGTGTTGATTTTAATCTTTCCAGCTTTCTGTTGTGAGCATTTAGTGCTATAAATTTCCCTCTTAACACTGCTTTAGCTGTTTCCCAGGGATTCTGGCATGTTGTCTCTTTGTCATTGGTTTCAAGGAACTTCTTTATGTTTGCCTCAATTTCATTATTTGTCCAGTAATCATTCAGGAACAGGTGGTTCAACTTCCATGTAGTTATGCAGTTTTCAGTGAATTTCTCAATCTTGTGTTCTAATTTGTTTGCACTATGGTCTGAGAGACTGTTATGATTTCTGTTCTTTTGCACTTGCTGAGGAGTGTTTTACTTCCAATTACATGGTCGATTTTAGAATACATGCTATGTGACGCTGAGAAGAATGTATACTCTGTTGATTTGGGGTGGAGAGTTATGTAGATGTCTACTAGGTCCATTTGATCCAGAGCTGAGTTCAAGTCCTAAATATCTTTGTTAATTTTCTCTATTGTTGGTCTGTCTACTGTTGACAGTGGGTGTTAACTTCTCCCAGTATTATTGTGTAGGAGTCTAAGTCTCTTTTTTGGTCTCTAAGAACTTGTTTTATGAATCAACAGTTATTTTAAACCGTAAAACATAATCTGGAGAATATCTTGAGAACATTAAGTTTTGAAGGGAGAAGGACATTTGGTTTATCTTCAGTCCTGGGTGTTTATTACCTAGATATATATTTAATATAGTAAAGTATATATTACTGTCTGTGGCCACATTATTTTTTATTTTCTTCTTTTATTTTAGGTTTAGGGCATATATGTCCAGGTTTGTTACACTGATAAATTGCACGCTACTGGGGTTTGGTGTACAGATCATTTTGTCACTCAGGTAATGAGTATAGTACCCAGTGGGTAGTTTTTTAGTCCTCATCCTCCTCTCACCTTGCACCTTCAATAGACTGCTGTGTCCAGAGTTCTCTACTTTGTGTTCATACATAGTTAATGCGTACTTCCCACTTATAAGTGAGAACATGCGGTATTTGATTTTCTGTTCCTGTGTTAATTCGACTAGGATAATGGCCTCTTGATATCTATGTTACTGCAAAGGACATGATTTCTTTGTTTTTGGCTGCATGGTATTCCATGATGTATATGTACCACATGTTCTTTATCCAGTCCACCATCGATGGGCACCTAGATTGATTCCAGATCTTGGTTATTGTGAATAATGCTGCAATGAAAATGTGAGTGCATATGTCTTTTTGGTGGAAATATTTGTTTTCTTTTGGATATATACCCAGTAATGGGATTGCTGGGTCAAATGGTAGTTCTGTTTTAAGTTCTTTGAGAAATCACCAAACTGCTTTCACAGTGATTAAACAAATTTACATTTCCACCAACAGTGTATAAGTGTTCCCTTTTTTCTGCAGCTTCATCAGCAGCTATTGTTTGACTTTTTAAATAATAGCCATTCTGACTGGTATAAGATGAATTCTCATTGTGATTTTGATTTGCATTTCTCTAATGATTAGTGATGCTGAGCATATTTTCATATGCTTGGTGGCCATGTGTACGTCTTCTTTTGAGAAGTGTCCATTTATGTCCTTTGTCCATTTTAAAAAATAGGGTTATTTGGTTTTTACTTGTTAATTTAAGTTCCTTATACTAATACTAAATATTATACCTTTGTCAGATGCATAGTTTGCAAATATTTTCTCCTATTCTGTAGGTTGTCTGTTTATTCATTGATAGTTTCTTTTGCTGTGCAGAAGCCCTTTAGTTTAATTAGGTCTTACTTGTCAATTTTTGCTTTTGTTGCAATTGCTTTTGGAGTCTTTGTCATGAAATATTTGCCAGAATCTATGTCTAGAATGGTATTTCCTAGGTTTTCTTCTAGAGACTTTTATGCTTTTTGGTATTACATTTCGATCCTTAAATCCTTAATCCATCTCGAGTTAATTTTTTTATATGATGAAAGATGGGGGTCCAGGTTAATTCTTCTGCAAATCACTAGCCAGTTATCCCAACACCATTTTTTTTTTTACTTTTATTTTAGGTTCAAGTGTACATATGAAGGTTTGTTATATAGGTAAACTTGTGTCACGGGGGTTTGTTGTACAGATTTCATCAACCAGGTATTAAGCCTGGTACCCATTAGTTATTTTTTTCTACTTCTCTTCCTCCACCCACCCTCCACCCTCAAGTAGATCCCAGAGTGTGTTGTTCTCTTCTTTGTGTTCATGAGTTCTCATCATTTAGCTCCTACTTATAAATGAGAACATGTGGTATTTGGTTTACTGTTCCTGCATTAGTTTGCTAAGGATAATAGCCTCTAGCTCCATCCATGTTCCCAGAAAATACACAATCTTGGTTTTCATGTCTGTGTAGTATTCTGCGGTGTATATGTACCACATTTTCTTAATACAATCTGTCATTGATGGGCATTTAGGTTGATTCCATGTCTTTGCTCTTGTGAATAGTGCTGTAATAAACATTCACAGGTATGTGTCTTTATGGTAGAATGATTTATATTCCTGTGGGCATATACTTAGTAATGGGATTGCTGGGTCAAATGGTAGTTCTACTTTTAGCTCTTCGAGGGATCACCATACTGCTTTCCAGAATGGTTCAACTAAATTAAACTTCTATTAACAACATATGCGTTCCCTTTTCTCCACAACCTCACCATTTTTTGACTTTTTAGTAATAGCAGTTTTGATTGGTGTGAGGTGGTATCTCATTGTGGTTTTGATTTGCATTTCTCTAATGATCAATGATATTGAGCTTTTTTTTCATACGTTTGTTGGTCACATTGAAAAGTGTCCATGTCCTTTGCCCACTTTTTATTGCAGGTTTTTTTTTTGTAAATTTAAGACCCTTATATTAATACTGGACATTAGACCTTTCACAGCTAGCAAATATTTTCTCCCATTCTGTACGTTGTCTGTTTACTCTGTGGATAGTTTTTTTTTTTTTTTTTTTTTGGTGTGTGTGTGTGTGTGTGTGCAAAAGCTCTTAGGTTTAATCGTCAATTTTTTCTTTAGTTCCTACACCATTTTTTTTTAATAGGGTGCCCTTTCCCCATTGCTTATTATTGTCAGCTTTGTGGAAGATCAAATGGTTATAGATGTGAGGCTTTATTCTGGGTTTTCTAACCTGTTCCATTGGTCTATGTGTCTGTTTTTATACAGTACTATGCTGTTTAGGTTACTGTAGGCTTCTAGTATAGTTTGAAGTTGGCTAATATGATGTCTCCAGTTTGGTTCTTTTTGCTTTGGATTGCCTTGGCTATTTGGGCTCTGTGTTGGTTCCATATGAATTTTAAAATAGTTTTTTCTTGTTTTGTGAAAAATGTCATTTGTAGTTTGACAGGAATAGCATTGGATCTGCAAAACTGCTTTGGGAAGTATTGCCATTTTAACAATATTGATTCCTTCTATCCGTGAGTATGGAACATTTTACCATTTGTTTGTGTCATCTCTGATTTTTTTCAGTACTGTTTTGCAATTCTTGTTATAGAGAGCTTTCACCTCTCTGATTAACTGTATTCCTAGGTTTTTTGTTTTATTTTGTGGTGATTGTGAATGGCATTGTGTTATTTGGCTCTCAGGTTAGACATTATTGGTGTATAGAAATGCTACTAATTTTTCTACTTTGATTTTGTATCCTGAAGCCTTGCTGAAGTTGTTTATCAGATCTAGGAGCTTTTGGGCAGAAACTATGGGGTTTTCTAGTTAGAAAATTTATCATCTGCAAACAGCAATAATAGTTTGACTTCTTCTCTTCCTATTTAAATGCCTTTTACATTTTTCTCTTGCCTGACTTACTTGCTAGGACTTCCAGTACTATATTGAATAGGAGTGGTGAGACAGGGCATCCTTGTCTTGTTTTGGTTCTCAAGAGGAATGCTTCCAGCTTTTGCCCATTCAATTTGATGTTGGCTGTGAGTTTTTCATAGATGGCTCTTATTATTTTGAGGTATGTTTCTTTGATTCCTAGTTTGTTAAGGGCTTTTAACATGAAAGGATGTTGAATTCTATTGAAAGACTTTTCTGCTTCTTTTGAGATACCTACATATTATTTGGTTTTGTTCTTTCTATGTGGTAAGTCATTTATTGATTTGCATATGTTGAACCAACCTTGCATTCTAGGAATAAAACCTACTCCATCATGGATGGTGGATTAGCTTTTTGACGTGCTGCCAGATTTGATTTGCTAGTATTTTGTTCAAGATTTTTATGATACCAAAACTTGGCAGAGACACAACCAAACGAAAACTGCATGCCAATATCCTTGATGAACATAGATATTTCTGGCCATATTGTTATCCTGCACTCTGTGTTTCTGGAGTATACACAGGCTCCATGGAAAATTAATACAGTAACAGCAACTAATAGTTTAAGTTAACACCGAAGACTTTTATTTTCCTTGTTCATCTACAACATTTATTTTCCTTGTTTTTTTATTTTCCTTGTTCATCTACAACTTTTACTTTCAGGGGATATAATTTAATTGAATATGTTTTTCATGAGTCAACGTGAAATTTCCTTTTTGGATAAAGTTTCATTTAAGCCACTTTAGAAGTAGTTGACCTTCACAGACTACACAGGTAGTTGGTTGTCCAGATTCCCTTCTTTGGGGCATCACGTCTTCCCTCTTCCATAGTAACATCATTTCAGCTACTTAATTTGGTTAGAGTTTATCCTGCCACCATCTGGCCAGAAGTGGTCATGTGATCCAGACCTGGCCAAAATCCCTGGCCTTCAATTAGTTTAGATATAACCATGTAGCCATATCTTGGAGACTAGAATTCTTCCCAGAGACTTTATTGTCAGGAAAAGCACAACATTTTTCTCTTGAACTTCAGGCTCTTCATTCATTCATTTATTCATTCATTCATTACATAAATATTAATGAGTATTTTTATATGCTGGGCTCTGGTCTGGTCTGTTGACATAAATCAGTGAACCAAATAGGGTAAATGGTCATTCCTTATGGAGTTTACATTCTAATCATGGAGTGATAATAAACAGTAAATAAAATGCATAAGTAATAACTGAAACATTTTCATGGAACAAGAGCCATGAAAATGAAAAAATAGGACAAGGTAAGCAGAATTGGTGGTCAGGATAGGTCTTATTAAAAAGATGACATTTAAGGCTGGGCGCAGTGGCTCACGCCTGTAATCCCAGCACTTTGGGAGGCTGAGGTGGGCGGATCACGAGGTCGGGAGATCAAGACTATCCTGGCTAACACGGTGAAACCGCGTCTCTACTAAAAATACAAAAAATTAGCCGGGCCTGGTGGTGGGCGCCTGCAGTCCCAGCTACTCAGGAGGCTGAGGCAGGAAAAAGGTGTGAACCCGGGAGGCGGAGCTTGCAGTGAGCCGAGATCGCGCCACTGCACTCCAGCCTGGGCGACAGAGCGAGACTCTGTCTCAAAAAAAAAAAAAAAAAAAAAAAAAAAGACATTTAAGCAATGACTTAAAAGAGAAAATAGCCATGCAGATAAATGGGTGTAAAGTATAGCATGCAGAAATATTTGCCACCATAAAATTCCTGAGGCAAGAATAAACCAATGTTCAAAGAATGGTGAAATGGCCAATTAGGTTGTTACAAAATGTTCAATGGGTGGTACAGCAGATAGAATTGAGGTTGGAGAGGCAATGGGAGAAAAACATGTGGTGCTCTGTAGGCCATTTACAGACTTTGGATTTTGCCATATGTAAAATGGGAAGCATTGCAGGATATTGAGTAGAAGAGGAATGTAATTTGATATATTTCGGAAAGAACACCCTGACATCTAAGTTGAGAACAAACTTTAAGATAGAAGAGAAAATTGAAGCTCAGATTAGAGTAGCAGCGTTGGAAATGGTAGAAACTGAGGGATACAGGGTAAGTTTTGAAGGTAGATCCAAGGAGATTTTCTGATGTGCTGAATGAGATATATGATAAAAAGGAACCAAGAAGAATTTCAAAATTTTTGACTTGAGTATATGTAATAATAGAATAGTCACTAAATGATATGGGGAAGTCTATCTTATGGGCAGACTTGGTGGATCATCGATTTGGGGCATGTTGAGTTTGAGATTTCTATTAGACAGCCAAATGAAAATGTCAAGTAAGCAGTTGAAAATGTAGGCTTGTAGTTTGTGTCTGGATGTAGGAATTTGGAAATTGTCAGACTATATTTGTCCTGTAAAGCTACAATACTGAATAATATTATAAAAGGGAGAGGAAAGAACAGATCTTTAGATGTGTTCCTTTAGATCCTTAGATCTTTCCTTTTTAGGGGAAAGATATAAGCCTTAGATCTTTCAAAAATAAGAGGTTGGGGAGACATGGAAGACCAAGTGAAAAAGACAAGGAAAGAGCAACCAGTAAGGTAGGAGGCAAATGAGGACAGAGTGGTTTCATGGAGAAAGGTGTGATCAATTTCCAGCCACCTTGCCACTGGGTAAAGAGAACCTGTATGATATTGAAGCCAAGCAATGCAAAAAAACTGTGTTGGATAAAAATTGTTTCACAAGCTGGATGCTGTGGCTCACTCCTGTAATCCCAGCACTTTGGGAGGCCGGGGCAGGCAGATCACTTGAGGCCAGGAGTTCGAGACCAACCTTGCAAACATGTTGAGTTTGAGATTTCTATTAGACATCCAAATGAAAATGTCAAGTAGGCAGTTGAAAATATAGGCTTTGTAGTTTGTGTCTGGACATAGGAATTTGGAAATTGTCAGATTATATTTGTCCTGTAAAGCTACAATAGTGAAACCCTGTGTCCACTAAATATACAAAAATTAGCCAGGCATGGTGGCACATGTCTGTAGTCCCAGCTACCAGAGTAGGCTGACGCACAAAACTTGCTTTAACCCGGGAGGCAGAGGTTGTAGTGAGCTGAGATGGTGCCACGGTTCTCCAGCTTGGGTAACATTGTGAAACTCTGTCTCAAAAAAAAAAAAAAAATTGTTTCACTTTTATTACCACATTGATGCCTTCAAAATTACTTTTGACTAGGACAATGGATTTCAATTCAGTCAACACATATGTGACAAGAGTCACAGTTGCTTAAACAAAGAGCACCATTTAGAAGTTTTCCTTAAAAGGTAGCATTGTAACTGGCAGGTATTTTCATTGTCTCCTGCACTAAATCTCCCAATTGCTAGGCTCAGCATCTTTTTTTCTAGGTCTACACTTCCAAAAGCATCATCGTCAATTTATCATTATAATATTGCTAGTTCATGCCCAACCAAAGTCACTTCTGATAGCAACCAAAATTATGGCTTACTTCTACAAAGATAATATCTTTAAATTATTCTGAAGATAATGTCTAATATTAAAATTTACTCTCATATACAACTATAATTTGTTAATTTACAATAAAACTAAACTAAAAGTAAATAAAATCTATTCTCTCTGGTTATATTCATTTGCTTTCTAATTTTTAAAATAATACCTCATATATGCAATTTGCCGCAAGGCCATTTTTAATATTAGACTTTTATTCTCTTTCTCTTTTTTATTTAGCTAATTGCTCAGTTGATCTAGGACCCTTGCTTCACAGAATAGCACAAACCATAATTTCTAAAAGGTCTAGAGATATCGTATTTTCTTAATGACTTTCAGCAGGAAATAAAAGGAAGTGCCCAAATAATCCTTTAGTTCATCCATGATTTTTTTCAAGCTCTATTTTGGAGTATCAGACCTATCGTCCCTTTCAAGGTGGTAATGATTCTTTTCGCTATTATCATGACATGAGTAGTCCAAGATTGACAGATGCTAACCACAGGTGGCAATTTGGTAAAACCTTTTTCATATTTTATATAAAATATGTCTGCCTCCTTTGGATACTGTCACTTTCATGCCTAAGGTCTCAGAATGAAGGGATTAAAATAGAATTATTCAAAAATCGTAATATCAGGTAAGATTTTAAAAGCTACTACTCTTCCTCCTCCTCAATTTCTAGACCTATGCATTTAGCTATGGAAGAGGCAGCATTCTATATAAATTATTGTCACAGATCATATACCACACAAAATAAGACAAAGCAGATCTTCAGTCTAGTATGGTTAATTGAGGGAAAGTGCAAATAAGTTTTCAATAGGTCAAGTTATCATTGTATAAGGCTGACTACTTATCCATGGTATGAAAATAATAGGAGTAGTTCCTTTCACAAGCGTCAGCTGATTGCTTTACTTCTTTTCTGTGAAATGAGTTCTACAAACAGAAATTGCATTGATGGAAGAACTTAGTGGTACATGAGAGAATAAGTCTATGTCATAGGCAAATGCAACATGGCCACAGGAAGCAAATTTAGAAATAAAGAGTAAGAAAGAATGAACAAAACCTCCAAGAAATTTGAGATTATGTTAAGTGACCAAACCTAAGAATAATTGGTATTCCTGAGGAAAAGAAATATAAAAGTTTGGAAAACATATTTGGGGGAATAATCAACGAAAACTTCCCTGGCCTTGCTAGAGACCTAGATATCCAAATACAACAAGCTCAAAGAACATCTGGGAAATTCATCACAAAAAGATCATTGCCGAGGCACATTATCATCAGGTTATCTGAAGTCAACACAAAGGAAAGAATCTTAAGAGCTGTGAGACAAAAGCACCAGGTAACCTATAAAAGAAAACCTATCAAATTAACAGCAAATTTCTCATCAGAAACCCTTCAAGCTAGAAGGGATTGGGGCTTTACCTTCAGCTCCCTTAAACAAAACAATTATCAGCCAAGAATTTTGTATCCAGTGAAACAAAGCTTCATAAATGAAGGAAAGATACAATCTTTTACAGACCAACAAATGCTGAGAGAATATGCCATTACCAAGCCAGCGCTACAAGAACTGCTGAAAGGAGCTCTGAGCCTTGAAACAAAACCTGGAAACACATCAAAACAGAACCTCTTTAAAGCATAAATCTCACAGGATCTATAAAACAAAAATACAATAATAAAAAAAAACAAGGTATACAGACAACAAATAACATGATGAATGGAACGGTACCTCACATCTGAATACTAATGTTGAATGTAAATGGTCTAAATGCTCTACTTAAAATATACAGCATTGCATCATGGATAAGAATTCACCAACCAGCTATCTGCTGCATTCAAGAGACTCACCTAACTCCTAAGGAATCACTTAAACTTAAGGTAAAGGGGTGAAAAAAGACATTCTATGCAAATGGTCACCAAAGGCAAGCAGGAATTGCTATTCTTATATCAGAGGAAACAAACTTTAAACCAACAGCAGTTAGAAAAGACAAAGAGTGGGCCGGGTGCAGTGGCTCACACCTGTAATCCCAGCACTTTGGGAGGCTGAGGCAGGTGGATAACTTGAGGTCAGGAGTTCAAGACCAGCGTGACCAACATGGTGAAACCCCATGTTGACTAAAAATACAAAATTAGCCAGATGTGTTGGTTCATGCCTGAAATCCTAGCTATTTGGTTGGCTGTGGCAGGAGAATTGCTTGAACCTGGGAGGCAGAGGTTGCAGTGAGCCGAAATCGTGCCATTGCACTCCAGCCTGGGCAACAAGAACCAAACTCCATCTCAAAAAAGAAAAAAAAAAAAGACAAAGAGGGACATTATATAATAATAAAAGCCTTGTCCAACAGGAAAATATCACAATCCTAAATATATATGCACCTAACACTGGAGCTCTCAAATTTATAAAAACAATTACTACTGCCTAAGAAATGAGATGGACGCAGCACAATAATAGTGGGGGGCTTGAATACTCCACTGACAGCACTAGACAGGTCATCAAGACAGAAAGTCAACAAAGAAACAATAAACAATGGATTTAAACTATATCCTGGAACAAAAGGGCTTAACAGATATTTACAGAATATTCGACCCAACAAACGCAGAATATATATTCATCAGTGAACATGGAAGTTTTTCCGAGATAGACCATATGATAGGCCACAAAAAAGTCTCAATAAATTTAGGAAAATTTAAATTATATCAGGTAGTCTCTCAGACAACAGTAGAATAAACTGGAAATTAACTCCAAAAGGAACTTTCAAAACCATGCAAATACCTGGAAATTAAATAATCTGTTCCTAAGTGATTATTGGGTCAACAATGAAATCAACATGAAAATTTAAAAATTTTTCAAATGGAATGATAATAGTGACACAACCTATAAAAACCCCTGGGATACAGGAAAGGCAGGGCTAAGAGGAAAGTTCATAGCCCTAAATTCCTACATTGAAAAGTCCAAAAGAGCACATATAGACAATGTAAGATCACACTTCAAGGAACTAGAGAAAGAAGAACAAACCAAACTCAAAACCAGCAGAATAAAGGAAATAGCCAAGATCAGAGCAGAACTAAATGAAATTGAAACAAAAGAAATACAAAAGATAAATGAAAAAAAAAAAGCTGGTTCTTTGAAAAGATATATGAAATTGATAGACCATTAGCAAGATTAACCAAGAAAAGAGAAAATGCAAATAAGCTCAATTAGAAATGAAAGAGGAGATATTATAACCGATACCTCAGAAATACAAAAGATCATTCAAGGCTACTATGAACATCTTTATGCACATAAACTAAAAAACCTAGAGGAAATGAATAAATTTCTGGCAAGATACAACCCTCCTAGCTTAAATCAGGAAGAATTAGATATCCTGAACAGACCAATAATTGAAATGGTAATAAAAAAAAATTGCCAACAAAAAAACTCCAGGATCAGATGGGTTCAAAGCAGGATTCTACCAGACATTCCAGGAAGAATTATTGACACTATTCCACAAGATAGAGAAAGAGGGAATTTTCCCTAAATCATTCTATGAAGCCAGCAAGCATCACCCTAATACCAAAACCAGAAAGGATATAACCAAAAAAGAAAACTACAGACCAATATCCCTGATGAACATAGATGCTAAAATCCTTAACAAAATACTATAAGGCCATAGTCACCAAAACAGCATGGTACTGGTATAAAAATAGGCACATAGACCAATGGAACAGAATAGAGAACCCAGAAATAAACCCAAATACTTACATCCAAATGATCTTTGACAAAGCAAACAAAATCATAAAGTGGGGAAAGGACATCCTATTCAACAAATGGTGCTGGTATAGTTGGCAAGCCACATATAGGAGAGTGAAACTGGATTCTCATCTCTCACCTTATACAAAAACCAATTCAAGATGGATCAGGGACTTAAATCTAAGACCTGAAACTATAAAAATTCTAGAAGACAACATTAGAAAACCCTTCTACACATTGACTTAGGCAAGGATTTCATGACCAAGATCCCAGAAGCAAATGCAATAAAAACAAAGATAAATAGGTGGGACTTAATTAACTAAAGAGCTTTTGCAAGGCAAAAGGAACAATCAGCAGAATAAACAGGCAGCCTACAGAGTGGGAGAAAATCTTCACATCTATACCTCTGACAAAGGAATAATATCCAGAATCTACAACGAGCTCAAGCAAATTTTCAAGAATAAAACAATTTCATCAAAAAGTGGACTAAGGACATGAATAGACAATTCTCAAAAGAAAATATAAAAATGGCCAATAAACATATAAAAAAATTCTCAACATCACTAATGATTAGGGAAATACAAATCAAAACCAGGGTGTGATACCACCTTTCTTCCCCCAAGAATGGACATAATCAAAACAATAAAAAAAAATAGATGTTGGCATGGATGCAGTGAACAGAAAACACATCTACACTGCTGGTGGTAATGTAAACTAGTACAATCACTGTGGAAAACAGTGTGGAGATTCCTTAAGGAACTAAAAGTAGACTACCATTTGATCCAGCAATCCCACTACTGGGTATCTACTCAGAGGAAAATAAGTCATCATACAAAAAAGATATTTGTACCCGTATGTTTATAGCAGCACAATTCACAGTTGCAAAAATATGGAACCAACCCCAAAACCCATCAATCAGTGAGCAGATAAAGAAACTGTGACATATATAAAAGATGGAATACTTCTTAGCCATAAAAAGGAATGAATTATTGGGATTCATAGCAACCTGGATGGGATTGGAGTCTATTATTCTAAGTGAAGTAACTCAGGAATGGAAAACCAAACATCGTATATTCTCAAGCATAAGTAATAGCTAAGCTATGAGGATGCAAATGCATAAGAATTACACAATGGATTTTGCAGACTCAGGAGGAAAGGGTGGGAAGGGTGTGAGGGATAAATGACTACAAATTGGGCTCAATGTATACTGTGTGAGTGATAGGTACACCAAAAATCTCACAAATCACCACTAAAGAACTTACTCATCTAACAAATACTACCTGTTCCCCCAAAACCTAAGGAAACAAATACTATTTTCCAGTGAGGGTAAATAAGTGTCATAGCAATGCTACAAAATCTGATGTAATCAACATGCCATCAGCAGCTATTTTTCAATAAAGTATGGTACTCTATCAACAATTCAAAGCTGTCTTTAATAAATTTTGCCCTCCAATTTGGCTGTAGACAGAATTACCATAGTAATAAGAGAACAAGTAATTAGACACAATCATAGTCCCTGTTCATCTTCATCACTATTTATTGAGTTCACTGCAAGGAAATGAGCTAGCTGAGGAAAAAAAGTACTGCCAAATGTGGGTCATCTGATCATTTCAAATGTTAACAATGTTCCATTGAAATGACTAGTCTCTGGGTTTTCTCTTAAAAGCATAATCCATATTGTTCTTATCTAAAACCCTACACAAACCCTCCAACTATACTTCTAAGCCTTTGACAAGTTAGCTAACTGTCTGCCACTGTCTCCAAATCAAAGTAAATGTGGGTCTCAATCTAGGCTTCCTTTCAGGCACAGCAAACTACAAAATGTCCTCCTTGAAGTTCTGCTGAGTGGAAAGATTTACTTACTCCATTACCTTTCAGGATTATTCTTATGAGTGCTCTAATGCTAGAGGAATACATTTGTGTATAGTGCTAGCATGCTTTGCAGAATTCCCTAGAAATATCCCTTAAGATTTCAATCCTCTTTAAGTTGAATAGAAAGAATATTCTACAAATCCACAGACATAAGTTGAGAGAAGAATGGCAATATGATCCCTATACAGGCAATGAATATGTAGGGAGAATTTGTTCACTGAATGTATCGAGAGTCTCAATCCTAAACAGACCACTTCCATTTAATGGTGGACTTCATCTAGTCATATTCAAACTTGTGGTTTGGTGGATCACCATGGTCAGCCCATGTCTTGGGATCACTTGTATCTCATGACTAGGCATTTGTTTTCTAGAGGCTTGTGGTAAGTCAAATATTCATCCTCAGAAGGAAAGTGTCATTCTGCTGCAAGATGTCTAACTTTGTGCCTAAACTTTAGGGAACACAACCGGAAGTCCTTTGGGATTTTACCACTTGGGAATTAAGCTCTGTTCAAGACTTCAGGCCTCTGAAAATGAGCAATACTTTGGGGAATAAATGGAAGGACAGCTCATACTTCATTCTGAACCAACTTAAAATTCTTCAGTGGTTCTATAAAGTATGTTCAGTGAAGTACAGGAGAACAGCCAAAATAAATTGTTAAGCAGTGAAGCATTTCTACAAAGAAAAATAAGATAACTCCAAAATAAGGGGTCAATTAAATGTTATTCTACCTTCTAGTTTAAAAGGACTAAAAGCCGTCCTTAACTTTGGAGGGAATTAAATTTATGCTGTATCTTTAGACTGATAAGAATTTTGCTTGGGTATATATTCCCATAGGCTTTATTTCTAACTTCTATTAATCTTTTTTTTAAAAAATTTAGAATTCTTACCACCTTCTATTCCATACAGCCAAGCATTCATGGAGAAGCATCATGTCCTGGGGTGAAGATGTGGTCCATATTCTTCATGACTAATTCGTGAGAGAAATCTGCCCCTGCCATATACAGGTGTGGTATTTAGTCAGCTTCCATAAAAAGGTCTCTAAACACCTCTAGAAAGAACTTACGTTAAATTTTGGATAAAGTGAGGCAATATTCCAGAACTTTCAATATGTTTTACCCAGATCAAACCTGAGAAATAAGAGAGAGCTTATAGAATCACCATGTCTGGAAAATCTTCACTGGTGATTAAAATCTTAAGAATTTTGAGGGAGAAGGAATATTATTTTGATTAAAAATTTCACAGATAGGAGGAGCACCAATGGCATCCTCCTGATAATCAACATCCTAACTCCATTCATTATCATTTACTACATAGTTAGGGAATTACCAGCTTGATCTTATTTTTAATTACTAAATATCCTTTCTAAGTATATACTCCTAAATTTGGGATATGATGACCGCATAAAATATGAACCACTTGTCCCATCTATTGTGAGATAAGCTAAGTCTCAATTCTTTATTGCTTAACAGTGTTAGCTTCCAGTGGGCCAGTGTGGTAAATGTCTGAAAACTTCTAAAACATTCTCTATAGAATGATCATATTCTTTTATAATTTTTTGACTTTTTGAAGAAGACAAAGTAAAACAGTCAAGGTATGTATAAAGCCATTATAGTAGCCTTTATCAAGGGATCTTCATTTTCTGGCCTTCAATCTTTAGTCTCATTGTAACCAAGGAGACCAAGTATCCACATCATAATAACAAAACTTAATATTTACTATTCCTAGAAATTTCCTGAGTATTTTTTACACATTATCACTAATCTCACAACAACTGTTTTGAGTAGTGTTCTTATCTTCTTTTCACAACTGAAGAATCTGAGGCCCCAAATCCCACAAGTAGAAGATGGAGCCACACATGCAACCTGAACCAAGGCTGTGTGTCTACACTGCTGAGGTCATATCTTGTTAGTATGAGAGAATCACAGCTCCCACTTTTATCAGTCATTGCAATTTCTCTCATACAGATCAAATAGAATATTAAGGAATACTTTTAAATTTTCTTTCATGCTTTGTAAGTCATAACCAAATGTCTCCAGCATTGTCATTCCCCAAAACTGGATTACCATCTCCACTTTTTGCTTTTGCTGATAGTCACTACCTGTGTCTACTGACTCTGACCATTTCCACTATAATCAACAACAGAGGTTGTGATTATAGCCTTTCCTGCACATGGAGAATGGAAAAGAGGCCCATTTAGCTCTTCAGAGTCTTTCCTTTATAAGCCTCTCCTTCTAGTCACTAACGGGTTGGAAACATTGTGGAGGAAACATAACGTGGCTCCAGCAGCTAGATTCAATAATAAACCTACTATATAAATCCTTTCTCCCCAAACCATTGAATCTCTTTGCCCAAATTATGCCAAATTCTGGCTCTTCACAGTAGTCATGAACCAGGGCTTAGTATAATTGTACATAATTGCTTAAACCAGCAACCTGTTAAAACTTTTCAGATCTGCCCATTGTGCTTTAATGTGTATTTCCAATGAGTTAAAAAAAAAGAAAAACCCAAATGAAGCATACTCCAAATTACTCCAAATATGTGCTCTTGTCTCCTAGTCAAAGCATCTTTAAAATCGAAGTCCATTCCATCTCTTCTAGCTTCTGTCAATATACTGACAGCTTATACAACTCATCCTGGAAACATTTTTGCTCCTTCTGAGTATGGTTTTGCATAGTGATTCTAAGGTCAGTGACAAACTTCCACCCTAGTTACTGGATATGTCTCATAACTGGGAAGATAATTATAACTGCAAAAAAAGGAAGATAGGGTGGTAGGTGGGGTTATGTGGTAAAAAAAAAATGATTAGAAATGTCCTGATGTGTCAGACATCTCAACCATAAAGCTCACTTAAGCCTTCTAAAAGTTTATACTTAAGTGATCAAAATTCTAAATTTCTACCAGTCAGAGCCCTAGCCATGAAAATTTAAGGCAACTGGGAATTCAACTTACCTGTACATGGCCCTCTATGCACTATGCTATTGCACTGCCTGGAGTACAGCAGTGCCAGCACTAAATTCAAGCTGAAAGTGTTTTCTTCCACAGAGTGACATGGTTGTACCAGTTAGGATACCTTTGAGTACAAAGGTCTGAAACTTAACTAAATGAGCTTCCATAATGGGACTTTGCTTCCTTATACAACCAAGGTCTGGGGTAAGGGAGCTCCCAGTGTTACTCCAAGAGCTCAGCAGCATCACTGAAGAACAAATGTCTTCCCATCTTCCTTTTCTATCATACTCAGCACAGCTTTAGGCTTGCCCCTTAACAGTCAGAAGATTGTTACTGCTGTTTCAAGCATCATGACAATCAATATAGCATTCCTTCTAAGGAAAGGGTTATTAAGCATTTATATAATTGTGGATAAGAAACTTTCCCATAACCCAAACAGATAGCCCTTCACATCCCAAACCAGACTTTAGCTACAATGGGTTAAGATGCCTGGCCATAACCTAGTCACAGATAAAGCAGGCAAAATGGTTATCTCACATTTTAATCTTTGGCCAAAAATGTCCTAAAAATGTAAAAATGGAGAGGTTGTTTGTTGGGTAATCTGTAGGCATATCTGACACGATAATGGTCCTCGATTTTGTTAGCTGTCTATCATTAGAATGTATTCATGTAGGTAACATAGGGTTACCATAAAATTTTAGTGTATCCTGTTATTCTTTCACATTATAATCTCTCCAAAGCATTCTAATATGTCTACTCTGTGGCCCAAAGCCTTGATTTTGTTGGGTATGTCACCTGAAACAACAGCATAATCAGGTGATAGCCTTATTTTTTATTTACTACCAAAACCTAAATTATGTGTTTCCACTATTAATGGGAATATCTCATGTTCCCCATTTTGTTCCACCCAATCTCATTTCATGTCTGAAGTCTCTTCTTTGAGACCTAACTACGTAAGTACCACATACCAATATGTTGCAAAAAGCTGTAAGGTAGAGAAGAGAGTAGGGTTTGGTACAGGACAATCGTTATAAGAGTGCCCCAAAATGTCTTATGTCTCTATGCTGTCATCCTGCATTCGGGTCTCAGTTTGGATGAGTGAAATATGCATCAAACTATGCAGGATGAGATCAAGTGACTTGCCTTCTCTTTACTTAGTATAGATCCTAAAAATGATTATTTTGTCACCATTCACTATGCAGACAGATGATGGGCAGAGTTTTATCTTGGCCACATCAGCATGGATTGGCCTCTTTCCAGAGCAGATACTGGTGATTATCTTTGAATCATGAATTTTAATTCTGATCCAATCAATTGTGGCTAGGCTGTCAGGGTTAGTTTTATTCAACATAGGTGGCATAATCTCGGCAGTTTATTGTTAAAACAATAGTTTTAGAAGAATATGGTAAATTTCAAATGCACGCTAGACTATTTCTGAACCAATTTGAAGCACTAAGGGCAGCCATTTAGTGAACGGTTGTTTTATACTAGTCAGCATGCTAAGTGTGTCACATAATTAATTAGCATGGAAGTAATAATACCACCACTGTGCAGGTGAAGAAACAAAATCAGAGGAAATGAATTCCCCAGGATCATATAACAGATGGGCCTATCAATACTCACTGAAATCTTTGAGTGGCTTGAAAGACAGTCAAAAGTTAAAAAAAAAAGAGTCTTTTAAATTCAGCTACCCTTCAAATCAGAGGCATGTAAAAACAAATACACATAAGAGGCAGCAATATACATATACAAGGTAGTAAATGTATATGTTTAATATTGTTTCAAGCAGTCTTTAATAAAATCAAGTTAATATAAAATATGTCTAAACTTTAATAATCTCCATCACAATAGAATTCTATAATCTCCATCATAATATAATTCTATCTATAACTTCTGCTTTATAAACACATTTGGTGGTTGCTTTGGTTTTAGATGATTTTTGAAATGCTTTCTCCATCTGTTATACAAGAAGGAAATTAACTATTATGACTACTGCATGACGGGCATGAGGTCAGGTGCTTTATGTACAGTGGGCTGCTGAGTCTTATATTTCTATTTGAAATATGTACTTCTCCATTGATCAAAGAAGTGGATTACAATAGCATACATTATATGAGATTCCTTAATATGTGCCTTTAAATATTACACTATATCATTTATCTGAGCCATCTCCAACATATCTCCTAATCTATAGATTATGTTTTTCCTAAGTGATGCAGGTATTTGTCATTTTTATCATGAGTACGTGTAATTTTTTCTCTGATTAAAATCATGTCCTAAATGGAACATTATAAACTAACCTGGGGAATGGTTTTGATCTATATTCTGATGTTGTATACATGCTTCTCATTTTTAATTTGTATTCAGATATTCACATCAGGAGGGAAGAGTCTAATTGATTGTTCTGAAGACACAGTACATACCACATCAAAATAACTGGAAATTTGGGATGCAGCCTTGTATACATAATGCATTTTCCCTAGTTAATATTTCTTTTGAATTTGAGATTGTGCAGTCAAAATGTAAACATTTTGAAAATTATTAAACTAAAAATTTATTATGAATGCTCTTTAGTTCATAAGCACATGCATTTGAAACACTAAAAAAGTATTAGGGGCTTGCTTTGTGGTACTGAACTAAATTAAACTTTGTCCAAAATTTACATTTTTCTTTATTAGACAGGTTAATGTGGATAACCTGAGTTGAGATTCTCTCTCTTCTTCTATGTGTTAGTTTAACCTCAAGCTCAAGATCTTTAAGCCTCTTTTTTTAATCTAGAAAAGACCCACGATGATTCAGCGTCCTTTTGTAAGGATTATGTGAGATAACATATGAAAGTGTCTACCTAAGATAGGCTTTTTTCCAAGTTAGTTTCTGAAAAGTATTAACCTGTTTAAATGCTATAGAAACTATGTAAATCACCAAGGTCAAGGGAAATTAGAGTTTATGAACAAAACCTAACCATTTTTTTTTCACTCTGAATGTATACAAATAGTAGATTTCGAGTTTAGAGGAGAATTATGGTAATCAAGTGGCAAGATATAACTGTTACTCTGCTCTCTCCTTATTTAATCAAGTATTCAAGTCTCTACGGAGTGAGAAGGACTAACCCTTTCCACCAACCACTAAGGACACCTTCCTCAGTAAAAAAAAGTCCATTTCCAATTGTTTTGCAATCACCCCCTTCAATCTAATGTCCACCTTGCAGCTCAGGTTTTCTTTCTCAACTGAAAATGTGAATGTTCCCACCCCCACACTTTTGAAATGCTATTCCATTTGCCTTGAATCACCTATTATCCTACTACCTAATTCCTCCACTTCAAATCTCAACCTAGATAATGCCTGCTCTAGAAGGCCTTGCCTGAACATCACACCCTTCCCAAACAAAACTACATGTTTTACAGTTTTATTTTCTGCTCTGTTATCACTGGGGAAAGTAGGTGCTCAGTAAATAAGAACATATATGTGATACTCAACACTTATTAATTAAATCCATCCCTATAGTGCTATTGACCTCTCCTCCTGTCCTCCTTATATGTTCATAATGAAGGGAATATGCTAAGTCAGCAACCCAACTTGAAAACTTACTAGGATTAATCAATGTGATTTTACTAGTTCATCTGTATATTTTGGAGTCTAACTTAGCTGTCAAGTCTACAACACAGATAAGTTCAGGGTAGCAAAAAGAGAAGTTGGAGAAACAACTTGGTCTACATCATGAATTTACCTCGATCTGCTCATGAGTCTGGGGAGGAAAGAAGATGGAGTAGTTGCAAAGGACAATGAACTATTAGAATTTTGCACCTGGAATCCAGTTCTCATCACACTCCTGATGTGTTATTGGGCACCAACCTTTGACATTCACATTAGAATTATATCAAGCAATTTTGATATAGCAATTTAAAGCCTTTATGCTACAGGTCTCATAGTAACAAATACAAAAAGGAAATCAGAAAATTCCAAAAAGTGTGAATACAACTAAATATTGTGATCACATTAAAAGTAAATATTAACTTGCAAAATATGTGTAATAGAGTCCCACATTTATTCATATTATATTCAGAAGCACAAAGAAAACACAGCTGTTTATTTTCAATGTACAGATATGATGTTCACCCAATCCTCTACCTCTGGGGCAGCTAGGAGGGAGAGAGTGGTGGAAACAAGTAGCAAAGAACACATTCATTCCAATGTAACACTGGTCCACTAGAATAAATTGGAAGTATTTTAAACGTTTCTCTTTTAGATAATTCAGATCTCTCAGAATGCCCTGTTCTTTTGCTCCTCTCCAAATTTGGGGGCTCCTCTCCAAGACAGACCTGGAGTGACTGGGAAAATCACATAAGTTTAAGCCTCGAAATCTCTCTTTGCAGGGACTCTGGAATCTCTTCCAGGGATCTGGAATCTATTCACAAGCTGAAACAGCTTTATAAAATTTGCAAAATTAATATATATTAACTTCAACCAATGAAAATGACTGTCCATTTCCACTCTGATTTCCTCTCTGTCATAGTCTCCCTTTTGTTTAGTAGCACTGGAGTGGCCATGGGAAATTCTGCAATTAGCCTATGGGGATATTTAGCTGAGAATATATGCAGTGTAAGTTTGGAGTAATATTTTTGTAGTTTGCAGTCACTGCTGTGTAAGTTAAATTATTGCTGGCAATCTTGAAAGGCTTCTAGGAATAATGTAGTCAGTGTAAAGAGTATTTAAGGAAACTTGAAATGTCCTGAAATTTTAAAGCTCACATAGGACAGAAGCTTCAGAGGGCTTTCCAAACTTGACAGCAATGGTAAAAATGCACATGACATTACTAATTATAAGTTGTGAAGCTGAAAGAAACTTTTCCTAAACTGACAGTTTAAGAATTTTAAATTGATAATTTCATAAAAAATTTCTATTAACCTTGCCAGAGGAAAGACACTTTCTTTTGTATTCTCTCTGTAGAGGGGTATTCCAAAATCATGATGAGGCAATTAAAATGTAAGCATCCAATAATGTAGAGAGAAAATATAATATAGGGTTGAATCAGGCAGCTAATTATAATAATTAGTTATATCCATTCCCCCTCTATTTTCTAAAGACTTTTGACAACTTTTGAAACTTAATTTTTTTGTAAATCAGTTTTTTCATTCAGAATGTGTTCATTTTCATTCCTGATTTTTTACCCCTAATGTTCTTATTTTTCTAAAAATACTCCAAAAATCTTTAAGTTTCAGGCAACACAAAAGCTAAATTCATCCTGGATTTGGCTAATGTGAATTTGCAGCTCTAGTTGGGGTGGAGGCCTCAACTGTCTGTGGTGTTTTCAGGATGCTCTGTGACAGAGCTCCTGGGGGTGCATTGGTGTGAATGGCCCCAGCTGGCCTTTGGGAGAAACTTGCCCTAATGCAAGAGTATTTGTTTCTAAATACTGTGGCTGTTTTTCTCCCTTTGCTGCAACCTCAGGTCTCTGCTTCCCCACCAGCCGTCTCTGCACTCCTCTACATTTATCAGTGGGGTTTGCAGTGCTTTGGGATCTGCACCACACACTAACCCTGGGGAAGAAGGAGCAGTGCTCCAGAGTCTCTTGCAGAGCTGCCTTCCTCTAATACCACTACGTTCCTGCAGAGATGGGAAGGACTCCCAGCCAGGGCTTTGCCTGGAGGTTGTGGCTTTCCATAGAAAATGCAGAGAACTGTGCTTTTCAACTCACTCTTAACAATCTATAAGTTTTTAGAAACCATTATCCTATAATTTAGCCCAAATAGTGATAATCCCAACATTTAACCAGTTTTTCTATTTTCTCAATCCATTGAAGCCATGATTTTATTTTCTCTTTGACCACAACCTTCCTTACATAAAATTCTGTCTCAAGTCTATTTATTGATATAACAGATGAGAAGTTGTATTCATACAATCATGGAATCCAAGCCAATTTTCTTGGAGTTTTGAAAATCCTATTTTGGGTGTCTGAAACTAAAAATGAATTATGTCTTTCTTTTTGCATTTTTCCGGCAATAAATTCTAGTTTCTATCCCCAATCCACTAACCATACAAAACAATGGGTCTCATGCTGATTAAGGAAAAGGTCATGTACAAGGTAAAACAAAGGAATAAAAAAACACAGGCATTACATGGTTTTTCCAGTCTTCTTCCCATTACTTCACATGGGTAGATGAAAATAAGAAAAATAATTTTGGAAATAAAATCTCAGAGCTAGGAAAAAGAAAGTGAGAAAGAAGAAACTCTAATACAGCATAAGCACCAAACTTTCTTCCACTTGATCATATTTACTCTATTTTAAGGGCTTTTAACTGAACTACCCCTTTGATGAGAGAAAAAGAGGGGGAAGAGTCAGCTCCACCACAGGAGGTGACTTGCCTGACATCACTGATAGAGCAATGACACTGAGATTCTCCCCTTGGAACCACACAGAAGGTACTACTCAAGGTTAGGATTTTAATGAGGAGCACATAAGAAGTTTAAGGTTGTTTTTAATGGTGACAAGGCAAAAAAATAGAATGAACATCCATTTGGATAATTTATCTGATTTGTATTTATATCTTTTCCCTTGAGTAACTGGAAGAAACCTACGCATTATGAATTTTTAATTTCAAAATTGGTAATAGCTTTTCTGACAGACATGAAATAATCTGACCACTAGATTTCATTTATTCTTTTTTATATTTGGCCAATTTGTCACAAGGCTGAAGAAACATATTTACAGTAAATATGAAAACCTAGAGAAAGTACAATCAAATTGGCAATGCTCTTTGCTGAAATATGAACTCAATCCTTAAAGTGTCGAAAGATGTTTTCCCATCTATTGTTCATCTGTTTCATTTATCCATCAAACATTCCATAATGATCACTGAAGCACTCAATGCTATGAAGTTATTTTTTCCACATTTCCAAAGACATTTCTAACCTGCTTAGATTACCATATTTTAAATAATTCCATTTACTTTAAATTGGAAGAAATGGAGGCTCTAAAAGGAATAAATATCTTTCCTGAAAATGTACACCAAAACAGCTGAAATTAGACAACCTATCTTATGACTCTCAGTCTATCACCCTTCATAATATTTAATATCCTATTTCTGTGTTTGGCTATACTTGAATGCACCCTTTCTATTTTACAAGACACTCATTAGGTAAAATCATAAAATTTTAGGTCTTGAGAGATATCAGTGGAAATACTGTTTATTTTTCTTATTTTACAAATGATGGAACCAAAATCCTGAGAAGGTAAATGTCTTACTGAAAGTCACACACCTAAATGGTGACAGATACAGAACTTCCCTATTAGACATCATATAATATAATCAGCTGAAACATAAAGAGTTATGATTTAGGATAATGAAAAGAACCTTGTATTTGATACTGAGTGAAGCAAAAATATTAAATTTAGAGCATTAAGATTTTGTTCAAGTATAACACATGAAAATATGCCTAGGAAAATTATCTTTGAAAAGGATCCCAAATAAGTTTCAGATTAACTGATAGGCAAAATTAACTGTAAAAAAAATCTGTTATTGGTGTATACGAATGCTTGTGATTTTTGCACATTGATTTTGTATCCTGAGACTTTGCTGAAGTTGCTTATCAGCTTAAGGAGATTTTGGGCTAAGACTATGGGGTTTTCTAAATATACAATCATGTCATCTCCAAACAGGAACAATTTGACTTCCTCTTTTCCTAAATGAATACCCTTTATTTCTTTCTCTTGCCTGATTGCCCTGGCCAGAATTTCCAACACTATGTTGAATAGGAGTGGTGAGAGAGGGCATCCCTGTCTTGTGCCAGTTTTCAAAGGGAATGCTTCCAGTTTTTGCCCATTCAGTATGATATTGGCTGTAGGTTTGTCATAAATAGCTCTTATTATTTTGAAATACGTTCCATCAATACTTAGTTTATTGAGAGTTTTGAGCATGAAGGGCTGTTTAATTTTGTCGAAGGCCTTTCCTGCATGTATTGAGATAATCAGGTGGTTTTTGTCATTGGTTCTGTTTATGTGATGGATTATGTTTATTGATTTGCATATGTTGAACCAGCCTTGCATCCCAGGGATGATGCTGACTTGATTGTGGTGGATAAGCTTTTTGATGTACTGCTGGATTCTGTTTGCCAGTATTTTATTGAGGATTTTTGCATTGATGTTCATCAGGGATATTGGTCTGAAATTCTCTTTTTTTGTTGTGTCTCTGCCAGGCTTTGGTATCAGGATGATGCTGGCCTCATAAAATGAGTTAGGGGGGATTCCCTCTTTTTCTATTGATTGGAATAGTTTCAAAAGGAATGGTACCAGCTCCTCTTTGTACCTCTGCTAGAATTCGGCTGTGAATCTGTCTGGTCCTGGACTTTTTTTGGTTGGTAGGCTATTAATTATTGCCTCAATTTCAGAGCCTGTTATTGGTCTATTCAGAGATTAGACTTTTTCCTGGTTTAGTCTTGGAAGGTTGTAGCTATCCAGGAATTCATCCATTTCTTCTAGATTTTCTAGTTTATTTGCACAGAGGTGTTTACAGTACTCTGATGGTAGTTTGTACTTCTGTGGGATCGATGGTTATATCTTCTTTATCATTTTTTATTGAGTCTATTGAGTCTTCTCTCTTTTCTATTAGTCTTGCTAGCAGTCTATCATTTTGTTGATCTTTTAAAAAAACCAGCTCCTGGATTCACTGATTTTTTTGAAGGGTTTTTTTGTGTCTCTATCTCCTTCAGTTCTGCTCTGATCTTAGTTATTTCTTGCCTTTCTGCTAGCTTTTGAATGTGTTTGCTCTTCCTTCTCTAGTTCTTTTAATTGTGATGTTAGGGTGCCGATTTTAGATCTTTCCTGCTTTCTCTTGTGGGCATTTAGTGCTATAAATTTCCCTCTACACACCTCTTTAAATGTGTCCCAGAGATTCGGGTATGTTGTGTCTTTGTTCTCGTTGGTTTCAAATAACATCTTTATTTCTGCCTTCATTTCGTTATTTACCCAGTAGTCATTCAGGAGCAAATTGTTCAGTTTCTATGTAGTTATGAAGTTTTGAGTGAGTTTCTTAATCCTGAGTTCTAATTTGATTGCAGTGTGGTCTGAGAGACAGTTTGTTGTGATTTCTTTTCTTTTACATTTGCTGAGGAGTGCTTTACTTCCAACTATGTGGTCAATTTTGATGTGATGTGGTGCTGAGAAGAATGTATATTCTGTTGACTTGGGGTAGACAGTTCTGTAGATGTCTGTTAAGTCTGCTTGGTGCAGAGCTGTGTTCAAGTCCTGGGTATCCTTGTTAACCTTCTGTCTCATTGATCTGTCTAATACTGACAGTGGGATGTTAAAGTCTCCCATTATTATTATGTGGGATTCTAACAGAGAGCCAAATCATGAGTGAACTCCCATTCACAATTGCTACAAAGAGAATAAAATACCTAGGAATCCAACTTACAAGGGATGTGAAGGACCTTTTCAAGGAGAACTACAAACCACTGCTTAATGAAATAAAAGAGGACACAAACAAATGGAAGAACATTCCATGCTCATGGGTAGGAAGAAGCAATATTGTGAAAATGGCCATACTGCCCAAGGTAATTTATAGATTCAATGCCATCCCCATTCGAGCTACCAATGACTTTCTTCACAGAATTGCAAAAAAACTACTTTAATGTTCATATGAAACCAAAAAAGAGCATGCATTGCCAAGTCAATCCTAAGCCAAAAGAACAAAGCTGGAGGCATCACCCTACCTGACTTCAAACTATACTACAAGGCTACAGTAACCAAAACAGCATGGTACTGGTACCAAAACAGAGATATAGACCAATGGAACAGAACAGAGGTCTCAGAAATAACACCACACATTTACAACCATCTGATCTTTGACAAACCTGACAGAAACAAGAAATGGGGAAATGATTCCCTATTTAATAAATGGTGCTGGGAAAACTGGCTAGCCATATGTAGAAAGCTGAAACTGGATCCCTTCCTTACACCTTATGCAAAAATCAATTCAAGATGGATTAAAGACTTAAATATTAGACCTAAAACCGTAAAAACCCTAGAAGAAAACCTAGGCAATACCATTCAGGACATAGGCATGGGCAAGGACTTTATGACTAAAACACCAAAAACAATGGCAACAAAAGCCAAAATAGACAAATGGAATTTAATTAAACTAAAGAGCTTCTGCACAGCAAAAGAAACTACCATCAGAGTGAACAGGCAACCTACAGAATGGGAGAAAATTTTTGCAATCTACCCATCTGACAAAGGGCTAATATCTAGAATCTACAAAGAACTTAAATTTACAAGAAGAAAAAAAAACAAAAACCCCATCAAAAAGTGGGGCTGGGCACGGTGGCTCACACCTGTAATCCCAACACTTTGAGAGGCCAAGGCAGGTGGATCACGAGGTCAGGAGATCGAGACCATCCTGGCTAACACGGTGAAACCCCGTCTCTACTAAAGATACAAAAAATTAGCCGGGTGCAGTGGCAGGCACCTGTAGTCCCAGTTACTCGGGAGGCTGAGGCAGGAGAATGGCATGAACCCAGGAGGCTGAGCTTGCAGTGAGCCTAGATCATGCCACTGCACTCCAGCCTGGGCAACAGAGCGAGACTCCATCTCAAAAAAAAAAAAAAAAGTGGGCGAAGGACATGAACAGACACTTCTCAAAAGAAGACATTTATGCAGGCAACAGACACATGAAAAAACGCTCATCACTGGTCATCAGAGAAATGCAAATCAAAACTACAATGAGCTACCATCTCACACCAGTTAGAATGGCAATCATTAAAAAGTCAAGAAACAACAGATGCTGGAGAGGATGTGGAAAAATAGAAACACTTTTACACTTTTGGTGGGAGTGTAAACTAGTTCAACCATTGTGGAAGACAGTGTGGCGATTCCTCAAGGATCTAGAACTAGAAATATCATTTGACCTAGTGATCTCATTACTGGGCATATACCCAAAGGACTATAAATCATGCTACTATAAAGACACATGCACACGTATGTTTATTGTGGCACTATTCATAATAGCAAAAACTTGGAACCAACCCAAATGTCTGTCAATGATAGTCTGGATTAAGAAAATGTGGCACATATACACCATGGAATACTATACAGCCATAAAAAAGGATGAGTTCATGTCCTTTGCAGGGACATGGATGCAGCTGGACAGGGATGCATGCAGGATAGTTTCTTTCTGAGCAAACTATCACAAGGACAGAAAACCAAATACCACATGTTCTCACTTATAGGTGGGAATTGAACAATGAGAACACTTGGACACAGGGTGGGGAACATCACATCCCAGGGCCTGTCGTGGGGTGGGCGGCAGGGGGATGGATAGCATTAGGAGAAATACCTAATGTAAATGACGAGTTAATGGGTGCCGCAAACCAACATGGCACATGTATACCTATGTAACAAACCTGCACATTGAGCACATGTACCCTAGAACTTAAATTATTAAAAAAAAAAAACAGAAAAAAATGTAAAAAAATCTTATACTTTTATTAACAGAGAGGGGAAAACGAATTAATTTTTAAATCTCTGTAGGATAAAACTTTCCACTTAACGATCAATTGATAAAGCAAGAAAACATAAATGAATTTGACCACACAAAAATAAGAATTCTTTGAGTAAAATACATACAAACAAGATAGCAGAGGCAATAATAAAAATTAAAAAACAATTTTAAATTACAAAATTCAAGTAACAATCCTGGACAATGTATTTGCAAAAATATTACAAAGATATTTTGCAAAAATACATTTGCAAAAATATTACAAAGTTATAATGTCTTTAACATTTTAAAAAGGAAAGTAAAACACTCAGACTCCATTCTGGGTTTAATCATCACTCCCATGGCCCCCCCAACAAAAAGATATGTTGAAGCCCTAACCCCTATTAACTGAGAATGTGACCTTGTTTGAAAACAATCTTTACAGAGTAAATAAATTAAAATTAGATCATTAGGGTATGCCCTAATCCAATGTTACAGGAGCATTTATGAAAAAAAGGGAAAGTTAGATACAAACATGTACACAAGGAAGACTCCATGTGAACACGTAGGCACAGATGGAGGAGTGGAGGTGGTGATGTATCTTCAAGCCAAGGAACACCAAAGATTGCCAGCAAATCTCTGAAAACTAGGAGAGAGAGGTGTGGAACAGATCTTTCTTTCACGGCCCTGGGAAGGAACCAAACCTGCTTACAACTTGATCTTAGACCTGAAGCCTTCAGAACTGTGAAACAACAAAGTTCTCCGGTTTAGGCTATCCAGTCTGTAATGGTTTGTTAGACAGCCCTAGCAAACTAATACAGACTCCAAATCATAAATGGGCAAGAAGCAGATAAACTTTAAAAATAATTATATCACTAATAAATGTTTTAAAATTAAAATTTACTGGTAATTAGAAAATGCATATTTAAGTAATACAATTTTATTTTTCACAAAATAAATTGGCATTTAAAATGTTAATACTGAATGCTCTTGGGTGTGTATGAGGAAACAGCATTTTTCAACGTGAATTAAGAGACTTAAAAATGCTCATACATTTGACTATTTTCCATTTCTTTGAATATCCGTTTAAGAAAATAGGCAAGCAAAAGTTGATGTACATGACAACACTTATAATAGCAAATAAAATGCAAATTTCCAAAAATAAGAAAAGAGTTAAAGAAATTGAAGTATTTTTTATAAGAGAGACTAGTTTACAGATAATGGAAATGATATTAAAGAAAACTATTTTCACTACTACTGGAAAAGGTCTAATTTTTTATTTACTTTTTAACTTTTATTTTAGATTGAGGGGGTAACTGCAGGTTTGTTACCTGGGTATATTGCATGATGCTGAGGTTTGGGGTATCAATGATCCTGTTACCCAGGTACTGTGCCTAGTACTTAATAGTTTTTCAACCCTTGCCCTCCTCTTCCTCTCTCTTCTAGTAGTACCTGGTGTCTATTGTTGCAATCTGCATGTCCACAGTTACCCAATGTTTAGCTCCTACTCTTAAGTGAGAACATGTGGTATTTGGTTTTCTGTTCCCACCTTAATTTGCTTAGGATAATGGCCTCTACCTACATCCACGTTGCTGCAAAGGAAATGATTTTCTTTTTGATGGCTGTATTCCATGGTGTATATGTACCTCATTTTCTTTATCCAATCCACCATTAAAATGGGCACCTAGGTCGATTCCATGTCTTGGCTATTGTGAATAGTGCTGTGATAAACATGTGATTGCAAGTGTCTTTTTGATAGAAAGATTTGTTTTCTTTTAGATATATACCCAATAATGGGATTGCTAGTTAAATGGTAGTTTGGTTTTCAGATCGAGAAGTCTCCAGACTGCTTTCCACAGTGGCTGAACTAATTTATGTTCCCACCAACAGTGTATGAGCAATCCCTTTTCTCTGAAGCCTTGCCAGCATATGTTTGACTTTTTAACATTAGCCATTCTGACAGGCATGAGATGTTCTTTTATTGTGGTTTTGATTTACATTTCTCTGATGAATAGTAACGTGAAGCATTCTTTTCATGTTTGTTGGCCATGTGTATGTTTTCTTTGGAGAAGTGTCTGTTCATGTTTTTTTGCCCATTTTTAATGGGGTTAGTTGTTTCTTGCTTAATTGTTTATTCTTTATATATTCTGGATATTAGGCCTTTTTCAGATGTATGTTTTGAGAATATTTTCTCCCATTCTGTAGGTTGTCTGTTTACTCTCTTGATAGTTTATTTTGCTGTGCAGAAACTCTTCAATTAGGTCTCACTTGTCAATTTTTTTGTCACAATTGCTTTTGAAGACAGTCATCAATTCTTTCCCAAGGTGTTTTCTAAGTTTTCTTTTACGATTCTTGTTGCTTAAGGTCTTACATTTACATCTTTAATTCATCTTAATTTTTGTATATGATGAAAGATAGGGGTCAAGTTTCACTCTTCTGCATATGGCTAGCCAGCTATCCCAGCATCATTTTCTGAATAGAGAGTCCTTTCTGCATCGCTTATTTTTGTCAACTTATCAGATGGTTGTAGGTATATGGCTTTATTTTTGGATTCTCTATTATGAAAACTAATTTTTTAATAAAAAAGAAAATTGTATAATTAGGTCTGAATTTACAATTATAAGCTTGACATCATAAAATCTTATTTGAAGAGAATGGGTAGAGGTCAATTTTAAATGTAAAAGTTGACTGTCTTAAAATACATGGGATTATTTCACAGATTTAGAAAGCCCCCAGGTTTTACTGTGACAATAAAGAGAATCATAGAAAATAAAAAGACAAAATGATAGTGTATAGTTTCCTTAAGCTACCATAACAAATTACCACAAACTAAGCAGTTGAAAACAATAGACATTTATTTTCTCACAGTTCCAAAGGCCAGAAGTCCAAAATCAAGCTTTCAGCAGCACCATGCTCTCTCGGAAGGTGTGAGGGGAGGATCCATTCTTGCCTCTTGAAGCATCTGATGGCTCCTTGCTTTCATTGTTTTATGGTGTCACAACTTTAATCTTTCAAGTACACATGGGCTTCTTCCCTGTGTCTCTACGTTTTCTCCTCTTTTTATAAGTAAAGCACTGAATACATTTACAGTCCCCTCTAAATCCAAGATGATTTCATCTCACAATCCTTAACTATATCTGATATTATACATATAATTTATATATTATGTATAAGATATATTAATATCTGCAAAGATACTATTTCCAAAAAGGTCATTATCTGAAGTCCCAGGTAAGCATGAATGTTGGGAGGATACTATTCAACCCAATAGAGAAAAAAAAGTCAAAATGAAAAGAGTGGCTATTGTGTTAGGAGTGTATTTTATATGAGATTATGCATTTTACAGATTCTTTATATTAAAAGTTTGATTTTCTTTATGCTGTTACAGAATAAGTTTATATATGTAAGATCATGAGTCCTAGGCAAATTAAAAACATGTCAAATATTTTATTCAGTTCATTTAATAAAGTAGTAGTAATATGTTAAAACTGACTTAAAGATATTTCCAAACAGCTGGACAATGCCCCTGCCTTCAGTATGGCTGAGATGGGGAGAGAAGAGCAGATACAGACATCAGTCCCAAAGTGCTTTGGTGATGTGGAGTCTAAAAGTCATGGGGACCCCGGTCACTATGTCTTTCCCCTGAAGAGACTGAGTTCTGAGCTCCTATGTCTAGGAGAAAGCCAAACTACCCTAACTGCCTGGTAGCAGGGGAGAAAACCTGGACAACGGGAGCTATTTTTCAGATGGTTGATAAAAATCTTGTGCTCCAATGGAAAGCTATTCCGCAGGGATTGGCAAACTACAGCCTGTGGCCAAATCTAACCTACTGCCTGCCTTCAAATAAATTTTTGTTGTTAACACTCATACACGTGCACAAACACACACACACAACTGGTCCCCAAAGCATTTGAGATGCTCAATATTGATAGGCAATATTAAGATAAAATTGCTGATCTAAAAACTAGATGAATTTCAAAAGGCAATAAACTAGAAGCTTTGAAATTATTTATTCTACCAGACAGAAATAATCTGATCTCTATAGGATAAAAATCAAAGTTAATATGTAACTTCACTAAATCTCAGGATTTTAATCAATAGTAAACAGTGAATCGAACTAAATACATTTCCCTCATACTTCTATAACACTGAAAACAATCAGTTGCATGATGAAAAGAAATGCAATTTTATTTTTAATTTTTTGCTATTTTTGAGACAGGATCTCTGTTACCCAGGCTAGAGTGTAGTGGCCCAATCTCAGGTCACTGCAACCTCTACCTCCCAGGCTCAAGCAATTCTCCCACTTCAGCCTTCCAAGTAACTAGGACTACAGGCATGTGACACACCATGCCCAACTCATTTTGGTATTTTTAGTAGAGATGACATTTCACCACGTTGCCCAGGCTAGTCTCGAACTCTTGAGCTCAAAGCAATCTGCCCCACTCTGTCTCCCAAAGTGCTGGAATTACAGGTGGGAGCCACTGTGCCTGGCCAATAAATAAATTTTTAAAAAGGATAAATATGTTATTGTGTACTGAAAAATTCAAAAGTTAGTTGTAATTATATTATCAGAAAAAAATTGGTCATAAAATAATAAGAAGAAGATTGAAATTATTTACCATTTATTGTCAATATAACTAATGATTCCATATGTAATTTCGATAACAAGGATCTTGTGATTATTATACTGAAATTCTTGAGGTTATTTTGAGTAACAAAAAAGTATTATGAATCATTAATTTCTATTCAACATAACTAAATTCAAGCTCATTTACACAACAGGGTTTTTTGTTTGTCTAAACAGCTCAATTATAACTAAAATTAAATGTCAACTGCATAATTTCTGAAGTATGAATTATGTAAAAAATAAAACCATTAACACAATATTCCTTCTTTATATATAAATATATAAATGTGTATGTTTTATGTATACGTATATAACTATGAAGCTTTAAAATCATACACACACATATACACATACATAGGTATATAACTATATATGTAGCTTTTAAAGCTAGTTTTTTTAAGCCTGGTTTTTTAAAAGATGGGACAAAATCTGTCAACAATTAACAAGTTGTCTTCACTCAATAACCTCAGGTAGAAAGTAGATTTTTTTAATAACTCAAAGTAGGCATAGAAATCTTTCAAAATAATTTTGGATACATACATGTGTTTCACTACAGGTTATAAGAACCTGCTTAGATTAAAAATATTTGAATCATTTGTTCCCCAAAGACTATCCAGACTTTTTTTATGAATACTTTTTTTTTTCTGATCTACTGTTATATTCTCCTACAATGCCAATTTTTTTGTTAACCAGATCAGAGTGACATATGTATCAGTTGTACCTTAACCACGTCAATATCAAGTATGATTCACAAGTAGAGATCCAGAAAGAAGCTGAAAAAATATTTTAAATAAACTCACTGGAATATATGTCAAAAACATTTTTAAAGTTCTTAATACTAACTACTTCATTTAAATACAAGCAAATAACAATTCAGTAACTTATTTGAGCCTGGTACTTGTTGGATACTTTAGGAGAAATGAAAGTCATACTCACTTTTAGAGCCTTCTGTTTCTACTACTGTAAAATTCTCTTAGCCTGAAAGAGCTGCTAATTATAATATCTTCTCTGGATACTACCTGAAAAGTTATGTTTGTTTTTTGTTACTTCACAATCTAAGAGCCTGAATAGTATGTCAGGACTAGTACATCATCAAGGTTGACATCAAAAAGAAAAAGCAATCTGGCCAGGCACAGTGGTTCACACCTGAAATCCCAGCACTTTGGGAGGCCAAGGTGGGTGGATCATCTGAGGTCAGGAGTTCAAGACCAGCCTGACCAACATGGTGACACCCAATCTCCACTTAAGAAATACAAAAATTAACCAGGCAATGGCACGCACCTGTAATCCCAGCTACTTGGGAGACTGAGGCAGGAGAATCACTTGAACCCAGGAGGCAGAGGTTGCCGTGAGCTGAGATCATGCCACTGCACTTCAATCTGGGTGATGAAGTGAGACTGTCTCAATAAACCCCAAAAAAACAAAGAAACAAACAAACAGAAAAACACATTCATCCATTTAGCAAGTAATTACAGAGTGTCTACAAAGTGCCACACAATGTGTTAGGCAATTGAGGCTAACCCCATCGAGTCCTCTCTTTCAGGATGCTGGCTATGTCATTAGAGATAAATATCTGTTCACATAAAACAATTTGAAATCTATAAAAGAGCATATAACCAAGTACTAAAGCAATGTTAGGATTTGCAATCTGGTGCTGAAACATTGGAGCCATTTTTGACATTTTTTTTTCAAATTCCATAGCCAATCGTCAGGAAATCCTGCATGCTCTTCTTTCAAAATACTTAAAATTCAAGTGCTTCTTGTGACCTCTCTTGTCTGAGCTAGCGTCTTCACCAGCCTGGGTACAGCAGTGGGCATCTATCCAGTCACCTAGCCACCATCTCTGTCTTCCTGTTGCCTATTCTCAACACAGCTATGACAGTGATCTGCATAAAATTTAAGGTAGGTCCTATAATTCTCCCACTAAAAACCTTCCAATAACTTCCCATTTCATTCACAATAAAAGCCAACATGATTTCAATGGCCTTTAAAGCCCTGTGTGATCTTGCCTTGGCCACCTCTCTGATGTGTCTTTTATGGCTGTCCCTCCCACCACTGAGCCATTCATTCTATAGTTTATTTTTCAAACATGACAAACTTACTCTCATATCACAAATTTTATATTTGTTCTGCCTTGAATGCTATTCACTGAGTGTTCCTGAATGTCTCCCTCTCTCCCTTTTTAGGTCTCTACTCACACATCAGTTTATTAGAGACTTCTTCACTGACTACGGTATATAAAATAATAAAGTACTTCTGCCCCTTTCCACCTTGCCTTGTTTGTTATTCATCATAGATGTCAATTGCTATTGATTGCTCTAGATGTTGACTTATTTTTTTGTGGTTTGCTAGAGAGGAGGAAAGAGCATCCTGATCATGAGGAAGTGTAAGTGTAAGGACTTTTAGTCAGCACAGATCTGCATTCTGGGCCAGTGAAGCTGGAATGCAGTGTGTGTGTGTGTGTGTGTGTGTGTGTGTGTGTGTGTGTTCACGAGCATGTGAAAAGAGAGGGAGAAGGAACAGGTTTAAATGGAAAGAGAAACACAAGGTGGCATGGTAAAATTTTTAATTTCATTCTAATTGCAACAGGTGTTTTAAGTATTTGATTCACAAGGTCTGAATGGTATTTTTTTAAGTTGCATTTTTAAATGTATAGGAAAAGGATTGTGGTAGAATATATTGGATATTCCTGGCCTTCCCAATCTACTTTCCTCCTTTATCCATCCAGGAAGGCTGATCATTATAGACAGTATCAGACACCCTAGCCATCTCTCTTCCCATTGGATTTGGCCAATGGCAGAATTCACAGAGTGAAAGGAGAAAGAAATTGAGGAAACTTGTCCCCCCAAGAACATATCTGCTGAGCTGAGGCTTGACATTCCTCATGCTCCCATACCTAAGGCCGTCAGTGGCCCAGGTTGGGGAGACTTCCTATAGTCACTGCTCATGCCAGATTTCGGTAACTACTTCCTTTCCTTGCTCCATATGGCCTTGGGCTAGCCCAGATGCTGTTTTCTCATCCCTTGTTCATTCTTCAATGACGCCCTCGTCTCGTGATGTACCATCTGTTTCTTACCAGGACCCTGACAGCAAATAAGTGGAGGAGTTATGAAGCAGCTGCAGGTGTCCAGAAGAGAAGTGACTTGAACTAGCATGGCATCAGCAGAGATAAATAGGTAAGAGATGTATTTTGAAGGTAAAATTAGAGGACTTTGCAGTATGATTGTCACCAAGAGGTAAGAAAAAGGAATAAATGAGAATGACTCCTATGTTTGTGCTTAAGCCTCCAGCTAGATCAGGTGTTGTGTAAAGAGTCAGAGAAGAACAGAGATGGTAGAGAACAGCATAGAAGATGAAAATATGAAGAGGTTTTTTTCTGACATGTTGAGTTGAAGTTGCCTCCTTGGATAAAACTTGATTATGAGGTTGGATACCAGGGAGACACCAGGGATAGCCACAATTGTGGAAGTCATTTGCTCAGAGGTGATATTTAACATCACATACTGGATGAAGGAATTATGTAGAAAGCAAACATTAATTTAATTGAAAAAATATCCTGGGTATACCCCATCCAAAGGTGGGAAATTTAAATGTTAGAAACTTAATAGAGAAGGAGGACTCAGCAGAAATGACTGGGAAATATGGAATGTAGCATGTATGTGCATAGCAAGGAAAGAATCAGAATAGAGTGTCCCAAAGGCAGGAAGCCGTGATAGTGATCGTCTTGAGAGCAATTTTGGTGTAAGTGTGGAGTGGGAGTGGAAGTTAAATGAAACAAAGGTTTTCATTAGAATCCAACATCGCTCATTAGAGATTTATTCTGAGGATAAAAGTTAGAACATCAGCTGGTATCAAAATGTTCCTTTATTTATTTGACAGCTGAGGATATATTTTTCTTGGCACCATTTAGATAGACTTTGTTACTCATTGGCAGGATTCAGATGATCAGTTCCTTGCCCCAGTTACTATATGTCTATTCTATTACTACCCAATCTTAATTGAATTTTAAAGCTTTACAAACAGAATAACAACAACAACAGCAAAACAAATTAGATGTTCAAGTTAGAATAATGAGCTATCATCCAGAATTCTACTCGCGAAATTTTGATTATATCAAAGACCTTTATTGACATTAAAAGAGACTTTCAAATTTTAACTTATAAAATAAAACTATACTAATTATATGATTTACTTTATTTTTTATTATTATTTATTTATTGAGACAGAGTCTCCCTCTCCCATGCTAGAGTACAGTGGTGCGATCTCAGCTCACTGCAACCTTCACCTCTGGGTTCAAGCAATTCTCATGCCTCCGTCTCTGAAGTAGCTGGGATTACAGGTGGCTGCCACCATGCCCAGATAATTTTTGTATTTTTAGGAGAGACAGGGTTTCACCATATTGGCAAGGCTGGTCTCGAACTCATGACCTCAGGTAATCCGCCCGCCTCAGCCTCCCAAAGTGCTGAGATTACAGGCATGAGCCACCACACTCAGCCATTATTTACTTTATTGATGGGCTCCATGAAATGTACTGATATGAAAAAGAATTCTACTGCTATAAGGTGACAGGTAATTTTGAGAAAAAAAAAAGTGGCACACTTATTTTTCAAGAACTCTACTTTTTTTTCATTTTTGAAATTGCATTGTTACTCAAAATATTTTTTGCCAATATTAACATTTTCTTTGCTATTTCTCTTGCAAATATAACATGTTCTAATAAATGACATGATGCTACCTCAAAATTAAGGTAGACTTTAACTACATTGTCAAAAAACATGATAAAAGCTTAAAAAAAGATGTGAATTACAGAGAGCATTTTAAATTTTAAACTAGAATTATAAATGAAATATCCATTTTTCTTACTAGTTATGCTATTTTTTAGATGACATTTTAAACATGACATTCTATAAAGTACTGTAAATAAGAACACAAATGTGGGCTGGCCTCTAATTTTTCATTCTGTATTTTAAGACTTCTGATGTGCCAATTCCCTCATCTTTTTAAAAAACAAAATTGAATGCAAACTAACTGATTAAGATTTTTAATCTAATATGAATATGAATCTTTTAAGCCAAGATACAGACAGATGGGTAACGTAGTAATTAACTGAAACACAGATATTTGTTTCACATTTAGATAAACAAAATTCAACAAATAACCTCCTTTTATACTTAACAGATAGCTGCATTCCTTAAACAGCCTTCTCAGCTTCAAAATTATATTTAAAAAACCAAAATATAAACAGATTAAAAGTGGATGTCTACAACAGCATATAGTTATTATGATTATTATATTCAAAATAGGATTTGAAATGGAACAAAACCAACTCTCAGAACAAGAAGAAAGGAATAGAAAACTGGATTTAACACAGGGCTTTACCTACTGGCTCTTGGGAAAGTCAAATTTCTCTTATGTTAACTTCCTAATGAATAAAATGAAGGGAATACTGCTCCTGTTTCAGGGGAGTTTTTTTTTGGGGGGGTGATGGGGAGGTAGTTTTTTTCTTCTTTTTTAGTTAGGCAAAACTTCTGTGGAAATGAGAGATATAAATACAACTTAAAGTGGTAAGATAAGTGATTACATTTATTATTTGAATGAATGCCTCCTTAAAAGATTCATCCTTGATGAAAGATTACATGCCTTAATTTTAACAAGGTGTCAAATTTTCATGCTATGGATTTGGTTTCTCTGTGAAGGAAAAAATTAATAAATGTTTAATAAATTGATATTACTTAATATAAACTAAGTGGATGACTGTTATAGTAGCAACTACTATTTTGAGAAGGTCATCAAATGTACATAAGTTTAGAAAGGGTTTCCAATTGGATATCACTCTAGTGACAAATGTCAGAAATGACATGTACCCGGTATCTATCTATTTTTTTTGTAATCTAAATGCAACTTTTTGTCTTCTATTGTTTCCCTAAAATTTATTCATTAGAGAAAGATTTTCTCTGCTGAAAGACCAAACTGACAGGATCCATGATTTTCTGGAGACTTGCAGATAATAGAAAACTCTGTGGTTTGAGTTGTAAACAATCTTGACGAAGAAATTATATTGTCAAGACTACTATATTAAGCAATACTTCAATCTGTACTCAAAGGATGTACATTTGCCAGCCTCTTCACTTAGAATCTGTAGTAGGCTGGCTACTTGTTTTCAGGGGAGGACAGTGAAGAAGGCTGCCATTTTTTTAAACAGATATCAAATGTACAAAAATGTTGCAATAGTACAAAAATTTTCCTTATGTCCTTCACTCAGGTTTCACAAATGCTAATATGACTATTTTATCATATCTGTTTTATTCTGCTCTATCCATATCTATATGATTTCTTTCTGAGCTATTGAGACTGACTTGCAGCCATGATGCCTCTTTATTCTTAAATTTCTCAGTGTGGTTTTCCTAAAAAACAAGGTCTTTATCATATAGTTAAGGAATTATTTTCAAAATCAGGATAATACTATTGATACAATCCTATTATCTAATCTGTGAACCTTATTCTGAATTTTCTGATTGTCTCAATAACATCCTTTACAGCAAAAGAAAATATGAGGTCCCACATTACATTCAGTTGTCATGTTTTTTTAGACTGCTAAATTAATCTTGAACACTTCAGCAGTCATTTAATGTGTTTCAAGACACAGGCCAGTAATTTTGTAGAATGTACTTCAATTTCAATTTGTCTGATGTTTCCTCATGAGTAGCATCAGGCGTTTGGCAGGTATCCCACAAAAGTGATCTGATATTATTGCATGCTATCAAGAGGCAAATGATGCTGATTTATCCCATTTACTGGTGATGTTCACTTTGATCACTTGGTTTAGATAATGTTTGCCAGTTATTTCTACTATAATGGTATTACTACTCCTTTTGTAACTAATAAGAACCTTGTGGGAAGATACTTTGAGATTATGTAAATCCCTGTTACTTTTCAAACTTTCAATCTAATTAAACCATCTGGCTGATGATCCTTGCCTGAATAGATGATTATGTTTGCTAAATGGTGATTTTTAATTCTATGCTTTTTCACATTTACTTTTTGCCATTGTACTGTAACAAAAGATTTTACCTACCTCCCCTCTCTCCCTTCTTCCCTCCCTCCCTTCTTCCCTTCCTCTCTTCCTCCCTTCCATCTATTCTTTCTATCTAGGTGGACTTATGAATTCTTATTTGGTGAGTTATATTTAAAAAATATTATTTATTATATGCTCAAGTTATCCAAGATTTGGCAAGTGGGAATTCCCTGAAACTGAATCATAAATGCTTTTACATCTCTTCATCATTCTTTAAACATTTTGCTATGTTCTGGCAAATGAAAATATTCCAGGTTCATCATGAGCTGTAAAGGTAAGGCATCTCTGTAAAGGTAAGGCATTACGTTGATGAGTACCTTGCCCCCACACTTTGCCTGTTAAGCCAATTTCAAATGAAGTTCAGGAGTCCTCTTAATTTGCTGGTTTTAGTTTAACATCCCTTCCCTGATGTCTGAGAATAATCTGAAATAATAGTTCATTCTACTACTGTCAACAATATAAGGAATTCAGGAGTGGTCTTCTTTCATATGAAAAGTTGGCAAAAATATATGGACTCCTTAGCATTTTTACAATTTCATAGGGTGTTGTCAGAATAATGAAGCAAACCTATAAATCCAAAGAAAACAGCAAATTTAAAAAAAAAAAAGTATGTTACACTTTTAGCAAGTTCAGTGGAACAGAAAAGTTAGTATATTATCTAAATGTAAAGTTCAAGAACATTGATTATGTGATACACTATTGTGACATATCTGGTGACCTTAAAATTAATATCTTAAGTTTAAATTATTATAAAAGCAGAAGTGAGAGATCCTTTAGGTCCTTTATTCATGGTTTAAAATATTTTACTTGCTAATACACTCTTACCCTACAGGGATGACACTTAAATTTTACTGAGCCATGGAATATAGAGCGAGTTCAAGGCTGAGGAAAGCTGCTGTTTTCAAAAGGATGCCAGTTCTGGGCATGTAGTCAATTTCTGGATAAGTTATCACAGGGAGCCACCTGGAGTGAGTAATGGAAACCTGAGAACCTCCTAGTGTGCGGATCTCTCTCTATATATATCTATATATGTATCATCAATCTGGATATATATATATTTCAGATATTTTATATAATCAGACTTTTTATATATGAACATATATATGAATATATGATTTTTAATATTTTATGTATTTCTCTAAAATATATTTCTAGATACCTATATATTATCTTAAGGAGTCAGATAACTTCTGAAATGATGAAGTCTGTCAATCATTCACTCCTTTGTAAATTATAATATTTTCATTTGATTTTTCACAGGAAATGAGAGAATGCCTTATATGTGTGTTTGTGAGGGTCTGTGGATAAGTATTCATGTGTGTTTTTCTAACAAAAGAGCCACTCTATTATTTAACAATGGAAGTTATTTCTCAATTTGATTTAACATTTATATTTTCCCTAATCTCTTGCCAACTGGAAAATGTATCTATGCTTTTCAATGCTCCAGTTCAATACCCCATCCCACAGAGTTCCCAAGATAACTGTTAGGATTCAATGAAAGATACAGTTTTTCCCAAAAAAGCCAGCATTTTCTTCAAACTGGATTCAGACAGCAGGTAAGGTCAAGGAGTCAACCATACTTAGTTCTGGAACCCCCATCAACCTAATCCATCCATATGAGAAAATGTTCATGCTGGCCTTGAGCAGTGGCTCACGCCTATAATCCTAGCATTTTGGGAGGCTGAGGCGGGTGGATCACTTGAGGTCAGGAGTTCAAGACCAGCCTGGCCAATATGGTGAAACCCCATCTCTACTAAAAATACAAAATTAGCCAGGTGTAGTGGCATGTGCCTGTAATCCCAGCTACTCAGGAGGTTGAGGCAGAAGAACGCTTGAACCCAGAAGACAAAAGTGGCAGTGAGCCGAGATTGCACCACTGCACTCCAGTCTGGGCAACAGAGTGAGACTCTGTCAAAAAAAAAAGAAAGAGAAGAGAAGAGAAGAGACAAAAGAAAAGAAAAGAAAAGAAGAAAGAAAAGAAAAGAGGAAGGAAAAAGAAAAACCTCATACTAATAATAAAACTGCAGGTAAGTTCAAGACTGGTAACTGTGGGCAAAAATGTTCGAACTGAAATAAGGTGAGTTCTACCAACACCTTCCAGTTTTACATACAGAAAATGTGGTTTGCTATATAATCTGTATTACAAACATCTTCCCTCTTCCATTCTGCTGCTTAGAGCCTGAGGGATACTGGAACCATGAACTAGAAGGAGCTCAACTCCCAGAGAACTTTGCAGATCAGAGCTCAAATTCTTTCCTTGGATTGTATTCCTCCACATTTTTATGTGAGAGAAAATTGAACTTTGGATTTAGCCACAGATTTTTAGACTTGCATCACATGAAGAAAAATGTAATTCCAAATGAAACATCATCCCACTTGGAGTAAAATCCAAAGCCTTACATGGCCCCAGTGATCTGGTTAGTAGCTACATAGACCCATGAGTCTCCCTTCTCCATCCACTCTAAGGCTATCCAGACAGACACTGCTGGCTCAGGCCCTTAGACATTTCTTCAGTCCACATTATTTTTTCCCCAGAGAATTGGATGGCTCTTTCTCTCCCTTAATTGAGTTTGCTCTTCAAATATCATTTTATTAGAATGGCCTTCTCTGATCCATATATTAATATTAAATCTATCTTCCATCTTTTCCTCCTCCTGCTTTTTCTGCCTTGTTCTCCTTAACCCTTATCATCTAAAATACTAACTATTCACACATTTATTTGTTCATTTTCTGTCTCTCTCCGCTAGTATGTCAGCTCCATGAGTTAAGAGTGCCTTTTTACCCACTGCTGTATCTCCACCACCTTGAATAATGCCTGGCTTATTGTAGTTCAGTGAACGAATGAATGTGAATGCACATCATATAGACAGTGGGAATACAATAGCTAATTGATATTACTATGTGCCTGAGAGCCCCAAAATATTGTAGGGTTTATGGTTTTCAAAAGTGAGAAAGCTTTACACAGAAAAAAATCAAAACCATTCCCTCTTTGCTAGAAAGCTATGGATATTGAATCCTATCCTTTTAAACAATACAGCTAGTATGGAAGAAAATTGATGACTATTAGAAATCCTACAGAATAAAAATGTCATTGCTATGAAGTAGATAGCTTCAGCTGGAAGTAGGCAAAAACTTTTTCTCGAAAAAACAAACTAGAAATTCAGTATAAATTTAGAAAACAGTTAAAAATTCAGTGTAAATTCATAATTTAATTGTGTAGAATTGCTATAGACTTAGAATCAGGATTAAAATGTCAATTTTCATCATGTTTAATAGCAATGCAATAAGGCTTGAAAACAAAATAACACAAAGCTATTAGAGGTAGGGAAACCAAATTAGCACATGCAGGTTATGTTATTTTATACTTACAAAATCTAAGGAAATAAGTAAAATTGGAGTTGATAAATATGTAGTAAAGCAACTGAGAACAAATGTTAAAAAATTATAGGGTTTAAAAATAGTTGAAGCTTGTAATATAGTATTTAGTGTTCTTTTTTTCCCTGTCTAAAGTTGAAGTTATCTTTTAAAAGGTTATTTATAACAGAAATAAGGATAAATACTTAGGTAACAATTCATGAAATAGAGAACATATAATGAAGAAAAGAATGATGTAAAACTCTGCTGAAGTCAGATAATTAAAAAGAATATACAATTGCTGGAGGGAAGACAATATTGTAAAAATGTTGATTCTTCACAAATTACTTTTCTAGTTTAGTTAAATTTAATTCAATTCTATATCCCAATAGGGTTTTATTATAGAAAATGTTAAAGTTCATTTAGAATATTAAATAGGTATGAATATCTAAAAGTTTTTATTTTTAAAAAGTCTAATACACGTACATATCAGAAAGCTAAAAGAGGCCCAGCACAGTAGCTCACGCCTGTAATCCCAGCACTTTGGGAGGCCAAGGCGGGTGGATCACCTGAGGTCAAGAGTTCAAATCAGCCTGGCCAACATGGTGAAACCCTGTCTCTACTAAAAATATAAAAAATTAGCAGGGCATAGTGGCATGCACCTGTAGTCCCAGCTACTCAGGAGGCTGAGGCAAGAGAATTGCTTGAATGTGGCAGAGAGATTGCAGTGAGCCAAAATCACGCCACTGCACTCCAGCCTGGGAAACAGAGTGAGACTCAATCTCAAACAAACAAACAAACAAATAAAACACAGCTATAAAAGTATTAAGTGTCATACTATACAAAATAGCAGTCTTTGACAGTTAAGAATCTAGTAATTCTACAAACATAAATCAACCTACCATGCTGTCATTTAACGTAATATAGTAATAGTTCATTTATAATAGTCATAATTTGAGATACAATAAACTTGGTGTTTATATCATGAGTAGATAAATATTGCCTTTATATGTTTGTGCTTAGATTTTTCTTCCTGCTTTTGTTTTTTAATAAGTTTAATTATTTGTTTCCCCCGGTGTATGCTTTTAAGCTGTTCTGTAAAATTTTCAAGCTGCTCCATTGGATCCACTACAAAAAGAATATCAATTTGTTCTTCAGAATTCTCATATTTATCTGAGAATCTATGAATTCTCTCTTTTCTATTTTCATGGTTCAGGCCTACTGTACAAGTCTTTTTTCTAAAACTTTTAACACTTTCTAGGTTGAAACACATGTTTTCTGGATCCCATGCTCTCCTCTTTCTCCTTTATATTGTGCTGCTAGATTTGCTGGGAGAATCCCCTCACAGCTTCCTAAGAGATTTGACTTCCGTTCTGTAGGTGGAAAAGAGGGAATCATCTGTTAGTGCAGGATGTGGCTGATATTCTGCTCCATGGTGAAATGCCTTTGACCAGTTCCCTTCATTTTCTGCCCTGCACCTCTACCCTACCTTCACTAAATTAATACATCCAAATATTTAATATCTCATGAATTCTGCAGAGTTAATTAGCTGTCATAGTATTACCCTACCATTCATTTAAGACTGAGATTTTCTGCTTTGCCATATTGATAATCATTTATCTTTTCACTTTCTTTATTTATGATATTGTGTTCACTTCCATTGCCATATGGATTTTTTCACTCTTGGGTTTATAGCATTTTTATTCTTTCACAATTATTTTAGTTTGGATCTCAGGAAATCAAAGTAATAAACTCAAAGTGCTATATTTAAATGAATTTTTAATACAATTATTTAAAAAAAGAGGAATAAGGAAATTCTGTCATAAGACATTAAATACAAGTAAGGTAAATAATTAGGTTAATTGGGGTACTGATTTAGAAGTAGAATGTTATCAGTAGTATGGAAAAAATATCCAGAAAAACATATCTTCGCATATATAGAAATTAAATAAATATGAAGTTAGCATGAGATTAAGGAAAAAAATCAAAACAATTTTACAACTGATTAACTATTTGGATAAATTAATGGATTAGATTGATCAGTGATTCTTAACTATTTTTGTTCATCTACATTTACCTGTATAACACATTATACTCAGTAATAGCTCTCATAATCTGCCATAATTCACATCAAGAGAAGCAGGATCGACACATTCTCCAGAAGACATATGAAAATATCCAGGGAAAGGCTAATATAGTTTTTAAAATTTATATTCCCCACCTAACCTGATATACTCTCCCTTTCTCTACTAGAGGAAAGAGTTGTACTTCTTTGCAGATTTTTATTACTCTTCTAAATAAAAATCAAGATATTAAAAACCAGAAGAAAATGTGAGAGCTATTTCTCAGATACCTAGTTTGGCAAAAAAATTGATTTAGAAGAAAGTATTTTGGGAAAATTGTCAAGTATTACAACAAAATTAATGAAACTACATAAAACATACATAAAAGATACTATAAACAAAAAGCTTCTTTCTGTGGAAAAAAAAGACTTAAAAGATAACCAACACACTTGGGAAATCTATAAAATCTACAGAATAAACAATACACAGATAATTTTTATGTCAAAGCAAGGAAAATAAATCTCCCAATAGAAAATGGAGCACAGATATGAGCAGACAATTTAAAGAAGATTCAAAGGGATAATATTTGAAAAAATCTTGGCAATAATTAAAAAATAAAATTTAAAATTGAATTACTGAATTTCTAGATCCAGAAAAGTTGGAAAAGATTCACTTTTCCCTGTTCCTCCTTTCTAAACACAACTAAATAACCTAGAAAAGTATTCAACATACCACAGTAAAAAGATTCTGACAGTGAGGCAGACAAAGGCAGACTGGCTAGGGACATCTTGATGGAGGACAATATGGTCAATTCTTAGGGGAAGGGAGTCCTTTTATTAAATTTGCAAACATTAAGGGTGACTCTTTGTGTTGCAGAGCTGTGTTTTGATAAATGCATAATGTTAATTAAACATAATTACAGTATCATACAGAATAGTTTTACTCTAAAATTCTTTTGCATCACTTATTAAAACTTCTACCCACTCCCCAGCCCCGGGCCCCCACAATGCCTCCCAGTCTCTGGCAGTCAGTCTTTTATCCTGTCTGCCTAGCTTTGCTATTTCAGGAATGTCATAAATAGGATCATCTACTAAGTAACCTTTTCAGACTACCTTCTTTCACTAAGTAAAATTCAATTTCTTTTTATTGCTGGATAATATTACATTTTATACATGTAGTACCTGTTTTATTTGAATTTATCAGCTTTGTTAAGCTATTATTATTCACAAATAAAAACCATATACTTTCAAGGTGTCCAATGTGATGATATATGTATACACTGTTGCCACAATTAAATTAACACATCTATCAGCACACAGTTACCATTGTGTGTGTGTGGTGAGGGCAGTTAATATCTACTCTCTTGGAAAATTTCAAGTAAATAATACGGTACTATTAATGATAGTCACCATGCTATACACTAGGTCTCCAGAAGTTATTCATCTTAAAACTGAAAGTCTGATCCTTTGACTAACATCTCCCCATTTCCTGAATCCCCTAGCTCCTGGCAACCAGTTTTCCACTCTCGGCTTTTATGAGAGTGACTGTTTTAGATTCTACATATATGCTAGATCATAAAATATTTGTCTATTCAGCCACTGTGCTACCCTCAGTTTTTATGAGTTTCAGTGTTTTAGATTCTACATGTATGTTAGACAATAGAATATTTGTCTATCTGTTTGGCTTATTTCATTTATTATGTTGTCCTTCAGTTTCATCTGCATTGTTGAAATGGCAGAATTTGCTTTTTATTAGGCTGGTAATATTCAATCACACACACACACACCCTCAAATTTTCTTCATCTATCTAGGAGCATGAACTAGGCTGTTTTCATATATTAGCAACTGTGAATAATATTAAAATGAACTTGTGATTGCACATGTCTCTGGAAGATATAATTTCATTTTCTTTGGATGTATACATAGAAGTAGAATTGAAGGATTCTATGGTACTTCTGTTTTTTTGTGTGTGGAACCTTCATACTGTTTTCCATAATGACCGGACCATTTTATATTCCCATCAAGAGTCTACAAAAGTTCCCTTATATCCATCCATATCCTCAACTCTTTTTATCCTTTTCTTGATTATAGCCAGAATGACAGGAGTGAAATGTTATTCCATTTGCATTTCCCTGATGATTAGTGATATTGAGCACCTTTTCGTATATAGCCATACCTCATTTTATTGATCTTCACTTTATTGAGTTTTACGGATATTGCATTTTCTGTAAATCTAAGGTTTGTGGCAACCGTGCATCAAGCAAGTATATTAGTGCCATTTTCCAACAACATATGCTCATACTGTGTCTCTGTGTCACATTTTGCTAATTCTTGCAATATTTCAGACGTTTCATTATTATTATATCTTTTATGGTGACTTGTGATCACTGATCATTGATGTTACTATTGGAATTGTTTGGGGGCACCACAAACTAGGCCCAGATAAATCAGCAAACTTAATAGATGAATTTTGTGTGTGTTATGACTGCTCCAGCAACCAGCCAACCAGCCATTCCTGTGTCTCTCTATTGCCTTGGGGCTTCCTATTCTCAGAGACACATCAATGTTGAAACTAGGCCAATTAATAAATAAACCTACAATGGCCTCTAACTAGTAAAGTGGAAGGAAGAGTCCCATGTCTCTCTAAATAATAAGAAATAATTAGGATGAGCAAGGAAGGCATGTCTAAAGCCAAGATAGGTCGAAAGCTAGGCCTCTTCTGCCAAACAGCCAAGTTGGGAATGAAAAGGAAAAGTTCTTGAAGGAATTAAAAGTGCTGTTCTAGTGAACACACAAATGACAAGAAAGTGAAACAATCTTATTGCTGATATGGAGAAAATTTTAGTGGTCTGAATATAAGGTCAAACTAGCCATGACATTCCTTTAAACTAAAGCCTAATCCAGAATAAGGCTGTAACTCTCTTCAATTCTATGAAGGCTGTAAGAGGTAAGGAAGCTGCAAAATTTGAAGCTAGCAGAAGGTGGTTCATGAGGTTTAAGGAAACAGACATCTCTATAAAATAAAAGTTTATCTCATTGTGGTTTTGATTTGCATTTCTCCAATGGCCAGTGATGGTGAGCATTTTTTCATGTGTTTTTTGGCTGCATAAATGTCTTCTTTTGAGAAGTGTCTGTTCATGTCCTCTGCCCACTTTTTGACGGGGTCGTTTTTTTCTTGTAAAGTTGTTTGAGTTCATTGTAGATTCTGGATATTAGCCCTTTGTCAGATGAGGAGGTTGCAAAAATTTTCTCCCATTTTGTAGGTTGCCTGTTCATTCCGATGGTAGTTTCTTTTGCTGTGCAGAAGCTCTTTAGTTTAATTAGATCCCATTTGTCAATTTTGTCTTTTGTTGCCATTGCTTTTGGTGTTTTAGACATGAAGTCCTTGCCCATGCCTATGTCCTGAATGGTAATGCCTAGGTTTTCTTCTAGGGTTTTTATGGTTTTAGGTCTAACGTTTAAGTCTTTAATCCATCTTGAATTGATTTTTGTATAAGGTGTAAGGAAGGGATCCAGTTTCAGCTTTCTACATATGGCTAGCCAGTTTTCCCAGCACCATTTATTAAATAGGGAATCCTTTCCCCATTGCTTGTTTTTGTCAGGTTTGTCAAAGATCAGATAGTTGTAGATAGGCGGCATTATTTCTGAGGGCTCTGTTCTCTTCCATTGATCTGTATCTCTGTTTTGGTACCAGTACCATGCTGTTTTGGTTACTGTAGCCTTGTAGTATAGTTTGAAGTCAGGTAGCATGATGCCTCCAGCTTTGTTCTTTTGGCTTAGGATTGAATTGGCAATGCAGGCTCTTTTTTGGTTCCATGTGAACTTTAAAGTAGTTTTTTTCCAATTCTGTGAAGAAAGTCATTGGTAGCTTGATGGGGATGGCATTGAATCTGTAAATTACCTTGGGCAGTATGGCCATTTTCACGATATTGATTCTTCCTACCCATGAACATGGAATGTTCTTCCATTTGTTTGTATCCTCTTTTATTTCCTTGAGCAGTGGTTTGTAGTTCTCCTTGAAGAGGTCCTTCACATCCCTTGTAAGTTGGATTCCTAGGTATTTTATTCTCTTTGAAGCAATTGTGAATGGGAGTTCACTCATGATTTGGCTCTCTGTTTGTCTGTTGTTGGTGTATAAGAATGCTTGTGATTTTTGTACATTGATTTTGTATCCTCACACCAGTTAGAATGGCAATCATTAAAAAGTCAGGAAACAACAGGTGCTGGAGAGGCTGTGGAGAAATTGGAACACTTTTACACTGTTGGTGGGACTGTAAACTAGTTCAACCATTGTGGAAGTCAGTGTGGCGATTCCTCAGGGATCTAGAACTAGAAATACCATTTGAGCCAGCCATCCCATTACTGGGTATATACCCAAAGGACTATAAATCATGCTGTTATAAAGACACATGCACACGTATGTTTATTGCGGCACTATTCACAATAGCAAAGACTTGGAACCAACCCAAATGTCCAACAATGATAGACTGGATTAAGAAAATGCGGCACATATACACCATGGAATACTATGCAGCCATAAAAAAGGATGAGTTCATGTCCTTTGTAGAGACATGGATGAAATTGGAAATCATCATTCTCAGTAAACTATCACAAGAACAAAAAACCAAACACTGCATATTCTCACTCATAGGTGGGAATTGAACAATGAGAACACATGGACACAGGAACGGGAACATCACACTCTGGGGACTGTTGTGGGGTGGGGGGAGGGGGAGGGATAGCATTGGGAGATATACCTAATGCTAGATGACGAGTTAGTGGGTGCAGCACACCAGCATGGCACATGTATACATATGTAACTAACCTGCACATTGTGCACATGTACCCTAAAACTTAAAGTATAATAATAATAAATAAATAAATAAAAAATTTTATAGTTATCCATACAATCTAAGATAATTGATTAAGATAGCTCTACTAAACGGATTTTTAGTCTAGACAAAACAATCTCTATTTTAAGGATTTACCATTCCTTTATTTCATAGCTAGAGAGGAGAAGTCACTGCGCCTGGTTTCTAAGCTTCAAATATTAAAAAACAAACAAACAAACAGGCTGACCCTCTTATTAGGGGATAATGCAGCTGGTAACTAAGTTGAAGCCAGTGCTCATTTACCATTCTTAAAATCTCAGGGCCTTCTTATGCTAAATCTACTCTGCCTGTGTTCTATAAATGAAACAACAAAGCCTGAATGGCAGTGTATCTGGTTATAGCATGGTTTACTGAATATTTTAAGACTACTGTTGAGACCTGCTGCTCAGAAAACAAAAATTCCTTTCAAAATATTACTCCTCATCGACAGTGCACCTAGTTATCCAAGACCTTTGCTGGAGATGTTCAAGGAGATTAATGTTTTCACTCCTGCTAACACAACATCCACTCTGCAACCCATGAATCAAGAAGTAATTTCAAAAAAAGAAGTAATTTCAACTTTCAAGTTTTATTATTTAATAAATACATTTTGTAAGGCTATAGCTGCCATAGATAGTACTTCATCTGATGGATTTGGGAAAAGTCAGTTGAAAACCTGAAAAGGATTCACCATTCTAGATGCCATTAAGAGTATTTGTAACTCATGAGAGGAGGTAAAAATATCAACATTAATAGGAGCCTGGAAGAAGTTGATTCCAACCACATAGATAACTTTGATGGGTTCAAGACTTTTATGGAGGAAATAACTGCAGATATATTGAAAATAGCAAAAGAACTAGAATTAAAGGTGGATCCCAAGAATGTGACTGAATTTCTGCAATCTAATGATAGATAAAACTTGAATGAATGAGGAATTGCTTCTTACGGATGAGCAAAGAAAGTTTTGTTTTCGTTTTTGTTTTTGTTTTTTTGAGATGGAATCTACTCCCAGTGATGACTTGGACATCATTGAAATGACAACATAGGATTTAGAATATTATAATATCCTATATTATATATAAAGGATATATAATATTTATAATATCCTATATTATATATAAAGGATTTAGAATATTATATAAACCAAATTGATAAAGCAGTAGCAGAGTTTGAGAAAATTGACTCCCAATTTTGAAAGAGGTTCTACGTTGGGTAAAATGTTATCAAACACCATCACATGCTACAGAGAAATCTTTTGTAAAATAAAAATTCAATCAATGTGACAAACTTCAGTGTTGTCTTATTATAAAAAGTTGTTGCCACCTTAATCTTCAAAAACCACCACCTTGATCAGTCAGTTGACATCAGCATGGAGGCAAGACTCTATACCAGCAAAACATAATGATATGCTGAAGTCTCAGATGATTGATACCATTTTTTTAGCAATAAAGTATTTTTAATTAAGGTATGTAGATAGTCTTTCTAGACATAATGCTATGCACACTTAATGGGCTAAAATATATTGTAAACATATACACAAGAAAACAAAAAATCTCTTGTAATTTGCTTTATTGCAATATTCACTTTATTGTGGTGGTCTGGAATAAAATCTGCAATATCTCTGAGGTAAGTCTGTATCTGTGGGCCATGTGTATGACTTTTTGGGGAAAAAAAAAGCCTATTCAGATTCTGTCCTCATTTGTTAATCAGGCTATTTGTTTTTCTTTTCCTATGGAGTTTTATGAATTCCTTATTTTGATACTAACTCATTACTGGATATATAGTTTACAAATATTTTATCTTATTCTGTGGGCTGTCTCTCCATTATGTTATTTCCTTTGCTGTGCAGAGTTTTAGTTTGATGTAGTCAAACTTGTTTATGTTTGCTTTTGTTTCTTGTGCTTTTGGTGTCAAATCCAAAACCTGCAAAAACCAGTGTCAAGGAGATCTCCCCCTATGTCTTCTAGGCATAGGTCTTACCTCATTTTCAGGTCTTACTTTTAAGTCTTTAATCCAGTGCATTACGTTACATTTAAGGTGTTTTTGTCTTTTTTTAAATATGGTGAGAAAGTATCCAATTTTATTCTTTCGCATGTGGATATCTATTTTTCCTAACACTATTATTGAAGAGACTATCCTTTCCCTATTGGATATTATTGTGGCCCTTGTCAAAGACTGGTTAACTAATGCATGTGTTTATTTCTGGGCTTTCTATTCTGTTCCATTGACCTAATGTGTCTGTTTTATGCTACTTTTGATTACTATAGTTTTGAAATATAGTTTGAAATTAGGAAATATAATGTCTCCAGTTTTACTCTTTTTGTACAAGATTGCTTTGGCTTTTGAGGTTTTATGTGTTTCCTTATGAATTTTAAATTTGTTCTATTTCTGTGAAAAATGACAATTGAATTTTGATAAACGTTACACTTAATCTGTAGATCATGTATGGTAGTATGGACATTTTGACATTAATTATTCTGATCCATGAACACATGATGTCATTCCATTTATTTGGGTCTTCCATTTCTTTCAAAGTTGTGTAATTTTTAGTGAATAGATTTTCACCTCCTTAGTTAAATTTATTCCTAAGTATTTTATTCTTTTAGATGTTATTATAAATGAGATTGCTTTCTTTATTTCTTTTTCAGATAGTTTGTAATGAGTATATAGAAATGCAACTGATCTTTATATGTTGATTTTGTATTCTGCAGCTTTACTAAATTCACTTATTAGTTCTAACAGTTTTTTAGTGGAGTCTTCAGGGTATTCTGTATGTTTGCAGATGATGTCATTTACGAACAGACAATTTTACTTGTTCCTTTCTGATTTGGAAGCCTTTTATTTCTTTTTCTTGCCTAATTGCTCCAGCTAAGACTTATAGTTCTATGCTAAATAGAACTGGTGAGAGTGAAGTGAGTGGCCTTGCCTTTTTCCTGATCTCAGAAAATGCTTTCAGCTTTTCACCATTTAGTATGATGTTAACTGTGGGCTTTTGACATATGGCCTTTATTGTCTTGAGGTACATTGCTTCTATATCTAAATTGGTGAGAGTTTTTGTCAATGTTGAATTTTGTCAAATACTTTTTCTGCATCAATTGAGATGACCATATGATTTTTTATTCTCAATTCTGTTCATGTGGCATATCACATTTATCGATTTTTGTATGTTGAATCACCCTTGCATCCCAGGGTTAAGTCCTACTTGATTGTGGTATACAAGTCCTTTAATGTGGTATTGGATTTTGTTTGCTAGTACTTTGTAGATAATGTTTGCGTCTTTGTTAATCAGGGATATTGACCCATAATTTTTTCTTGCAGTGTTATTTTCTTGCCTTAATTTGAGGGTGATGCTGGCTTTTTAAAGATTAGTTTAAGAGTATTTCCTCCTCCCACAGAAATACAAACTACCATCAGATAATACTATAAACACCTCTATGCAAATAAACTAGAAAATCTAGAGGAAATGGATAAATTCCTTGACACATACAGTCTCCCAAAACTAAACCAGGAAGAAGTTGAATCTCTGAATAGACCAATAACAGGTTCTGAATTTGAGGCAATAATTAAGAGCTTACCAACCAAAAAAAGTCCAGGACCAGATGCATTCACAGCCGAATTCTACCAGAGGTACAAGGAGGAGCTGGTACCATTCCTTCTGAAACTATTCCAATCAATAGAAAAAGAGGGAATCCTTCCTAACTCATTTTATGAGGCCAGCATCATCCTGATACCAAAGCCTGGCAGAGACACAACCAAAGAAGAGAATTTTAGACCAATATCCTTGATGAACATTGATGCAAAAATCCTCAATAAAATACTGGCAAACCGAATCCAGCAGCACGTCAAAAAGCTTGTCCACCATGATCAAGCGGGCTTCATCCCTGGGATGCAAGGCTGGTTCAACATACGCAAATCAATAAATGTAATCCAGCATATAAACAGAACCAAAGACAAAAACCACATGATTATCTCAATAGATGCAGGAAAGGCCTTTGACAAAATTCAACAACCTTCATGCTAAAAACTCACAATAAATTAGGTATTGATGGGACATATCTCAAAATAATAAAAGCTATCTATGACAAACCCACAGCCAATATCATACTGAATGGACAAAAACTGGAAGCATTCCCTTTGAAAACTTGCACAAGACAGGGATGCCCTCTCTCACCACTCCTATTCAACATAGTGTTGGAAGTTCTGGCCAGGGCAATCAGGCAGGAGAAGGGAATAAAAAGCATTCAATTAGGAAAAGAGGAAGTCAAATTGTCCCTGTTTGCCGATGACATGATTGTAAATCTAGAAAGCCCCACTGTCTCACCCAAAATCTCCTTAAGCTGATAAGCAATTTCAGCAAAGTCTCAGGATACAAAATCAATGTGCAAAAATCACAAGCATTCTTATACACTAATAACAGACAAACAGAGAGCCAAATCATGAGTGAACTCCCATTCACAATTGCTACAAAGAGAATAAAGTACCTAGAAATCCAACTTACAAGGGATGTGAAGGACCTCTTCAAGGAGAACTACAAACCACTGCTCAACGAAATAAAAGAGGACACAAACAAATGGAAGAACATTCCATGCTCATGGGTAGGAAGAATCAATATCGTGAAAATGGCCATACTGCCCAAGGTAATTTATAGATTCAATGCCATCCCCATCAAGCTACCAATGACTTTCTTCACAGAATTGGAAAAAACTACTTTACGGTTCATATGGCACCAAAAAAGAGCCCGCATTGCCAAGTCAATCCTAAGCCAAAAGAACAAAGCTGGAGGCATCATGCTACCTGACTTCAAACTATACTACAAGGCTACAGTAACCAAAACAGCATGGTACTGGTACCAAAACAGAGATATAGATCATTGGAACAGAAAAGAGCCCTCAGAAATAATGCCACATATCTACAATTACCTGATCTTTGACAAACCTGAGAAAAACAAGCAATGGGGAAAGGATTCCCTATTTAATAAATGGTGTTGGGAAAACTGGCTAGCCATATGTAGAAAGCTGAAACTGGATCCCTTCCTTACACCTTATGCAAAAATTAATTCAAGATGGGTTAAAGACTTAAACGTTAGACCTAAAACCATAAAAACTCTAGAAGAAAACCTAGGCATTACCATTCAGGACATAGGCATGGTCAAGGACTTCATGTCTAAAACACCAAAAGCAATGGCAACAAAAGCCAAAATTGACAAATGGGATCTAATTAAACTAAAGAGCTTCTGCACAGCAAAAGAAACTACCATCGGAGTGAACAGACAACCTACAGAATGGGAGAAACTTTTTGCAATCTACTCATCTGACAAAGGGCTAATATCCAGAATCTACAATGAATTCAAACAAATTTACGAGAAAAAACAACCCCATCAAAAAGTGGGTGAAGGATATGAACAGACACTTCTTAAAAGAAGACATTTATGCAGCCAACAGACACATGAAAAAATGCTTATCATCACTGGCCATCAGAGAAATGCAAATCAAAACCACAATGAGATACCATCTCACACCAGTTAGAATGGCGATCAATAAAAGTCAGGAAACAACAGGTGCTGGAGAGGATGTGGAGAAATAGGAACACTTTTGGTGGGACTGTAAAGTAGTTCAACCATTGTGGAAGTCAGTGTGGTGATTCCTCAGGGATCTAGAACTAGAAATACCATTTGAGCCAGCCATCCCATTACTGGGTATATACCCAAAGGATTATAAATCATGCTGTTATAAAGACACATGCACACATATGTTTATTGTGGCACTATTCATAATAGCAAAGACTTGGAACCAACCCAAATGTCCAACAATGATAGACTGGATTAAGAAAGTGTGGCATATATATACCATGGAATACTATGCAGCCATAAAAAAGGATGAGTTCATGTCCTTTGTAGGGACATGGATGAAGCTGGAAACCATCATTCTCAGCAAACTATCGCAAGGACAAAAAACCAAACACCGCATGTTGTCACTCATAGGTGGGTATTGAACAATGAGAACACATGGACACAGGAAGGGGAACATCACACGTCGGGGACTGTTGTTGGGGGGAATGGGGGAGGGATAGCATTAGGAGATATACCTAATGCTAAATGATGAGTTAATGGGTGCAGCACACCAACGTGGCACATGTATACATATGTAACAAACCTGCACGTTGTGCACATGTACCCTAAAACTTAAAGTATAATATTAATAAAATTTTTTTAAAAAGAGTGTTTCCTCCTCTTAAAGATTTTGAAACATTTTCAGAAGGATTAATATTAATTCTTTTTTACTTTCGTTTTATAATTCACCTGTGAAATCATCTGGTCTTGAGCTTTTCTTTGTAGGGTGATTTTTGGTCACTGATTCATTTCTTTACTCATCATTGAGCCATTCAGGTTTTTTAAATTTTATTTATGTTTTTTGAGAACAGTATCTCACCTGTTGATCAGGCTGAAGTGCAGTGGCACAATCTGGGCTCACTGCAGCCTTAAATTCCTGGGCTCAAGCTATCCTCCCACCTCAGTCTCCCAAGTAGCTGGGACTACAGCCACATGCCACCACATCTAGTTTTTTTTTGTTTTTGTTTTTTGTAGAGACGAGGCTTCATCATATTGCCCAGGCTGGTCTTGAACTCTCGGCCTTAAGCAATCCACCTGCCTTGGCCTCCCAAAGTGCTGGGATTACAGACGTGAGCCGCTGTACCTGGCCTGTTTTCTTTTCTCAATCTAAGCATTTACTGTTAAACTTCCCTCTTAGTACTGCTTTTGGTCATCCCATAAGTTTTGGTATGTTGTGTTTCTGTTTTTGTTTCAAGATGCTTTTTGATTTTCTTTCGATTTCTTCTTTATCTATTTCAGTAGTGTATTGTTTAATTTCCACATATTTTAATGTTCTAACATTCTTCTTGTTATTTTCTAGTTTCACATTATTACGGTCAGAAAAATACTTGGTATGATTTAAGTCCTCTTAAGTTAGCTAATACTTGTTTTGTGGCCCAATTTGTGTTCTACTCTGATGAATGTCCCAAGTGTGCTTGAGAAAAAAAGTGTATTCTGCTGCTGTTGGATGGAATATTCTATATATATCTGTTAAGTTCACTTTTTTGTATAGTGTTGTTCAAGTCTGCTGTTTATACTCTTTCTGGAATATCTATACATTGTTGAAAGTATTAAGGTTCTCTACTATTATTATATTGCTATTTCTCCCTTCATTTTTGTCAATATTTGCTTTATATATTTAAGTGCTCTAATGTTGAGTGCATATATATTTACAACTCTTATATCTTATTGATGAGTTGATTCCTTTATTATTAGTCACCTTATTTGCTTCCTATGACAGATTTTGACTGAAAGTCCATCTTGTCTGATATAGGTACAGCCATCCCTGCTCTCTTTTACTTACCATTTTACATGGAATAGCTTTTCCCATCCCTTCACTTTCAGCCTACACGTGTCTTCAAGGCTAAAGCTAGTCTCTTTTATATCATATTGTTGAATCTTTTTTGAAAAATCCATTCAGCCACTTTCTCTTTTGATTTAATTCAGTTATATTGTAATTATTATAGGTAAGGATTCATTATTTTCATTCTGTTTTCTGCTTTTGTAATACTTTTTATTGTCTTCCTTTGTGATTTGCTATGTTTCAGTTATATGCTTTGATTCCCTTTTCTTAATTTTTTGTATCTATAGAAGCCTTTATTTCTATATATGGTTATCAAGATGTTTCCATAAAATGAGTTACAGTTATTTAAATAATTAGCTCAAAATTGATATATCATATACTAAAAGTCCACACTTTTAGTTTACACACACATAAGTTTATACTATTGATACCATAATTTAACCTTTTTGTATTATGCATTAACACATTTTTGTAGCAATAGCTATGTTTAATACATTTTAACTTCTATACTAGAGTTAAATTTATACACCACCATTACAGTATTATTCTGAATTTGGCTACATATATTTACCTTTACCAGTGAGTAAAGGTAAATACTTTCATTTGTTTTTATGTTGTTACTTAACAATCTTTTGTTTAAACTGAAATAATTTTCTTTAGCATTTCTTATAAGGCAGATCTAATGGTGTGAACTCCAGCTTTGATTTATCTGGAAATGTCTATCTCTCCTTTATTTTTTTCAATTATACTTTAAGTTCTAGGGTACATGTGTACAATGTACAGGTTTGTTACATATGTATACATGTGCAATGTTGATTTGCCACACCCATCAACTCGCCATTTACATTAGATATTTTTCCTAATGCTATCCTTTTCCCAGTCCCCCAACCCCTGACAGGCCCCAGTGTGTGATGTTCCCCGTCCTGTGTCCATGTGTTCTCATTGTTCAACTCCCATCTATGAGTAAGAATATGTGGCGTTTGGTTTTCTGTCCTTGTGATAGTTTGCTCAGAATGATGGTTTCCAGCTTCATCCATGTCCCTGCAGAGGACATGAACTCATCATTTTATGGATTTATAGTATACCATGGTGTATATGTGCCACATTTTCTTAATCCAGTCTATCATTGATGGGCATTTGGGTTGGTTTCAAGTCTTTGCTGTTGTGAATAGTGCTGCAATAAACATATGTGTGCATGTGTCTTTTAGTAGCATGATTTATAATCCTTTGGGTATATACCCAGTAATGGAATTGCTGAGTCAAATGTTATTTCTAGTTCTAGATTCTTGAGGAATCACCACACTGTCTTCCACAATGGTTGCACTAATTTACACTCCCACCAACAATATAAAAGCATTCCCACTTCTCCACATCCTCTCCAGCATCTGTTGTTTCCTGACTTTTTCATGATCCAACAGACATATGAAAAAATGCTCATCACTGGTCAGAGAAATGCAAATCAAAACCATGATGAGATACCATCTTTTGCCAGTTAGAATGGCAATCATTAAAAAGTCTCTTATTTTTAAAGAACAGCTTTTCCAGATATAATATTCTTATGTTGTAGTTCTGTGAGTTTTTTTTCAGTACTTTTAATATGTCATCCCACCTCTTCCTGGTCTGCAACGTTTCTGCTAAGAAATATTTGGATAGTTTTATAGATGTTCTGCTGTATGAGTAACTTCTCTTACTACTTTCAAAATTTCATCTTTGACTGTTGGCAATTTGATTATTATGTGTCACAGGGTAACCTTTGTGATTATCTTGCTAAGAGACCTATGAACTTCATGAATGAGAATGTCCATATTCTTCCCAAAATTTGAGGAGTTTCCAACCATTACTTCTTTAAATAAGCTTTCAGCTCCTCTCTTTGTTTCTTCTCCTTCTGTCACTTCTGTGAAGTATAAATTTGTTTGATGATGTTTCATAGGTCTCTATATGCTTTTTAAAAATTTTTTTCTATTTTTCTAGCTGGCTAATTTCAAATGACCTGTCTTCACGTTCACTGTCCTCTTATTCTGCATGATCAAGTTCACCCTTGAAGATTTCCATTAAAATTTTCAGTTCTATATTTGTATTTTTCAGCTCCAAGGTTTCTATTTGGTTGCTTCCTATGGTTTCTATTTTTTTATTAAACTCCTCACTGTGTTCATTTATTGTTTTTCTGATTTTAGTTTTTTAAGTGTTTTTTTCTTGCATCTCATTGAGTTTTTTGATGATTATTTTGACATTTTTGTCAGGCAATTTATAGATCTCCATTTCTTTTGGGTTTGTTATTGGAGGTTTTTGTTTCCTTTGGTGGTATCATGTTTGCCTGATTGTACTCTGTGTAGCCTTATATTTGTGTTGATGTATTTGAAGCACAAACACCTCTTCCTGTCTTTATGATGATTGACAGATTGACAGGTAAAAGCCTTCTCCTGTCTGGTCTCTAGAATGATGGGATTGCCTCTAGGCTTATAGCCAAGCAGGGTCACAACCAGGTCACATGACATCTTTACATGTGGATCCACAGTGTGGTTCATTATGGGGTCAGTGTTTGGCAGTACTATTACAGAGGAAGGCATGGATCCTGATTGACTCCTGGTCAGATGAAACTGCCTCCAGGACTTTGGTTAGTAGGGGTGGTTCTGGGATAAAGGTCCACTTCAGGATATGCAGTTGGGTCAATAGATGATGGGCCTGTTTCCTGTGGATAAATGTTATACCATCTGGGTCTCTTGGAAGGCTCCTGCTCATTCACTGTTTGGAACTCTGGCCAGGCAAGATTGGCTCAGGAGTATGGTTGAAGAGGACAGGATCTGAATTACAGGGCTGTTTCAGTTACAAAGCTGCTGAATCCAAGATCTGTAGGTCTGCCTCTGTGGGCATAAATGGGTGTTTATCCTATCCCATACTTGGGTGGATAGGGCTACTTGGACAATGTCTGAGCAAGGCTTTTGTGGGGTCATAGGACTGCTTAAAGATTTGCAGTCAGTCTGAGGTCAAGAGGCCTCCCTTTAGGGGCATGAATGGTCATGTCTTTTTCAGGTCCCTGGGTAGCAGGACTGCTCTCAGACCATAGATGAATGGTAGAGTTGAGTTACAGGGTCATTTTAGGATCATTTGTGAGACTAAGGCTCTAAGGCCTACTCTGGAAAAACCAGATGGTCATACCACAGATTTTATCAATTCACCTATTGAAGGATACCTGAGTTCACTACAATTTTTTGCAATTATAAAGTTGACATAAAATTTCATGTGTAGGTTTTAGTGTGGATATAACTTTTTAGGTTGGCTGGAGAATATCCCAAATAAATGAAAACATTTCCATGTAAAATTTTATACAGAGAGGTTAATAGAAACTTTATTCTTAACAGCCAAAAACTAGGTACTAGATAGTACCATGCAATGGGTAAATGGCTAAACAAAGGAAAGTAAATTCATACCATGGACTACTACTCAGCAATAAAAAAAAAACAAACTATTGATAATGCAACATCTTAGATAAACCTCAATGAAATTATGCTGAGTGAAAAAAGTCAATCATAAAAGGAAACTTGTAAGGTTCCCCAATTCTTCCTACTTTCTGTGTCCTGACTAAAAATTCCCAGAGTACCTTGACCGCTTTGTGACCTAGACAGTGGCAGGTATTTTCCAGCAAGCTTGACCCCAAACCAAGGCCTTGAACATTCTCAAACACTGATAAAGGTATCTAGGTTGTTGCCCCAAACACTGAAAGATATTGGCTTTGTCCCTGAGCCAAATTCCTTAAACCCTCATAAAAATTCCATACCCGGCCTTCTTGATGCAAACGTATCTAGGTATGTAGCCATTTACCCATTGAATGGTAGTATCAAGTACCTAGATAGTATCTACATCGAACATCCCTTTTCTTTTGCTCTCTATCATGTGGATTGCTGTAGCACTCTAAGTTCTCCTAATAAATGCTTTGGACTGATTACTTTGGTGTTTAGTGCTTCTTTCTTTGGAGTCTCAAACAGCCACATCACAGGACAGTTCAAAGTACTCTTTTGTGGAAACATTTCTCCCACCACTTTTGGGGTGATTCCAGCTGCATTTCAGTGAAACAAAATGGAGACACCACACGATGCCATTTGTTCAACATTCATTAAACATGATAATTATAGAGATGGAGAATAGATTAATGGTTTCCAGGGATTATGAATTTGAGGGGTGGGGGAAATGTGTGGTAATAAAGTGGTAGTATGAGGGAGAATTTTTATGAAGTACAATTACTAGTCTTGATTGTAGTGGTGGTTATATAATGAAATTACAGTGAGCTACACCCCTCCACACACGCATAAGCAAGCATATGTATAACTAGTAAAATCTGAATAAATTCTGTTGTGTAACAAATTCATTTTTCTGATTTTGATGGTGTACTATAATTGTACTAAATGTTAACATTAGGGAAGTCTGGTGAAGGGTGTTGGGATCCCCTTGTATGTTTCTTTATACCTTTGTGAAAATCTGTGTAATTATTTCAAAATAAGATGTTTAAGAAATAAGTAGGCTGAGCACAGTGGCTCACACCTGTTTTCCCAGCACTTTGGGAGGCCTAGGAGGGCGGATCACGAGGTCAGGAGATCGAGACCATCCTGGCCAAAATGGTGAAACTCGTCTCTACTAAAAATACAAAAACTATCTGTGTGGCGCCTGTAAACTCAGCTGGGTGTGGTGGCGCCTATAATCTCAGCTACTTGGGAGGCTGAGGCAGGAGAATCGCTTGAACCCGGGAGGTGGAGATTGCAGTGAGCCAAGATCGTGGCACTGCACTCCAGCCTGGTGACAGAGCAAGACTGTCTCAAAAAAAAGAAAAAAAAAGAAAAGAAAAGAAAAGAAAAGAAAAAAAAGTTACTGAAATATAAATCCCCCCACATGTCCTACAAAATCAACAAGGAGCATTAATAGTCACTTACATTTACAATTCCATTAGGAGAAAATATAATATTACAAATTTCCATTTCCATTTGAAATTTGTTATACCAGAAACTCAAAAGCAGCAGAGCCAGCTCAGGAGCCCATTCCAAAGCAAAAATTTAGAAGGAAACTACACAATAAAGATGAGAATGCAGCAAAGATCTAGCAGTGGTGAGCTAAAGTCACACTCAGAGAGTTCCACAGTGATTGGGGAAAACACTGAGTCATTGTGAATCAGAATTGTCTGCTAGGAAATCAAAGGATAGGAGCTTGCATATGCAAGAGTAGAGAAACAGTCTTGGAAAGGCATCACCTCTGAGGAGAGAGGGAAGTTATAAAGTGGAGGCATCATGGAAATGAGAAAGAAAAAAATCAAATGGCAGAAATTAAGGATCCTAATGAAACAGAAGAGTGTCATGGTATTAAAACACTGTCTCTCAAATCAAAGGTACTATCTTTTACTGTACCTATAAAAACATCATTTTCTAGAAAAAGAAAATGTAGTAAGCCACACAAATAGCTCACACCTTTTCCACCCCATGCAGAAATGCCAGTTATTTCTGGTCCATAAAAAATAAAACTTTTTAAAAATAAGCATAAAACCACAGGAAAATCTATAAAATGTTCCTATTAAAACTATTGAAACATTGAGAAAACTTTTCAGCTGATTAAAATAATCTCTGCAAAAGCAACCATTAGGGCAAAGGTAGACTATAAAACAAAATATTGACATGATGAAATGTCATTAAAGAATTTTTACTAAAAAAATACCTAGAGTAAGAAGTTCACATGCTAAGAGTAGGAATGGACAGAAAATACAGATATAAGATATAAAAATAAATTTGAAGAAAAAGAAAAAGTAAAAGTCTAAAAATCTAAATATTAATATTAGAAGAATTTTATGAAAAAAATAGGGATAAAGAATTCCAAAGTGTTACTACAGAGGATATTTAAGCATTAAACAAGAAGGCTGCATAAAATGGCTAGACATGAAGCTAAATTAGGACTCAGTCTATGGAGAAAGCATTTTAGCTTGGACTGACTATAGTCATAGGGGTATGTATGCCCTAAACAGTCTGTGACCTTGCGGGAGGTAGAGATAGCAACTGTGGGACTTTGCATTGGAATACAATGCTGCTGTGGCACAGCAGAAAGCAACACTGGAAAAAACTCAGGTGGAACCTAGGGAAGGAGTATTCCGACCTGCTCTAGCCAGAGGGGAATCACCCATCCTAGCAGTCAGAACTTGAATTTGGGCAAGCCTCACCACAATGGGCAAAAGTACTCTGGGGTCTTAAATAAATCTGAAAGACAATCTAGGCCATAAGGATTGCAAATTCTAGGCAAGACCAAGTGTTGTGCTGGGCTTGGGGCCACTGGACTTGGGGAGGGCACACATGCCTAGTGAGACATGAGCCAAGGAAGCTAAGGGACTGCTTGCATGACTTGCTCCCAACCCCAGGCACTGCAGCTCCAAAAGAGACTTCTTCCTTCTGCTTGAGAAGAGAAGGAAGAGTAAATAGGAATTTTTCTTGAAAATTGGATACTAGCTCAACCACAGTAGGGCAGGGAAGGAGGGAGAGTCATGAGGCCCCTATTTCAGGCCCTAGCTCCTGGATGACATTTCTGGACAGACCTTGGGACAGCAGAGAACCTGTTTCCTTAAAGGGAAGGACCAAGTCCTAGCTAAATGACGAGTTAATGGGTGCAGCACACCAACATGGCACATGTATACATGTGTAACAAACCTGCACGTTGTGCACATGTACCCTAAAACTTAAAGTATAATAATAATAAAATTTAAAAAAAAAGAAAGATTTATCACCTGCTGACTAAAGAGCCCTTAGGCTCTAAATATTCTGCAGGAGTAAGCCGGTAGTACATACTGTGGGCCTTGGATGAAACTCTGAGTCATGCTGGCTTCAGGTATGACCCAGCACAGTCCCAGCTGTGACAGCTACAGAGAAAGTTCCCTTCTGCTTGAGAAAAGCAGAGAGAAGAATAAAGGAGACTTTGTTCTGCAGCAGAGGTACCAGCTTTGTCACAGTGAGGAAGAGCACCAAGCAGGCCCCTGAGGTCCCTGACTCTTCCCTTGGCTCTTACAGCGTTTCTGGGACTACCTTGGGCCAGAGAGACGCCTGCTATCCTGAAAAGTGAGTCCCAGGCATGGCAGCATTTACACAAGTTGACTGAAGAGATCTTGAGCCCTAAGTGAACATCAGTGGTACCCTGGCAGTACTCCCCATGGGCCTGTAGTGGTGGCAGACGTGGGGAGAGACTCCTCTGCCTGGGGAAAAGGAAGGGAAGAGTGGGAAGGACTTTGTCTCATGGCTTGGGTGCCATCTCAGCCACAGTAAAATAGATCACCAGGTAGATTGATATGGTTTCTGATTCCTTGTCCTGTTTCCTGGACAGCGTCACTGGACTCACCTGGGACCAGGGGAACTTGCCACCCTGAAGAGGAAAACACAAGCCTAGCTGGCTTCACTCCCTGCTGATTATAGAGCCCTAGGGCCTTGAGTAAACATAAGTGCTAGCCAGGTAGTAGTTACAGTGGGCCTTGGGCAAAACCCAGTGCTGTGCTAGCTTCAGGTCTGACCCAGTGTAGTTCCAGTATTGGTGGCCACAAGGGTGCTTGTGTCACCCTTCCCCCAGCTCCAGGCAGCTCTGCATGGACAGAGAGACTCCATTGTTTGAGCAAAAGTAAAGGAAGAAAACAAGAATCTCTGCCTGGTAATCCAGAGAATTCTTCCAGATCTTATCTAAGACCACCAAGGCAGTACCTCTGTGAGTCTGCAAGAACCATAGCATTATTGGGCTTGGGGTACCCTCTAATTCAGATACAGCTACAGTAACCAAAGCATAGATGGAAACACTTAAGTCTCTTCAAATACCTGAAAAGTCTTCCCAAGAAGTGCAAGTACAAACAAACCTAGACTATGAAGACTATAATAAATACCTCACTCTTCAATGCTCAGACACCAATGAACATCCACAAGCATCAAGAGTATCCTGGAAAACATGACCTCACCTAAGGCACCAGGGACAAATAGAGAGACAGACATGTGACCTTTCAAACAGAGAATTCAAAATAGTTGTTTAGAGGAAACAAAGAAATTCAAGATAACACACAGAAGAAATTCAGGATATTATCAGGTAAATTTAGCAAAGAAATTGAAATAATTAAGCAGAATCCAGTAGAAATTCTGGAGCTGAAAATATAACTGACATACTAAAAATGCATTAGAGTCTCTTAGTAGCAGAACTGATCAAGCAGAAGAATTAGTGAGCCTGAAGACAAGCTATCTGAAAATACACAGTCAGAGGAGACAAAAGAAAAAAGAAAAAAGAAAAAAGAATGTGGCACATCTAAGGTCTAGAAAATAGCCCCCAAAAGGCAAATCTAAGAGTTATTGACCTTAAAGAAGAGGCAGAGAGAGAGAGAGAGAGTGCTAGGGGTAGAAAGTTTATTCAAAGGAATAATAGAGAACTTCTCAAACCTAGAGAAAGATATCAATACTCAAATACAAGATTATAGAGCACCAAGCATATTTAACCCAAAGACCACTACCTTAAGCCATTTAATAATCAAACCCCCAAAAGTCAAGGATAAAGGATTCTAAAAGTAGCAAAGGAAAGGAACAAATTACAAACAATAAAGCTCCAATATGTCTGGCAGCAGACTTTTCAGTGGAAACCTTATAGACCAGGAGAGAGTAGGATGACATATTTAAATTGCTGACAGAAAAAACAAACAAAAAAACTTCTACCCGAGAATAGTATATCCAGTGACAATACACTTAAAACATGAAGAATAGACAAAGAACATTATTACATAATGATAAAGGAATCAATTTAGCAAGAGGACATAATGATTTAAAATATATGCACCCAACATGAAGCACCAAGATATATAAAGTAAATATTATTAGAGCTAGAGAGATAGACTAATACAATAATAGCTGGAGACTTCAACACTCCACTATCAGCAGTGGACAGGTTATTTAAGAAAGAAAAATTAACAAGGAAACATTGGACTTAATCTGCACCATGGAACAAATAGACCCAATATATATTTACAGGACTTTTTATCCAACACCTGCAGAATAAACATTTTTCTCCCCAGCACATGAATATCCTCAAGGATATACTACATGTTAAGCCACAAAACAAGACTTAAACACTCAAAATGTTGAAATTATATCAAACCTTATCCGATGACAAGGGAATAAAACAATAAATCAATAATGAGAAATTTTTGGAAACTGTACAAACATAAAAATTAAATATTATACTTCTGAATGACCAGTGGCTCAATGAAAAAATTAAGAAAGAAATTGAAAAATATTTTGAAACAAATGATTATGGAAACACAACATACCAAAACCTATGGGGTACAGCAAAAGCAGTACTGAGAGGGAAGTTTATAGCTAAAAGTGCCTACATCAGAAAAGATACACTTCACATAAACCTAACAAGGCATCTTAAAGAACTAGGAAAGCAAGAGCAAACTAAATCCAAATTTAGAAGAATAGACATAATAAAGATTAGAGCATACATTTGAATGAACAAGACAATACAAAAGACTAATGAAACAAAAAGATGCTTTTGAAAAGATAGATTTGACAAACCTTTAGACAAAGAATAAAATAAAATTGACAAACGTTTTAGACAGACTCAAATAACATCAAAAATTTAAAAGGAGACATTACAACGAATAACTCAAAAATTTGAGACTACTATGAGCAACTCTATGCCAATAAGTTGGAAAACCTAGAAGTGGATAAATTTTTGGACACATACCACTACCAACATTGTATCATGAAGAAATCAAAAACCTTAACAGATGAATAACAAGTAATGAGATCAAAGCTGTAAGAAATAGTTTCCAAAGAAAAGCCTGGGACCCAATGGCTTCACTGCTGAATTTTGCCAAACATTAAAAAAAACTAATACAATCCCACTCAAACTATCCCAAAATATAGAGAAGGGAGTACTTCCAAACTCATTCTACAGGGCCAGTATTATCCTGATACCAAAACCAAAGATAAATCAAAGAAAAAAAAAACTACAGGCCATTATCTCTGATGAATATTAATGTAAAAACCTTATAAAATACTAGCAAACCAAATTCAACGACACATAAAAAGATCATTCGTCATCATCTTTGGGATTCATCACAAGGATACAAGGATGGTTCAACATATGCAAATCAATGTGATACATTATATCAACAGAATGAAGGACAAAAGCCATAGAATCATTTCAATTGATGCTGAAAAATAATGAATTTTAACATCCCTTCTTGATAAATACCCTAAGAAATGGCTATACAAGAAGCATACCTCAACATAATAAAAGCCATGTATGACAGATCCACAGCTAGTATCATAATGAATAGAAAAAAAAAAGAAACACTGAAAACCTTTCCTTAAATATCTGGAACATGACAAGGATGCCCACTATCACTACAGTTATCCCACATAGCACTGAAAGTTCTACTAGAACAAACAGACAAGAGAAATAAAAGACATTTCCAAATTGGAAAGGAAGAAGTCAAATTATCCTTGTTTGCAAATGATATGGTCTCATATTTGGAAAAAAAAAACCTAAAGATTTCACAAAAAGCTTTTAGAACTGATAAATTCAGTATAATTGCAGTATTCAAAATCAACATAGAAAAATCAGGAGCATTTTTATATGCCAAAAGCAAATAATCTGCAAAAGAAATTTAAAAAGTAACCCAATTTACAATAGGCACAAAGCAAGTTAAATACCTGGAAATTAACTGAAGACGTGAAAGATCCAATAAAAACTATAAAATATTGATGCAAGACACTGATGAGGACACAGTAAAATGGGAAGGTATTTCATGTTCATGGATTGGAATAATCAATATTGTCAAAATTTCCGTACTACCCAAAGCAGTCTACAGATTCAATTCAATCCTTGTCAAAATACCAATGGCGTTCTTCACAGAAATAGAAAAAAAAATCCTAAAATATATATGGAATTACAGAAGACCCAGTATAGTCACAGCTGTCTTGAACAAAAAGAACAAAACTGGAGGAATCACATTATCTGACTTCAAATAATACTACACAGCTATAGTAACCAAAAGAGCATGGCACTGGCAAAAAAAAAAAAAACAGGCACATAGACCAATAGAACAGAATAGAGAGCCCAGAAACAAATCTATACATATACAGTGAACTTATTTTTGACAAAGGTGCCAGGAACATACAGTTGGGGAAGGATAGTTTCTTCAATAAATGGTGCTGGGAAAACCGGATATCCATATGCAGAAGAATAAAACTAGTTCCCTATCTCTTGCCATAAACAAAAATCCAACTAGAGGTCGTTATGTTAAGTGATAAAAGCCTGTCACAAAAAGACAAACTTTGTATGTTCTCACTTATTTGTGAGAGGTAAAAATTAGAACCATTGAACTCAGGGAGATAGTGCATAGAATAATGGTTACCAGAGGCTGGGAAGTATAGTGGGGCAAGGGAAGTGGGGATAGCAAGTGGGTACCAAAAAATAGAATGAATAAGATCCAGTATTTGATAGCACAACATGGTAACTATAATTGATAATTTAATCTTACATTTAAAATAGCCAAAAGAGTGTAATTGGATCTTTTGTAATATGAAGTATAAATGCTTTGGGTGATAGATATCTAATTTACCCTGATGTGATTATTACACATTGCATGCTTCCATCAAAATATACCCCATACCTACTATGTGCCCACAACAATTTAAAAGTTTTTTTAATTATCAGAAATTTTAATTTGTACCAGGTACCATGCTAGATATGAAGATAAGACAAAGTCCTTGTCCTCAAAAAAATGTACATTCTGGTGGGCAATATAGACTTGTAAATTGTCAACTGCAATATGGTATACAAAATGTTATGATGATTATGAATGGGTAGCCATATGAACTCACTGAAGAAATAGTTAACCTATACTTTGGATGTAGAAATAGGGTTATATAAAATTTCATCTGAGCTCTGACAGATTACAGCAAACTTTTGAGGAAAAAGAAGTTGTTAAAAGGATGCTCTAGGCATTCTGATGCATGGTTAATGAGTTCAAATTGGGGACCAGATGAAGACGAAGGGTAAAGACTAGCAAGAGAGATCCATGAGGGCATTTGGCTTTTATCCTAGAGAAGGTATAGAGCCCATTAACATTTTTTAAGCATGGGAGTAATTTAGTGGTCTAATTAACATAGAAGTATTACTCTTACAGCAATATAGATGATTAATTTGAGGAAGACTGGGAGAAGGAATACCACTGAGAATTGTTTCAATAATCCATATTACAAATGAAGAAGGCTTAGGTTAGTGAGATGAAACATTAATACATTTCATAGAAATATGTCAAATGAAACTAAACAAATAAGCACAACTGAAGCCCTATAAATACTAGTACATAGTCAGCAAAGAAAATGAAGGGTCTAGTGTGGGGAGGACAACACAAAGGTCATAGGAATACTTTGAGATAGCTGTCCATAGAAGCTAAGAGGGAGAAATATTTGAAGACAAAGGTCATAGTAAACTCTTTTAAATACTGCGGAAAAATAAAACCCGATATGTTATAAAAGTAACCATTGGATTTTGCAGTGAGGTTTCTGTTGACCTGAGTTGGAGTTTTGGTGCTGTAATGTTAACATTGTGGTACATTGAAAAATACATGCCGAAATAGTTTCCTGCTACCTGAGCCAGCAGAGGGGCACCTGCAGCAGCAGCCAGACACCAAGGCTGTGCTGAACAGGAAGGTCCTCCGCACTGGTACCCTTTATATCGCTGAGAGCCACCTGTCTTGGTTAGATAGCTCTGGATTAGGATTCTCACTGGAATACCCCACCATTAGTTTACTTGCATTATCCAGGGACCAAAGTGACTGTCTAGGAGAACATTTGTATGCTACGGTGAATGACAAATTTGAAGAATCCAAAGAATCTGTTGCTGATGAAGAAGAGGAAGACAGTGATGATGTTGAACTTATTACTGAATTTATATTTGTACCTAGTGATAAATCAGCACTGGGGGCAATGTTCACTGCAATGTGTGAATGCCAGGCCTTGCATCCAGATCCTGAGGATGAGGATGAGGATGACTACGATGGAGAAGAATATGATGTGGAAGCACATGAACGAGGAAAAGGGGACATCCCTAAATCTTACACCTATGAAGGATTATCCCATTAACAGCAGAAGGCCAAGCCACATTGGAGAGATTAGAAGAAATGCTTTCTCATCTGTGAGCAGCCAGTATAATATGGCTGGGGTCAGGACAGAAGACTCAATAAGATTATGAAGATGGGATGGAGGTAGATACCACACCAACAGTTGCTGGACAGTTTGAGGATACAGATGTTGATCACTGAAAATAATTTATGCAGGTTTAAGATTCTGCTCCTATTGTGGTGAGCAGAGATCGTGCCATTGCATTCCAACCTGGGCAACAAGAACAAAACTCCATCTCAAAAAAAAAAAAAAAAAAAATCTGCTCCTAACTATAGGAGAGAACTTGGTGCCTTTTCCACTCTGGAGCAAAGTTGATGAAAGTCTTTTTCCTTTTCCAAAACCCAACCTGAACCAGTTCTTTCTTCAGACAGACTATGCTGAGATAACAAGTTGTCACCAGCAGAAGATAGATACTACGACTTTTATTAACTTGATGAATTAACTTAACCAAGAGGGTATTTGTAGTTTATTATTTACCCCAAAACTTTATGTGTCTGAGTACCCTCTGAGTAGGCCTATAATTCCTGCCTTCATTGTATGCGTCTTCTGTAAGCTAGCAGACCTATGCGGTGAAAATGCACAGGAGCTGGGAGGTGCAGGTAGACTGGGTGGGAAAGAGAGGGCTCTTTCATCATGTTTTACCAGCCTGCTCTGTTATAACCTCTTAGGTTATATCTTTTAATTTCCAAACTTCTAGATTAGTTTCTATAACAGAACAAGTGAGTCTGGGATGAAGTCCTCAAAGTACTTCAAATGGTAATTGTTTTGTTTTTGTAATAGCTTAATAAAGCTAAGTTTTCTATATTTAAAAAAGAAAAATGAATGCCAAACTCATATACAAGATAATAATAACAAAACTCTTTTGAGAACCTTGACAGATGGGGAAATTATGGGAAACTTGAAAGGCTGCAAGTGATCAAGAAGTACCATGAGTTTATGGTAAAAAATAAGATGTTTGGGACATCGATTTAGATAAAACTTGGAATAAGTTTATAACTCTTCTATGTCCCCTCTAATACAAATAAAGGAACAGGGTAAGGGCCAATGAATAAGTTGCAAGCAGGAAACAAAAAGTTTAGGGTTTTACTCCTATATGATAGCTTTTATTTTCTCAGTGATATAAATTATGATATAGCCATCTAGTTAAGGAAATATTATACAGCCATTAAAATAATGTTTCTGAATGGTCTAAATAATGTATACCCTGGGTACAACACTGTTTACTTCAAGGTAAATGAGATTGAATAAATCATTTTCTGCTTTTCACTTTTATATACTTCAAAATGTTCTTCATTGAATCTATATATTTTTATTATCATAAATGAATATTGTGGCAGGATAAGCTATCTTCATCCCATTATAGACCAGAAAAAGACAAAAGAATGAGTGTTTTTAACGTAATATAAAGTTGGGAAGAAGAAAAGATAACTCTTTACCATAATATCAAGAAGCTATCGAAATACTGACAGAGATTAACTCTAGGGTATAAGATGCTTTAATTTTTTAAATAAAAATATTTAGATTCCTCATGAAAGAAAGGCAAGCTGCCATCCAGGGTCAAGCTGACGTTGTTGACCTTCATTTTTCCTGCTCTATAGACTGTTACCACCCTCACTCCTACCTGCATCCTACACAAGGGTCAAAAAAATCATGGCTGTGCCAGAGGCCTCAAGGTTTTTATTTCTAAAGAGAATAAGGGAAAGTTGACAGTCAGGGAATTGGGACACAGGTTGGGGGATATTTGTGGAGGAAGCAAGGAAAAAAATGGAAGGAATCAAAGGTCTCAGCATTGGGGAAAGGGAACAGATGTTTTCACTGGAGGTGGGGAAATGCTCTCTGCCATTTTTGAGGAATATCTTCAAGAGATGGCTGAATGGCCTTGTTTTTGATGACTTAGCTGGACGTAATATATTATAACTAGAGTTCTACCCAACATCCCATTTGACTTTGGTTAAAGAGGAAGTGGGGAGGCAGATTTTGCCTGTTTTTGTGTTTTAGAGCTGTCACAACGAAATACCAAAAACTTGGTGACCTAACACAACATAAGTTTATTCTGAGTTACAGAGGCAGAAGTAAAAAAAAAAAAAAAAAAAAAAAATCAAAATGTGGGACATGGTTGTCCTCCTTCTCAAGGGAAGAATTCTTCCCTGCCTCTTTCTAGCATCTGGTGGCTCCCAGCAACCCTTTGTGTTCCTTGGTTTGTAGCTGCATAACTCTTATCCCTGTCTCTATGGTCATATGTCTTCCTCTGTGTATCTTTGTGTCCTCTGTTCTTCATATAAGGATACTAACAATCATTGGATGTAGGGCCTACCCTAATCCAATATGACATCTTCTTAGCTGATTACATCTAAGAAGAGCCTATTTCCAAACAAGGTCATATTTATAGGTATTAGAAATTAGAACTTGAATAAATCTTTTTAAGGGACACAATTGAACCCACTGCAGACCAGAAAAAGAAACAGGGTATGGCCTCTACCTAATGTTGGACCATGAGAAGCATGAAGATAAAATCAGGTAGCTTAAGTAGGGAAATCTATTGTGCTCAGTTTCCATAGCAGCTTTTTTCCTAATTCCTTGATGAAGGTGATGGGGAAACAAATACTTTGACTTGTTGCCTACCTGAACACACCATCAGAAAATCCATAGTCACCTTCTAGAGTATCATTTAGATCAGTGGTTCTCAAACTTGAGCATGCACTAGAATCACCAGAAGGGCTTATTAGAACACAGATTGTTAGGCTCCACCTCAGAGTTTGATTCAGCAGGTCTGTAGTGAGGTTCCACAATTTGCATATCTAACAAATTTTTAAGTGATAATGCCACCAGGAACCATATTTTTGGGGTCAGAACTTCCCAAACTTTAAAGTGTATATTTATTATGTGGAATTTATGTTAAAATAATCCACGTGATTTTTTAGGAAGTAGCAACAACTATCAATGATTAATATGGATTAATTTAATCCTACATTTAATCATATTGATGGAAAATACAGAATTAACTTGAGGAAAAATCGACATCATGAAAGAATAGTAACATGCTAAATTCTCAAAATTTACTTCCTCAAGAAAATAGACGATATGCAGAAAAAAGGACTTGGCTTATTTTTATCTCTATTTGTTACCCACAGAATGATATGCAAAGCTATTTGCATCCATGAAATAAGAGTGACTTGCTAGGTAGAGAGAAGATTCAGAACAAAAATATTAAATATGCTTATAAAAAACTCGAGGGACAAAATAAAAATAAAAACTCTGCTCAAATTAGTTATTTGAAATGACAAATCGAATTATTTCTGACTGTAAAACAAAAAACAAAGAAAAAGGAATTAGTGAAAACGTGACATGGTGATCCAAAGGAATATTTATAAAATTGGATATGTAAAGACAAAGATGTGAAAGTAGAAGCAATAATCAAGAAAATAATAAATTAATTTTTTTTCTTAAGGTGACTAAAGAGTCAAGTTTTAAGATTATAAGAGGGCAAAAGAGGGAGACATGAAAAGAATATTTCTTTTTAGAAAAAATGTGATAAATTTTATTAAATTTCAAGAGGGCAACTGTTATGTAAGTTTCCAGAGAGAATAAACAAGTTAACAACAAACAGAATAAAATTAGATTATTTTCAAAATAGAATATATTAAAATTCCTACCTGTTATTGATAAAGGAGTGCTGGGAAGGGAAGAGCATGGTCCCTTTAAATAATATGGAAGCAAGGGAAGGGAAATGCTGGGTAGGGGAGGGCGTGGTCCCTGGGTAGGGCTCCACCCCCACAGATCTAGGTGAGGACAGGCATTTCCTGCACAAATGTTGCATTTCCCAAGACCACCCTGGCCCACCATACCCCCATCTTGGGCCTATAAAAACCCGAACCCTAGCGGGAAGACACACAGGTGGCCAGACTTCCAGAGGAGTACATCAACAGAAGAAGACACAAGCTGCTGGTGGTGGAGAGCAGCACCTCAGCAGAAGAGCACACCAACACCACCAGCACTCCAGCTGGCCATCGGCCAAGTGGAGTTTGGCCAGGGCAGTTGGAGGAGAGCCAGGGCTGTGGGGCTGCTAAACAGCCCAACTCCAGAGGAAGACCATCTCCCTTCTGGCTCCCCCATCAGCTGATAGCTACTTCAACTCAATAAAACTTTGCACTCATTCTCCAAGCCCATGTGTGATCTGATTCTTCTGGTACACCAACGCAAGAACCTGGGATACAGAAAGCCCTCTGTCCTTGTGACAAGGTGGAGAGTGTGATTGAGCTGGTTAACACCAGCCACCTATAGATGGCAAACTAAGAGCACCCTGTAACACATGCCCACTGGGGCTTCAAGAGCTGTAAACATTCACCCCTAGAACCTGCTGTGAGATCGGAGCCCCACAGACTGCCTGTCCTTAAGCTCCCCTAGAGGTTTGAGCAGCTGGGCACTGAAGAAGCGAGTCACACCCCCATCACATACCCTGCAAGCAAAGGGGACAAGGGAACTTTTCCCATTTCATTATCAAGAGACAAGAATTGTGATGTAAGAAGTCCCATTACTGGATAGGTACCCAAAGGATTATAAATCATTCTACTATAAAGACACATGCACACGTATGTTTATTACGGCACTGTTCACAATAGCAATGACTTGGAACCAACCCAAATGCCCATCAATGATAGACTGCATAAAGAAAATGTGGCACATATACCATGGAATACTATGCAGCAATAAATAAAAAAGGATGAGTTCATGTCCTTTTCAGGAACATGGATGAAGCTGGGAACCATCATTCTTAGCAACTAACACAAGAACAGAAAACCAAACGCCACATGTTCTCACTCATAAGTAGGAGTTGAATGATGAGAACACATGGACACAGAGGGGAACATCACACACTGGGGCCTGTCAGGGGATGGGAGTCTAGGGGAAGGACAGCATTAGGAGAGTAGATGACGGGTTGATGGGTGCAGTAAACCACTATGGCACGTGTATACCTATGTAACAAACCTGCACATTCTGCACATGTACCCCAGAACTTAAAGTATAATTAAAACAACAAAAGAAAGAATTATATTCAAACAAGTAAATAAACAAAAATCACTGAAGTATGAGAACCAATTAGCTAAATTATTAAACGAGGAAAGAATCAAAGTATATAACACTGAAATGTACTTTAAGGGAAAAAAATTTGAAAGACTCTCAGGACAATAAGAAATCAAAATATTTTAAAATGGGAAATGACAAAAAGCTGGGATAAGAAAAGAAGTTAGTGAAGCCTTTTTATATATAATTTTTAATGTAAAACATGTATTAGTAAATAAAACTATTTTGAAGAGAATTATAAAATGGAAAAATGTGGTATAATAAAATCAACTATTATCTGAAATAAAACTAATTATTTCAAGAAATCTTAGCATATGAGAAATGAAGCAACAGTAAAAACATGAAAAATGCCACCAAATTCAGAGGAATATAGATTAAAAATTGGGTGAAAATATGTGTTAAAAATTTATGAGTAACTAGACATAAAATTTAAATAGGTTATGGAATTTCAAATCCAACAGAGGAAGAAACAACAACAACAAATTAGTTATCTATTGCTGCATAACAAATTACCTCAAAACTCTGCAGCTTAAAATAACATTGTCAGTTTCCATGGCTCACAAATCCAGGTATGGTTTAGTTGAGTGGTTCTGGCTCAGAAGCTCTGAGGTTGCAGTTAGACTGTCAACCAGTGCTGAATGACCTCATATGGGACAGAGACTCCATTTCCAGGCTCACCAACATAGTTGCTTGGAAACCTCAGTTCTTCACTGGCTGTTGGACAGATACTTCAATTCTTTGTCCTATCTACTTCTGCATTGACTGCCTGAGTGTCTTTAGCACATGGCATTTGGATTCTCCCAGTGAGTGATAAGAGAAAGAACAAAGATTGGGGGCTGCGGAGAGTGAGAGAGAAGGGTGCCCAACCTATTATTGGAGGTGATATGCTGTCAGTTCTCCCTTGTTCTGTTCACCCCACAGACTGATCCTGGTTCATTGTAAGAAGGAACCAAACAAGGTTGTAAACACCAGGAGGAATCACTGGGCTCTTATAGGTTTACTACCACAATAAGCAACCATAGAAGTTTAGTAATTACTGTAAAAATGGGAAATAACTAAAAGGAAACAATAGACATAAGACATGGAAAGCAAAAAGGAAGGAAAGAAGGGAAGGAGGGGAAAAGAAAATGTTAATTAACCACAGCCTATGTGAATAATTGAATTTTTCCAATGTAAGACAAACATTTCCTAATGGATTAAAAAAGAACATTGAGCTATGCATTGCTTACAATAAAAAAATTGAAAATAAAATGACACAGAATAGTTGTAAATCAGAGGATAAACCTACGTATACCAGGCTTATGTTAAGCAAACAAACAAAAAAGACAGGAAAATGTAAACATTAGGCCTTCAGGCAAGGTTGAATTTAAAGAAGCATTAAAAAAGATAAGAAACATTTTATATTGGTAAAAGGTTTAGTCCTCAAAGAATATATAATAATGGTCATATTCATCTTAATACATAGAATTCACATAAATACTACTCCTAATAGTTCATCTTGATACTTGTACCATAAATCTTAGAAATACAAAGAGAGCCAGATGAAGTTATAATTAGAGTAAAAAATATTAATACACTTCTCCCAGTATAGAGCTAGACCTCAGTAACAAAAAGACACCAATACCTAACACCTTGGGAAGTTAAAACACTCATGTAAACTGAAAGTGAAGTGAAATCGTAGTTGATGAACCACACACAAAAATCTACATATGTATTATGGTTGAAATAGTACTCACTAGAAAAATTGTAGCCTCAAGAAATTTCATTAGAGAGGGAATGGAGAGAATGCATTAACTATGCATTTAACATAAACTTGAATGTAAACAGTAGAGAGAAAACAACTGTAAAATAAACAGAAGAGGGTAGATTATAACCTCTATGAGGACAGGGATCTACTTCCTTGTCTTATTACTATATCTCCCGCACCTAGAACTATGTCTGGCACACTCAAAATAGATGGAATAATGAAACACATAGAAATTAACAATTAGTTTTAAAAGTTTACCTTAATAGAATCAACCAGAAACCAACATAATAAACAATCTTTCTGTAAAGTAAGAATCCAAATATCAGAGGTGTAAATAAGAATTGAATAGATAAACATATCACAATTGACTTTTTAAATTTTAAGAAACACTATGTGAAACAAACATGTACAAGAAAATAGAGAATGATATGTTTAAAGTTTGTTTGTAAAACATCTGTATTCAGAATCATTAGGAGAGCTTGTAAATCTCTTCCTGAAGATTCTTATTCACTGAGTGTATGGTGGGACTTAGGATTCTTTATTTCAATAAACTTCCCTTCTACCCTAAGAAATTCCTATGCACATTTAAGTTTAGGAAACTTTAAATCTGTGTGGATGTTGAAAACCTGAAAGGGAGAAGAACAGCCACCACAAGAATGGAAAATGATCTACTGGGATGATGTCCAGTCCAAGAGGAGTCAAAAAATGTCAGCATAGGCAAAAGATTTCTCACAAAAGGGGAAAGAAAGATATACAAATTGGCTGTAAACATGGGAAGATACTCAACATCGTTAGTCATAAAGAAAACTGCAAGTTGAATCACAGTGAATACTGCCACCAACCAGAATGGTAAAAACTGACAAAACCAAGTGTTGGTAAATATATAAAATATTTGGGATGCTCACATATTACTGGTGGGACTATAAAATGTTTATAAGCACTTTAGAAAACTGGCAGTATCTAATAAAGCTAAATATATGCCTGCTATACAACTAAAAAAAACTAATTCTAATGATATACTCAAAAGAAATGAATCTATGTCCCATAAAAGGCACATAAAAATATTCAAAGTTTCATTTACAACATTCAAACATTGAAAATAGCCATCTAGAAAGAAATGGATAAAGTGTGGTATATTTACGCAACCAAAAATTAGAGTAATTTTTTTAAATGAATAACTGCTGCATGTAACATGGATGAATCTCGGAGACATAATGTTGAACAAAAGCCACACAGAAGAACATGTATGTGAAGCTCAAATACAAGCAAAACTATAGTGATTAGTGTATAGTCTGGTATAGTGTATAGTGTTTAGTCTGGGTGTAAAATTTGTTGATCTTATATATAGTACTTAAGATTTATATACATTACTATAGATATGATATATACTTCAATGAAAAATATATTTTAATCCACAAATAGTACATGTATTAACTAAAAATTTCTTGTTAATGCTGTTTCCAGGTACTTAATTTGTATTGCTGTTAAGTAGTTTTCTATCTATATTTAACAAACATTGCCAGTTTCTTCTCTTTCTACCCAGATAAGTGTAGGAAACCTACTTACTAATTATCTGCTATTTCATTACCCTGATCTGTTTTCTCTGGGAATTTTTTTCTGATTCTCAACAGCTTAATGATCATTTAGAGTTTTAAATAGTCTGAATAAATTTGCCTAAACCAAGGCATCACTTTGAAGCTCAAAAATCCATTGAACGACTAAGCATTTCTATGTCATCCGAAGAGTGTGATTTAAATTACAGCAGAAATGGCAATCAGATCCCTAGTAAAGCAATGTAGCAGAGAGAAAATGAATCTAATACCTTCTCATCACTCTTTCTAGTAGTACCAGATTAAAGTGATCTCTAATGCCTTCTACCCAGACTCTCCCATACTCTGAGGAGCCCAGGAAACCAAGGATGTTGGCCTAATCTGTGGTTATAAGTGAGAATGTTGTGTGCCCTTTGCCATTACTTCATTGAAGACAAATATATAGAAAGTAATAGACTAATTTCATTCAAGAAGATTGCCAAAAATATTTGTATGACAGATAAACAGTGGTTTTACTCTGCTTAGACTGCCATAACAAACTACCATAGACTCAGTAACTTAAACAGAAATTTATTTTCCCCAGTTTTGGAGGCTGAAAGTTTGAGATCAGAGTGCCAGCAAGGTGGGATTCTCTGCCTCCTTGCTGTGTACCCACAAAATCTTTTCTAGATGCATGTGGGGAGAGTGAGATCTCTTTCCCTCTACCTTCTTATAAGGGCCACAAATTCTATTAGATTAGTACCCCACCCTTATGACCTCATTTAACCTTAATTACCTCCCCAAAGCCCTCTCTCCAAGTACAGTCACTTTGGAGATTAAGGTTCCAATATATGAATGGATTTTGAGGAGACATATTTAGTCCATAGCAACAGTGTAGTAGTTAAAAGAGGGAGCTCTGGAGTTGATAACCAGATTTAGACCACCAATCTACCATCTCTTAACTGTAGGACCCTAAATTCTCTATGATACGCTTTTCTCACCTGTAAAGTAATAGTACCAGCCTCATAGAATTATTGTAATTAAATGAATACATATACGACTACATAGCACATGGTAACTATTTTTATTTTAAACATTTAAAAATGTCAAAAGCTTTTGGCGTTATCAGTAGTTTTCTGTTACATGAATGATACAGTGGTGAATTGAGATTTTAGTGTACCCATCACCAGAGTAGTGGACGCTGTAACAAATGTGTAGTTTTTTATCCCTAGCCTCCCTCCCACTTTCCCCTTTCTGAGTCTCTATAGTCCATTATATCACTCTGCATGCCTTTGCATACTCATAGTTTATCTCCCACTTGTGAGAACAGTTTTTGATTTTCCACTCCTGTGTTACTTCACTTAGAATAATAGCCTCCAGCTGCATCCAAGTTGCTGCAAAAGACATTATTTCATTCCTTTTAATGGCTGAGTAGTAATCTATGGTGTATATATGCCACATTTTCTTTATCCACTCATTAACTGCTAGGCACTTAAGTTGGTTCCACATCTTTGAAATTGTGAATTGTGCTGCGATAAATATACATAGCAGGTGGTACTTTTTCAATAAATATTAGTTTGTATTATTAGGGTAACGTACATCATATAGGAAAATATCTTAAAAATAGATTTGAGTTGTCAGACTTGATTGTATTGTTGAGTAAAACTTATTTTAAAAATATTACCTTATAGCAATGCAGTGAAGTTAATATAGCAATGGTCCTCATTTTTATGTCAAATCAGCAGCATCTGCAAATAAGTTATAAATGCAAATTATTGAGTCCCACCCAGACCTATTTAAACAGCTCTCTGGGGTTGAGGCCCAACAGTCAGCATTTTAACAAGCCCTCCGGTTAATTTTGCTGCATACCAATATTTGAGAAACACTGTAAAAACGTGAGGCAGTCTTCATAGAGAAGCACTATTTGGTGAATCCTTGGCACAGAACACTGAGCTTCCTATGACTTAGCAACTTGATTTATTATTCAAATTAAAATGAATACAGGAATGATACAGAAATGATAAACCATAAAATAACTGGAACATAATTTCATGCTACTGATGAAGAAACACAGACATCTACAGGCAAATAAATAAAGCAAATTTGCTTAAAATAAAGGCTTTTGTTTTGGTTCCCAGTAATTTAAAAGTGAAATCTACCTCAGAGATGATAGTGTAACTTCTGGTATCTCCCTCAAATCTTTAGGGTTTGTTATTTAAAAAAGGAAATGTCACATGAAAAACTATACCTCTACAAGATTTTTGCAAGCCATTTATGTTCTAGGCTACCTCTCACTTAAGGGCAACTGCATTTGATAATACAGTTGTGCAAAGCACTTAAGAACTAAAACCTACTTTTCATGATCCTACTTTATCTCTGTATTTGGCTTTGTAAATGTGCTTTACTTTGTTTTCAAATGGCATTATGTCATTTTTCACTTGGAGAGTTGATATTGATTGACGGAAAGCATTAAATTAGAAAGGCCTGGCTAGAGTCCAAGTTATCATCCACAGCTGTATCTCTCACCTGGCCTCTCCCTTGACATGTGGGGATTATTGGGGTTAATGGTGATTATAATTCAAGGTGAGATTTTGGATGGCGACACAGCCAAACCATATCAGAGGTTGTAGGACTGAAATCCTCAGCGTCTATAGACTGCCCCTCTCCATAGGCAGTACACAGTGGCTATTTGTTTCAAGGCCAGCATGAGAGCACATCTCCTACTTCCAGTTTCTTCTGTCAGGGACAGCATAAGTCTTCTTTTAAAGGGCTCACCTGATAAAGTCAGGACCACCCAAAATATTCTTTTTTATTGACTCAGAGTCAATTGATTAGAGGCCTTAATTGCCTCCTGAAAATCCTTTCACCTTTGCCATATTCTATTGGTTTGTCGACCAAAAGTCAAACTGTAAAATATTTGAAGAGATTTATTCTGAGCCAAATATGAGTTACCATGGCCCATGACACAGCCTTCAGGAGACCATGAGAACATGTGCCCAAGGTGGTTGGGGAACAGCCTAGTTTTATACAGTTTAGGAAGACATGAGACATCAATCATGTAAGTTGTACATTGTTTTGGTCTGGAAAGGAAGGACAACTTGAAGCAGCGGCTTCCAGGTTATAGGTAGACTTAAACACTTTCTGATTGGCAACTGGTTGAGCTAAGCTGTTATCTAAAGACCTGGAATCAATAGAAAGGAATGTCTGGGATGGTAAAGGGATATGGAGACCAAAGTTTTATCATGCACATGAAGCCTCCAAGTAGCAGGCTTCAGAGAGAATAGATTGTAAATGTTTCTCTTCAGACTTAAAGTCTGTGTTAATGTTAATGTTGGTCAGCTTTTTCTGAATTCCAAAAGGGAAGAGGGTATAATGAATCATTTCTGACCCTCCTTTCATGGCCTGAACCAGTTTTTCAGGTTAGCTTCGGAATGCCTTGGCCAAAAGGAGGGGTTCATTTGAAGGGTTGCAGGAAACTTAGAATTTTATTTTTGGTTTACAGGTTAGAAGTTATAGGTTCTAGGCTGGGCGCGGTGGCTCACACCTATAATCCTAGCACTTTGGGAGGCGAAGGCAGGCAGATCACCTGAGGTCAGGAGTTGGAGACCAGCCTGGCCAACATGGTGAAACCCTGTCTCTACTAAAAATAAAAAAAATTAGCTGGGTGTGGTGGCATGTGCCTGTAATCTCAGCTACCTGGGAGGCTGAGGCAGGAGAATTGCTGGAACTTGGGAGGCAGAGGCTGCAGTGAGCCGAGATCACATTACTGCACTCCAGCCTGGGTGACAGAGTGAGACTCCATCTCAAAAAAAAAAAAAAAAGAAGGAAAAAAAAGTTACAGGTTCTACCTGCAATCAATGAGAAGGGGGTTACACAAAAGTGTGGATCCCAGAAAGCAGAAATCACAGGGGGCATCTTATAATTCTGCCTATCGCTGTGGAATAATAACAATACATACCTCTTAGGGTTGATTTTTTTAAAAGCTTATTTGCATAAAGTAAGTGGAATATTTCATGATGCATAATAAATATTACTTATTACTCTTTTTAGTTTGATAGTCATTTTTGCAGAAGCTTTGAGTGACTAAAATGGTGGTGTTATTGGGAGAGAATATAAGCTGGGTGGAAATGATAAGTTGTAAGAGAGCCTCCAGTATTCATTGTACTCCATTTGTATCTTGATGGTAAATGTGTTCTGCTACCTTGCTCATAAAAGTAACGGAAACAACTGTCAAATTCCCATAGCATTATCGCCAAACCCTGTAATGTTCCATGGTCTAACATATTTTGAACATTATAAATATTTTGCCTACCAAATATCGAGATATCAAGTGAAAGTTGAGGATAGGTAGGTTATAATATGGATTATTCTATATCCTTCACATCTATGTTCATCTCATTATTTTTATGTAGGATTCAGAAAATTTTTCTAAGCAAATAACTGCTGATAATATGAATAGTAAACAACGTTTTATTAAAGAAAGTGTACTAAAAGCAACAACAGTATTTCTGATTATCTTGCTTTTTCTCCTACATATTCCTCAGAAAAATCTTCTAATTATTTTTACAAATGCATCATTTAACTGGCATAAACAAGGTATGGTGATGTCAATTTCTGCTTTGAACAAAAGGAAGGGAAAGTGTTTTTCTTTCACTTAAGGCCACAGACAGGTGAGATGGAGATAGACGGGGAGTGAATGTTACATTCTCATGTTACATGAATTAAGTATAAATATTTTTTTTAAAACTTCTCTGGAGTGCCTGAAAACAAAGCTTATACTTATTTCGGTCCACTTTATCCAGCTCTCCATTTCAATACCTAGGGAACTCAGAGGAAGTCAGGAGTACACCAAAACACAGTCCCTATTATTTTTAATAGTCGCCAAAAGAATTTCACAGTTTTTTCTCATTAATTCTTCAAAAATCTAGTGGAAAAAGGTAATTCTTAAAAACAAATTGCAGAATGTTTAATGATTCCAAAAGGCAATTAGAGAGAAGAGGCATTTTTCTTTGTTTTTATAAGTCATTGCCATTTTAGCTTAATTTACATAATGTTTTATGGGAACTTCAAGAGCATTCTCTCTTCAATATCCAGCACTAAAAGAACCCATTGTATACTTCCTCTGGCATATAAGTTACCGGTTACTCCCCTTTGCTCTTTCCCAAAATCTTCTTTCCTGTGATTTCTTGAGGAATAACTCAACTTGTTTGTGGATGCTGCCAAAGAAATTGATCAGTTTCACATTCCAGTCAAAATTATAAGTTCAGTTTGTAAACTGCAGAATAGGTAAATATGTTGATCAAAGTGAAGACAGAAATTGCTTTTTGATTATCATTTTTTAACAGACCTGTGTGGTATTTATCAAACTTTATCTCTACTTTTAAAAATTATTCCACTTTTCTCATTACCTAGTGTCTGCTAATAGTTTGGTTTCAATTTCTTGATGATATAATTTTAATATTGTTTTGTTGATTTGTTCTGGATGTAGGAAAACATTTTAAAAATAAAGTAGTTTATATAAACATGCCCATCTTCATATACATATAACCACATAATTTTATGTGTATGTTTCTGGGAGAGATTTATGTGTGTGTACCCACCCATGTGGTATGTTTTCAGGTCTTTTGAGGCCACTCTATCCCATATTTACAAATTTCCACCCATTCTCTCATATGCAAAATTGCATATTGAGAGTCTCAGTTTTTTAGTTAAAAATGTTGATTCCTGAAAAGCAGGTTTAGGATGAGAATTGCTGTTTGATATTTGTTTGGCAGGCAGCTTATGTTCCTCTGAAATACTTAGGAAGTTATACTTACACACACACACACACACACACACACACACACACACACAAAATTTGAAAACAGACCTCTATATAAAGTGGGACTGATTATCCATTCACTCACAGAATCATGGCAAAATTTCCACTAAATTAAGAAAAAAAAAAAGAGAAATGAATTAGAAAGCCCAATCAATAGAAACTGTGATATAATGCCAGTAAATCTATTATTGCCTTCAAATATATTGAAAAATCCTGTAAGTTCTCATTCTTTTGGACTCAGGTTTGGATAAACCAGAATAAAAGACCTCTATTATTTTACTTTGTGGCCACTTGTTTAAGGCAGCTAGTAGATTCCTCCTCTTCCCTCTAATCAGTCTTCTTTTCCGATGCCATTGAGAGGCAGAAATGCTTGAAAAAAACAAAACAAAACAACAATAAAACAAGTTTGTCGAACTTTGTGCAGAGTAGATTGGAATTGGCACATTGCTTAATGGGAATAATGTTTCTTACAGTGCAAAGTAGATTTGGCAGAAAGAGGAAAAGTTCTCAAATGCATGGGCATTCTGAGAATTGAAGTTATTCATGTACTTCTTTCCTTTACTTCGATGTTTCATGGCTCCAGAAAATGAGCATAAATGAAGGCCCATTTTAACATAGATGAAAGAGAAAAGAGCCTTTTGGATACAGGGAATGGGCTGAGTCTATATTTTTCCAAGTACTCAAGTTCTAAATAACTACCATAGATATTACATAATGCACGCAAATGAATAAGATATAGGATCTTGTGTTCAAGTGACTGAAAAAATAAGTTATTTTTAAAAAGCAATTTTCCTAATAAGATTTATCATATTTTTATTATGCTAATATGAATTGTAATCAGGACTATGGGGACAGCAAGCTGCATAGTTTGCAGTATTTACCAAAAAATGTTTACCATAAAGTGCAACACCTTCTTCCCTGGACATTTTGTGGAATTAGTATTCCCAACAGAGAATACAATTATTAGAAACAACATATGTCCCACACCCTTATTCTGCAAATCTGAGAAACTATACAAATTAAACTCCTTAAAAATAAAGATTTTTTGCATGAATAAATAAAATGAAATGGGCAAGGCTTTGATAAATGAGGCAGACCTGAGAACAACAAACTTTCTTTAGTGGAGTGCATAGTATCTCTCTTAATTACCCATCTCCCCTCTCACTAGTAGCTAGCGAACCCTGTCCCAACAGACATCTTGATCTTCATTTTCTGATCTAAATTTGAGAGAAGAAAGTATGCATAGCTTGACTAATTAGTATCCCTTCATATTGTGCTGAGGTCTTAGCACCTTGCCAGGTCATGTGTCTCTGACATCTGGATAGGGTCACCCTTGGCACAGGACCTACCCATGCTCCTACCCTTGGCCTTTTATGTTTTCTGACATATTGGAAAAGAAAACTGAGCATGACCAAAACCCTGACTGATCTTTTCACACTTATGAAATAAAATTACAGAATTCAGGTGAAAAATAAACATCATTCAGAAAATAAGCAAATATCTGAAAATAACCTTCTGAAATAAGCACAAGATGATTAAAATATTTGAAAATCTTTATATGATTCCAGAAGACACATCCTGTGGATATAACCAGATACTTTTAAGAGGTAAAAATGTCAAATGAGGGAAAAGCAGAATCAAATGAAAAGAGATTGTATCAAAGAATAAAAATAAATGTTTAAAAAATTCTAAGGCACAATAACATTTTAAAGAGCTTACTTGAGTAAGAAGTAATTCATTAATTGTGGAACATCAGACTGAAAGGGTTTTGGTGACAAATCAGTTCTGATGACAAGTAGGGACAGGTATTTATGGGATAAGTACAGAAACAAAATAAAAAATATTTGATTGGTTGCTCTTATACAGTGTCTTATTTTGTGTATCTCATTTTAAAGTCCCTAATTATATAACATAAATTTGTTGGCTACTTCTCATTGGTTGAGCTTAAGTTCTGTTTTTCATTAATATAGGCATTTACAAGAAATAGCTCAAGTTAAGTTTCATTTATGTTTGCAAATCAAGCAAGCTTGGGGTCACTTATGAAGCCTAAGTAGCTTTGTCTGCTCAGATTCTTCAGGTCTGGTCTCCATTTTATTGTACTGTAACACATACAATAGCAGAATTCAAAGATACTTCCAATGAATAAAAAGAAGAATTAATGCCATAAAAATTTAAACATTTGATGTGAAAGTCAAACTTCAAAATGATAGAACCAGAAAAATATGGTATTCATGTGAAGTAGAAAACACTGGCTCAAACCCAAGTCCTCCCAGATCTTCTCACTATGCCCGCTGGAATTCATGCTCTGTAACCAACATCTTCCCTATATTTAGTCCTTATTGAAATATGTCCTGAGGATTACGCTTTTTTTTTGTTTGTTTGTTTTCAATAGGCAGGACAGACATCTCTTTATTGTATTTTATTTTTTTTAACTTTTATTTTAAGTTCAGGATTACATGTGCAGGTTTGTTTTATAGGTAAACTTCTGTTATGGGGGTTTGTTGTTCCAATTATTACCCAGGTATTAAGCCTGAGTGATAACCCATTAGTTATTTTTCCTTTTCGTCTTCCTAATCCCACCCTCCACCCTCCGATAGGCCCCAGTGTCTGTTGTTCCCCTCTATGTGTCCATGAGTTCTGATCCTTTAGCTCCTACTTATAAGTGAGAACGTGTATTTGATTTTCTGTTCCTGCATTCGTTTGCTGAGGATAATGGCCTCCAGCTTCAACCATGTCCCTGCAAAGGACATGAACTAATTCTTTTTTATGGCTGCATAGTATTTCATGGTGTATATGTACCACATTTTCTTTGTCAATCTATCATTGATGGGAATTTAGCTTGATTTCATGTCTTGTGAATAGTGCTGTGATAAATATATGTCTGCATGTGCTTTTATGGGAGAACAATTAATACTCCTTTGGGTATATACTCAGTAATGGAATTGCTGGATTGAATGGTAGTTCTGTTTGAAATTCTTTGAAGAATATCCAAACTGCTTTCCACAGTGATTGAATTAATCAACATTCCCACCAGCAGTGTATAAACTGTGTTAGTCTGTTTTCACACTGCTGATAAAGACATACCTGAGGCTGAGATGAAAAAGAGGTTTAATTGATCTTACAGTTCCACATGGCTGAGGAGGCCTCAGAATCATGGCAGGAGGTGAAAGTCACCTCTTACACGGCAGCAGCAAGAGAAAATGAGAAAGAAGCAAAAGCAGAGACCCCTGATAAACCCATCTGATCTCATGAGACTTATTCACTATCACGAGAATAGCACAGAAAAGACTGGCCCCCATGATTCAGTTACCTCCCCCTAGGTCCCTCCCACAACACGTGGGAATTCTGGAAGATACAATTCAAGTTGAGATTTGTGTAGGGACACAGCCAAACCATATTATAAACTATTCCCTTTTCTTCCCAACCTCATCAGCAACTGTTATTTTTCGACTTCTTTAAAATAGTCATTCTGAGTGGTGTGAGATGGTATTTCATTGTGGTTTTGATTTGCATTTCTCTAATGATCAGTGATGTTGAGCTTTCCCCTTTGCTTCTTTTTGTCAGGTTTGTCAGAGAACAGATAGTTTTAGGTATGTGGTCTTATTTCTGAGTTCTCTATTCTGTTCTATTGGTCTATATTTCTGTTTTTTGTTTGTTTGTTTTTGATTTTTTTCCCCAAGGGTGACACTTTCTTTACAACTTTCTTATGTCAAAGCTGCTTTTTATTTTATTCACCATGTGAACCAGTTTGTAAAGATGGGTCAAGGTTCTCTTTGTTCCTCTTTGCTATTTTCAAACCATTTTTGTTCTTTTTGTCCCCCCCACAAATCTCAATCTCTATGAAAGTCAGGCTCTGAGACTCTGCCATTTCCCACCCTCACTTATATGTCATCCATATTTCTTTTGCAAAAGACACAATGTCTTCTTCTTTACCTGTACTTTCACAACCATTCCTGATGGCATCAATTCTCATTTGGATAATTCCTCTGGCCTCTCAGTTCTTTGACCTTCCAAAATCCAGTGATCATTTCTTTTATCCCACAGTAGTCAAGCACATGGTTATACCCTTGATTTTGTTTTAGTAGCAAGTGGCCCACCTTCGAACTCACAATAACAAGTATCCTTTCTTCTAATGATCACCTCTATATCTTCCAGTTCACCTAACCTGGAATCCCCATACCATCATTCCCTCAAGGGCCCTGAGAGTTTTAATCCATTAACCCAACTACATTTTCAATATTGGTCATACTTTCATCTTCTCTCATCACTCTGCTCCATCTCTTACCTAGATTCCAGAACTCTTCTTTCTCCATCTACCCAAACTTTTACTTCTGCTAGTCTCTATTACCCATGCCTTTCTACAAATAAACAACCAGAAGCATTTTTTAAAAGTTCTTTCCTCAACCATCATAATCAATCTCTCAGCAAGTATTGTCAATTCAACCTCCAAAATATGTCCTAAATCCATTCACTGCCCTCTCTCTGCCTATCACCACCCTTGTTCAAGCTACCATTGGCTCTCACCTGAAGTGCTGTATGAGATCCTTAACTGGATTTCCTGCTTCTACTCTTACCTCTTATAATCATTTGTGAAATAATAACAAGGGAAAATATTTTGAAAATGTAGACCAAATCATATCTTTTTCATTTTGTAAAACTTTTCAATCCTACCTCTTTGATTTTAGCTCCTACCACTTTTTGCCACATTCGCTATGCTGTCAACATTCTGTTTCTCATTTATCTGAACAGTCCCCAGGTCTCCAAACAAATGTTATCTCTTCAGAGAAGTCCTTTCTTATTCTATTTAAAATTGACCAGCTCCCTCTCTTCTCTCACCAGTGCTTTCTATCAACTTACCTTTTTTTTTCTTTTACTTGTTTATTATTAATCTCTCCCTGCTAAAATTTAAGATCCATGAAAATGAGACCCTTTCTGTCTCACTCACTGTGGCATCTCTTAATCTCCAACAGCCAGAACAGTGCTTGGTATGTAGTGATTGCTACTCAGTAAGAGATCAGAAAAAAATAGAATACAAACTATAAGTAAATATACAGTTAAGAAAACTTTCCAGAGTTGAAAAATCATCTGGTTATTCAGACTGAAAGCGCTAGAGAGAGAGAGAGAGACAGAAGGAAGGAAGGAAGGAAGGAAGGAAGGAAGGAAGGAAGGAAGGAAGGAAGGAAGGAAGGAAGGGAGGAGGGAGGGAGGGAGGGAAGGAGGGAGAGAGAGAGAAAGAAAGAAGAGAAAGATCAGCAAATAATAAAGACGGGCTTTTCTCAGTCTTTTCAACTGCAACAGGAACCCAACAACTGTGGAACACTATCTATAGACTATGAAAAGAGATGGTGGTGTTTTAAGGAATTTATAATGAGCTTGATTTTCTTTAATGTATCAAGGCTACTGAAAGAAACTCTCAAATATGTAATGGCTCAGGAAGGTTACCACGATTTCTCTTTAAATGAAAAAGAAAATTAAAAATAAATGACTAAAAAATCAGAACCTAAAAATAAAAAAAGACTTCTTTTTTATGTTTTTAATTTTTTAACTTCAGAAACCCTGTTGAACTGCATGTTGTAAGGTACATTTTATGGCTTCCCAAAATATGACCTAAAGTACTTTTCTCAGTATTTTATCTTTTCCTGCAACTTCTTTTGCAACCAATAATTTCTCATTATACAAACTTTATGTTTCAAATGCAATATATTGCCAACCATGGCAACCAATTAAAACAATAATTGGTTGTATATAGTTCCAAATTCAAACTATTTTTGATATTGTAACATTACTGGAGGGAATAAAATCTCTGTTTCTCTTTCTTCTTCCTCCACATTAAGAAGAGATGGATAGAGCTCTGCAATGGCAATTTTCATTACCTAAAAATTTAAGTGATAATTTTCATTATCTTTGAATGACTTCAAACACAAAGTTATTTTCATTTTAACTCAGGAAGACTTATAAATTACACTGTGACAGATTCTATGTGTATGTGTCATCAACAAGACTTTGCAAGGAAATTCACCAAAATGTTAGTGTTACTGCTAAATGACAAAATTATTCATGTTTTTCCCCTTTACGAATTATTGAATGTTTATACTCTGTGATTATCATTGCATTTATGTTCAGTTGAAAGGCCGTATAAATGGTATAATTTTATAGATACTATTTTATCATCGTTAGGTAGAAAATGCGTCACAAGAGATTTGATAGAAAAGGTATCAAAGTGTTAACAGTAGTCAACTCTGGTTGTACAAAGAAGTGACTTTTTTCTTTCTTTTAATCAATTTTTTTTTACATTTGATTTCTTCATGAACACATATGTTAACTTTATATTAAGAATGATTAAACCTTGATTTTAAAATCCAGGCATTGCTGGAAAAGTTAACATAGCAATCTGCAATCAGCTGCTTTATATCCCAGTGAGAATGAAGAAATCAAGAATGGAATTAATATGGGCAGAGGTCGGGGAGTAGCGAGGAAGATGACTAGAAGGGAGAGAAGGACATTAAGTTTCTATAAGGTAGGGAAAAGGATAGGGAATGCAAATAATAAATATTTGCATATTTACCATAACCCCATCTTTGCATTATTTTAAACATGATTGAGCTATTTGCTATTAAGTACTTTTCAATTTTGGTTAAAGCTGACTTGATTTTTTTGTAAGTCAAAACAACATGAGCTGCAACCACTGTCCGATTGATATTTTGGAAATGAATGCATTTTATAAATATCCATAAATGAATGAATGAATGGACAGTTGTTAAAGAGATTTCACAGTTCATTCATTTATTCCCCAGGCATTTGTTTAATACCTACTATTTGGCACTGGAGTACAATATTAAACAATATAGATGCATATTTTAAATACTAGTGTAAGTGTGTGAGTGGGGGACAAATAATAAAAGATAAGCAAATAATGAGAAAATAATTTTATATATTGATAAATTATATGAAGAAAATAAAACAGATTAATACAAGAGGCAAAATGGGGGAAATTGGAATTTGATAGGAATCTAGGGGCCACCTGAGTTACATGTTTAGTAAATATTGATTTGGTGAGAATTTATCGTGTTCAATGCAGCATACTAGGTGAGAGGAGGAGTGATGAGAGAAAGTTACTCCTCTGTGAGGGCCACAACCTAACAATCCAGTGGATTCACAGAGCATGTATTTTTAATGCAGTGGTTCCTAAAGTGTGGGTCTCCAGACCAGCACAATCAGAATCACCTGGTACTTAATACAAATGCAAATTCTTGAGCCTCACCCTAGAACGACTGAATCAGAAATTCCAGAGATGGCCCAGCTGTCTGTATTTTAACAGCCCTCCGGGTGATTCTGATGCACACTAACATTTGAAAACCACAGCCTACTCCCTACTCAGCTGAATGTGTTAATTAGGACCGATTTTCTCACCCCAGCTAACTGAAAATTAATTACAATGAAATATGTTCCCTTTTCTCCCTCCTTATTTAGGACTTCTCAGAAAGTCATGGAAAATGCATATTGGCTCAAATAGTCTAAAAAAGCATAGTGTCTTCTCATAATCTGTAGGGAAAAGCACAGATTTCTTTTCACAAACAACTGCAAAGTGACTGATTACCATGCTGCAAGAGAGGCGGTGCAGGAGAGGTGAGAAAAGCCACTTAGTCTCAGCACACTGGCTGCTCAAAGAAAAAAGAAAGAATTGTTTCTTTAAAAAACCCAAACCAAAAGTGGAACTATATGCTTTGTGTTACTGAGAAAAAGCATGGCTCTTTATATGATGTAGATGAATTCATCTCAATACAAATCACTCATTCTTGTAGTTATTCGCTCTTATTGAATAGCTGTGTGATGAAAAAAATATGGTAGAATATAATTTTTTTTGCTACAAGTAACTATATCAGAAAAATTACTAAAATGTTGGCAAAGCAAACTCAAATAGTCAATATCGATTATACAACTTACACTTTGTCTAAGGAGACTTCTGCATTCTTGCTACTGTTATGGCTGGACTATGTGCAGAGCTGCTAGTTTCTCTCTTCAATTGTAGACATTCTCATTACAACCACTGAGTTATTAGTAGTGCTAGCAACAGTTCTCTACATCATAAATGAAGGTAGAAGGTATTTCATTCTCCCCAGTGATAGGTCTTCCTATTTTAAGGAACAAGGGAGAGGAAGTGAGAGGAAGGAAAGAGAGAACAGGAAGTTATCCTGTCAGATACAGGGCCTAATAAAACATCATATTTCAAAGCAAAATAAAATTCCATTAAATGTTTCTCAGTGAATAAAATAAGGACCAATGTCAGGATTTTCTCATTTTAGGTTTTCAGATTCAGAAAGACATTTAAACTCAAAAGATTACAAATAAAACGCTAGGCAGTTATATTCACAAATATAACCACTCTTACTGAATTTTCAAATCATGATTTCAAATCAGATCAAATCAAATTTTCAATTATGATTTCAAAACAATCATTTGTCATTGAGAATAATATTTAAAATTTATCTATGAATTAGGTTCGATGTTATTGTAGAGTCTTACTCTGTTATTTTCAACATCCACATAGTTCTGAGATTTTGTGTTTCATTCTAGTTTTAAGTATTATACCTGTTGTGCTTCCAGGCAGTCCAGAAGAGGACACTTAACCAGAATTATCACCGTCTGTCCAACTGATAGGCCCATCGTGAGCTTGTTATTACTCTTGGTGAGCTCTGTTCTTTCATGTCTAAAACGTGTTTTTGCTGAAGCCAAACCAATTACACAATTTCAATCCCAAATTGTTCCAAATTTCTGGTAAATTAGAGTGTAGAGCAGGTACATGTTTTATTCATTCACTCACAGATGTACAATATTCTGCTAATACTATATGAAATCTAGTTTAACAAAAGACATAGTTATTCAATCAAAAATAATATGTGGATAATGAAAGTCCTTTCATCTATAAAATACATGCATAGTATAAAAGAAATTTCAATCATTTTGGGGAAAGCACTTGTAAAAGAATACCTTCATATACACAGCAATTTGGGACAAATTAACAATATATTTTCATATTTTATAAGATCTCATTGAAATACCTTGATTCTCTAATAAAAGTAATAGAAAATGGAACCTGGTACAGAAAACACAAAATTATAAAAGATGGAATTTCAGCAGCAAATACAATAACCAAAAATAATTGTCAATGAGGCCTCAAAGGAGTATAAAAAGGAAATGTAATAAAAGCTTGTTTGAGGAGTTAATCAGTTAAATAGGTATTTTGTTAAAAAATGCAAATAAAATACATATTGGAACAATGAGAGATACAGGGAGATCACTACTAAGTTAGAAACATTGTGCATTCATGATTTTAGAAAAAAAATCTCTTTTGCACCTCTCTCACTAACGTACCCTGGCACAGCATCATTTTGGCTACCAGCAATATGACTAAGACCATCTTATGTGCACCCTAACACCTCTAAAAGAGGAGAACAAGGAAAGAAGCTTATTTTGTATCTCATAGCAAGGAACATTCAAGGCAGGCTAAACTAGCTTGAGAAAAAGCAAGAATTATTTCATGGGTTTTGGGGGTATTGCTCAAATTGTAAAGGAGCTATATCAGATTGTCAAATGTCCAGCCACAATGAAAAACCTAATTAAATAGAACCAGTTAAATCTATGAAAATTCACAAGTCTAAAATAGGAAAATAAATATAAGGCACTTAAACAGTTATTTATAATGCAAAAGAATGGCAGCTCAAATAATATATAATTAGATTCATTGATTTTTATTAGTATGGGAGTATTTGAGTATTCTGTTTCTACTATTAAGTACATTTTCACTCATCAAGAAGAAAACTTTCTCTACCAATTGAATAAATAAATGATAACAGGACACTATGCTAAATACTCCTGAGAAATGTAGGAACTGTATGAAGAATGTGTCATTGTACACACAAAGACCAAACAAAAAGGAGTTAACAATGTGTTCCCAAATAATGGCTTAAAAATGTTCTTAAGAGGAGTAGTAATTATGCAGACTCAATCCTTTGTCTCCTGGTTAAATTATTTATAATGACATATTAATAGGTTAAGCATTAATTTTCCGTTATGCTAACACTTAGGATTAATAGAAGAGGACCAAACAGTGGGGATGTAATAATGATCGAGTAAAATTTCTCTAAACAATTTTGGGAAAGGGAACAGGATCTACAAAGCTAAAGCTCAGTGGAAATGTTTGGGCTCAGGGAGTTCTGTGGATGTAGCAAGTAAAGATGAGAAAGTAAATGATGTCCAGCCTGGAGCATTACTGCCAAGGTTTGGAAATACAACTAAGTCCATATGCCAACAAAGAATCAATTGATCATCCAGAACTTGCAACTTCAGCTTCAATGAGACAATAATCTTTTATTTTTGGCTTGGAAGATGGCTATATCCTTAGGAAATAAACAATATGACTGATGACTTTATTGTAACCCCAAGAAGACCCAAGAAGAAATTTAAGAGTAAACATGTTAACAAGAATGAGAATAATAACATATATAATGAAAACAAGGCTACATCCACTGTATTGATAATTTTGTAACTGGGTTAGGTATAAATCTTTTAAAATTTTGAGATAATTTCAAGTGTTTTCCTGCTTTATTTAAGTGACTGAAAGTCTTAAATGTGATATAATATACTTATGATTTTAATTACATGTTTCAGAAATCTAATTAAGCGTTAATCAATTTTTTTTAAAGGACATGGTACTCACCCTTTTACTTCATTTTCAAGTTTCAGATAGTTTTTTTTTTTTTTTACATATGTATACATGTGCCATGTTGGTGTGCTGCACCCATTAACTCGTCATTTACATTAGGTATATCTCCTAATGCTATCCCTCCCCCCTCCCCCCACCCCACAACAGGCCCCAGTGTGTGATGTTCCCCTTCCTGTGTCCAAGTGTTCTCATTATTCAATTCCTACCTATGAATGAGAACATGCAGTGTTTGGTTTTCTTGCCTTGGCAATAGTTTGCCGAGAATGATGGTTTCCAGCTTCATCCATGTCCCTACAAAGGACATGAACTCATCCTTTTTTATGGCTGCATAGTATTCCATGGTGTATATGTGCCACATTTTCTTAATCCAGTCTATCATTGATGGACATTTGGGTTGGTTCCAAGTCTTTGCTATTGTGAATAGTGCCACAATAAACATACGTGTGCATGTGTCTTTATAGCAGCATGATTTATAATCCTTTGGGTATATACCCAGTAATGGGATGGCTGGATCAAATGGTATTTCTAACTCTAGATCCTTGAGGAATCGCCACACTGTCTTCCACAATGGTTGAGCTAGTTTACTGTCCCACCAACAGTGTAAAAAGTGTTTCTATGTCTCCACATCCTCTCCAGCACCTGTTGTTTCCTGACTTTTTAATGATTGCCGTTCTAACTGGTGTGAGATGGTATCTCAATGTGGTTTTGATTTCCATTTCTCTGATGGCCAGTGATGATGAGCATTTTTTCATGTGTCTGTTGGCTGCATAAATGTCTTCTTTTGAGAAGTGTCTGTTCATATCCTTTGCCCACTTTTTGATGGGGTTGTTTTTTTCTTGTAAATTTGTTTGAGTTCACTGTAGATTCTGGATATTAGCCCTTTGTCAGATGAGTAGATTGCAAAAAATTTTTCCCATTCTGTAGGTTGTCTGTTCACTCTGATGAGAGTTTCCTTTGCTGTGCAGAAGCTCTTTAGTTAAAGTAGATCCCATTTGTCAATTTTGGCTTTTGTTGCCATTGCTTTTGGTGTTTTAGTCATGAAGTACTTGCCCATGTCTATGTCCTGAATGGTATTGCCTAGGTTTTCTTCTAGGGTTTTTATGGTTTTAGGTCTAACATTTAAGTCTCTGATCCATCTTGAATTAATTTTTGTATAAGGTGTAAGGAAGGGATCCAGTTTCAGCTTTCTACATATGGCTAGCCAGTTTCCCCAGCACCATTTATTCAATAGGGAATCCTTTCCCTATTGCTTGTTTTTCTCAGGTTTGTCAAAGATCAGATGGTTGTAGATGTGTGGTATTATTTCTGAGGGCTCAGTTCTGTTCCATTGGTCTATATCTCTGTTTTGGTACCAGTACCATGCTGTTTTGGTTACTGTAGCCTTGTAGTATAGTTTGAAGTCAGGTAGCATGATGCTTCCAGCTTTGTTCTTTTGGCTTAGGATTGACTTAGCAGTGCAGGCTCGTTTTTGGTTCCATATGAACTTTAAAATAGTTTTTTCCAATTCTGTAAAGAAAGTCATTGGTAGCTTGATGGGGATGGCATTGAATCTGTAAATTACCTTGGGCAGTATGGCCATTTTCATGATATTGATTCTTCCTATCCATGAGCATGGAATGTTCTTCCATCTGTTTGTGTCCTCTTTTATTTCGTTGAGCAGTGGTTTGTAGTTCTCCTTGAAGAGGTCCTTCACATCCCTTGTAAGTTGGATTCCTAGGTATTTTATTCTCTTTGAAAAAATTTTGAATGGGAGTTCACTCATGATTTGGCTCTCTGTTTGTCTGTTATTGGTGTATAAGAATGCTTGTGATTTTTGCACATTGATTTTGTATCCTGAAGCTTTTCTAAAGTTGCTTATCAGCTTAAGGAGATTTTGGGCTGAGACAATGGGATTCAGACAATCAAAGTTCTCTGAGCTAAAGGAGGAAGTTTGAACCCATCTCAAAGAAGCTAAAACCCTTGAATAAAGATTAGACAAATGGCTAACCAGAATAACCAGTGTGTAAAAGTCCTTAAATGACCTGATGGAGCTGAAAACCATAGCATGAGAACTACGTGACGAATGCACAAACTTCAGTAGCTGATTCGATCAACTGGAAGAAAGGGTATCAGTAATGGAAGATCAAATGAATGAAATGAAGTGAGAAGAGTAGTTTAGAGAGAAAAGAGTAAAAAGAAACAAACAAAGCCTCCACAAAATATCGGACTACGTGAAAAGACTAAATCTACGTCTGATTGGTGTACCTGAAAGTGACAGGGAGAATGGAACCAAGTTGGAAAACACTCTGCAGGATATTATCCAGGAGAACTTCCCCAATCTAGCAAGGCAGGCCAACATTCAGATTCAGGAAATACAGAGAATGCCACAAAGATACTCCTCAAGAAGAGCAACTCCAAGACACATAATTGTCAGATTCACCAAAGTTGAAATGAAGGAAAAAATGTTAAGCCAGCCAGAGAGAAAGGTCGGGTTACCCACAAAGGGAAGCCCATCAGACTAACAGCTGATCTCTCGGCAGAAACTCTACAAGCCAGAAGAGAGTAGGGGCCAATATTCAACATTCTTAAAGAAAATAATTTTCAACCCAGAATTTCACATCCAGCCAAACTAACCTTCATAAGCAAAGGAGAAATAAAATCCTTTATAGACAAGCAAATGCTGAGAGATTTTGTCACCACCATGCCTGCCCTACAACAGCTCCTGAAGGAAGCACTAAACATGGAAAGGAACAACCAGTACCAGCCACTGCAGAAACATGCCAAATTGTAAAGACCATCGAGGCTAGGAAGAAACTGCATCAACTAACGAGTAAAATAACCAGCTGGCATCATAATGACAGGATCAAATTCACACATGGCAATATTAACCTTAAATGTAAATGGGCTAAATGCTCCAATTAAAAGACACAGACTGGCATGTTGGATAAAGAGTCAAGACTCATCAGTGTGCTGTATTCAGGAGACCCATCTCATGTGCAGAGACACAAATAGGCTCAAAATAAAGGGATGGAGGAAGATCTACCAAGCAAATGGAAAACAAAAAAAAAGGCAGGAGTTTCAATCCTAGTCTCTGATAAAACAGACTTTAAACCAACAAAGATCAAAAGAGACCAGGCCATTACATAATGGTAAAAGGATCAATTCAACAAGAAGAGCTAACTATCCTAAATATATATGCACCCAATACAGGAGCACCCCGATTCATAAAGCAAGTCCTTAGAGACCTACAAAGAGACTTAGACTCCCACACAATAATAATGGGAGACTTTAATACCTCACTGTCAACATTAGACAGATCAATGAGACAGAAAGTTAACAAGGATATCCAGGAATTGAACTCAGCACTGCACCAAGCAGACCTAATAGACATCTACAGAACTCTCCATCCCAAATCAACAGAATATACATTCTTCTCAGCACCACACCACATGTATTCCAAAATTGACCACACAGTTGGAAGTAAAGCACTCCTCAGCAAATGTAAAAGAACAGAAATTATAACAAACTGTCTCTCAGACCACAGTACAATCAAACTAGAACTCAGGATTAAGAAACTCACTCAAAACCCCTCAACTACATGGAAACTGAACAACCTGCTCCTCAATGACTACTGGGTACATAATGAAATGAAGGCAGAAATAAAGATGTTCTTTGAAACCAAGGAGAACAAAGACACAACATACCAGAATCTCTGGGACACATTTAAAGCAGTGTGTAGAGGGAAATTTATAGCACTAAATGCCCACAAGAGAAAGCAGGAAAGATCTAAAATTGACACCCTAACATCTCAATTAAAAGAACTAGAGAAGCAAGAGCAAACACATTCAAAAGCCAGCAGAAAGCAAGAAATAACTAAGATCAGAGCAGAACTGAAGGAGATAGAGACCCAAAAAAACCCTTCAAAAAATCAATGAATCCAGGAGCTGGTTTTTTGAAAAGATCCACAAAATTGATAGACTGCTAGCAAGACTAATAAAGAAGAAAAGAGAGAAGACTCAAATAGATGCAATAAAAAATGATAAAGGGGATATCACCACCGATCCCACAGAAATACCATCTACCATCAGAGAATGTTATAAACACTTCTACGCAAATAAACTAGAAAATCTAGAAGAAATGGATAAATTCCTCGACACATACACCCTCCCAAGACTAAACCAGGAAGAAGCTGAATCCCTGAATAGACCAATAACAGGCTCTGAAATTGAGGCAATAATTAATAGCCTACCAATCAAAAACAGTCCAGGGCCAGACAGATTCACAGCCAAATTCTACCAGAGGTACAAAGAGGAGCTGGTACCATTCCTTTGGACACTATTCCAATCAATAGAAAAAGAGGGAATCCTCCCTAATTCATTTTATGAGGCCAGCATCATCCTCATACCAAAGCCTGGTAGAGACACAACAAAAAAAAGATAATTTTAGACCAATATCCTTGATGAACATCAATGCAAAAATCCTCAATAAAATACTAGCAAACCAAATCCAGCAGCACATCAAAAAGCTTATCCACCATGATCAAGTTGGCTTCATCCCTGGGATGCAAGGCTGGTTCAACATACGCAAATCAATAAATGTAATCCAGCATATAAACGGAACCAAAGACAAAAACCACATGATTATCTCAATAGATGCAGAAAAGGCCTTTGACAAAATTCAACAGCCCTTCATGCTAAAAATTCTCAATAAATTATGTATTGATGGGACGTATCGCAAAATAATAAGAGCTATCTACGACAAACCTACAGCCAATATGATACTGAATGGGCAAAAACTGGAAGCATTCCCTTTGAAAACTGGCACAAGACAGGGATGCCCTCTCTCACCACTCCTATTTAACGTAGTGTTGGAAGTTCTGGCCCAGGAAATCAGGCAGGAGAAAGAAATAAAGAGTATTCAATTAGGAAAAGAGGAAGTGAAATTGTCCCTGTTTTCAGATGACATGATTGTATATTTAGTGTTAATCAATATTTAAATAACTGGATAATTTTGCTTTTTACAACTTTTAATATTTTTTTCTGAATTTAAGCATCAAAAGAATATTATTTAATAGCTATATAATACTAAAACATTGAGCATTAAGTAAAGTAAAAATAGTTTTGAATATATCTCACCAGACGTAAGAGAGCCGAGTGGACATTAAAGTTAATACTTATATGTGGTAGGTACTGTTTTTGATGACTTCTGTTTTCTCTCTCAGCTTATCCTTAACCTTATCACAGTTCTATGAGTTTTACAGTGTTGTATTTTATAGATGAGGAAACCCCAGCACTAACAGATTAGATGATTTGTCCTAGGTTACAAATCATGCAATCCCAGGCTTCACTTGTTCCTGGACTTAACCAATGGTGCCAACTAGTTACACCATATGTAATGAACTGTACTGAGTCACTGTTACATTTCAGCTTGAATTCTTCTCTGTAAAGTTGAATTTACACACGCTGCACCTTTTTCAGTCTATATCAAAACAGGGCATTTACACAAGTGACAAATGGGCCTTATATTCTCTTTAGTGGATCTCCCCTTCACTCTGTTGAAAAGAATAAAGCAAGACATCACTTAAAATTAAAATTTTTGAAAGACAGTCTCTGAAGAAAATGTGTTTGCCCAATCCCATAATTCATATTTTGATGATAGAAATAATGTATAAAGTAGGCAATATTTTGAGTTTAAAATCATTTTGAAACATTAAAAATGTTTTTACCTTTATTTGAAATATCAAGAAATACAGAGACATAATTGTTCTGAATCATTTAATATTCTTTCCAGAGTTTCTCCATTTATTTGTATTTTTACAGTTGCAAACAAGGTGAAGAGGAGGATGCAATGAGTCAAGCTAACAGTTTTGGAAAAGATCAGTTCTGTCCTGCCTTGCAGCAACCTCCACAAGCACAGGTTTCCATCTTATTGTTAACGTCCTACTAGCATTTAATGATCACCTGCTACAAAACTCACCCAGGACTTGGATAATGATGAATAACTAGAAAGTATGCCTAAATGTTTCCTAAATATCTGGGCTGCTACACAACAAAGCTATTTCATTACCTCTGAAAGTAGAAATATGATATTAAAGATAAATTCAAAAACAAAATGGCTTTAAAATCTAAGCCAGTCTCCTGAATTAATGATTTCATAACCCAGTCACTTTGGCAGATATGTTCAAATTCCACATAACGAACCTGAATGTGCTCTAGAATAGATGAGGATAGCAATGTCTCCATTTCTACTCTTACATTCTCAAATTACCCTCCAGTCCCAGAGAAAATAGTCATCTTTCTTTACAATGCTGCTCTCAACTTCTATTTATATCCCTTGATGTCATCCAGTATCCTTTTTGACCTTGTTTTTTCAATTGCTTCCTCTCTATATTTTATTAACTTATGTAAGAGTAGTAATCCACTGCTGGCAAAATGTTTTCACATATACTGAGTCTTCATAACAATCCTAAAGTTAGAAATAATACCAGCCCCCTATATTCAAAATCAGTCTTAACTGTACCTTTCCTATCGTCCAAGCTCTGTGGATACCAGAAACCAATAAAGAGGAAATTCAGTTATTTTCTTGCCCCTCATTACCATTTCCAAACCCCCTTTGTGGTTCTTGTCTGGTAGAATCACTATTGTTTCCTCCTTTTTTTGCACTATCATCTGCCAACCACAGGGGCTTAAGGTATACATATGGCCTAGAGTCGTCTATTCCATCTCTAGTTTCACAAGTGTTTTGGGTGATGTCAAAGTCTATGATCAAGGCTTATTCAGCCGCCTATCTTTTTGTCCAATGACCTTCCCCAAATCCACTTACACAGCCACACCCTGGAACTTATCACAACTCATATCTGCTACACTCCTGAAATTTTTCACAGAGATACACTTGTCTCTATATAGCCTCTTCTCTTTCTTAGTCATTCTACACAACAGCCACATCAGAGCTATATCATTTGTTACAAATCTATCAATGTAGTTCTATGTTCATTCCCTTCGCTATGCAGCTTTCCTCCAAGACCCAGCTCTTTAAGCTTCATAACCCTATTCTCCATTCTACCCACCATACCAACCTTGTAATCCCCAGAGAAGACTACTTTCTAGTGATTAAAGTTTCTTCTGGAGAAAAGAACCTACTAGGGAGAATTGACGCTACAAAAAATAATAATAATAAATAAATCATAGCTAGGTCTTAAAATCCTCCTGGGCAACCCTCTACACATCTTTAGGTAGTACCTACTCCATTCCCCTCAGTTGCTGTTCCAAATTTTCACATTTCTCAGAAAATGTTTACACAGCCACATCCTCCCTTAACCTCAGCAGGTGAAATTGCATTCTATTTTGCCAAAAATATTTAGGCAGAAACAAAAAGTATTTTATCCCTTACTGATATGGTTTGGCTATGTCCCCACCCAAATCTCATCTACTATTCCCACTTGTCATGGGATGAACCCAGTGGGAGGTAATTGAGTCATGGGGGTGGCTCTTTCTCATTCTGTTCTCGTGATAGTGAATAAATCTCATGAGATCTGATTTTTTGTTTTTGTTTTTGTTTTTTTGTCTTTTTTTTGTTTTTTTTTTTAGATGGAGTTTCGCTCTTGTTGCCCAGGCTGGAGTGCAGTGGTGCCATCTCAGCTCACTACAACCTCCACCTCCTGGGTTCAAGTGATTCTCCTGCCTCAGGCCTCCCAAGTAGCTAGGATTACAGGTGCCTGCCACCACACCTGGCTAATTTTTGTGTGTGTGTTTTTAGTAGAGATGGGGTTTCATCATGTTGGCCAGGTTGGTCTCGAATTCCTGAGCTCAGGAGATCCACCCGCCTCACCTCCCCAAAGTGCAGGGATTACAGGCATGAGCCACTGTGCCCGGCAGATCTGATGGTTTTAAAATTGGGAGTTTCCCTGCACAAGCTTTCTCTTTTTGCCTGCTGCCATCCATGTAAGATGTGAGTTGCTCCTCCTTGCCTTCTGCCAGGATTGTGAGGCTTCCCCAGCCATGTGGAACTGTAAGTCCATTAAACCTCTTTCTTTTGTAAATTGCCCAGTCTCAGGTATGTCTTTATTAGCAGTGTGAAAACAAACTAATACACTTACAAAAATCACCTATGGCTACACCCATTATTTTCACCTATGTATTGAAAGACATCTCTGCTCCTGCTCCAAGCTAATTATCCCATCTATACTTCCAATTCCATCTCTGCATTAACTTATTCTTTGTCTTAACCTGGATTCTCCCAAAAGCAGAGCTTGAAATGAAGGATTTTGTACAGATAGTTTATTGGGATTATGCCCAGAGAGAGACAGGATATGAGAAACAGAAGAATGAAACAGAGAATAAGGAAAAACAAGTACAAAGATATAATTTTAAATTGGTCACCACAACAAGCAACTGTTTCTTGTTAATGTGCAGTCTTCTCAGAAGTCTTGAGAAATACAACAACTGTCCACCCAGGGGACAAAAGTTAAAAGTATTTGTCTACCAACTTCCATCTCCTACTGGTCAATGGTGGTCCCAGAGACATCAGCTCCCTAATATATACCTCTGAAATTTTTCCAGTATCAGACTAGATGGTCAAGAGTCTACTTAAGATTGCCTTGTGAAGTTTCCACAGGTATCTGAATAATATTCATTATGTGGTCTGCACTAATAAGCACACATATACATACACATACCTGTTCCTGTTGTGGTTCCCCCATTACTCATCCAACTAATTGCCTAAGCCACAGAACTAGAATTATCCTTGATTCTTCCTCCCTTGTTAGTATTTCACTCCAATATTTCACAATTTCTCACTGCTCCTTACCTCCTTGATATCTTTAAATTAATCCCTTCCTTGTATTTCTTCTGCCACTGTATTATTTCAGGTTCTCATCACTTTTCACTCTTATTACTCTAATTTCTATAGTTTTGCTGGCTTCTGCTCAATCATCTTTTAATTACTTTCGGTATGAGGTTGTTAAAGGTCCAAATCTGAGCTCCTGAGACAAAGATATAAGGGCAAATAGTTTATTGGCGAGTTATTCCTGAAGGCAGAGTAAGGGAGTAGGAAAAGTAAAAGAGGAAGAAAGTTATTAAAGGTTGCATTTATGGCTGTGTGTAACTGAGGACCTCTGAGATTTTCCACTTGTGACCTTCTGAGGAACCATGTATAACATATTTTTGAATTCTTCCTACCAAAGGATGTAGAACTTGATGATTGCTCTTGGATTGTGCTGTGTGTAGGGTAAACATGTGATCGAGAAAAAAAAACACGCTTGGGCAAAAAAAGACTTATTTTTCTCATTTTGCTATTTGTTTCCTATTTGCCTTACAGCTTTTTTGTCTCCATTTCCCATATTACTAGCTTATTTTGTGTTTAGTGGGTTTTTTTGTAGTAAAACATTTAAATTTCTTTCTCATTTACTTTTGTAAATATTCTATAGCTATTTTCTTTGTGGTTACCGTGGATATTACATTTAACATCCTAGAGATAGAACACCGTAACTTGAATTTATACCAGTTTAACTTCAACAAAATACAAAAACTCTACTCCTTTAAAAGCTCTGTCCCCACCCCTTTCTCTGGTGGATATCACAAAATTACATCTTTATATGTTGTGTGCCCCAAACTAATATTTATTTGAAATGCATTAGCCCCTTATATTATATATAAAAAAGTGGATTTATGAACCAATAGTAACAGCTTTTAGATTAAAAATTGTTTTTTAATCTTTTAAATCACATAGAAAATGAAGTGAAGTTATAAACCATTATTACAATACTACTTGCTTTTATAATTGTTCATGTATTTACTTTTATTAAGGTTATTATTTCTATATATGCCTTCTAGTTACTGTCTAGTGTCCTTTCAATTCAACTTGCTGGGCTCCCCTAAGCATTTCTTATGGGACAGATCTAGTGGTAAGAAACTTCTTCAGCTTTTGTTTATCTGCAAGTGCCTTAATTTCTCCCCCAATTTTGAAGGACAGTCTTACTATATATAGGGGTTTTGGCTGGTACTTTTTTTTTCTTTTTGCACTTTGAATAAATTGACCCACTGACCTCCCGACCTTTAAAGTTTCTGATGAGAAATATGTAGATAATCTCATTAAGAATCCTTTGTGTGTGATGAGTTGCTTCTCTGTTTTTAAGACTCTGTCTTTGTTTTTCAAATAATTATCATATGTGTTGGTGTGGGTTTTCTTTTTTGAGTTCATCTTACTTGGAGGTTGTTAAGCTTATTGGATGATTATATCAATGTCTTCTATCAATCCTTTGGGGAGTTTTCAGTCATTATTTCTTGAAATATTCTCTCTGCCCCCTTCTCCCTTCTCCTTTTGGAATTCCCTATATATATATATGTATATATATATATATATTTCCATTAAGTCTGTTAGATGGTATTCTACAGGTCCCTTAGGCTCTGTTCATTTTTCTTCAAATAATTTTTGACATGGGTTCCAAAACCATTCAATGGGAAAAGGGCAATCTTCAATAAATGTTGCTAGGGTCACTAGATATTCACATGCAAAATAATCAAATTGGGCCCTTACCTAAAATCATATACAAAAGTTAGCTCAAAATGCATCAAAGGCCTAGATGTAATATCTAAAACATACAGTAAAAGCTTCATGAGATTGGATGTGGCTGTGATTTCTTGGATATGATACCAAATACACAGACAACAATAGAAAAAATAAACAAATTGAACTTCATGAACATTTTTAAAAATTATGCATCAAAGACACTATTGACAGAATTAAAAGGTGATCCACAGAATTGGAGAAAATATTTGCTAATCACATATATGATAAGGGGTAGATAACCAGAGTATACAGAGAACTCCTAAAACTCAACAACAACAACAACAAAACAAACAACCTGATTCAAAAATAGGCAAAGGACTTATGTAGTCATTTCTCCAAAAAAGATATACAAATGGCTAATAAGCACATGAAAGAATACTTAGCATTACTAATCACTAGAAAAATGCAAATCAAAACTACAATAAGATAGCACCTCACATTATGATAATGAGACTAATGATAATAGCCTCATCAGAATGGCTACAAAAACAAAATAAAAAAAAAACAAAACCCAGAAAACAGCTAATGTTGGCAAGAATGTGGAGAAGTCAGAACCCTTGTGCACTACTGGTGACAAGGTAAAATGGTACCACTGCTTGGAAAACAATGTGGTGATTCCTCCAGAAATTAAAAATAGAATTATCATATGATGTAGCAATTTCACTTCTGGGTAGATATACAAAACAATTGAAGGCAGGGTCTCAAAGAGATATCTGTATACCCATGTTTATAGTAGCAATTTTTACAATAGCCAAGACATGGAAGCAACCCAAGACACTATCAACAGATAAATTGGTAAGCAAAATGTAGTATATGCATAGGATGAAATATTATTGAAGCTTAAAGAGGAAGAAAATCCAAATATACGCTACAACATGGATGAACCTTGAGGACATTATGCTAAGTGAAATCAACTAGTCACAAAAAGACAAATACTGTATGATTCCACTTCTATGAGGTATGTAGAATCGTCAAAATCATAAAAACAGAAAGTAAAATGATGGTTGTCTAGGGTTGGGTGGATGTGAGAGAACAGACTCTCATTGTTTAATGGGTACAGAGTATCAGTTTTACAAGATGAAAGTGTTAGAGAAATGGATGATGCCAATGGTTGCACAGCATTATGAGTCTAATATCACTGATCTGCATACTTAAAATGGTTGAGGGTAAATTTTATGTTATGTACGTTTTACGAAAATAAGAACATTTAAAAACACACTTATTATGTAAAATAGAAACTGTAAAAGTTTCTATCAGGATTTTGGCAATGTTTAGCTGAATACTTTGCTTCAGGGTCTCTCACAAGGCTGCAATCAAAGTTCAACTGGGGCAGAATTTTCTTCCAAGAGCATTCATTATAGGCAAGATTCAGTTCAATGTGGATTGTTGTATTAAAGGTCACAGTTCTTTGCTTGTAGTTCGCCAGAGGCTACCCTCAATTTTTTGCTATGTGGACCTCTCTAACATGGTAACTTGTTTCATGAAACATAGAAAGATACTCTGCTAGCAAGATAGAAGTTAAAATTCTCTGTAATCGAATAATGAAAGTGACATCTCATCACTTTTGCTATATTGTATAAGTTAGAAGAAAGTCACTAAATCAACCTGCGCTCATGGAGAGAATATTACATGAATGTGTGAATACTAGGAGGTAGGATTATTGAGAAACTACCTATCACACTTCTCTAAATTCCCACCACATCTCTAACATGTGGTTTTCTGTGTAGTCATCCAAAGTACATGTTTGTATTTAAAAAAAAAAAGGATCATGTTATTTCAAACCTTTGTATCTTTGTAAACTTGCCTTCTGCCTTGAGTGGCCCCCTAATCTGATCACTTGACTAACCTCTCTATTTTTTCTTCATTTAATTACACTAGTTAAATTTAAATGTGCTGCCTTTGTGTTCTCACAGCACCTTGTTCAAATATATATTGTTGCTCTTAACCCTGTAATCTAATTGTTTATTTACTCATCATCTCATTCCCTAAACTATTAATGTCCTGAAGCCCATATCTTTACTACAGTGTTTGAACCCTAGCACAGTGTCTGAAACATTATGATTGCTTAATTAATATATCTGGGGCAAATGAATGAGTATTATTTTCATCTTATAGATTAGGGAATTAAGACAAAATGAATCCGGGAGTTATTCAATATCTCACAGCTTATAAATTAGAAAGCCAATTTTCAAATAGATGCTCTTTATTCCATACATAGAAAGGTGGATCCTGACTCAGTTTGTTATTTGTATTATAGCCCCTATTGTTATTATTACTATTAATATTCTATTTTATGTCAACTGACTTCTTTTCTCTTGCACATAAGCAAGCTAGGGTCTCCTATAATTAAAGTAAGTTGGAGGTAGGAAGAAGACATTTTCTTGACCTTGATGTTCTTCTAGGTTATATTTTAACTGTTTTTTTTTATTCTCAAACATCCTCAAATTTATCCTTAGAATTTTCCAAGTTTCGAATTTTCCAAGTTTTGTTGCAACTCCTATTTTTTTGAATTTCATCTTCACCATTTTGTTAACACCTGTGCTAAGTTGTCTAGTGGTTATATGTATGTGTGTTTGTGTGTGTTGTTGTTGTTATTGCTGTTGTTGAAACCTGCTTGTGTATTTTCATTGAATTCAATTTAACTCTGGTTATTATTGACATTCCTTCCTGAAGTACTTTTTTCTGTGGCATTAAGATTAGTACTTCCCCTACCCATCCAGCCACCCCCTTCCTCTCCTACGATTTCATACCTCTCGCTTAACTCGTAAGCCTTTTCCAAAACTCAATACTCATGTTGCTTTCATCTCATCTCAATGCTTCAACTAGATATTTTACGATAATTTCCCAATTTATATTTCAAATAATACCTCAATTCAAAATTATACTGTGTATAATTTCATAAAAGACCTTTTTACTTGAATAGTCTATTATCAACTGAAACCCCTTAATTTTATCATTTTTTTCAGCTTCCATTCTACCAGTAACCATACCTCTTTCCCATACTAGTCAACAGTCTTGATTGTATTCTGCATATGACACATAGCACTTGTTTATGCCCTAACCTCTTTGAGTCTGGTCTTTTAAATCCTACAACGCTACTTTGTATAACACTCTGAGAAACTGATGACAGACAACTCATCCTAAATTATTTATCACTCTCCTTTTTATAACCTTCAGTGGTTATCAGTTTGTACATGATTACATCCACATTTCTTCATTCCTTAAAGTCTCAGTGTTTTCATCTGCAAAGGAGGGGAGTAATATACTCTAATTCCTGAGATAGAAGACTAGATTAAGTGAAATAAAATAGATATCCAGCTCATAGTAAATGCACAATAAATACATAAACTATTTTTAGTTTCTAAAATGCAGTTTCTACTCCAGCAGTCAAGTCTATTTGCTGTCTTATAAATTAGTCTGGCACACTTAGGCTTCAATGACTTCCCCTACACAATTACTTCTATGACATTTTATAGTCCCCTTAAATAATCAAATTCTAATTATTCTTCAAAGTAATGATCTCATTCTGCCTCCTCCTTAAAGCCTTATCCATTTTGCAGTGAATGAGCTACTCTTCCTCTGTAACCATTTAACAGGTAAAGGTATTGTCTGTATCACTCAGTTGACTCTTAGCAGATTCTGTGCTTTGTTACAAATGGTTCCAGAGTATGCAATTTGTCTCTCTACCTGGAGACTACGCTTCTTGAAGGTAGGAGGACATGTGTCTTCTCTTTAGTATCTTCTGTTCTTTAGAGCAGAACAATTATCTGGCTTATCTGCCACTTGTCCCTACATGCCCCAAGTGCTCTAGTCATTCTAGTCTCTTCAGCAAACCCGCCATGACATACTTACATATTCGGTCATGATGTTCCTACCATGTCCTTCCTTCTGTATTCATTTGAACTCTTTCTTTCAAGTGTCATCTTCTCCATGAAGTCTACTCAAATATTTCAATCCCCGTATTCTTTCTCCTATAAATTCCTACAGTTACCATTATTACGTGGTCAGTACAAGGGCCATGACATGTACTTCTGAATCCTGTGTGGCGTTTGACCCTCTGTCTAGGACTTAATAATGAATATTTATTGGTTGGTTGACTGATCAATAAGCACAATTTTCCTTTTGTTTTATCATATTTTTATCATATAAAAATATAGCCTAACAACATGTAAACTATTATTACCGTAAAGAGTAGCCAGAGAGAAGTCTATTGTTCTAGGCCTATGGTTAATAGGCATAACACATCCATATTCTCATATGATTGCCAAATTAACATATAATTTCTTAAAAGATATTAAGTCAAACTATATCTTAAATGGGTAAAATATTTCACAAATGTGATATAAATTATTTCCCATACAACTATACCAGACACTTAAGTTTTATATATGTGGATTTTACTTTTTAAAAAAATGTTTTCCCAAGTTGCACTATTACAGAGATTTGCTTTCCTTCTAGGTGAGTCATCTTTTCATAATGATTCATTATCTTTTACAGAGTCCCTTAAAATCAGAATCTCTTTTATAAGAACAAATTTGAGGGGAAAAACACTTCTGTGCATTTACCATCAATTGTAAGTAGATTCAAAGTGGTTGTTGAGATACATGGGTTTGACATCATCCTTAGAGACAGAAGGATAAGGGAAAAAATGAAACAAACTTTTGTTTGCTAATGGTCTTGCTATGCACTTACTGGTTTAACGCCACATGCATCTTAATGTAAATAGCTTCTGAAGATGTTCATTTATAGGAAAACACTTTAGAACATATAAGAAAGGAAACAGTTATCTAGCCAATAATGAATTATCTAGCCAATAATGAGATATGCAGAAAAGTGTCAAGAATGTCTACTTCTTTGTCTGCAATAGCAACAGGACTATGTCAAATCTGTTGTTATTCTAACCTAGAACCACGTTGTATAAAGCAGGGTTTGGTCAACTATAGCCCATGGACCAAATTCCTCTCCTTTGCCTGTTTTTGTAAGTAGTTTTATTGGAATGTAGACACATCCATTCATTTATATATTGTCTATAGCCATTTTCACGACACAGAAGTAGAGCTGAGTAGTTCGACCGAGACAACAACATCTAAAATACTTACTATCTGGTCCTTTATACAAAAGGTTTACCAAACTCTACTTTAAAATATATTATGTCAAATTCTTAATCTGGGGTTTACCTGATGAATACATGCCATCTCTATCCTTATCAAGGGATTTGGAGAATCAATGAAAAAGACAATGGGACAGAAAAATGTGCATTTGTAATGAATTAACTAGTAATTCTTATCAAACATATGTGGCTACTGTTGTAATTTGCAATATTATCATTATTGGTCAAATTTATTAAGCTTCTATTATGTGCTAAGCACCTTATATGCAGTATCTCATTTATTCCACACAAAAAACTTTGTAACATAGATACTATTTATTATAATGTCAATTTTTGAAATGACGAAACTGAAAAGCAAAGAGCTAAAGTAACTTGCCCAGAGTTACACACTAAAGAACAGGTAGGGCAGGAGTCAAAAAACAAATCTATTCAAATCTGCAATTCATGTTCTAAACCCTATGTTCAGTAGACAACCCTACAAACTGGGGAGAGAAACAAAGGACTATACAAAACTCAATTTCTGCCTGATCCTGCAGTAAGCTGTCTAAACAGTTGTTTATATTGCAGACAAAACAAATACATCTGGAGAGTAAACATATCTGATAACAATAACAATAACTTAAGCATATTCTTAAAATAACCCTGTATGGTAGATGCACCTGAATATGTATTCTGAGCTAAGGAATCAGCAGTGGCCAACCTGGAGATTTGTTCCTTGTCCATGAAGAGCATCTGAGCCTTCACCCCATCCTGTGGAACACAGGCCATACAGGGGATTAGGGCCCTGAGTTTTGGGTTAAATGAAGGCTGTCAGTTGGAGGTCATTAACGGGTAGGTATTAAGTGAAAATGCTACATAAACTGCATGCTGTTTGTAAGTGGTTGTCATTTTCCTGCCCAGCCCACTGCCACTTGGCTGTGCCATTATCTTGTACAGCCCACTACCACTGGACTATAGGAAGGCAGATACATAAGGCCCACCACCAGTGGACTGTATGTGAGGTGAATGTCTTGTCCAGCCTGCTGCCATTGGACTGTTTCTGTATGTAAGGCAGTTCTCCTATCCTGCCCTCTGCTACTGGACTCTCTTCCCTGTATATAATCCCCTAATAAAACCCCATGTCTCTTTAGCTGGCTCTGGGCCTCTTCTTGGGTATCTTGAACCTGATGCCTTCCTTATTGAGGTTAATAGGGGTTTGGCATCATACATTGACTGTGGGAGGCACTTGAGGCATTGTAAATTTATTGTTCTATATGATTTCCAAATCAACCTCTGAACTGAGCTCCATTATCCACCAGTTTTTACAAATGAAAAGAGAAAAGATTAGGCTACTTGTTGAAGGTCACACAGAAAATAACAACAGGTTCTCTGTTAAATCACTCTATAGTGTCCTACCCAATAGTCAATAAACAATACCTACACAACCAAAGCTTCAAACAACTTTTAAGTTTCTCACTCATAAATATGAGCAGATATCCAAGAAACATTAGACATCAAGGAAATATTCTAACATAAAAACAAGCAAACAAAAAGGAAGTAATCAAAGAGATTGAGGGAGCAAGATGGTGGAATAGAAGGCTCCACTGATTGTCTTCCATCCCCACAAGGACACCTAGTTAACAGCTGTCTACAAAGAGAAAAACACCTTCATAAGAACCAAAAATCAGGTGAGTGCCTGGTTTTAACTCTGTATCACTGAAAGAGGCACTGAAGAGACAGAAAAAACAGTTTCGAATCATGGACACCACCGCTCCCCCACCCCCACAGCAGGGGCAGTGTGGTATGCAGAGCATCTCTGGGTACTGGGGGAGGGCACAGTAATGGTGAGGCATTGGACTCAGTACTGCTGTCCTGTTAGAGCAGAAAGGAAAAGTGGACCATACTCTGTTGATGCCTGCCCATGGAGAAAACATTTAAAACAGCCCTAGCCAGAGGGGATCGCTGATCCCAGAGAACCAAACTTGAGTTCCTTGAAACTTTATTGCCATGGGCTAAGTGCTTTGTGCTCTAAATAAACTGGAAAGGCAGGCTAGGCCATAAGTACTGTAACTCATAGGAAAGTCCTAGTACTAAACTGGACTCAGAGACAGTGGACTTGGGGGACATATGACCTACTAAGATACCACCTAGGATGGCTAAGAGAGTGCTGGCATCACCCGTCCCATAACCCTTGTCTGCACAGTTTATGACTCCAAAAGAGAACCCTTCCTTCTGCGTGAGGAGAGGAGACAGAAGAGTGGGAAGAACTAGTCTTGCATCTTGGATACTACCTCAACCACAGCAGGATAGGGCACCAGTCAGAGTTGTGAGGCCCACAATCCAGGATCCAGCTCCTGGATGACATTTCTGGACACACCCTGGGCCATTGCCTTGGATGAAAAGGCCCAGTACTGGCATCACCTACTAGCTAAAGAGCCCTTGGGCCCTAAACAATCAGCAGTGATAACCAGGTACTAAGTTGAGGGCCTTGGGTGAGCCTCTGAGACTTGCTGGCTTCAGGTGAGACTCAGCACATTTCCAGCTGTGGTGGCTGTGGGGCCAAACTCCTCGTGCTTGAGAAAAGTAGAGTGCAAAGTAAAGGAGACTTTGTTTGACTCCTTAGGTACTGATGCGGAAGCAGGGCAGGGAGGTGCTGGGAGGAGAAGGGCTAGTCCCTGGCAAGGGCTCCACCCCTAGGCCTGTGCCCATGGACCTAGGTGAAGATGAGCACTCCTGCCTTGGAGTCCAAATGTTGCATTTCCCAAGACCACCTGGCCTGTCAAGTCCCCATCATGTGCCTATAAAAACCCTGAGACCCCAGCAGGCACACACACAGGCAGCTGGACATCTACAGGAGCATATCAGTGGAGGAACACATGGGCGGCTGGACGTCAAGAGGAACACACTGGCATAGGAGCACACCACCACAGGAGCACACCACCACGTCAGCAGGCCATTGACAGGTGGAACAACATGGAGTTTGGCTGGGGCAGTCGTAGGAGAGCCCGGGCTGCCAAGTGGCCCAACCCCAGGGGAATACCATGTCCTTTCTGGCTCCACAGTCTGCTGAGAGCTAATTCTACTCACGAAAACTTTGCAGTCATTCCCCAAGCCCACATATGATCCAATTCTTCCCATACACCAAGCTAAGAACCCTGGGATACAGAGAGCCCTCTATCCTTGCAATAAGACAGGGATCTAATTGAGTTGACTAACAGAAGCTGCTGATGGGCAGATAAACTAAAAGAGCACCCTGTAACACATGCCCACTGGGGCTTCAGCTGTAAACATTCACCCCTAGACACTGCCATGGGATCAGAGCTCCACAGCCTGCCCATCTGTATGCTCCCCTAGAGGTTTGAGCAGCCGGACACTGAAGAAGTGAGCCACACCCTCATCACACACCCTGCAAGGGAGACAAGAGAAATTTTCCCATTTCAATACCAGCACAGCCACAGGGGAGTAGAGCACCAGGTGGGTTCTTGGGGTCCCTGATTTCAGGACTTGAATCTTAGGCAGCATCTTTGGACCTCCCTGGGCCAGAAGGGAGCCCACTGCCCTGAAGAGTGAGCTCCAGGCCAGACAGTATTCACCACAAGCTGACTTCAGAGCCCTTGGGTAGCATCTTGGGATGTGCCGTGGGCCAGAAGGGAGCTCACTGCCCTTGGGCCTTAAGGGAACATCAGCAGTAGTGTGGCAGTATTCCCTGTGCCTGGGTGGCAGTGGCTACAAAGTGAGGCTCCTCTGCCTTTGGAAAGGGTGGGGAACAGTGCGACGGATTGTGTCTTGTGGATTGAGTGCCAGCTCAGCCACGGTACAATAGAACACCAAGTAGACTTCTAAGGTTTTTGACCCTAGTCCCTTCTTCCAGATGGCACCTTGGACCTCGGACCCACCTGGGTCCTGCGGGAACTTGCTACCCTAAAGGGAAGGACAGTTCACAGTTTTGGCAGATTTTGCCACCTGCTGATTGCAGAGCCCCATGGCCTTGAGCAAACATAGGCTGTAGCCAGGGAGTGGTTACAGTAGGCCTTGAGGGAGACCCAGTGCTGTGCTGGCTTCAGGTGTGACTCAGCATAGTCATAGGGGTGGTGGCCACAGGGGTGTTTGTGTCACTCCATCCCCAGCTGGATGGCTCAGAATAGAAAAAGACTCCATTTGTTTAGGAGAAGTAGAAGGAAGAGATCAAGAGTCTGTCTAGTAATCCAGAGAATTCTCCTGAATCTTGTCCAAGAACATCAAAGCAGTACCTCTACAAGTCTGCAAGAACCAGTGTTACCAGGCTTGCGGTACTCCCTAAAGCAGATGCAGCTCAGATCACAACACCCAAGTTTTTTAGAATATATGGAAAGCGTTAAGAGATACAGGTACAAACAAGCCCAAACAGCGAAGACTGCAGTAAATCCCTAACTTGTCAATGTCCATTCACCAAAGAACATCTACTAGCATCAACACCAGCCAGGAAAATGACCTCACAACATGAACTAAATAAGCCACTAGTAATCAATCCTGGAGAAACAGAAAATGTAATCTTTTCAACACAGAATTCAAAATACCTGTGTTGAGGAAACTCAAAAAAATTCAAGATAACACACAGAAGGAATTCAGAATTCTATCAGAAAAAAATAAACAACGATATTGAAATAATTTAAAAGAATCAAGCAGAAATTCTGGAGTTGAAAAATGTATCAGAATCCTTTAAGAGAAGAATTGATCAAGCACAAGAAAGAATTAGTGAGCTTGAAGACAGGCTATTTGGAAATACACAGTCAGAAGAGACAAAAGACAAAAGAATAAAAAACAATGATACACACCTACAGGATCTAGAAAATCACTTCAAAAGGGCAAATCTGAGTTATGGGCCTTAAAGAGAAAGTAGAGAAAAAGATAGGAGTACAAAGTTTATTCAAAGAGATAATAATAGAGAACTTCCCAAACCTAGAGAAAGATACCAATATCCAAATACAAGAAGGTTGTAGAACACCAAGCAGACTTAACCCAAAGAAGATTACCTCAAGGCACTTAATAATCAAACTCCCAACGTCAAGCATAAGGAAAGAATCCTAAAAGCAACAAAAGAAGAGAAACAAATAACATACAATGGAGTTCCAATATGTCTGGCAGGAGACTTTTCAGTGGAAATATTACAGTCCAGGAGAAATAATACGTCATATTTAAAATGTGCAAAGAAAAAAGAATACTTTAGAATAGTATATCCAACAAAAGTATCCTTCAAACATGAAAGAGAAATAAAGACTCTCCCACACAAACAAAAGCCGAGATATTTCATTAACACCAGACCTGTCTTACAAGAAATGTTAAAGACAGTACTTCAATCAGAAAGAAAAGAAAGTTAATTAGCAATAAGTAATCACCTGAAGGTACAAAACTTACCAATAATAGTAAGTTCACAGGAAAACAGAGAAACATTATGACATTGTAACTGTGGTGTATAAACTACTCTTATCCTAAGTAGAAAGACTAAATGATCTGATCAAAAATAATAACTAGAGCGATTTTTCAAGACATATAAATGGAAACAACAAAAAGTTATAAAGCAGGGACAATATTAAGGCATCGAGTTTTTATTAGTTTTCTTTTGCTTGTTTGTTTATTCAAACAGTATTAAGTAGTTATCAGGTTAAAATAGTGGGTTATAAGATAGCATTTGCAACCGTTGTGGTAACCTGAAACCAAAATACAATGCATATACAAAAAATAAAAAGCAAGAAACTGAATCATATCACCAGAGAAAATAACCTTCACTAAAGGAAGACAGAAAGGAAAGAAGGAAGAGAAGGCCAAAAACGATGAGAAAACAAATAACAAAATGGCAGGAGTAAGTCCATACTTATCAATAATAACGTTGAAAGTAAATGGACTAAACTCTCCAATCAAAAGACATAGGGCCAGGCGCGGTGGCTTATGCCTGTAATCCCAGCACTTTGGGAGGCCAAGGTGGGTGGATCACCTGAGGTCAGGAGTTAAGACCAGCCTGACCAACATGGAGAAACCCTGTCTCTACTAAAAAAAAAATCCAAAATTAGCTGGGCATGGCGGCACATACCTGTAATCCCAGCTACTCTGGAGCCTGAGGCAGGAGATCGCTTCAATCCAGGAGGCGAAGGTTGCGGTGAGCCGAGATTGCGCCATTGCACTCCATCCTAGGCAACAAGGGCAAGACACTGTCTCAAAAAACAAAACAAAACAAACAAACAAAAAAGGCATAGAGTGGCAAAATGGATGAAAAACAAAATCCATTGTTCTATTGCTTACAAGAAACATCTTGCACCTAAAATTGCACACATAGACTAAAAATAAAGGGATAGAAAAGCATATTCCAGGCCAATAGAAACCACTAAAAGAGCAGAAGTAGCTATACTTATATCAGACAAAATATATTAAAATATACATTATATATAAGCATATTATATATCATAATAATATGAAAATATATTATATATTGTATGTTATTTCAAGACTAAAACTATAAGAAGAGACAAGGTCACTACATAATAATAAAGGGATCAATTTAGCAAGAGGACGTAACCATTCTTAATATATATGCACCCAACATGGAGCACTCAGATATAGAAAGCAAATATTACTAGAGCTAGAGAGATAGGCTTCAATACTATAACAGCTGGAGATTTCAACACCCCACTTTCAGCATTGGACATATCTTTCAGACAGAAAAACAACAAAGAAACATCAGGCTTAATCTGCACTTCAGAACAAAAGGACCTAATAAATATTTACAGAACATTTTATCCAAGAGCTGCAGAATACACATGCTTTTCCTCAGCACATAGATTATTCTCAAGGATAGACCATATGTTAGGCCTCAAAAAGGTCTTAAAAATGCAAAAAATTGAAATAATATCAAGCATATTCTGTGGCCACAATAGAATAAAGCTAGAAGTTAATAACAAGAGGAATTTTGGAAATTGTACAAACACATGGAAATTAAAAATATGCTCCTGAATGATCAATAAATCAGTGAAAAAATTAAGAAGGACATTGAAAATTTTTTGAAACAAATAGTAATGGAAGCACAACATACCAAAATCTATTGGGATACAGCAAAAGCAGTACTAAGAAGAAAGTTTAGAGGAATAATGTGCTTGCATCAAAAAAAGAGAAAAACTCCAAGTAAACAATCTAACAATGCATCTTAAAGAACTAGAAAAGCAAGAGCAAACCAAATCCAAAATTAGTAGAAAAAAAGAAATAATAAAGATCAGAGCATAAATACATGAAATTGAAGTGAAGCAAACAATACAAAAAGATCAGTGAAAGAAAAAGTTGGTTCTTTGAAATGTTAAACAAAATTGGCAAAACTTAGCCCAACTAAGAAAAAAGAGAAAATATCCAAATAAATAAAATCAGATATGAAAAAGCAGACATTACAACTGATACTGCCAAAATTCAAAGGATCCTTCGTGGTTACTGTGAGCAACTATATGCCAATAAATTGGAAAATCTAGAATAAATAAACTAATTCCTAGACACATAAACCCTACCAAGATTGAACCAGAAGAAATCCAAAACCTGAACTGACCAATATCAAGTAATGAGATAAAAGCTGTAATAAACATTATCCCAGGAAAGAAAAGCCCAGGACCTGATGGCTTCACTACTGAATTCTATCAAACATTAAAAAAAGAACTAATACCAATCCTATTCAAACTATCCTGAAAAATAGAGGAGGAAGGAAGATTTCCAAACTCATTCTACGAGGCCTGTGTTACCCTGGTACCAAAACCAAAGACACATCAAAGAAAGAAAACTACAGGCCAACATCTCTGATGAATATTGATGCAAAAATCCTCAAACAATATCAGCAAAATGAATTCCACAATACATTAAAAAGATCATTCATAAAGGCCAAGTGGAATTTATCCCAGGGATGCAAGCATGGTTCAATGTACAGAAATCAATCAATATGATATATCACATCAAGAGAATGAAGGATAAAAACTATAAGATCATTTCAATTGATGCTGAAAACCATTTGATAAAATTCAACATTGCTTCATGACAAAGAAAAACCCTCAAAAAACTAGTTATACAAGGAATATACCTCAACATAATGAAAGCTATATATGACAAACCCACAGCTACTATCATCCTGAATGGGGAAAAGATGAAATCCTTTTCTCTAAAATCTGGAACACGACAAGGATGCCCACTTTCACCACTGTTCAGTATAGAACTGGAAGTCCTAGCTAGAGCAATCAAACAAGAGAGAAAAAAATAAAAGACATCCATATTGGAATGGAAGAAGTCAAATTATCCTCGTTTGAAGATAATATGATCTTATTTTGGAAAAACCTATACTCCACCAAAAAACTATTAGAACTGTTAAGCAAATTCATAAAGTTGCAGGATACAAAATTAACAGAGAAAATCAATAGCATTTCTATATGCCAACAGTGAATAATGTGAAAAATAAATTTAAAAAGTAATCTCATTTACAATAGCCACAGATGAAACTAAATACCTAGGAATTAATCAAAGAAGTGAAAAATTTCTATAATAAAAACTATAAAATACCAGTGAAAGAAATTTAAGAAGATACCAAGAAATGGAAACATATTTCATGTTCATGGACTGGAAGAATCATCATTATTAAAATGTCCATACAACCCGAAGTGATCTACTCAAAGCAAGATTCAATGCAATCCTTATTGAAACACCAATGACATTCTTCATAGAAATAGAAAAAAGAATCATAAAATTTATATGAAAGCACAAAAGACCCAGAAAAGCCAAAGCTATCCTAAGCAAAAAGAACAAAACAGAAAAAAATCACATTACTTGACATCAAATTACACTATAGAACAATAGAACCGAAACAGCATAGTACTGACATGAAAACAGACATATAAACCAATGAAACAGAATGGAGAACCCAGAAACAAATCCACACGGCTATAGTGAACTTATTTTCGACAACAGTGTCAAGAGCATGCACTGGGGAAAAGATAGTCTCTTCAATAAATGGTACTGGGAAAACCGGATATCCATATGCAGAAGAATGAAACTAGACCCTTATCTCTCACCATATACAAAAATCAAATTGAAATGGATTAATGACTTAAGACCTCATACTCTGAAGCTACTGTAAGAAAACATTGGGAAAATTCTCCAGGACATTTGTCTGGGCAAAAAATATATTGAGCAAGACCCCACAAGCACAGGCAGCCAGAGCAAAAACGTACACATAGGATCTCATCAAGTTAAAAAGCTTCTTCACAGCACAGGATACAATCAACGAAGTGAAGAGACAACCCACAGAATGGGAGAAAATATTTGCAAACTACACATCTGGCAAGGGATTAATAACCAGAATATATAAGGAACTCAACTCTGTAGGAAAGAATATAATAATCTGATCAAAAATGGGCAAAAGATTTGAATAGCCATTTCTCAAAGGAAGACATACAAATGGCAAACAGGCATATGAAAAGGTGCTCAACAGAGGAATGCAAACCAGAAGTATAATGAGATATCATCTCACCCCGGTTAAAATGCTTATATCCAAAAGACAAGCAATAACAAATGCTGGCAAGGATGCGGAGAAAGTAAACACTTGTATACTGTTGGTGAGAATGTAAATTAGTACAAACACTATGGAGAACAGTTTGAAGGTTCCTTAAAAACCTATGAAAGAGCTACCATATGATCCAACAATCCCACTGCTGGGTATATACCCCAAAGCAAGGAAATCAGCATATTGAAGAGATATCTGCACTCACATGTTGAAGCACTGTTCACAATAGCTAAAATTGGGAAGAGACTTAAGTGTCCATCAACAGATAAATGGATAAAGAAAATGTAGTACATACAGACAATGGAGTACTATTAAGCCATTAAAAGAAATGCGATTCAGTCATTTTCAACAACGTAGAAGGAACTGGAGATCATTATGTTACATAAAATAAGCCAGGCACAGAAAGACAAACATCACATGTTCTCACTTATTTGGGGGACCTGAAAATCAAAACAATTTAACTCATGGATGTAGAGAGAAGAATGGTAACCAGAGTTGGGGAGGGTAGTTGTGGTTGGCTGGGAGGCAGGAATTGTTAATCGGTATGAAAACACAGAATAATAACACCTACTATTTGATAGCACAACAGGGTGACTTTAGTCAGTAATAGCTTAATCATACATAAAATAGCTAAAGTAATGTAATTGGATTGTTTGTAACACAAAGGATAAATGCTTGAGGGGATGGATAATCCATTCTCCATGTTGTGCTTATGTCACACTGCATGCCTGTATCAAAACATCTCATGTACCCCATAATTATATATACCTACTATGTACCCACACAAATTAAAAATTAAAAAAATTAAAAACAGACAGTGAGGAAATTTTTTAAAATACCAATAATTACTACACTGGGAAAGTAAGAAAAGATGTTTTATCTATGAAACACAAACAGGATGTTAATTTTTCAAAGGAGGGTATCCAAATCATAAGAACTAGGTTCTGGAAAATAAAAATATGAGAGAACAAGTTCAATAGGAGAAGTAGAGCAAATAAATAACAACAGAAATACAGGGATGAAAATAACAGAAAAAAGTAATATTATTACAAGATTAGAACACTCAATATGCATTAGTATTGCCAGAAATTATCAAATAAATAATTTAAACAGTTTTTCAGAACTGATGGATATGTTTCCAAAATGAATAGGGCCCACTGAGTGACCAGCACAGTGAAAAAAGACCCACTTTAATAGACATCATCACTAAAATTAACAGGACTAAACATAAATAGAACTGGAACACTTCCAGAGAGAGAGAAAAAAAGTGAGTTCACATTTAAAATACTTTACAACAGAAGAACACAATTTCTCAGCAACATCAGAAGCTTAAAGAAAATTGAACAAGGTATTCTTTATTTTCTGCATGAATTGCAAATTCTGAGAGTCATGTTAAAGATTCCCACTAGGATTTTCATGTTGCTAGTTTCTCTTTGTGTAGCTACCAGTTTTGCCTTGACTGTTTTGATCCTATTTTCTTTGTTATATAAAGTTTTATCTATCATTTCTTCATGGTTTGTTTTACCTTGGATTTTTCATTATATTATATATTCTTCTTATCCTTTTAAAATCATTGTATATTGAATTCAACTTTAATATTAGTCAGATCACCTCTATTCTGCAATTTAGTACATTTTTTAGAAGTTTTGCCACTTCATAATTTCCAATAGCCGGATTCTTTTATTTTAGAAATGTATTATGAATACTAAAAATATTTAAATATATTTGACCATATATTTCTCTGGCAATGTCAAAAACTGAAAAGTGTCCATGATAGTTCACATACTCCCCACCTCCCACCAAAAATTAATGAGAGCTTTAATTTTAAGTTTCATAATAAAGTGTTCCTATTGACTTATTAAAAAAAAAGAACCATGAAAATATTTCAGAAAGTGGGAAAAATATCTTATTATTGTTTTAGAATAATGATTCTGGAACTAATGAGTATACATTGTACATTTGAGAACTGTTTTCGGAGGGTGCGGCAATTCTTGCTAAGTAGTGATTGTAATAGTTAGAGGTGAGATGATAATTACTTGACCTAAGGCAGTTCGAGTGGGAATTGAGAGATGATTAATTGGATAATAGGCCAAAGAAGGTGGAGGTGGGAGGCTGCCTAAGATGATGTTGGGATTTCTATCTTGGTTAACTGCGGGATGATAATGGCATTAATTATCATAGAAAATGATAGCAAAAGATAATGTTGTTCATATGTTGATTTGAAGTGTCTCAGGAACCAGCACTTTGCCTTACAGATTCAAATAGAGGCTACTAAAGTAATGAATCGGTCTTAATGTAAAACTTTCCTCTAGTCCTCCCTTGACCTAGTACCTGGATTCAGTAACTAGACTTTTACCCAACTGATCCTGTTACTAAATACCCATTAGACTTTTCTCCAATTCTGAAGATTAAGATGCTTCCTTTATGCTTCCTTCTTCAGAGTTCATAGAAAATATGCTACCTATTAATCTCTGATATGGTCTGAGTGTTTTTGTGTCCCCCAAATTCATGTTGAATTCCTAACGTCTTAGGTGATAGGGTTAAACAACAAAAATATAGTGATAGTATTAATGTGAGAGTATTAAGAGGTGGGCCTTTTGGATGTGATCAGGGGGATCTGCCCTCAGGAATGGGATTATTGCCCTTATAAAGAAGCCTGAGAGAGCTTGTTTGCCACTTTCACCACATGAGGACACAGTGAAAAAATATCATCTGTGAACCAGGAAATGGGTTTTACCTAACAACAAATCTGCCAGTAACTTGGTCTTGGGCTTCTCAGCCTCTAGAACTGTGAAAAATAAATTTTTGTTGTTCAGAAGCTACCCAGTCTAGGATGTTTTCTTATAGCAGCTGAAATGGACTAAAAAATCTCCTAATCCTAACTCCTCATTTTTATGGATCTCTTGTTATCTCCTGACCAGTATCAGTTAAGATTCTTGGATGTAAGCAACAGAAGCCAACTTGAGCTAACATATGGTATTCAGTAACATGATAATAATAGGTACCATAAAGACTAAGTAGAAAAGCCAGAAAATCAGATTTAGGAAAGGGTCAGACCCCAACGGAGGCTGTGCAGTGAGAACCACATCCCAGAACCAATAAAGGGTTGATTAGAAACCAGTTTCTGTTCTGCTGCCATGATGCTGCAGAATACTGCAGCCACTGACACGGAGACTTGGAATCCCTGCTCCAGGGGGCTGATGCCAATATTGCTCTGTGAATATTATCTAACTGACTTGCATCTTTCCCTCCAGGTCCAAATGCCCTGAAAGGTGTGTGTTGTGGCTATGCCTAGGCCACATATTCTTGTCTTTGATGTCAGGTATGGGAATAAAGATGACTACCCTTCTTTCACTTCCTTAGTGAAAGGAGCACACTGTGTCCCACTAAATTATTCAACAAGTACTTTTTGAGTATATGCTGTGCACCAGTTCTAAGCACTGGGATACAGTCGTGATCAAAATAAACCCAAATCCCTGTCCTCATAGACTTGTAGGCTGACAATGAAAGGAAGTTTTTGGCATATTATTGCCTAAAGCTTGTTTTCCAATCTGCTATGAATTAGTGTTGGCAAAGATTCAAACTCCAAACAAATGACTGATTTCCTGAAATCTATGTTTCCTAAAAACTGGGGTCAGCTGCAGGGTTTGAGACACTATCTAATAATGTCCTAAAAGTTTGGAAAACCTAAAAAGCAGCCATTTCGTTCCTCAGCTTGTCACTTAAAACAAGTTTAGCCCCCTTGACTCCCAACTCAATGTTTCATGTCAATCCTATGCTTCTGTTTAACTTGTATGATATGATTACAGTTTGAACGGGCCAGAAGTATTTCTTTTGAATCTTTGACAATTTTTTAGTTCTTATTTTATATGTACAGGCAAATTCTCAAATATTCTACAAACGGATCCTTACCTATGTAGGCTCAAGTCTAGAGCTTCCTGTGGGAGAAACTCTCAGCCATCTCTCACTCAATCCTCCAAGTGGAAAGAAAAGTGCAGTTGGTGTGTTAATCACTTCAGAATATTCAGGGTCCTTTACACAGTTATAAGAGATGTGAACACTTAAATATTATGTGCAAGGGTTTCTAATCCCAGTCCCCTGCAACACAAAAAGAGGGAAGCTGAGGGGCTTGATGCTGAAATCCATAATTAGCAATGAAATATCCCACAAAAAATGATATAATGAAGGAGATTCAAGTATAGACTTAGTCATAGTAATAATACTTCAAATGTTTAAGGGATGAGCAGCCACTGGAGACTGGACTATGAGCCTAACCAGCATGGATACTATGATGGTTAATACTGAGTGTCAACTTGGTTGGATTGAAGGATGCAAAGTATTGATCCTGGGTGTGTCTGTGAGGGTGTTGCCAAAGGAGACTAACATTTGAGTCAGTGGACTGGGGAAAGCAGACCCACCCTTAATCTGGAGGGCACCAACTAATCAGCTGCCAGTGAATATAATGCAGGCAGAAAAACGTGAAAACGCAAGACTGCCCTAGCCTCCCAGCCTACATTTTTCTCCCATGCTGGATGCTTCCTGCCCTCAAACATCAGACTCCAATTTCTTCAGTTTTGAGACTCGAACTGGCTCTCCTTGCTCTTCAAGCTTGCGGACAGCCTGTTGTGGGACCTTGTGATCATGCCAGTTAATATTTAATAAACTCGCCTTTATGTGTGTGTATGTGTGTGTGTATATATATGTATATGTGTATATATATGTATATGTATATGTGTATATATATGTGTGTGTATATATGTGTGTGTGTATTATATATATATATATATAAAATATACACACACACACATATATATATATATACCCTATTAGTTCTGTCCCTCTAGGGAACCCTGACTGGTACAGAGACTTTGTCTATATGGGGAAAAGCATTCCAATTTTGAAGCAATTCAATTTACAAATGAATTTCTGGAAGGCAGTCTTTCACCATTCTTCTTTTCAAGACTGGTCTTACAAAAGTTCTTGCCCTTACAAAACAACCAAACCCTTCAAAAGGAGAAAATAAGTGTTTCCCAGGTCCAGATGTCAAAATAACAGCAAAGTCTCAAACTGTGACTAAACCTCGTCACAGAAGAAAATATCAGTCTCCTAGGAAACCTACATGAGCCAGAATTGTCATCACTCTTTAACTGCTGAAGATATTTATATACAGCTCACAAATTTTCACCTACAGTAAAATATTACTTTGAAAACCTTTATAAGCTACTAAAAAACAAGGTAAAATTTAAATACTGAGTGTATTTATCCATTAATTTATTAAACAATTAATTATGGAGAGCCAACTACAGGCTAGGAACTGTTCTGGCTGAGTGTACAGCACTAACGATACTGACCAAGCCTTTGCTTTCTAGAGCTAACAGTAAATGGAGAAAAAATAAAGCAGACTTCAAGAATGAGGAGGCATAAGTTAGGGGTGCCACATTAGATAAGGGGAAAAGAGAAGGTGTCTCAGAGATGACACTGGAGCAGAGACTTGTGAAATGAAGGAGGAAGCCAGGGGGCCAAACAGATGTCATAAAGGGATGGAGAGAGTAGGCCACATGAAAGCTCTGTAGCACTCACACCTTTGGTGCATGTGACGCTGATAGTTATTGAGATCCAACTGGTGTAGCTCTAGCACAGTGAGTGAGCAGGAGGAGGCAGACATCTCACCTGGGGACATAACAGGGCCAGAGCATTCAGGGCTGTATAGATACAGTAAGGACTTGGGATTCATTCTAAGTGAAATGGGAAGTATGTCAGTGGAGTTTCAACATCTAAGCAACAGAATCTGACTTTCTTTTAAAAGGCACCACTCTGATACCTCTGTGCAGAGATGTGAAAGATCTCCTAAGATGTGAGAATATTCCTGTAAAACAATGCTATGATTTGCTAGTTAGTTATCATGATTAATTAGTTAATTAATTTTGTTGATCTTCCCTTTTGCACATTTTTGGCATGAGGGATCGCAAAGCTTACATGATGTTCTGTTGATGCCAACAATAAGGTGAAGTGTCTTTTTTTTTCCAAACTGTCTTTGATGTAATTATTTTTTATTATCCCAAAATTCTGGTGCTTGAACTCTAGACCTGACCTGGTTTTAAATAAGTTAACAGGAAAAAATAACCACAAAATTCTGTGGTATGAATACAGTCCTTCTAAATACTAGATGTCTCTTATAAATCCTGATGCAACAAAGAGCATTTTTCTTTGCATTCAACTCTGAAAAAGCATCAGAAATACTGCTGACTTGTGATCTGAAAGGGAAAGAATAAAAGATCAACAGATAAAGAAGAGATACTTTCTAAAAGCTTCAGTAGACATGGGAGGGGCCCTCTATCTTTTGCGTGTGGATCTGCCCTTCAACAATCAGTTCACCAGACGGTCTGACTGAAACTCTTAGAGCTTAGTTCCTGGGATGGATCATAAAACACAGGTCTAAATTTATTAGCCTTAACATTCTACTGGCCACAGTGATTGGTTCAGAGGAGGTCACATGACCCCAGCCAGGACAGTCAAAGCTGATCTCAGGAATTATGGGCAGCTGAGAGAAAGTGTGCCTCTGTTGCCACTGAACACGAAGATGTAAATTGACTAGAGTTGCTGCACTAAGGCAAAGCCTCTTTACAAAAAAAGAACCAACCCAGAAGTGGAACTGAAAAACTGAAAGAGAGAAATCAGACCTTGGTGTTATAATCTGAAACTTTGCTTTGAGTTACACCTAAAGGTAGTCTTCTCAGCATCTCACTTTGTGTGACCCATAAAATATATATTCTTGAAGCTACACTGGGTTAGGTTTTCTGTCACTTGAAACTGAAAATATGGTAATGGATATACATTGAGTTCAAATAATCTTGAATATGAATGATAAATTCAGTAATCATAACACTAGATATTAGACTTTTTTCCCATTAACATTACAACATCTTTTAATCTAGTGAATGGAAAAAATATTCTAAGATTTATCTAAATACAGAGAGAAATAAGAACTTAGAGACTTAGATTTACAGTGGAGTCCTGGGAAGTGAACAGGAAGAAGTGAAATGGGATTGATATGGGCTTCACGGAACAGAAAAAAGAGGAAAACTGAAATTTTCAAGCTAATCAGGAAGTCCAACGGGCATCAAGTTATAGAGAACAGTAAGTCAGAATATAAACAAGAGGCAAAAGACCAAACAGACCCCTAAACCAGTACGAGAAGGTTTAAAACTTATATTAAAAGAGCCAGACTTGAAAAAGGTGCCCAGGGACTTGGGGATTAGCTGAAGTGCTTTTTATAGGTTACCTTTGGAGTCAGCATAGGTGGAGAGGGAGTTAGTGAAGGCACTGAATAGACAAGAATATACTTGACAAAATAAAATATTCAGTTATGTATCCAGGCCAAGTAAAATATTCAGAATTCAGTAGACCTTCAAATCCCTAAGGCAACATGACTTTGAAAGGAGAAATATCTTCCTGTGGAAAAACATTCCCTGTTAATGACATGGTAATTCTCTATGACCTGCAACTGAATCACTGAAAGCCATCAAAGTACAAGATGAAAGTTGTATTTCTCTGCTTCTCTCCCACGTATCCCCTCCCACCCTAACATAAATGTGTTTGGCATTGACTGATTCACAATGAAATGAAGACATGAACTAAATTTACTGTAAATGTGCATGAGATTAAGGAAAAAGGTGAATACTCAGAAGGTATTGCTACATAGAAAGAACTTTGAAGCTGTGAAAAGAGCTACAGCTACAGGTCAAAGCTATACTCAGACACAATTGTGAGATGAAGGCAGTTAGCAAAGTCATACTTACAGTGCATCCTTGGACTAGCAGTGTCAATATCACCTGGGAACTTATCAGGCAGACCTACCAAATTAGAAACTCCAGGGAGGGGGCTCAGCACTCTGGTTTAACAAGGCCTTCAGATGATTCTGAGTTACACTAAAGTTTGCCACCTACTGCCTTTCCCCAGGCTCCCTCAGCAGGAGTCACTGAAACCTTCCCTCTAACAACTCAACTGTAACCATTTTCTGAGCACATAATGACCCCAGTAGAGAGAATAGTAGTAGCTCCAAACCAAAAAATGATGAAGTAAGTCTTCAGTTATTTTTAGCCTCATAAATCTTGTGACTTTCTGTAACACCAACCTGTCTACATGACAGTCCCTTGGATCAAGGCAGGTAAAAATAGGCAAGTAAATAAATACAGTATTGATACAAATTGTATAAAATTGGACAACTGCATAGAATTTCATTGATGTATTAAAACTTAGTCTCACTAGACTATGTTCTACACACCTAGAGAATAACTAATGATATAAAGTACCTATAAGAGCACCACCTAACTATGTCAGGAACACAACAAAACAATAGATAATAGGTTCAAGATACCTACAAAAGGTAAATTTTGATTCATCCAAAATACTTAGGATAGTTCATTATGCTACATATTATTTATTGAAATGTTTATACCTGTTTCTGTCTTTTAGATTTAAAATACACCAAAATGCACTCACAGAAAAAAAATGATTCAGGCTGAAAGAGAAACTTTTGTGATTATAGCAAATGCCCTCAAGCAAAAAAAAAAAAGAAAAAAAGTTAAAAAGGTTTATAAATGGAAAAGCAAGAAAAAGAAAAAAAGATGAATAAAGTCATACTAAGGGAAGAAAGATTCTTCAAGGAAGTGGTAAGAAAACTAAAATTAAGTTTCTTCTTGGGTATATTTTATTTTCTTGAAAAACAAATGTTACTGACAACCACCACAAAAATATTTGGCAGTGTGGTTGATACATACATAACTGCATTGTGTAAAGATTCAGATGGGCATGTGTTAAAAATTTTTATTTATTTTTAATTCTAAGCAGCAGTATATGTTGGAAACATGTTAGAGATTTAAACTAGAAACAATACTAAGTACACTGAAAGCCGCAGGAGTCATCATAGACTTTTGTTTTGCGAAGGATATTAATGGACATGGATTCAAATCTTCACACCAACACAGACTCCTTTTCCAGCATCCATGGTAAGTGATCCCAAAGCCTCTGGTTGAACATAAGCAGAAGAGGCAGTTTGACCTCTTTTTAGTAATACAAATCATCAGAAAATTTTGTTTTAATTTGATAAAAATGCCTTGTCATATCATTTTGTCAACAATATACCCAATTTAGGCACCTCTTACAGTTTGATCATAAGCCGACTGTCCTATAAGATGACGCATAGAATTAAAAGAAATATTCTGTTTGCATATTTTTTTTGTTCCTATGATTCATTTTATTTTCATGCAATTCGGCCATAAATGACCATAACTTTGGGGTATATATGTGACTACCTAAGGGTTTCTGGTATTTTAAAAGCACTAATAAATACCTTGCAACTAACATTCTCTTTCCTGAAACCATATTTTAGTTCAGTATTCATCCAGCATCATGAAATATAAAATATTCTTCATATATTACATTTCCAGATAAATAAAAATGTCCCATATTGATAATAACACTCAACAATTTTAGTGGCACTCTTTATGAATGTAACAGTCATAACTATGACTTTGAAATAGCATGTCTGCTAAGTCAGCAAAGAAACAGCCTGCCCTATGAAGGTGAGATAAACTGCTAGCTGCCCCCCCATAAAAACAAGAACAAGCCATCATTTTAAAACAGAATTTCTCTTTCTTGAGAAGAATACATTGTGTAATCTCATTAAGAAATAATGTCTATTTAATGAGAGTGAGGAGCATTTTTGTCCAATAGGAAGAATGTAATGTTAACTTTTACAGCCTAAAATACTATAATCACTTTGGTATATAGAGTTAATCTTGGAGGAAGGGCTAGAACAATTTGCTTAAATAATTTTGGAAGAGAAAAGGTCCAAGACTTCCAGTCATGCTTCATGAGATCCAATGTCAGGGGGCTAACTGGGTGAATTCATGCATTCATGCATTCATTCATTCATTCATTCATGCATTCATTCATCTATCCATTAAGGGTCAAACAAATCTAGGTACTAGGAACACAGCAGGAAACAATGCCCCTGCCCTCATGGCTCCTGGCCAAGTCTGCTGGTACAGATGGACACCAGTGATGCACTCGAATGGCAGGAAGTCTGATGTCCAACCTAAGGGCCAGAGTGTACAGGAGGAGAGATGATGTTAGCACACCAGCCTCCCTGGCATAGTGGCTGTGTTTTGTGGAGCAATAACTGGTATATCTTAACAGTTCAGTGCTGCCTCTCATTAAATCAAGAGCTTTATACTGACATAGTGCAGCCAAATTAAACAGAGGTTACTAAAAGAAATGGAAACCTTTTTTTAATGACTCAAGTCATCACTGTAAAAATTATTAATATTATAGCAGCATAATATTACCACCTGGAGTCTTGATACTTAAAGATATTTGAAATTGTTTATGTTAGTGGGCAATATAAACCTTCTCCCCCTAAAATAGTTTTCTGATTTCTGTGTCTTAGGAATCTACAAGAAATGGAATAGACCAGGGTGACCCATCATTCGCATAATGATCTTCTTTGGTTCCACCACATTCTACATTTCTTTTTATCCACAATGTTTACTGCTCTCTGGAGAAGGAACCTAGTTTTCCTCTAGTAATTTTGATGAATGGCTACTGGCTGTTGGGGAAGACATACATAAAATTAAAATAAAAAGTAAGGGAAGCTTGAACTATTGGGAGACATCTGTAATCCACATGATTTCCCTGTTATGCTGTAGTCCTGAAACTTCAAAAAGGAGGCAAGGCCTCCAAATGACAACATTAGAAGCTGACTTTACTGCTTTTTGTCCCAATAAATCTTTTCAAATTTTAGAATGTTATGATTTATGGTAATGATAGAGAACATGGAGAAATATTTATATAGGACGGAGATCATGGCTAAGAGTCTTAGCAAAATATTATTTCCTTGAATTAGCCTTGAAAGAGTAAAATCTATTCTTTTGCTTGGGGTTTTGTGAGGAATTTTTGTTTGTTTTTCAGATTTATTGAGGTATAGTTGACAAAAATTGTATATATTCAATGTGTACAATGTGGTGTTTTGATATATGTATACATTGGGAAATGATAATTATAATCAAGTTAATTAACATATCCGTTATCTCACATAGTTACCTTTTTTGTATGGTAAGAATATTTAAGATGCATTCTCTTAGCAAATTTCAAGTTTAAGTGTACATATTATTATTAACTATAGTCACGAAGCTGTTCATGGTATCTCCAGAACTTACTCATCTTGAAATTGCAAGTTTACACACTTTGATTAACATCTCCCCATTTCCTCCATCACTTGACTCCTGGAAACCATCTTTCTTCTTTCTGTTTCTATGAGTTCAACATTTTTAGATTCCACATGTAAACATGTGAAATCATGCAGTATTTGTCTTTCTGTGTCTGGTTTATTTAACTTAGCATAATATCCTCCAGATACATCCATGTAGTTGCAAAGGCAGGATTTCTTTCTTTTATTAAGGCTAAATAGTATTCCATTGCATACCACATTTTCTTTATCCATTCTTCTGCTCAGAGACACATAGGTTGATTTCATATCATATCCATTCTTCTGCGCAGAGACACATAGGTTGATTTCATATCTTGGCTATTGTGAATAATGCTGCAAGAAATGGGATTGCAGATATATCTTCTATTTTCTGATTTCATTTTCTTTGGATATATACCCAGAAGTCGGATTGTTGGATAATATGATAGTTCTGTTTTTAATTTTTTGAGGAACTAGCATATTTTTTATGATGACTGTACCAATTTACATGCCTATCAGCAATGTATAAAGTTTCCCTTTTCTCAATGTCCTTGCCAACATTTATCTTTTGACTTTTTGATAATAGTCCTGCTAATGGTTATGAGCTGATATCTCATTGTGGTTTTAATTTGCATTTTCCTGATGATTAGTGATGTTGAGCACTTTTTCATATACAATATCTGTTGGCTATTTGTGCATCTTCTTTTGAGAAAGGTCAATTCAGGTTCTTTGCTCATTTTTAAATCAGGTTTTTTGTTTTTGTTTGCTATTGAGTTGCATGAGTTCCTCACATATTGTGGATATTAACCCCTAATTAAATATATGGTTTGCAAATATTTTCTGACATTCCATGAGTTGCCTTTTTACTATGTTGATTAATTTATTTGCTGTGCAGAAACTTTTTAGTTTGATGTAGTATGATGTATTTATTTTTGCTTTTATTGCCTATGCTTTTTGTATCATATCCAAAAAATCATTGCCAAGAGCAATGTCATGAAACTTTTTCCCTATGTTTTTGTCCAGGAGTCTTATGGTTTTAGATTGTACATTTAAGTCTTCAATAAATTTTGAGTTGATTTTGTGTATGGTGTAAAATAAACATCCTTGTGTTTTGTTTTGTTTTTTGTGGGTTTTTTTTTTTTTTTTTTTTTTGCATGCAGATATCCAGTTTCCTCAGCTCCATTTACTAATGACACTATTCCTTCTATTCCTTCCCTATTGTGTATTCTAGGTAACTCTGACCATGTGCATGTGGGTTTATTTCTGGGCTTTCTATTCTGAGCATCAGCCTATGTATCTGTTTTTATGCCAGGACCATAGTGTTTTGCGTACTAAGTTTGTAGTATATTTTAAAGTTAGGCAGTGTAATATCTACAGCTTTGTTCTTCTTGCTTTAGCTATTTGGGGTCTTTTGTAGTTCTATACAAATCTTACAATTATTTTTTTCTATTTCCATGTAAAATGACAATAGAAATTTGATAGCAATTACTTTAAATCTAGAGATCATTTTAGGTAGTATGCACATTTTAACAATGTTAATTCTTCTGATCCATGAACATAGGATACTTTTTCACTTATTTGTGTCTTTTTCAATATCATTCATCAATGTTCCATTGTTTTCAGTGTATGGAAACTTTTCCTCCTTGGTTAAGTTTATTCCTAAGTATTTTATTCTTTTAGATGCTATTGTAAATGTGATTATTTTCTTAATTTCTTATTCAAATAGTTCCTAGTGAGTGTACAGAAAACAATTGATTTTTATATGTTAATTTTACATCCTGCAAATTTATTTATTAGTTCTAACAGTTCTTTGGTGGAATCTTTAGAATTTTCTATATATATAGTCTATGATCTAAATTTAAGATTATGTCATCTGCAAACAGAGATAAATTTACTTCTTTATTTTCTATTTGGATGCCTTGATTTATTTCTTTCTTGTGCCTAATTGCTCTGGCTAGGACTTCCAGTACAATGTTGAATAGAAGTGGTGAGAGTGGCCATCTTGTCTTTTTACTAATCTTAGAGGAAAAGCTTTGAGTTTTCAGTCATATTGGCCTGTACTTTTATTATTATTATTATTATTATTATTATTATTTTAGTGTCATTGCCTGGTTTTTGGCGTCAGGGTAATCCCATACTCTTAAAATGAGTTTGGAAGTGTTGCCTCATCAATTTTTTGAAAAAATTTGAGAGGGATTGACTTTAATTCTTCTTTAAACTTTTGATAGAATTTACTCATAAAGCCATCCAGTCCAGGCTTTTCTTTGATGGAAGATTATTTATTGCTGATCTAATTTCCTTACTGGTTATTGATCCCTTCAGATTTTATATTTCATCATGCTTCAGTCTTGGTAGGTTGTAAGTTTCTGTGAATTTATCTATAGTAAAATGTATTCCTATGGTGTAGCTGAACGTCATTAGGATAACAAGGTCTAAGACTTTAGAATTTAGAGACACCTCTGCACTTGTTTTCTACTTTAGTATCCTATTAAACAAAAAATATCAACCTCCCCAAACACCTCCAACTTTTGTGCTGGACTTTTGGATGTACAAGCTCTTAATTTTTCTTTGATATTTCTCTTTTTCTTCAAAATTATCAGACATTTCTGAATCTTTCTACTTTCCCCTCTTGCATTAGTGCCTTCTTGTCTGAATTCACCTCTCACTTCCTCCAGATAAATCAACAATTTATTTAATGTAGGATTCTAAGTCAAAATATTTTAGGCAAAATCTTCAAATAACTTCACACTTGAAGTTATTTAAACTTTAAGACCTGCATAACAGTGGTTTATTTAGTTTTTAAAATCCATTCTGAGAACCCAAAGGACAGAGGCTGAGAATGTTTCAATTTCAACCACCAGCTAGATGATGTGCTCCTATAAGATGGACCATTAACACTTCACGTCAAAGTCTATCCTGGGGAAAATCTTCTAAAGTAGGACTATTAAACTAGACCACTCAAAGAGCTATACTGACACCTGTATGAAAAAGCTATAGTTCTATAAATGCTAGGAATTTATATTTCTATAAGTTCAGCTGATCTAATTGAGATATATTACCTTAGGGTCTTAGGAGGCTTTAGCTAAAAAATTATTAAAAAATTGTTAAACAATAATAGCATATATATGCCATAAATAAAATTGATTTAACAATTTTATTAATTTCATAAATATTTACAGAAAACCTAGTGTATATAAGTCATTGTTTATGGTTCTGAGGGTACAGAATGATCAAGAAAGAAAATGTTTTTGATCTAAAAAAACTGACATTCTTGTGGGAGAAAAATTCAATAAAATAACAAAAAAATTTAGATTGTGATAAGGTCTAAGAAGGATATAAAAAATGGATAGTAATATAGACAGGAAGTAGACCTGAGAGTAAAGGGCTCTATGAAGAAAGTTATTGAGGAAGGCATCCCTTAGGAAGTAAACTTTAACTCAGACCTGATTAAATTTTAAACTTTGTGCCAGCATTTGGTTTAAACCAGAAAAGTTTTGGTAAAGAAAAGGTTTAGAAAAGGCAAAGTACATAAGTGAGCATAATAAAATTAAAAAAAATAAAAGTAATTTATAGGATACATTTGTGCTATGTTATAATGAAAGTTGAGAATGTGTTTTTTAAAGCAGACTTTATTATATTGGTAAGTATTCACTGGATATGATTGAAAGCTCTAGTGAGTAAGTTATTACAGGAAGATACACTCTGTGCACTCTAAAATGATAGAAGGAAGATAAAAAGCAGAAGTCTTATTAAAAATCACCTATCTATATTTTTACCCAGGATGACCCACATTTTCTGTTCAAATCACCGCCACAGAGGAAAATAGGATTTGTCATGCTGGATTAGATCATTGCTCTATTACATGTGCAATGCTGATTCCAGCATGAGTCAAATATTTGTTGCATCAGACGAAAGTAAAAGCTTCCAAAACAAGTTGTCATACTTGCCGTGCTTTCAACTGCAGTCAAAATTCCATGTAGAGCTATACTTCAATCATTGAGCTCCTATTTTAGATATAAGACTTTTTTTAAGAAGTTTAAGACACTATATTTTATAGAGGCCTCAATAAATGTGAAATATGGTCACATCTTCCAGCTTCAATTCTCCTGCTCTAAATGTTTCTCTTTATCTCCCATCTATATTCATTTTGTGCCATGGAAGACAGGGGAGAAAAAGAGGCAGTAAACAGCTATATAGTTCCATAGGACATGGTTGAAGCAACAACCATGTTCATCTTTTAGGCTGCTGCATAGAGATTTTCTTTCTGCTTCAAAGAAGCCTCAGGATGTTAGCTTTACTCTATTTTACAAAGGATACATTGTATGAATTGTTATGGTCCATTAACCTGCAGGAATAACTCATTGTAATGCTGTAGAACTTTTTCTAGCTAATCTGCATAAGAGTCAGTATAGACCCTACTCATATAAAAAGATGGTTAATTATGAATAGAATATTTTCATGCTGAATGCAGGGATTGTATTTTATATATCCATCCCAACCAGGCTTGCTTTATATTCCATATTCCCTTGCACATTGTAGGTGCTCAATAAATGATTAGCCTGTCAAATTTGTCTTCCTAATTAAAGAGTTTAGGCCATTTATATTTATTAGGATAACAAATATATTTTGTTTTGTTACATTGTGTTATGTTGTGCTTTCTATTTTTACTATGCTTTTTTATTCTTATTTTTCTTTTTCTATATTGATATTTCTTGTTACTTTTCCTTTTACAGGTTTTCAAATTATAAAATATATTACTATATTTTAGTGTTATCTTAAAATTTTAAACGTACATTTAACTTAACAAAATGTAAAGTTAGTCAACAGTCTTACCAATAGTGCAAGCAATATGTGGACAGTAGAATGCTTTAACTCTTGTCATCCATTCTCCATTATATCCTAATAACTAATATTTTAGATTTAACTTTTTTAGTCTTAACTCCAGAAATTAGGAACAATTACTAATTTATACAGTCAATAATTATTTACATTTATCCACAAAGATTCCAGCTTTTGTTAACCATTCCTTTTTCAATTTTAGGCCTTCCTTCTGGGATTATTTTTATTCTTCCTGAGGTACATCCTTTGGCATTTCCTTTAGTGTGCATATGTAGGTGACAAAGTCATTTTTATTTGTCTGAAAATATCTTTATTCTACTTCTATTTTAACTGTAGTTTCATTTGTTATAGAACTCTAGTATTTCTAGATTATAAGTGTTTTTTGCTCAAGGTTTGAAGTTATCATTTCATAACTTCACTATTTTTTGGCTTCTAATACTTTAAAGAGGTATCTTTTAAAAAGATATCTCTTCCATCACTCTAATTTCTTTTCCTTTGTAGATAGCCTGCCTTTTCTCTCTGCAGCCAGATATTATTTCCTCCACATCTCTCTATTTGCTTCTTCTGGAATTTAGATTAAATAGTCACCAAAATTTGTCATTCTATTATCCATGTGATTTGCCCGTTTTGATATTTCCCATCTGTTTTCCTAACTTTTCTGGATTTCTTTTTAGATATTTTATGCAATTTAGGCCAGGCACAGTGGCTCATGCCTGTAATCCTAGCACTTTGGGAGGCGGAGACAGGTGGATCATGAGGTCAGCAGTTCAAGACCAGCCTGACCAACATGGTGAAACCCCGTCAGTACTAAAAATACAAAAATTAGCCAGGCATGGTGGCACGTGCCTGTAATCCCAGCTACTCAGGAGGCTGAGGCAGGAGAATCGCTTGAACTCAGGGGGTGGAGGTTGCAGTGTGCCAAGACTGTGCCATTGCACTCCAGCCTGGGCAACAGAGCGGGACTGTCTCAAAAAAAAAAAAAAAAAAAAAAAAAATATATATATATATATATATATATATATATATATATTTATTTTATCCAATTTATTAATACCTTCAATTGTGTCTAACTCTCTATTTAACTTATACACTATTCTCTATTATATCATAATTACACACTTAATATTTTAACTATTTTTCAAAATTAGGGTAATTTTGACAACTTCATATTTGTATCATATATTCAATATTAACCTTTATTTGGGGCTATCTTATTTCTTCTGATAATTATCTTAATATTATCTGATTATTATAAGTTATTTGTTTCTTTTTATTTTAGATTTTTAAACTTCTAATGTTAGGGTTTGATTCTTTTGTTTGATGTTTTTGATGTCTCTCGATCATTTGGATTTGCGTGGCTTGTGTACATATACAGCATGGAATGCTGTGCAACCATGAAAAAGAATGAGGTCATGTTCTTTGCAGGGACATAGATAGAGATGGAGACCATTATCCTTAGCAAACTAACATAGGGACAGAAATCCAAATACTGCATTTTCTTACTTATAAGTGGGAGCTAAATGATGAGAATACATGGACACATAGAGGGGAACAACATACACTAGGGCCTTTTGGAGGGTGGAGGTTGGGAGAAGGGAGATGATCAAGAAAAATAATTAATGGGTAGTAGGCTTAATACCTGAGTGATGAAATAATCTGTACAACAAAGCTCCATGATACAAGTTTACCTATGTAACAAACCTGCACTTGTACCCTTGAACTTAAATAAAAGTTTTAAAGAAAAAAAAGAATTCTAAGGAGATCCTCATTTTTTTAAAAAAAATGTTTATTCTCCTATTCAAAAACAAGGACAAATGGGCAGTCTCACCATTGCCCTGTGAAAGACAGCTTTTTAAGCCACTGCAATTGTCATCTTCTGTGGGTCAGGTATGATACAATGTGCAGAGATGTTTCATATTTGGCTGCCTGGAGTTTGTCACCTGTCTCCAACACAGCAGGCACATCACTGGATCTCTATATGCTCTTGGCACTAGTTTACCTCTCTGGGCTTAAATTTTCTCTTTGTTTCAAACCTCCAAGTATTTCCCATACTATCCCACCAGTTGAGATATTTTTTTCTAAACAAGTTTTTTCTAAAAATATGTTTTGCCTGTGTATATGTATATACATATATATGTATATGTGTATATCTATGTGTATATACATATATATGTATGTGTGTATATATGTGTATATATATATGTGTGTGCACATGCATATAAAAATCTGTATATTTACCTACATGATTTGCTCAATAGGAAACAAAGAGCCAATGTTCCAATTATGAGCTTAAGCCTCATGCGGCATTGTCCATCTCTACTTTTTTTCTCGGACTCCAAAAACTACCATGTGAAGAATCCTGAGCTAGCCTGCTGAAGCATGAACCACCACATGGATCTGAGTAGTGAATTCATGCTAGCCAAGCTGCAGGTATCTGAGAGAACACAGCCAAGATGAGCAAGCTAAGCCACAGATGACCTGCTGGTTGAGCACAGATACCTGAGTGAGGCATCATGGGTCTTCAGCAATTTTATTATTATATGCTATTATGTGATTTTCTTTGTGTTTATTTTGCTTGGGGTTTGTCCGTCTTCTGAGCATCATGAATTTATATTGTTCATAAAATTTAGAAAATTTCCAGCCAGTATTTCTTCAGCATTTTTGGCTTCTACCTTCTTCTCCTCTCCTCCTGTAATTCGAATCCCGTAGACATCAGCCCACTTAATATCAAGCCATTGAAGCACTGTCTTTTTCATTCTCATTTATCTGCTTAATTTTAAATAGACTCTTCTGATGTCCACTGACCTTTTATTCTGTAGTCTAATTTGCAGTTAAAGCCATCCAGTGATTTTTTTCTTTATATATTTTGACTTTCATCTCCAGAAGTTCCATTTGGTTGCTTTTATTATCATACATTTCTTTCTTCATTGTGTTTATATTTTTCTTTCAATGCTTGAACTTATGGATGGCATTATAATAACTATGTTAAAGGCCATGTCTATTAATTCCACCCTCTCAGTCATTTCTAGGTCTGTTTATATTAACTAAATTTTTTCTCAGTTTTGAGTCGCAGTTTACTACCTCTTAATATATTTAGAAAGTATTTATTGAATATCAAACATAGCAAATATTACCTTGCTGAGTGTTTGCATATATTTGTGTTTCTTTAAAGGGTATAGAAGTTTGTTTTGGCAGAAAGTTATTTGTAGATAAGATTAATCCTTAAGAATCTTGTGTTTTCAGCCCCAGTGAAACGTGGGCAAAGGACACGAACAGACACTTCTCAAAAGAAGACATACATGTGACCAAAATGCATATGAAAAAAGCTCAACATCACTATTCATTAGAGAAATGCAAATCAAAACCACAATGAAATACCATCTCACACTAGTCAGAATAGATGTTATTAAAAAGTCAAAAAGTAACGGGTACTGGCAAGGTTGTGGAGAAAAAGAAATGCTTATGCACTGTTGGTGGGAGTGCAAATTAATTCAACCATTATGGGAAACAGTATGGAGATTCCTCAAAGACCTAAAGATAGAACTACCATTCAAACCAGCTATCCCATTACTGGTTATATATCCAAAGGAATGTAAATCATTCTATGATAGAAGCACATGCACACATATGTTAATTGCAGCAGTATTCACAATAGCCAAGACTTAGAATCAACCTAAACACCCATCAATGGTAGGATGGATTTTAAAAATGTGATACATATATACACCATGGAATACTACACAGCCATCAGTAAGAATGAGTTCATGTCCTTTGCAGGAACATGATGGAGCTGCAGGCCATTATTTGTAGCAAACTAATTCAGGAGCAGAAAACCAAATACCACATGTTCTCACTTACAGATGGGAGCTAAATGATGAGACCACATGCATACATAGAGGGGAAAAACACACACTGGGGCCTATTGGAGGGTGAATGATGGGAGGAGGGAGAGGATCAGAAAAATAACTAATGGATACTAGGCTTGATACCTAGGTGACAAAATAATCTGTACACTAAACCCTCACGACACACAATTTACCTACATAAAAAACCTGCACATGTACCCCTGAACTTAAAATAAAAGTATTTTAAAAAGACTTGTTTTTTAAGTACTGTAGTATTAGTAGTCTTTATTCCAGGGAAAAGTTGTACCTACTAAAATATGACCCTTCTATGACCTCTACTGATTGCCCAAGTTTCCAGTGAGTTTTCTCTATTTTGATTGGATTAAATTTAAATATCTCCTAATTCTGTATGAACTTGAGAAACTGATCATCTTATAACTTCCCAACATTTGTTCTTGCCAAGTCTCCTGAAGTTTTACCCTAGGTATGCACAGATTAGCATTCAACCAAAGATTCAAGAAAACTGGCATGTAGATTTCTGGAGGTCTTACTATGTATAACTCCCTCATTTCTGTTTCTCTGCCTTGTAAACTCTAGCTGGTCCAGCTTCCTTAACTTTACTCTCTGTCTCCTCACTTCAGCAAGAGCCTCATGCTCTGCTTGGACTTTCCCCAACACACACACACACACACACACACACACACACACACACACACACACCCTCTCTCCCTCCAAGAAATTGCCTTTAGACAGAAAGTTAAAGTGATAACAGAATTAATTTTATTTGTTTTTCTTTTTGGGGGAAATATTCTTATACTATCTGTTGTCTCAATGTCTGAAAACAATTATTTTGTATATTTTCTCTAATGCTTTATTTGTTTTGGGTTAGGAGATAGGTTCATACCAGTTTCCTTCTGTGCTAGAACTAGACAGCTTCTTGATGCTGGGCTCTACTGCTAGATAACCGCTTACCTGAGATTGAGTACACACAAGCGAATCCACATTCACCTATTTTCCAATATTTACCCACTTCAGGTAAATATCTGAAAAGTCTCAAGTCCTTGGCATGCTAAACACCAAGAGTCGAAGTGGTTCCACCATCACTTCCTCTTGCTCAGACCATCATTTCTGTTTAATGACCTGTTTACATCTTTAAGGAGTCATGAAACTCAATATGGTAAGGCATGTCAACAATCAGGCATTACTATAGAATAACAAGACAGAAAGTTGGTTATCATGCTATGGGTTTCCAAAATACTACAATGGCCAAGGAGTTACATTTGAAACCAAGTGCCCCCCAGATGTTTGCGTATTTTCTCTTGGGACTCCAATATTCATTTACTGCATAAATAAACTTACATTAGTCACCTCTTTTTAGCCTCACATCCCTCTCACTATGTGTTGATTCTTAGCCCCCCAAAATGCCAGAGTTTCACGCATGCTTGGCTCCCATCTTTTATAGTCTTTACAGCATATTCTTGGTAGCTGTTTGCTCTGTTTGTTTCATTGGTCATTGTATTATTCTCACTTAATATTCTGGTCATTTTAATTTAATATTCTGGTAATCTCTTATTCACTGATGATTTTCAACTTATCACTTTCTCATTGCCTTTATGAGTTAATTTCCTTTGTGTATCTTTACATTGGTGTGTGAGGATAGTGAGAGCAAAAGGCAGATTTTTCACTTAAACATCTTCTGAAATGTTCTCATTGCAAACTAATTAAATTCTTTTTTTATAGATTTATCTGCCTTACTGTCTATGTAAGTGTAGTATATGTTATAAATCTGTTAGGTTGCAAAGGATTGTTTCATATTTTGTGAATGTTTCTAATGAACATGTCTGGATTGAAAGAGTAGGAACACATTTTATCCAGATTTCTAGAAATAAAAATTATGGCCCTGATTTTTTCACTGTATAACTACACAGTTTTTTACCCCTATGGAATGTTGATTCTTTACCTGTAAAGAGAAGTTAGACCATATTCTGTTGATTAAATTTTCTCTAAAAGGTCTTTAAATTTTATAAATGTTTGAAAAGTTTGTTTTAAAAGCCTGTCGATATAGGCATAGGAAATTGTAGGTAGTTTTTATTTTTTCCTTTTCTGTCTATTTTGGAAGCATTTATGGAACATTGTGGGGGTTTATACAAATATTTTTTATGTCAAGACGTCATATGCAAGGAGTTAAATCTCTGGCTAATTGTGGACTTGTCAGAGTGGAAGCCAGAGTGCAGCAAACTGAAGACTGAATAGTTTGATACAGTGGAAACCATGAATATAGATATGTCTTTCATGAAATTTGATTATGAAGAAAATGTAAAAATAAAGAGAAGTAGATGGAAGGGGACATGGATTTTTTTTTAGAACAAAGCATACTTGAGCATGTTGATATGCTGATATTAATTCACCACAAAAATTGAGAGATCGAATATGCAGGAGAAACTATTATAATAGCTAGAACAAAGTCCCTGATTAGGTTAAAGAAAATGAGATCTAGTTTACAAATGGAAAGGTAAAACTTAGAAGGAAGGAGACATATCTCATTAATTTTAATAGAAATCTAATAGCCAAAAATGATGAAAGGATTAATCATTGACTGACTGATTTTGATAACTGGAAATTGAAGGAAACCCAGGCCATAGTCTAATAGCTTTAAAAAACTTGCACTTATTCTCCTAGTCAACTTGCAGATTGACCAGGAGTTGGCTGAGATTAAGTTAAAACCGGTAACAAAATAGTACCTGGAAAGTGGCAAATATTTGGAAATCTACACACTTGTAAATAAGCCATCAAGGATTTTTAAAAAAGAAATTAGAAATTATTTCAAACCAAATCTACAGAACAAAATTTGTAGAGTATAACTAAAATACTTTTTAAAGACAAGTTATAACTGTAAGTGCTTATTTTATAAAAACAAAATTTTAAAATTATAGATCATGCTTCTACCCCAGGAAACTAAGAAGTAGTACAAATTTAACCAAAAATAAGTATAAGGAAACAAATAAAAATGAATGAAAGTAAATTATATAGAAAATGACAATATTAAAGAAAAAATCAGTGAAACATAAATTTGTTTATAAAGATCTGTAAAATTTTTATCAAACTGTAAATAAGATTTATTATAAAAAGAAGGCACAATGCCAAGTTATGAATGATACCAATATTAAGAATGAATGAATCAAGTGATGTCACTAAGATTGTGGAGAAGGAAGCCTTGAACTCTGTCCTTCCCTGACAAACATACTGATGCCACAACAATTCACAGATACAGTCTCATTATGAGAAAACAGAAACCAATTAGAAGGCCCTTGTACCCCAGGGGAATGTGAAACCAGACTCACTGTAGCTAGTAGGGAGATTTATGACATAGTCTAGAATCCCTACTCCCTGCATAGCACCATATAATCAGGAAGAGACCTCCTAGTGCCCAGCTTCACCCAGGAGAATGAACATGTCGGTATGTGTGTCTAGTTCCCCATATTTCCTAAGGGGCCTCCTTAGAGGATTGGCTTTTGTCCTGCCAGTCTTGGAGCTCTGATAGGTGTGGCGTAGTCTAGTCACTCAGGGGAGGGTAGAGATAGCAACTTGAGTGGATAGACACAGTTGATCCTCCCTTCTGCTCAGCACAGAGCAGGCAGATGAGAAATTCCAGCTCTCAGCTTCCCTTTGAGGAGGAAAAAGTTAACCCCTTTGTCTGGCACCTCATGTTTCTCTAGGACTGTCCAAATAATTAGCAACTGTCTCACCAGTCCTGGAGCTCTGATGGGTCCAGCACAATGTAGCTAGCCAGGGAGAATGGACATAATGGCTTGGGATGGTAGGTAATCTTCATCCTTGCCACTGCTCAGCACAGAGAAAGTGGATAAAAAAATCTCAGCTCTCAGCCTTCTCTTGGGTAGGAAAGAGTTTATCAGTACATAGAGTATGCCAATTTCTCTGAGGCTATCCATGAACTAGCATCTATCTCACCAGTCTTGAAGTTCAGATGAGCCACTACAGTCTAGCTTCCCAGGGAAGAATGGAGATAGAGGTTTGGGCTGGTACATGCTATAGCTCCACTTCTGGCTCAGCAGAGTGAGTGGACAAAAACCATAGCCACGTGCTTCTTCCTAGGGAGGGAAACAGATGGTAGAGTCCTCCAGAATCTCTGACCAGACATATTGATAGGGATTTCTTCTGTACAAAGCCAGTTCATAAAGACTTGGAGAGGGGCCTGTTTTGGTAATGCACAGAAACCGGTCAAGAAAAAAAGAGTCAAGAAAAATGAAAAATTAGGGAGAAATGTTCCAAAGAAAGAAACAAAATGACCTCCAAAAATAGGTCTTAATGAAATGAAGTTATATTATTTTCTTGAAAGATAATTAAAAATAAGTCATAATATGTCCACCAAGTTTAAAAGAACAATGAATAAGCAAAGTGTGTAGGATGATATATTAAAAGAGCTGAAATAAAAAGCTGCCAATCAATAATAGTATAATAATACTATACTAGGCAAACTGTCCTTCAAAAATGAATGAGAGATGAAGACTTTCCCAATTAAACAAAAACTGAGAAGTTCATCATCTCTGGACTGGCCTTTAAAAATGTTATAAGGAGTTTTCCCACTTGAAATAAAAAAATGCTAGACAGCAACATGATAGCATAGAAAAGTATGAAACTCATTGGTAAATACAAATATATAGACAAATACTGAATATTACTGTAATGATGGAGGGTAACACACTTTTAATTCAACTGTAAATGTTAAAAGACAAAATTAGTTAAAATAACTATAAATAAATATATGGTAAAAGATATACAATATGAATAAATGAACATAGTGCCAACAATAATATAAAGTGTAGGGAGAAAATAAGTTAGAGTTACTGGATACAATTGAACATAAGCTGTTATCTGCTTAATATGGACTATTATAAAATATTTTACTTAAGTGCCAAGGTAGCCATAAAAAAACCTATAGAAGGTACACACATACACACACACACACACACACACACACACACACACAGAAATTAAAGCATTTCAGATACAAAAATCAACAAAATACAAAGAGAGATAGAAAGAGAGAAAAGGACAAACAAAAGAACTACAAGACTAACAGAAAACTACTCATAAAATGGCAATAGTTACTTTTTTCCTATCAATAGTTACTTTAAAGGTAAATGGAATAAATTCCTAAAAAAAAGTCATAGAGTGGCTGAATGGATTGAAAAAAAAAAAAAACTCAACTGTATGCGACCTACAAGAATTCACTTTAGCCTTAAGGACACAAGTATGCTTAAAGGGAATGGGTGAAAAAAGACATTTTATTAAAATTGTAACCAAAAAAGCGGTAGGGTGGCTATCCTTATATCAAATAAAATAGACATTATGCTAAAACCTGTCATAAGAGATAAGAAAGGACATTTTACAATGATAAAAAGTTCAATCCACCAGGAAGATCTGCAAATTATAAATATGTAGGTATCCAACAGCAGAGCATCTAAATATATGAAGCAAACATTGACAAAACTGAAGAGCGAAATAGAAGGCAACACAATAATAGTAGGAAATTTCAATATCCCACTTTTAGTAATTGACAGAACATCAAGACAAAAAGTCAATAAGGAAACAGAGGGTGTGAATAAAACTATAGACCTATGAAACTAACAAACATACACAGAATTTTGAAAAATGAAAAATTCACAAACATATGGAAATTTATAAACAACACTCTTGAAGAACCAATGGGTCAAAGAAGAAATTAAAAGAAATCAGAAAATATCTTGAGATAGACAAAAATGAAAATACACCAACGAAAACTTATCGGATGCAGCAATAGTTGTGCTAAGAGGGAAATTTATAGTGATACATGCCTATATTAAAAAAATAAGAAAGAGTTAGCTAGTTTAAGTAGAAAAGAATTGATTAAGCCACATTGGATGCTCACAGAATCATTGAGCTTCAAATTCCATTGCCAGGAGCACTTCTTACCACAGAACTGTGTTGAGGAGGATTCTCCTGACCCTAATGGCACCAGAACAACTTTGGCTCTGCCACAGTTGAGATTCCTAATTGAAGAAGCTGTCGCATTACCCACTACCAGCCCCAGAAACACAATGCTGAGCTGGTTGTATTAGGAATTTGTCACTGCTGTCAACCATGCAAACAGGAGTCTCTGACTCTACCCAAGCCAGCAAAGTACATTGTCCATGTTGAGCCTGTTTCTTCATATAGCTAAATTACAAATCAAAGTTCAAGGTAGTTGCATCTCATTGAAGAAATCTAAAGCATTTTTCTGGGAAGGGAAGTTGGGGAATACAGTTTTATTCATTGTACCTTATTGAATGAACACAGCATTCAATAAGATCCAAAATTGACACCCTAACATCACAATTAAAAGAACTAGAAAAGCGAGAGCAAACACATTCAAAAGCTAGCAGAAGGCAAGAAATAACTAAAATCAGAGCAGAACTGAAGGATATAAAGACACAAAAAACCCTTCAAAAAATTAATGAATCCAGGAGCTGGTTTTTTGAAAGGATCAACAAAATTGATAGGCCGCTAGCAAGACTAATAAAGAAGAAAAGAGAGAAGAATCAAATAGACTCAATAAAAAATGATAAAGGGGATATCACCACCGATCCCACAGAAATACAAACTACCATCAGAGAATACTACAAACACCTCTATGCAAATAAACTAGAAAATCTAGAAGAAATGGATAAATTCCTCGACACATACACCCTCCCAAGACTAAACCAGGAAGAAGTTGAATCTCTGAATAGACCAATAACAGGCTCTGAAACTGTGGCAATAATCAATAGCTTACCAACCAAAAAGAGTCCAGGACCAGATGGATTCACAGCTGAATTCTACCAGAGGTACAAGGAGGAACTGGTACCATTCCTTCTGAAACTATTCCAATCAATAGATAAAGAGAGAATCCTCCCTAACTCATTTTATGAGGCCACCATCATCCTGATACCAAAGCCTGGCAGAGACACAACCAAAGAAGAGAATTTTACACCAATATCCTTGATGAACATTGATGCAAAAATCCTCAATAAAATACTGGTAAACCGAATCCAGCAGCACATCCAAAAGCTTATCCACCATGATCAAGTGGGCTTCATCCCTGGGATGCAAGGCTGGTTCAATATACACAAATCAATAAATGTAATCCAGCATATAAACAGAACCAAAGACAAAAACCACATGATTATCTCAATAGATGCAGAAAAGGCCTTTGACAAAATTCAACTACCCTTCATGCTAAAAACTCTCAATAAATTAGGTATTGATGGGACGTATCTCAAAATAATAAGAGCTATCTATGACAAACCCACAGCCAATATCATACTGAATGTGCAAAAACTATAAGCATTCCCTTTGAAAAATGGCACAAGACAGGGATGCCGTCTCTCACCACTCCTATTCAACATAGTGTTGGAAGTCCTGGCCAGGGCAATTAGGCAGGAGAAGGAAATCAAGGGTATTCAATTAGGAAAAGAGGAAGTCAAATTGTCCCTGTTTGCAGATGACATGATTGTATATCTAGAAAACCCCATTGTCTCAGCCCAAAATCTCCTTAAGCTGATAAGCAACTTCAGCAAAGTCTCAGGATACAAAATCAATGTACAAAAATCACAAGCATTCTTATACATCAATAACAGACAAACAGAGAGCCAAATCATGAGTGAACTCCCATTCACAATTGCTTCAAAGATAGTAAAATACCTAGGAATCCAACTTTCAAGGGATGTGAAGGACCTCTTCAAGGAGAACTACAAACCACTGCTCAACGAAATAAAAGAGGATACAAACAAATGGAAGAACATTCCATGCTCATGGGTAGGAAGAAGCAGTATCGTGAAAATGGCCATACTGCCCAAGGTAATGTATAGATTCAATGCCATCCCCATCAAGCTACCAATGACTTTCTTCATAGAATTGGAAAAAACTACTTTAAAGTTCATATGGAACCAAAAAAGAGCCCGCATTGCCAAGTCAATCCTAAGCCAAAAGAACAAAGCTGGAGGCATCATGCTACCTGACTTCAAACTATACTACAAGGCTACAGTAACCAAAACAGCATGGTACTGGTACCAAAACAGAGATATAGACCAATGGAACAGAACAGAGCCCTCAGAAATAATACCACATATCTACAACCATCTGATCTTTGAAAAACCTGACAAAAACAAGCAATGGGGAAAAGATTCCCTATTTAATAAATGGTGCTGGGAAAAGTGGCTAGCCATATGTAGAAAGCTGAAACTGGATCCCTTCCTTACACCTTATGCAAAAATTAATTCAAGATGGATTAAAGACTTAAACGTTAGAGCTAAAACCATAAAAACCCTAGATGAAAACTTAGGACTAACCATTCAGGACATAGGCATGGGCAAGGACTTCATGTCTAAAACACCAAAAGCAATGGCAACAAAAGCCAAAGTTGACAAATGGGATCTAATTAAACTAAAGAGCTTCTCCACAGCAAAAGAAACTACCATCAGAGTGAACAGGCAACATACAGAATGGGAGAACATTTTTGCAACCTACTTATCTGACAAAGGGCTAATATCCAGAATTTGCAATGAACTCAAACAAATTTACAAGAAAAAAACAAACAACCCCATCAAAAAGTGGGCGAAGCACATGAACAGACACTTCTCAAAAGAAGACATCTATGCAGCCAAAAAACACATGAAAAAATGCTCACCATCACTGGCCATCAGAGAAATGCAAATCAAAACCGCAATGAGATACCATCTCACACCAGTTAGAATGGCGATCATTAAAAAGTCAGGAAAAAACAGGTGCTGGAGAGGATGTGGAGAAATAGGAACACTTTTACACTGTTGGTTGGACTGTAAACTAGTTCAACCCTTGTGGAAGTCAGTGTGGAGATTCCTCAGGGATCTAGAACTGGAAATACCATTTGACCCAGCCATCCCATTACTGGGTATATACCCAAAGGACTATAAATCATGCTGCTATAAAGACACATGCACACGTATGTTTATTGTGGCACAATTCACAATAGCAAAGACTTGGAACCAACCCAAATGTCCAACAATGATAGATTGGATTAAGAAAATGTGGCACATATACACCATGGAATACTATGCAGCCATAAAAAGGATGAGTTCATGTCCTTTGTAGGGACATGGATGAAATTGAAAATCATCATTCTCAGTAAACTATCGCAAGAACAAAAAACCAAACACCGCATATTCTCACTCATAGGTGGGAATTGAACAATGAGAACACATGGACACAGGAAGGGGAACATCACACTCTGGGGGCTGTTGTGGGGTTGGGGGAGGGGGGAGGGATAGCTTTAGGAGATATACCTAATGCTAAATGACAAGTTAATGGGTGCAGCACACCAGCATGGCACATGTATACATGTGTAACTAACCTGCACATTGTGCACATGTACCCTAAAACTTAAAGTGTAATAAAAATAAAATAAAAAAGATATGTTCATATATAGAGACTTCTCAAAATGTGAAGTGAATTTTCCATAGATTTTGGACATCTCTGAATGATAGATGATTACTACACCTTTCCAAAAATATCACTCTTATTTGTAAAAATGTATAGAGCAAGTTAGGAGAAAAAAATAAATCCTAACCATCTTCTAAGCTTTTTTTTTTGCATGGAGATGTACCATAGCTTATTGATTTTTAGGCACTTTCCTGAAAAGAAGTTCTCAGGTAAGCTTATTTTTTAAATTGTAAAGTTCACAGTGTTCATATATCTTAGTTATAGTTGTTTGGAAAGGTAATCAAAGTAGATTTCTGAAATTATGTTCTTCAAAGAGTTAAAGTGTCATTGGAATTAGTTGAAATACATCTGTTTGTCAGTGACATGATTAATGAAGCCTGCTGCTCTCTGTGCTTTCAGAGTTGAACTTTTGTTAGACTTAAGGTACGATTATAAACATTATTTGTTTTCTTTTAATGTAGGCTTTCTAGCTTTTGGGGTTTTTATGGTACAACTTTTTCAAAGGATGTTATTGCCAGGTAGCTTCAACAGCTTCAAGTTTTAGGAGATATTCTTCATCAATAAAGACATACTCTTTTGCCTTGGCTAATTAATCTAACCTGTAATCTATTCTGTTTTCTACATATTTAGTTTGAGTTACATAAAGTTAAATAATCAGGTGAAGGAGAGAATGTTATCATCCAGATATTATCAACCACAGGATCACACTAGCAAAACCACTAGCAAAACTTTGTTTTGCTATAATTACAAAACAATATACTAGCAAAATATTGGGCAACAGAGTACATTTCCCAGCTTGCCCATTTGTACAGTTTAGTCTAGTTTTGCCTTTATAATTAGATGAATAACCTTGAACAAGTCATTTAACCTTTCTATGTTGTAATTTTCCACAGTGGTAAAGGGTAACATTAATAATACATGACTCTTGTTTCCCAAGAATGTTAGTAATATATAATCGGTAGCATCTGTACCTGTTCTGTGTTTCTTTCAAGAAATGTTATGGGGTAAATATTAAACTGGGTCATTTTTGACTTGGAGAGGTCTACTGTGTTTTGGTCAATCCTGCACACTTTCCCCCTTTATTACATAACAACACTGCCTGACTTTGAGAATAGTTTCTACTCTTGCTTTACCCATGTGATTCAGAAGGGGTTTCTAAACACAGCATGTCATTCTCCTGTCCAGAGTTGTGAACATATGCTTTGGGCCAACACTGTTACCATTTTCTACTTTTCTGCATGTAGTCATTCACTCAAAAGTTTGAACATTATCGAAGCCACACCAATAAGCATCCCACTCTGAGATTGCTGCATGCTGAAAGAAGAGACACTCATTCTTTTCTCTAGGGCAATGTTCCTCAAATTTTAGAATCCTTCAGAATCACCTGGAAGGTATGTTAAGACACAGACTTGGGTGAGGTGCCACACATCCAGAGTTTCAGAGTGGGTCTGATGTGATCCTGGGATTTACATTTCTAATAAGTTTCTAGGTTGCTGTTGCCGCTAGTCCAAGGACCACACTTTGAGAATCACTCCTCTGTGATCACTAAGTTAGAAGGCTGAAAGCCTAAAGCCACAAGTGACTAATTACCCTGCAACATGTATAAAGCCTGCTTATTACTATTTTCATCATCATCATTATTATTTGTTGTCTGTAATGAGGCCAAAGCTCAAAGAGTTGCAGACAAAGCAGCAATAAAGAGATGAGTTAGAGAGGGTATGATAATGTCACCACTTAGGCTCTGCATCTAATTGACCCAGGCACAGGCCTGGCTCCACCTCTATTTTTCCCAGTTATATGAATCAATAACTGTCCTAGCTAGCTTACCCTAATTTGAGATAGCTTTCTGTTTTTTGAGAGCAAAAAAATTACTTTTACTCAGTTTTCAAAAAATAAAGGAAAATTTAATAACAGTATCATTTAATGATCCAAATTTTATTTAAGAAAGGTCCCAGAAAAATGCATGGCATTTGGCCTGTTTGATTCTTCATGAAGATGATGTTCAGGCATATGTATGTATGTATGTATGTATGTATCTATCTATCTATCTATATATCAATCTATCTAAAATATTATTTAATATAAATATAAAATACTGTTATATATAAAACAATAGATATTGTTATAACAGTATTTCATATTTATTTAAAACAATATTATATATATATGCAATATTTTGTACCAAAGTCATTTGTCATTTTTCAAATAGGTTCATCATTTTCATGTGTCACACTCTAGAATACATTGGATAGCACAGAGTATCAGTTCACTGGTGACTGGTTTCTTAAGAAATAGATACACATAATTATTTTGAATTACCATTAAAGATGGTATTTAATTGCAGCACAGTTTTTTCTATGCACATCTCTCTCAATTGGGTTTTGAAATATCTCATCAACAGAGTTCAAATTATAATAATATAGGGGCAGCATAATATCTCACTTACTTATAACCATACTTCCAGCACTCTTGCTTGGGAAATACCCATACTGGGGAGAAACTGTCATTTTTGTGTTTGTACTACTTATTTTACCAACTATTGAGTGACTCCAACCACAGAATCTATTCAGAGGTTTAAATTCATTTCCAGAAAACACAATATCTATTCAGAGGCTTAAATTCGTTTCCAGAAAACAAAGTAGGAAGACACAGAGTAATGCTGAGAAGGTGCAGGAGAAGAATTCTGAAGATCCTGCTAGGTGATTAACACAATAAGTAATGCCTTCTTTGCACAAGCTCTCAATTCCCCCACAGAGCCAAAATCAAAGTCTTTTCATCTTTTATTTCTCTCCCATTTCTAAGGATCTTTTCTTTACACTTCACTGAAAAGTCCTTCATTTCTCATTAATGCTTTAAGTACAAAGCTAGTTCTGGTGATGATATAATTTTTCCCAAGTCTAAATTAGGTTTCATACAGAGCATTACAAAGTCAAAAGGCAGAGCTCATGCTGTTCTGCTATTTTACTTAGTGTTTATATGAATGAAGAAGCACGGCATTTCAGAAGTTTGATTTTTTTTTTCTTTTTTAAAAATCAACCTTTTATAGTTGATTTAGCACTTTTTAGACCAAAAATAGCAGAAGTGGTCAGTTTTGACTGTTCCTGTCATTAGATATTTTATTCTTGAACAAACTTCAAAAGAATACATAGAGTTTCATCAACATGAAATATTTGTAATATTTATATATGTAGCCAAGGAATGGATTATCTAAATTTTAGTAAGAATTGTCTGTGTATTTATTTGCATCATATTAGGCTTAAATTCCTGGTGTATTAAAACCCATTTTTTTTGTTTTCTTGGTTTTTTATTAATTATAATTATTTCATTCTACAGACATTACTGATATTAAACTTGGCCAAACACTGGAAGCTCACCAAAACCTTGCAGCAGCTCATTTATCTTGTCTGCGTTTAAAAATATTGGTTATTAATCAGCAAGCATATATTAAATATCTGTTGAGAACAATCACTCCATTAAGCATTATTGAGGATGCAAGTATCCTCTCTCTAGAAGATTTCAATCAACAATGCACATATACACCATGGAATACTATGCAGCCATATAAAAGGATGAGTTCATGTCCTTTGTAGGGACATGGATGAAGCTGGAAGTCATCATTCTGCGCAAACTATTGCAAGGACAGAAAACCAAACGCCACATGTTCTCACTCATAGGTGGGAATTGAACAATGAGAACACTTGGACACAGGATGGGGAACAGCACACACCGGGGCCTGTCATGGGGTGGGGGGAGGGGGAGGGATAGCATTAGGAGATATACCTAAAGTAAATGATGAGTTAATGGGTGCAGCACACCAACAAGGCACATGTATACACATGTAACAAACCTGCACGTTGTGCACATGTACCCTAGAACTTAAAGTATGATTTAAAAAAAAGAAAAAAAACAAGGCTAACATACCCACACACGTATTTGTTTTAGTATTTTTATAATATGACTTAATTTCTATTTTAATTGCCCATTCAGTATTATAAGCAAAAAAAGGTATTAGATAATTATTGGTTAAACATAGTCATTTCTATTTCAAAATGAGTTAACTGAAGTTTTATTTCTCCCCTGACTGCATTCTGGGAGGCAGCTAATTCCTTGGACTTATTTAGCATTCACTAGATCCTAGCAGGGCAGGGGCAACTTGTTATCTATACTCACCCACACTGGCATCTGCAAACATGACGCTACTTCTCCTGTCTGGTTTAGGGCAGAACCATCCTTAATCCATTGCGATTGTCAATCTCTAGTCTAGTCTACTTTGTCGAATTCATTCAAGCTTAGAGGTCACTCTTACCATTTATTTGTCTGTGTCTGGTAAATAGCAGCCTTTCAATCTCTTATGTCACTTTAGGACTGTGGAAAACTTGAAATCATATCAGCTTAGCATGTCCAAATGTGATCTCTTAGTTTCATCCTTATTACCTGCTTTTCCTCATTCTTCTCCATCTCCATAAATGACAGCATCATCAGCCTATTTCATCAAGGAAAAAACCTAAAATCTTTCTTAATTATGCCCCCATTCTTCCTAGTTTCTTTATCGCTCCTTCCTTAGTTACTGCCCTGATCTGAGTCCATTACCTCTTATTTAGACTAATGAAATAGCTTGCATACTGGTTTTTGCCTTGTCTTTAGTCCCCTCCAACCTATTTTCCACACAGCAGTCATTAAGATAATAGTTATTCAATGGCTTCCCATTGCCTGAGAATAAAAGCCAACTTCCTCACCATGGCCTTTATTGTCAGCATGGACCTGTCCTCTGCCACTTCTCTAAACTTATCTTAGTCCTTTCCTCCTCCTACCCCATGACACCCTACTTCACCGCATTATTCTCCACTTAGTAGTCTCTCATTTCTTTTAGGACAAAGGCAAAACTCCTTAACACAGTCGATACAACCCTCTACAATCGGCCTGTTGCCCACATTTCTAGCCCCATCCCTGCCACTCTCTCTCACTCACTTATCAATGAATCTCTATTTGACTTCTTTCAGATAACTCCTCCAGCCAGACCTCCCGAAAACATTATTACTTGCTCTCTATGCCTTGCTTTCTCTGGCTTACTTTTCTTTCAGGTATCATTCTAAGCATTCTTCCTGAAAGGGCCTTCACCAGCCCTCTGAACCATACCAATTCCTCCTGCTACAGCTTTGTATAGTCCTGTGAACTTCTTCCATCATAATAGCCCTCAAAATTTATTATAATTATTTATTTAATATGTGTTTTCTCATGCCAGACCAAAAGCTATGTAAGAGTAGGGCTGAAATCTGACTTTTGGTCCAAAATATCCCCAGTACCTAGCAGAGAGTCTAACACAGAGCAGGCCTTTGATAAATTCCAACTTAAATAAAATTCCAGATGTACACATGAAAAAGACTTCTACCTCCAAAGTTCCAAAAAAGACTGTGTGTGAGCATGGGCACACATATGCACGTGCACATGTGTGTTCTCACCATAAAAGATACTGGATTATTAAAACCATTGGCAGCAAATTAAAGCTCAGTCCCTCCTGCTCACTGCAGTGAGCCTGAGAATCCTGGAAGACAGACACTCCCATTGCCATCTCCTAAAATAAGATCATAAATAGTTACTTCCAGATTTTGTCTGGCAATTGGGAACCCTCATTCCCCACCCCACCTCCCTGCCACTGGCATTCCTTAGTGAATTACTTAAAAACCAGAGAAAAGTAGATTTCTGTCTATTTAGAGACCTCTATGGACACAGTATTCATGGGTCCTAGATCTTCCAGAGAAGTCATAATGTCAACTAGAATAATTTCCTATCTCCCTAAGTACATTTGTACATATCCAACCAGGCATCCTGATGTTTGGTTCAGAAAATGTGGACGCTGACCTCACACAGGATGACTTTGAGGGAGAGCTGCTTGCTCTTAAGCCACCTGCAGGATGTGATTGTAGGGAGTGAGAGAACTCCTTCTAAGACTTATTTGAAACATCTTGTTCTCTTCCTTCTGCCTTCACTGCATTTACCATCATGTTAGGATGAGGAGAAAATTCCTAGGTTAGTAAAGGAGATATTTACTCCTTTACTATTTAAATTATATTTTATTCAGCTGCATGAATGCCTCCTAAATTAAGTGAGAGACTGTATGAACAGCTTGTAACATACCGGTCAGTATACAGCAAAAGTTCAGTAAATGTTAGTATGATTAATATAATAATGTAGCTGTGTATGAACAAATAAAGCCATAGAGGTTTAGCAACTTCCATAAGGTTTCAAAGCTACTGTACCTGATAATTTAATATTCATAAAGAAGATTGTAGCCCAGTTTTACTGTGTTTCACAAGTGTCTTTCACCACTGTGTTAAAGTAGGAAAAATGTTCTTATTATATCAACTATGCCATCATCTTAAGCATTAATCATTTTAAACATATAATCTTTTTAAGCATTGTTTGTATGTACGTCAATATATAAATATTCTATCAATAAAAATGGGGTCTTGTCTATCTGTGGAACTATTTCAAATCTAAACTAATATTTATATCCTAAGAAAGACACCTCATGCCATATTAAATCACAAACCAAAACCATAAATTAGACTGAGTTGGTTAAATGCTAAAAAGATTGTAAATGGCAATTACCCACATTATTACAATGATATGAATAAACCTTACATTTTAGGCAAATATCTCTTCACTAGTAACATAATTGTTAATTAACATATCAAAATACTAAAAAACCTTAAAGAGAAATATAACATGTTACAGAATTTGAAACAGAATTTTAAATGGCAAAGTCATTTACATCTTGGGTAACATTTTGCTACTCTATTTCCTTTGTCTCTGTGGGAACCTAGTTTGCTAAGAAAAAAAATCTATATCTTGCAGTTCTTGAAAAAAAGAATGTTTTTACCTAAAATTAATGAACTACCACTTAGCAGTCTGGACACAGCGAGTGGCCCCTGATTTAAAACATCGCTTCTATGAGTAAACTAGCCCCCGAAGTAGCCTATTGTGAATTTTCCAGTTTCAAATAGATATCAGAGACCTAAATAAATAAAATATGTTTCTTGCAACACAAAGTACATCAGTGTAGTTAGGTAATCAAATCACGTAGTTTGCATATTATACTATTAAATTATTTCTACATTGTATTTGAAAACTTACTGAGCAGAGATGATCTGAGAAAGTACATAAGAAATCAAATATAACTAGAACTGACACAACTTTTCTCCAGGCTTAGCTATTCAGAAACTGTGCTTTCTTTTTTTAAAAATTGAGTAATAACAATTATAAAGAGTTAAAGGAAGCAATGATTGTACTGAGGGGCATCATTTAGAAAGCAACCTACATAAATGTCTAGACTAGAAAATAAGAAAAGCTAAAGATTAATGAGCCAAGAGTCCAACATATGAAGCTTGAAAAATTTATCAGAATAGATTCTAAGGAATTTGAAAGATGATAAAAATAAGTCATTAATTAAACTGAAAACAAATATACAATAGAGAGTATCAATAAAACTAAAACTTATTTCATTGAAAAGAAAAATAAATGGACAAATCTCTGATGAGCTTGTTCAGAAAGTAAGAAAAAGGAGGAGAATTCCCAAATTAAGGAATAAATAACATTAGAAGTAAAAGTGAGAAACAAATTTAGATCCAGCAAGATTAAAACAATATTAATAATACTATGGTATAATTATGTACAATATATGATCTTAACATATTATAATAAATGAAAACTTACATAAAATAGGCAAATTTATATATATAATATACATATTTACATGTGTGTAAATATCTGTGTATATATGTGTGTATATACATATGTATATATATATGCCTTCTCACTAAAGAAGTAAAGATAGCCAGAGGGATTTATATAAAGATATTCAATAAGGAATTTAAGATTTTTACTTGCAGGAAACACCATGTCTTGGTGGTTTAATGGGCTTATTGAGTATGCTATCAATAAACAAATTATTATGACCTTACATAATCTCTCCAAAATAATTAAACAAGAGATAAAATTCCCCTGGCCCCTTCAAATAATCTTACTATCAAAATCTGGCAAGGAAAGGATAAAGAAAAAAGAAAATCTTTAAGAAACATGCGTAACTATCTATTTGACTCAAGAAAAACACACTTGCTAAAATTGAACACCCATTAATTTTTTTTTTTTTTTTTGAGATGGAGTCTCTCTTTGTCACCCAGGCTGGAGTGCAGTGGTGCGATCTGGGCTCACTGCAACCTCCACCTCCTGGGTTCAAGCGATTCTCCTGCCTCAGCCTCCCGAGTAGCTGGGACTACAGGTGCCTGCCACCACGCCAGCTAATTTTTTTTTTTTATTTTTAGTAGAGACGGGGTTTCACTGTGTTAGCCAGGATGGTCTTGATCTCCTGGCCTCCTGATCTGCCCGCCTTGGCCTCCCAAAGTGCTGGGATTACAGGCGTGAGCCACCGAGCCTGGCCCCCATTAATTACTTTTAAAAAGAAGAAGAAAAAAAGTCGCTAGCCATGATCCCAAGACCAGTTAAGAGACTGGTCTTGTCTCTTAACAATTAATGTCATTTTAAAAAGGTGCCCTAAAGTGATATAACTGTCAGTGAAATGTACCATTCTGGTTTTGATCTGGGTTTGGATAAAGAAACTAGAAGAGAGGGCTTGAAATGTTCTCCGTACATAGAAATGATAAATGTTCAAGGAAGTTGATACTCTAAATACCCTGACTTGATCATTACAAGTTCTATGCATGTAAGAAAATATCACGTGTACTCTGTAAGTATGTACAAATATTATATATCAACAAAAAAGGGAATAGTTAAAAATTAAAGAATAAAGAATATATTGGGGACAATTAGGGAGATTTAAATATGAAGTAAATATAAGATAAAAGATTATTGATATAGGGATTATTAATAAAAAATAACAGATTACAAAAATGTACAGTAAGATCTTCCAACATAGTGCTTGATTTCTTGTCTTTGTCTCTCTCTGTCTCATTCTGTCTCTCCCCACTAAAAGCATAATAAAATATCATTTTACACCTAAGAGAATGGAAAACATTGAGAGATTGGAAAATATTCATTGTTAGTGAGAATGAGAATTAATGGGAATTAATATATTACTAGTACCCATATAAATTGGTAAGCAATTTGTGATTATTTTACAAGATTCAACATCTCGATATGGTCTAACACAATAATTTTGTTATATGCATATATATTCCATACATATTAATATATACATATATATGCTATGCAGTAATGATTGTTAAATGTTATCAGGCATCAAAATCACTCAGAGGGCTTATTAAAGTTTTCTGTACCCCTTCTCAGATATTTTTATTTATTAGTTCAGGTTGAGAACCATGAATCTGCATTTCTAACAGCTCATGGGTGGTTGGCATCAATGCTTCTGATCCCAGAACCATACCTGTAGAACCACCACACTCAAGAAACGTATTCATTTTACAAGAGATATACATGAATGTTCATAACAGCATTGTTCATAATAGCAAATAAATCTAGCAACAAGCTAAATGTTCCCTGACATGGAATACCATAACAAATAAACCATAGTTATATGCAACGACAAGGGTAAATCTTGGACAGTTAAAGAATATTATATGCAGAACGACTGCAATTTTGAAGAACTAAACCAAGTAAAATTAAACAATAGATTGTTTAGGTATTATAAATATATAATAAATCTACTTAAAATGATAAACAAAAATTTTGGATAGTGTTTCTCTCTGGAACTGAAGTAAAGCAATGGAATAGGTGAAGAGTACCCAGGTAGGTAAAATTATATCTATAGTGTTTTATCTTTTATTTACCAAGTGTTCCTGTTATTATTATGCTTCATTAGGCATGCATTTGTTAAAAATATCCATTATATACAATAAAATAAAATCATTTTAGAAGATTGCTACAGAAGACACTATGAAATACTTAATATTGGCCAGTATGAGGCTCTCTCAATCAGTCACTAATATAATAAGACAACCTTTTACAGGTAAAGTAAATTTTCCTTTTAAACCACTTTGTTGAGGTATGATTGACATACAAAAAGCTGTACATATATAATGTATGCAACTTGGTAAGTTTAGAGGTAAGTATATACTCCTAAAATCATCACCATAAACTTACCCATCACCTCCAAAATTTTCTCCTGCCCTCTTATTTAATGGGCAGGGACGTTGGACCCAAAGGAAATGATTATCCATGGAACTGTAGCTGGCTTACCTATCTGCTATGGCTTACCAAAAGCTGGCAAGTAAGGGATCATTACTCGCAATAGCCTGTGTTGAACAAAGACTGAAACCTTGAGGTAACTTATTTACATAAATAGTCCTGGGACAAAGTGGAAAATGTTCTCTCACATACTTTCATGGCATTAACATGGCACAGCATTTGACTTTATAAACCAGTGCACTGTCACAAGAAATTTCAGACTGGCTCAGATCTAAGTTATAGCCAGCCTAAGGTTACATTCTGATAGTGGCACCAAAGGTGATTTACAGATAAGGATAAATGCACACTGCTATATCAAAATTCAGAGTACTCCAGCTTCTCTCTAAAAGCTAGTTACATAACTTCCTATTTAAAACTGTATCTAGGCCAGTGTCTCCCAAAATGAGTTTTACAAAAGAGTAGTTTGTGAGTTAAGAGAGGGCAGAGATTGTCTGCCTTGGGGGTCTCCTGTTATATTTCAAATACCTAGCACAGTAACTAACACCCTGCAGGCATATAATAATATTGACTGGATAGTGTGTGATGTAATGGGAATTTTTAGGAGAAAAGAGTCTGCGGTCATATCTGGAGTCATTGTGTATAATTGAACATGGTGACCATCACAAAGGATGCATGGCTGATGTGAGTGAGGACTGAAATCCAGCCGTGCTAGACTTGCTGGATTTCTCAACAGCCTACCTGTGAACTGTGCATCTTTCAAGTAGAGAATACAATACAACATATATAGCTTAAATTCAATATAACTAGACTTTTTTCCCCTTATGATCTCAGAAGAAAAGTGTATTAGTCTGTTTTCATGCTGCTCTAAAGAACTGCCAGGGACTGGGTAATTTATAAAGGAAAGAGGTTTAATTGACTCACAGTTCCATATGGCTTGGGAGGCCTCAGGAAACTTGCAATCATAGCAGAAGGTGAAGGGAAAGCAAGGCACCTTCCTCACAAGATGGCAAGAAGGAGAGGTGCCAAGCAAAGTGGGGAGAGCCCCCTATAAAACTATCAGATCTCATGAGAACTCACTATAAAACAGCATGGGGGAAACCACCCCCATAATTCAGCTACCTCCACCTGGTCTCACCCTTGACACCTGGGGGTTATGGGGATTAAAATTCAAGATGCGATTTGGCTGGGGACACAAAGCCTAATCATATCAACAAGTCTTTCACGGAATAACTTGGGAAGCACAGAGCTAAACTGCTTGCCAGAGGGTGGAGGTTATAGAGAGGAGGTGGTATAGAGAGGCAAGAGTTTTTGCCTTTTTTTTTCTAACTAATGGGGCTGTTACTGGTGTCGTCTTTGTGGAGAAATCTCACTCTATTGGATTTACCTATCAATTACTTTTTAAACATTTCTATCAGATATAATATCAAAATAATGCACAATAGTATTCATGGCTAGAAATGGAGAAACCTTTTCCCTTCATTCAATCTTCCATTCTGGACAGTGCTGGGCTAATATTTTTTTCCTTTCTCATTGACGCCTCTGGGAAAGAAATGTCTGTATGTTCTTTAGCGTCTCTGGGAAAGAAATGTCTGTGTGTTCTTTAGAAGCCTGCTTTCTGATACAATGATATCTGATATATTAATGCTCTTCTCTCTCGACACATTTCATAAAATGGTAGTTTATGAGATAATACTCCCTTTTCCCTCCCTTTTTTTCCTTTGAAATTAAATCAACTTCCACCCAAAGAAAAATAAATGTCCTGAGATGAGATTATCATAATTGTTTTGATAGGCAATTGGTGTAGGAGTTAAGAAGAAATTACTTAGGTGGATAGTGAGGATACAGAAGTCCTCAGTAAGGTTTTCCTTTAAATGACAAGCAGCCCCAAATCATTTTCCTTTCTAACAAAGAGCAGCCTGTAAAATCCAACTGCAGACATAGACGTTGGGTTAATCATGTTCAAAATGGCGGCTCTATCTATCCTTTTTATCAGCCACGTGTACGCACTTGTAATCCCAGCTACTCAGGAGGCTGAGGTAGGAGAATCGCTTGAACCCGGGAGGCGGAGGTTGCAGTGAGCCAAGATTGCACCATTGCACTCCAGCCTGGGAGACAGAGCAAGACTCCGGCGCAAAAAAAAAAATTACGATGGGGTGGCCAGCCTTCTCCACATGTAAAATCTGACGAAAAACTCTGCCACCTGCTGACCTTTTCCCTTTCAGAAGCCACTCTTTCTCACTTCTCCTTTCTCTTTTTTCTGCCTATTAAACCTCTGCTTTTAAACTTCTCATATGTGTCTGTGTCCTAAGTTTTCTTGGTGCGAGACAACAAACCCCAGGTATTTACCCCAGACAACGTAGCCACTTCACAGTGATAGTAAACTTCAGACAGATCTCTATGAACTACTGTGAAGAAAGTGGGAAAATATCTTTCTTGCATAGATTGATATATTTTCTATAAGACAAGAGAGATTAACCAAAAAAGAGATGTGCAATAGCAGGCATTATAGTACTTAAGACATATGCATTAACTAAGGGGCCAAGTTCATAAACTATTATTTATAAAGCAACTCCTGATAGAATATTCTTTTTTGTAATCTTAATTTCCAATATCTACATGAGATCAGTCAAAAATTAATTTTCTACATTTACCCTTTACTTTATCCCTCACCCTTACCCTATTCTCCCGTGTATCTGGTAAAGGGTTGGGGTTAACCCTGACAGCTCAATTTTATAAACTCTGATACCAGTTGTCTTTCAGCTGAGTCAGCCAATGAGAAGTATTGATGAACATTTGGAGGGCATGAGAAAGGGGGAGGCCACAATGTTTCTCCACCTTCCTCTCTGCCTCACCTGGCAAATTTGGCAGCACCATGTCTTTTCATGGCTCCAGCTTCCATCAGTCATGCTTACAGCTACTGGTGGGATAACATCAGCCCCTAGATCCCAGTTTCCCACCTTTGTCTTTGCTTTGTCCCTCAGTCTAGAGGTGATGGCAGCTTTCTACTGTTGCTCAGCTCTGGGTTGGCTCACCATCCCCCATTGCCCCCCAGATTCCCCACTGCCTAGGTGAGCAATTTCTTTCACTACATTCCTTCGTTCAAAGCACAGAGGTTTCCTTTTTAATGATTGAACCCCAACTAATAAACTTCATTCCATTTTATGTATTTTTAAGAGAATTTTTGAATTTCATTTTAAAAAACTGGGAAAGCTTATTTGTTATTTAGAATAAAATGAGATCATACAAATGTCATGAAATAGAGGAGGCCATACACCTTTATTTTCTAAGTTTTTCCTACTTCAATTTGTGGGAGGAAACCATCTAGGCATCAGTCAATTAATTCTGCAAATAGTTACTCAATCCCTAGGGTGGGGCAAGGAATATACTAATCATTAGTTTCTGAAAGTTGACTCGGAGCCCTTGAATAATAAGTAAAACTAAACAAGCTCTTTAAAGTTGTAAAAATGATAACACTATTAAAGGGAAGACACTGATTCAACAAACCTCAATAATAATATTTTCCCTATCCCACTGATACCCGTCTGTCCCAACTAGTTTCTATATCTTCTTTAGGTCTGTAATTGCTAGATGAACACACTGTGTGCTTTCCTATGGGTCTCACTAACGTGGTATTTTCTTTTTCCTTTTTCTTTCACTTTGGATTTAGTTTCCTCATGATTTTGGTGTCATTCGAAAGTTAGGACTTTTTGAAACAGCAGAACCTAGGCTCACAAACCACAACGTGAAAAATTAATTCCAATATCTATCATCCATTTGTATAACAAAGGTAAAAGTGCATCAACGTAATCCCGTGTTTTTTATAGGCATGTTAGTCATCTGGCATTTTGGTGCATTAGAATTTATTACTTCAGCAGTCTTCAGCATTAAAAGCGTTTTAAAAGTATTTTAACATCCACTGCAGACACTGTTGGTGCCCTGCCCACATTACCTCACCTGTACCATTTCAGTGGACATCAAAGTACCAGAACCTGCCTTTCTTTGCTTGTGAGTTTTTTCTGACACTGGAATCTGTTTTTCCCCCTCTTTTGCCAGACTAGAAAGAACAAGGAATCCATGAACCCCAGGAGCAGTCCTCAACCAAAGAAAACTTCTTTCCTCAGGTGTTATGGATCTGAAGAATGTAGCAAGAGTCCTCAGTGGGATAAGAACTAGGCCAACGCACCCTTTACTGTCCGCCATCACTAGCCTATATCACTCCTCACTGCCTTCTCAGTGTTCCCTTCATGGCCGAAACAAATTGTTTGTGCTCAAAACTTTGTCTTATGGGCTGCTTCTAGAGGACCCCAAACAGAGAAAAAAACAAATTATTTCTCTACTCTTTGGGAAAATGTCAGCCAACCCCAACAAGGTGACACCCTCATGCATATTTTCTAGGGTAGAACCAAGTAAATAAATGCTGCTTCTGATAAAGCTACACTGATTAATGAAGAAGTCAACAATTGCAACAACACTTCACCTTTCTGTGCTCTGTTCCCTCACATTTTCATCATGTCTAGCTTCTCTAATCAGGGCATCTTTGGACACAATAACAGAAAAAAATCCCAATTATCAAAATTAACATGATAGGGACCAGAAATTCAGGCCTTGGAGAGCCCACCATTGTAATTATAATCAATTGTGTTCACTTACTGATCAGCTTTGCTTCTGCATTTATTAGTTTTCCATTTAAGATGCCAGTGAGTTATTAAGAGATTATCTGCTTTCTCAACCATTGCTATGATGCTATTTTCGTTTTTCTGACTATAGAGAACTAAAAATTACATGCAAATGAGTGCCAATTTAGCTTACTTTTTAGAATTTCAAGCAGTGAACTGTGATAAAAGTATATTTGTGATAAAAGTGTATACATATTCTTTCTGCATCATGGCATCAAGTTGCTGTTTTGGGGTGGTAAATCTTTTGTTATCTTTCCAAATACTGTTTTGCAGCTGATTTTAATAGACTTTACATAAAATATACTAGCATCCAAAAATAGGGCTGTGTGTATGTCAGAACTGTACTTCTATTGTTAGCCTCCAAGCTTTTCCATTACTTAACATCTCCACCTCTCAGGCCATTGCAGAGTACAATAGAGAGTAATTGTTTCCTGTGGATAGTTGCTTTTCATTTTGTGAACAGATTACAAGGTAGGTTTAGGCAAATGAGAGGAAACAAAATGTTAAGTTATTGAGATAAACAACTTATAATCTATTTCCACTGCTTAAGCAAAACATAAGCAAGGTTTGAACTAAGGAACTGTTCAACTTGGATGAAAAGAAATTTATAAAGATGGCAAATTGCTGAATTTCTAATTTGCTTTTTGTTGTCTAAGGTCCTCACTGGTCAAAGAGAGAAACCACACTATTTCTACAAATGAGTCCTAAGAACTGTGAAAACAGATGCCATCACACTGTTTGTGAACAATTAAAGGTAAAAGGGACACCATCATGACAGAAAAATAAGGCAACCTGGGAACTTTAAAGACATTTAGGGACTCTGCTGTCCTTTATTGGTGTTGTTAATGCTCAGTAATATGAAGGAAGCAGAAGCATAGACCAGAGGGGAAAATAAGAAAATAGATAGATTATGTTAACACGGTGAAGAGACAAAGATTCCACTGTCACCAAGAATGTCATATTGCTAAACTTCAATTTAGGGGGTTACTTAAAGGCATGACCTTATGGAAATTTAATGATATGTTATGGTTCATCAGAACTCGTCAGTTGGCCCCAAGCTGCGATAATCAACTTTTCAATGTCGGACTCATTTACTCCTCGAAGAATCCTGAAATAGCCATTCTCTCCCCATGACTTTCCCCAGGAATTGGCAGCAATCTGCAGAAAAACAAACAAACAAAAAAGTTGAGAAACATACTTTGGTATTTTTTAAAAAAAGCCATGGAGAACTCATTTGTAACTTTAAATGCCTTTGATTTATCATAGACTATAATTATCAAGAACTTACCTATTTTTAAATAATGGTTGTATTATGTATCAACTACACTAATATGCAGGAATGATGGCAATAGCCAGAATTGATATGACTCTTCTGAGTTTCCCAGAGTACTAAGGTAACATAGGCCTGAGCGTTTGAAATGCCACATCAGAAGATGGCATGCAAGCTGCAGTTATAGAGTTGTCTACTATGTGAACAACAGCCTGTGCTAGGTGCTGGAAGACGAAAGATAAATAATACATTATCTTATGTTCAGGAAGTTTATAATCTAATGAAGAATGACCAACATAAGGCAAGTGCTAAGGTGAAAATAAGTACAGAGTATTTTTGAGGTCAGAGAAAGGGCATCTCATTTACTTGGATGGTTCAGCGAAGACATTGTTGAAGAAGTGTCACATGAGATGCATATTAAAGCCTGAGAATCAATTCACCAATGTAAAAGGAGGAAGGGAGATTGACGTAAAGGAAAACAGTAAAAGCATAAACACCAAAGCATGAAATAGTATGAAGCAGTGAAATTAAGCAATAAAATTGTTATAGTTAGATCACGAGACAGAAGCAGAATGGTAGGTTATGAGGCTGGAAGGGGAGGAAAGAACATCCATAATGAGAAAATAATGGGAAAAATTATGACATGCCATTGAGTTGATTCTAGCAGGAAAGAAAGGTGGGCAAATTCATACTGTGATTACATTATCCTATATGACATCAAGTGGATAGATTTAAGAGGGTACAGACAAGAGGCAGTGACTAGCTAGTAGACTCCTGTAATAATTCAATTGGATAAGAGAAAATAAAGTATTTGAGAAATCTTCAGAAAGTAAAATCAACAGGAATTAGTTTTGTTTTTTTTTTAATTCCTCTTTCTAAAATGCAAAAATGGTTGGATTGGATGGTTGGAGTAAGTCCAAAATGACTCCTGGGTTAAAAGCTTGAACGAATAAGTGTGTGATGGAGCAAAAGTATCAATGGAGTACATGGAGAATATCATGAAGGCCAAAGGACACACAGAAGGGAGTTAGTTCCACAACTAAATGCAGCAGAAAAGCCCAATAAATTAGCAGCTTCACCTCAACAGCTCTCACACTCGCCTCCCATTTACCCTACCCTGGGACTAAGAAAATATTCTCAAGACATAAGGTGTCGAATTGAGCTTTCACTGTTTTCTACAATGTAAGAGAGGGGCAGATTGACTCAGCATCAGAAATTGCCATGACATCAACTTTAAGAAATAGCCAATTTTTATCAGCATTTCTTTTTAAGATTTGGCTGTTTGCCTCCTTAATCAACCCTGATACTTTAAAGGAGCACTCTCAAAACTATGTTTAAAATTGTAAGTTCAATTTATCATTTCAAAGATGAAATGGACTTTGAATAGCTGAGAAGGAAACAGCGTCAATGTGTGTGAGAGTTCTAGCACCAGTGAAATACACTAAATGTCAATTTTCATATTTTTTTAGTCAGTTCATATATCTGTATCTATATATCAAATAAAATTAGTCACAACCTAACAAATGGCTAGGAATAGTAATATTTGTAAATTCTTGCAAATATGATATATAACACTGAGCCTATTCTCATTTGGATGGCTGAAGATTATTACTATCCAAAATTTCATAATTACATTCTTGGTAAATATGGGAAAGGTATATAAAGATTGTATAAGCAAATGTGCATTTATGTGCTAATGAGAGCTAATCATATGTTTGCAAGAAAGGCCACATAATTATAAAGAGTAAGACACTGTAAAAATTAGTGCTAATAAAATACACCTCAGGACATGTATTTTGTTTATTAATCTTATTCTTCCTACTCTCATTTCTTCTATTTCAGCATTTATTTTGTTTGTTTCTTCCAAATGCCTACATTTGTTTGTATTTAATTATAAAGGAAATGGTGGCAATGAAGGGGAGAAAATTTCTAAAGATTTAACTTTTCATCTTTTGTATTGAGATATATGATACAGTCACATAGATAAAGTGTATTAATCTTAAGTATACAACTTAGTAAATTTATACATGTGTTTATGAAGTTTATGTTCATGTAATCTCCACTTAGATTAAGCTATTAACCACTTATAGCACCCCAGAAGGTCTACCATGTTGCCTTCCTGTCCATCCACCCTCCACTCCCCATCAGGTTTTCCTATAATTGATCTTTACAAAAATGGAATAATGCAAAATATATTGAGGTTGACTTTTTTTTAGCTCAAAATAATGTTTCTGGGATTCATCTATGTTTGGCATATGTAAGCAATTAATTCATCTTATTACTATTTATTTTCATTGTGTGACTATACCACAGTTTATCCATTCTCCTGGTGATAAACATGATGAACATAAGTAGCGGCTCCATTTACACATGCATCAGTAGTATAAGATTCTATTTACTCCAAATCCTCATCTATGCTGGATATTATCAATCCTTTTAATTTTAGCTAATCTAGTGTATATGAAGTGATATTTCATTGTGGTCTTAATTTGCATTTCCTTGATAATTAGTAACATTGACCATCTTTTCACATGGCTATTTAGGCCATTTGGATTTCCCCTTTTCTTGAAGTTTCTGTTTAAGAGTTCTATTTTATTGAGTTATCTTGGTCTTCCTATATATTTGTAAGAATGTCTATTTATTGTATATGTGAGGACTTGTCAGATACCTTTCCAGATAGATAGATAGATACATTTTTCTCATTCTGTGGCTTACTTTTTCTTATAATACTGTCTTTTAAATAGTTGTTCTTATTTTAATGTAGTCTGATAATTTATTCTTAAAAAGTTTATTTTGTGCCCGATTTAAGAAAGCATTTTCTAATAGATATCACAAACATATTTGCCTATGTTTTCTTCGAGAAACTTTATTATTTTGCAATTACATGGTCTCTGCTCCATCTCAAATTGTTTTTGTCTGTATTTAGTGAGGAAGTGATCTAGGTTTTTTTTTTTCATATGTATATAAAGTTTCTGTGACCTATGTATTGGCAAACCATGGCTCGTGGACCAAATGTGGCTCAAGAAGCCCCTTAAAAGAGGATTTAGAAGTCAGAAATTTTGTTTTTCCTAATGGTCTTGAAGATGTAAGGTACTCTGTTGAGAGAGGATCTGTAAAACTCTGTGTGAGGGAGCCACATGGAAGGAACTTCAGGCATCCTCTAAGATCTGAGAATATCCTCAGTCAGCAAGAAAATGGGGGCTTGGACCCACAACCAAAAAAACACGTCTACCAACAACCACGTGAGCTTGGAAGAGGGCTGTAAGCTCCAGAAAGGAACACAACTCAGACAACACTTTGATGGCATCCTTGTGAGATCATGAGCAGAGGATCCAGCTCGGTACACTGGATTTCTGACCCACAGAAACACTGCGATAATAAATGTATGTTGTTTCAATCTGCTAAATCTGTGATAGTTTGTTACACAACAGTAGAACAGTAAGTGCTGAATTTTATTAATGCATTTTCTGCACCAATTAAGATATTCAAGCCGGGTTCACTGGCTCACGCCTGTAATTCCAGCACTTTGGGAGGCCAAGGTGGGCAGATCACCTGAAGTCAGGAGTTTGAGACCAGCCTGGGCGACATGGCGAAACCCGTCTCTACCAAAAATACGAATATTAGCCAGGTGTGGTGGCGGGTGTCTGTATTCCCAGCTACTCGGGAGACTGAGGTAGGGAGAACTGCTTGAACCTGGGAGGTAGAGGATGCAGTTAGCCAAGATCACGACACTGCACTCCAGCCTGGACGACAGAGTGAGTGAGACTCCGTCTGAAAAAAAAAAAAAAAAAAAAAAAAATCATGTTTTTTTTTCTCCTTGACTCTTATAATTTGATGAACTATATTGATTGATTTTAGTACTTGAAACCAACCTTGCATTCCTAACATAAGTTTCACTTATGGAGTGTTATCCCTTTATATATTTCTTAATTGTAATATTTTGTTTGGAATTTTATGCTCATGAGAGATATCGGCCTATATTTTTTCTTTTTTGTATTGTCTTATCAAGTTTTGGTATTGGTGTTACCGCTTCATAAAATGAGTTTGGAAGTAACTGTTCCTTATTTCCTATTCCCTGAAAGGATTTGTTGTAAAATTCGTTTCATTTATTCCTTAAATGTTTGGAAAATTCACCAGTGAAGTCTTTTGAGCCTGAATTCCTCTGTGAAAGTAATTTAAATAGACTCATTTTTTTTTTCAAATTGTTCCATAACTATTTATGCTATTTTCATCCTGTGTAGGTTTTTGATAAGTTTTGTTTTCTGATAAATTTATCCATTTCATCTATATTTTCAATTATACTGGCATAACTTTTTAATAATATCCTCTTATTACCTACTTCATATCTATTGAATCTGCAGCAATGTTCTCTTTTTTCATTTCTATGGCAATTTGTCTCTCCTTGTTTCTTTTTCAGTCTTCCTAGACATTTAATCATTTTTTGCAAAGCATCAACTCTTTGCTTTTTTGATTTTCATCTATTATAATATGTCTGTTTTCTTTTACTTTTTTTTGCTTTTCTGTTTATTATTTCTTTCATTTATCTTCGGTTTAAATTTTTCAGCTTATTGAATTATTCTTTTCAACCTTTTAAAAATACATGAATCAATTTTAACCTTTCTTCTTTTCCAATGCATGCATTTTCTATTACATTCAGTAGTGCTTTAGCTAAATAACAAAAGTTTCATCATGGTATATTCTGTACAATTTCAATTTTTTAAATTTATTGAACATGCCCTATGGACCAGCATGTGGTCAATATTGGCAAATATTTCATGTGCACTTAAAGAGAATGTATATTCATCAATATTTATGTGTAATATCCTATGAATTTCAATGACATAAAGCTGGCTAATAGTTTTTTTCAATCTTTCATACATTTACTTATTTTTAGCTGCTATTTCTATGAGATACTGAGATATGTTTAAATATTTGCCTACTTTTTTTCTGTAACTTTTGGTGTATGTTTTTTTGGAATTGTGTTATTTCAGCTTTTGTCCAAACGTGCTTTAATTTTGTATTTATTTTGGAGAAAAATGTCACCATGTATAAAATTCCATGTTGGCACGTTATCTTCATCATTATCAATATTATTATTTTATCCAGCATTTTAGCAATGTCATTTTGCAGTCTTCTACTTTCCTTTTTTATTGTTGTTGTTGAAATGCCAGCTGTCAGTCAGTGCTGCTTTTTTTGAGAATAATGTGTCATTTTAAATAGTGACTTTTTAAATTTCTATTTTTTATCTTCAGCTGTTTGATCGTGAAAAGTTTGAGTGTGATTTTCTTGCAATGTTTGCATTCATGAATTCAGGAACTCATTTTTTATTATAATTTAAGTTCTGGGGTACATGTGCAGAACATGCAGGTTTGTTACATAGGTATACACATGCCACGGTGGTTTTCTGCACCCATCAACTCATCATCTACATTAGGTATTTCTCCTAATGCTATCCCTCTCCTAGCCCCCCACCCGTGAACAGGCCCCAGTGTGTGATGTTCCCCTCCCTGTGTCCATGTGTTCTCATTGTTCAACTCTCACTTACGAGTGAGAACATGTAGTGTTTGGTTTTCTGTTCCTGTGTTAGTTTGCTGAGAATGATGGTTTCCAGCTTCATCCATGTCCCTGCAAAGTACATAAACTCATCCTTTTTTATTGATGCGTAGTATTCTATGGTGTATATGTGCCACATTTTCTTTATCCAGTCTATCATTGATGGGGATATGGGTTGGTTCCAAGTTTTTGCTATTGTGAACAGTGCTGCAATAAACATGTGTGTGCATGTGTCTTTATAATGGAATGATTTATAATCTTTTGGGTATATACCCAGTAATGAGATTGCTGGGTCAAATGGTATTTCTGGTTCTAGATTCTTGAGGAATTGCCACACTCTTCCACAATGGTTGAACTAATTATAGATTGAAATTCTCCATCTTTTCATCTAGATTTTTCTTAATTTTTTAAAATAATGGTTATTTTAAAGCCTACATCTAAAGTATCATCTATTGCTTCTATTGATAGTATTTTTCCCTTGGTTGCTGGTCACATCTTTCTGCTTCACTTGTCTCATAATTTAACTCAAACAAACCATAGCATGCCTATTACAAACCCAGTCCTCACTTTATGCCCAAACCTACCAAATGCTCCTAGGCCAAAAATTTTTCTCCAGATTTAGCACTCTCATTTTTTTAAAAACACAATTTTGGAAAAATTCTGCTATTTTCTACTTATTTAGTAGAATTTATGGCTTGCTGCTATGTATTACATTTTACTCAGTAGTGAAAGACTTTCAATATTTTTATTATAAAAATAGGTTTATATCATAGGACTATTTGTAAATGCTTTGAAACATCCATATATAATTGTGCAGAAATAAAACTTTCCTAGATTTCTCAGTGCTCTTGAATAAAGTTTTTGCTTTCCTGACCCACAAAACATTGTATATAATATAAAGATAGGGAATGTTTTCTTTCACTTCTCCCAAAAATATTCTACTCTTCGCATACCTTGACAATTAGATATGTAGCCATTCATCTAGTTTAATGATCTGATCTGAAGGGATAACAAAACTTCTCTTATCTCCTCTAGAGGCTCAAAGAGAGCAGAGACAAGGTCCTAAATTAAGCTTTAAGGTGTCAGAAGTGTGGGGACATTATATCCTTTGGTATTTACATCTCAAAAGAAATGCAGCCCATCATCTGGAGACTTTATTTGCTGTCTAGCTGGACCTTGGAAAGATATGTTTATATTCCTAATGTTTATGGTGAGAAGATAGGTTCCTCTTCAACTCATCATAATGGAATGAAAGATTTTTCCTTCCTTTTGGGAAAGGAGGAATCTGCTTGTCTCTCTCCTGTAAACAAATGGAGAAAATCTATTGTTCTTTGTCCATCATTTATGAGACATACACTGCTACCTGTGTAGACAAATTTTATTGGTTCTTATCACATCACTGTAAGACTAAGGTGTGGGAGATGCATGCTGCTATGTTACTCTGGTTGTCGATCTATTTATGAGTATCTGTTAAGAACTCCTTACTTCTGACCCAGGTGTTGTATCTCTAGTTAGGTCTATATCTATACCAATATCTATATCATCTATATCTGTGGGATAATATCTCAGACCTTTCACAATTCTTCACAAAACAGTACAACAGTACTTAAAGTTTCATATTTTAATTAAACCACTAGTATGTTTTATAAAAAATAAAATTATTTTAATTACTTGATTAGTTTTTCCTGAATGCATAGACTAAAATTATTCATTTGCTCATTCAATGAGTATTGTTTATATTCTCACTATGTACCAATCAAAATACTTTACCCTTGAGATACATTGGTAAATAAGTCAAATATGATCCTGACTCATGAGGAGAACACAGTTCAGTAGAGAAAAAAGCCTCAATTAATGTGCAAAATATTATAAATTTTAGTCTGATTCTTGTATTTCTACTGCTTGCATTCAACAATTTATCAAACAAATCATAGCAGAAAGAAATCTTACCCCTAGCCTCATGAAATAAAATTTTCTTTGAAGATGTTTGATAAGTAGTAAGTTCAGAATCGATAGTAAGTACAACAATGTAGTTAAAAGGGATAGTGTGCATGTATGTGTTAAATATATGAAAATGAGTGAGTAGATAATCATACTCAGCGTATGTGTATGTGTGTGTGTGTACACATATACACTACCTAGAGGTAGGGATCTAGGGTGGGAATGATCAGGTTGAGGATGAAAGGATCACAAAACATTTTCCTCTGCACATTCGTTCATATTCACTCAGCAAATGGCCATCAAGTGCTATATGCTAAGAACTGTTGTGAGTTAAATACATTAATCAAAGAACTTGATTTTTTCTCTAAATATTACATCGTTATGAGATTAAAAAACTGTTCAAATTTATTTAATAAAAATCCTATGCAGAAACTTAATAGTAGGTATTCAAATAACATATCCTAGTTTATAACTTATTTATTTTAACTATTGGACATTAATGTTGATTGTTGGCTACTAATTATTTTATTTTAATGAGAAAAATTATATTTTTAAAAGCACAGTTTAAATATAAAGAAGAATCCTTCTACTTAAAAGCATCATACCTCCATGTATCAACAACACAAATATAAGGTACGAACACATAATTGGGTGATTGAATTCTGTGAGTGCCTTATGAAGAAATATACCAAGAGTCATTCTGATGAGTACAAGTTCTAGCACCTAGTGCTTTGTAAGCCAAAATATGCCCTCTACTGTGTACATTTAAATTTAAATTCCATGGTAAGTATTACCACATAGACTTTATTCTATCTGTATAAAAAAAGTATATAATATTAGGACTTTGGACAATTGACCAGCTTGTTGTAATAAACCGAATATTTGAGGTAATATGTTCCAATCTTCTTCAAATTGTTTCTTACCTGAAACTTTCTGTTATTTTGAGACTAGATATTGGTTCTTTCTGAGTAAAGACACATGCATATGTTATATTTGGCAAAAAGAAAAAAAAAAGCCTTAACCTATAGGATATATATACACATATGTGTGTATATATATCCTGTAGGTTACATATACATATATATCCTATCGGTTATATCCTATAGGATATATATACATATATGTGTATATATATATGATACTAACATAAGCATCAAGTTCATTGCCATCTAAATATATATGCCATATAAATATATATATATATCCTATAGGTTATATCCTATAGGATATATATACATATATATGTATATATATGATACTAACATAACAAAAGCATCAAGTTCATTGCCATATAAATATATATGAGGGAAGTTTGATCAATACTTTTAGTTTAATATAGAAGATAATAGAACAAAGTTACCCTCTTGATTCTCAACTTGGGGAAAAATAAACACTGATTTTTCTTTTACAATTTGAAATACTGAGAGTTGAGGAAAACTATAAATACAATATAAATGTTTATAATAAGTTTTGTGCTGGCGAAAACACTGATGTTATCAACAATATTACACAGCTGAGGATGTGACTAAATAATACAAAGCAGGTAGCAGAGGAACAGAAGATTTGAACATATTCACTTCACAGCAGGAATTCAACTGGAAAGAGTTACATACCCAAAATTTTTCTTTCTGCCCTTGTGCTCCTCTCAGTGTGCCCCATCTACAATTAATAACAATAATAAAGATTGGTATGGTTAAAATGTTTGGTTTGCTTCTTGAGAGAATGCAGATTATTGTCATTCCTACATCTTTTGTGCTTTCTCTCTGTCCCATCCTGTTTCACAATGGAAATATCACCATTGCCCTACAGAAATGTGCTCATATAGTTTTCTTCTTTACCATAACATTATTTATGTGCACAGAACAGACTCATTTATATATAAATGGCTTGAAATCAAACTCATTGACCACAGGAGAGAAAGACTAAGGCAACTGGGGTACAAAGTTTTTAAAAGGACTTAAAAAATACTTATCCTCAAAGACTTCAAATTAACCCAAATGCCCATCAATGATAGACTGGAAAGAAAATGTGGCACATATATACCATGGAATACTATGCAGCCATAAAAAACAGTGAGTTCATGTCCTTTACAGGGACATAGATGAAGCTGGAAACCACCATTCTCAGCAAACTAACACAAGAACAGAAAACCAAACATTGCATGTTCTCACTCACAAGTGAGAGTTGAACAATGAGAACACATGGGCACAGGGAAGGGACCATCACACACTGGGGCCTGTTTGGGGGTCGGGGGCTAGGGAGGGATAGCATTAGGAGAAATACCTAATGTAGATGACTGGTTGATGAGTGCAGCAAACCACCATGGCACGTGTATACCTATATAACAAACCTGCACGTTCTACACATGTACCCCAGTACTTGAAGTATAATATTAAAAAAAAAGAAAAATAAAAATTAGATTAAAAAAGGAGGTACAACCATATTACAGAAGAAATTAAAAGTCATAAATTGATTAAAATACTTATCCTCTTTATGTCTAGCCCCTTGAAACTCTACCAAACAAATCTACCACTCTACCTTAAATGGCATAAACTAAACATTTCCAGAACTACTGTTATAAACCATAATGAAAACACAGATAATTTTGTAGTTTATGTAAAAATATTTATATATACATATTATTTTATAAAGTGGCTTTGTGCCTAACGTAGAATTTTTGTAAACACATGTATGTATGGATACAGAAGCTTATATTTCCACTACTGGTCCATTCTGAATGTAGCACATGACAGCTCATAAAAAACCTAAACGTACACGATTTCATTTTTCTTCATGATTAAATCCAGCGAGGTAGGTATTATTAACCTGTTTTATTTACTGAGATAATGGAGACTTGTCCAATATCATACACTGGGAAGTGTTGAGCCAAGGCTCCAAGTCTCACATTCTTCTTAATACATTATATTGCTTTTCTTTTACAGACATATAGGCCCCACTTGTAGTGTGTACTTACTTTCATGTAATTTGGTGAATTATGAGAACACAATTAATTCTGCCCGTGTATTACCACATTAACCTAAACCTAATATTCAAACTTCCAACAGCAGGGCTCCTTTAAGCTAAATTATGGTCTGTCATTACAGAACAAACATTCCTAGAAGAGATGCAAATTTCCAACCTGGTGAGTTTGCAGAAAGCTATTTTTAATAGGGCACAGAATAGAATGATGGCACCACAGCACGGAGGTATTGCCTAAAGATGACAAGTTTATGGTAGGGCTCTTGGGACACACACACACAAAATATAATGTATTTGGATCCTTTGGCATGAGAGTGAGGGAAGAAAAAGTGATTTGGGGTGTGAGAAAACATGAAGAATAATTTTGCTTTCTCCTATTCCTGATAGAGACTAGGTTGCCTTCCCACTTTGTAAGATCTTTCAGACTTCTTGAGCTTGGTGCATTGAGGATGGTGCATGGAAAGAAGAAGAAATAGAAAAGTCATACAAAGGAGAAGAGGCACTTCAGAATGTGGTGTATACCTTTTATTATTTTAGTATTACTGAATAAATTAAAAGTGAAATAAACTCCCTTAGCTTGGAAACTTTTAAGAAATACGAACTATTACTTTTACTTTTGTTCAACTGCTATCAGTTTTCATTATGTTTCTACATATTTTGTTACAATTTTCCAAAAAATAATTTCAATGATGCAAAAGACAAGAATAATTCTTGCAAATCTTTCAGCTCTTTAGAGTTGCTGTAAGTTTCTTTTCAAGAAACATGTTTATTATATATAATTTTAAGACGCTCATTTAAAACACCAGTCATTCTAAACCCAGAGAGAATAGCAGCATTCGGATTGTTACATGCTTTCTCAAAATGGGCAGCCAAACCAATTATCCAAGTCATTGACTAGAGGTGACAGAGGAAAAGGAAAGTATGGCAACTGAATCTAATAGTTTCAGAGACTAAGGTGCTGGTATAAAAAAATTAACAAAAGGTGTTAACCTTTATGCAAAATTCAAATGAAAAGAAAATATCACACATGGAAAAATAACACCACAGAAGCTATTGTGCAGTTAGTTCACCTATGTTACAGCCTCTGTGTCAAATGACAAGCAAAGTCCATTCATCACAGGATTTAACATTTGCACTGCAACCTTCAGCTATCTCCTCTCCTCTGTCTTCTCTAGACAGCTTCTAAGACAGTTATCAAATATTTCATAGAGTTGCAATGGGATGTTGTAAAAAAAAAATAGATCTGCGGGTTCTTTCCCCGATGATATTATAGCAAATTCCTGTGGTTAAAACCTTTATTTAAACTAAAATAAAGGTTAACTAGTGCAAAACCAGAAGGCTACTCATTTTATTCACTTACAGGAAAGAGTTCCTGTCTTCTTGAGGGCATTTTTTCCTAATATATGTATGTTCCTAAATTGTGGTACCATTCCTTTACTTGCTATTATACCAACAGGTTGAAAATTCTAGAAATATGCATATATTTTCACAAATGTTCTCTTATAAGTCAGTGACTGTCTCTGAGGATATGAGGATCTTCATTATATTCATATTTGCTCTAAATATAACTATGTGTACTCTATTTCCCTTTACATATACCTCTTCATTTGAAGATTATTTACAAACATTTGTTTAGACAGACCAGAACCTTACTTTACTGAAGTTATTTCTTATTTATTTATTTATTTATTTCTGAGACCGAGTCTCACCCTGTTGCCCAGGCTGGAGTGCAGTGACACAGTATCGGCTCATAGCAAACTCCGCCTCCCAGGTTCCAGCGATTCTCCTGCCTCAGCTTCCCGAGTAGCTGGGATTACAAGCATGTGCCACTGTGCTCAGCTGATTTGGGGATTTTTAGTAGAGACGGAGTTTCACCATGTTGGCCAGGTTGGTCTTGAACTCCTGACCTCAAGTGATACTCCCGCCTCGGCCTCCCAAAGTGCTGGGATTATAGGTGTGAGCCACTGTACCTGGCCTACTGAGGTTATTTCTATACCTTTGTGAGCACAGTGGGTTCACAAGCTTGAGAGATCTTAATACTGGCTATTTGGTTTTTGTTTTGTTTTGTTTTTCCTCAAGGAAATCCACATAATACGGTTCTTTTAAATTGTTTCTACTTCATTAAATTAAATTGTTTCAATTATTTTTTAAGACTCATTAATAACTTTTTCTCTCAAAATTTAGTGATACCTGGGAATATGCTGGTTTTGAAAAAAATCTGGGCAGCTCTTAGCCCATCTACCACATTCCCTAAGGATGCATGAGTGCTGCCTGAGCCCTTCAGTCTCCCTACATTGAGACTGGGTTTCCGTCTCTCACTCAATGCACATAATTATTTAAGCTCTTCCTTCAGGATTTATTTTATATGCCCACTTTTCATGAGTTCCAGAAACACTACTTTTTTATATATATGAAAAGTCTTTATGGAAAGACCATAAAGTTCCTGCAGAGTAAGGTATTAAAACCCATGAAAGAGTGATTTAAGATCCTGTACTTCTAAGGTTATTAATATTTCCATGCATGTTCCTTTTAAAAGGGATATTGTTCTTTTTAGATAACTATGCTAAACACTAAACTTTTCTAAGCCCTATTTTAAGTTATGCCTAGATAGTAAAATTATTGGAACAGAATAATTTGCATATGATTTTAAATGATATTTTTTTCTTTTCTTTGGTTTTGGTAGATTTTGTCAATGAGGCCCATACACCCAGTGAAGTCATATTAGATGCCATAAATAAGAGAGGGTTGAAAATAAAACTTTATTAAAGCAAAATTTATATTCCTATAAGTATCCCTTTTAAGGTAAGCACAGAATCTCTCTTGTATACTACACCTGTTAGTTTCTACTTTTTTTTCAACAAATTACTGGTTAGCCCAAAGAAGACATATATTTTGCTTTCGAAAAACTGTCAGTCTAATGGGACTGATATTGAGGAATGAAAAACAAGAATATAAATAGATAGAATTCTGTAAGTGTCACTTTTAAAAAGAGCATGTTTTGAACATTTCTACAAGTTAACACATGAAAACATTAACTCTCCGCCAAAGGCAAAGATGACTTTGTTCAGAGTTGAGTAGAAATTTCTTCTTGACATGGGAGTGTAGAATTTATGGCAAAATCAGCAGGTGCAGTCATACAGCCATGAAAACCTCATCTCTGCCTATTCTAGGAGCAGCACTTAGTCCAGTGTGACTGAAGAAAAGGGATGGGAGTGGTGGAGAATGAAGTTAGGCAGGTGTGGCTCAGTCCTCCAAGATGGTTACCAGACGTGGCATTTACAAAGTTGGTGATAAAGAGCCATTTGAATATGGAATGTGACATGATCCGGATTATCTTTTAGAAAGACAGCTCTGGTGTTAGCATCGGGTATAGTCTCCAGTGAGAGCCGGCTAGAAGCAAAAGATTTATGTTGCAATTCAAGCAAGAAATAATGAAATTCTGAATAAGAATGTAAGACCCATAAAGTAACGTTGTTTGTTCTTTTAACAGTTGTATCCTAAACATCTAGGGCAATGACTTTCACACAGTTGACCCTAAATAGATATTTGTTGAGCCAGTGAATTGAAGTACCTTGGCAGAGGGAATAAATGAGAGGGAACAAGTTTGAGAACTACTTAGAAGGTAAAAGTGATGGAATTTGTTGGCCAATTTATATGGAAAGAAAGGGATGAGAAAGAGTCAAGGTTAGCAACAGCATTTCAAAGTTGAATGAATAGGTACATCAAATGTGCACTACTTGAGGTGAACTTCATATTATACAGAGATGTGTTTCTGATTATCCGGTTAGTTTATCATTGCCTAAGACAGTGGTTACAGAATTGCTTCACCTTCTTCTGGATTTTCTCTACTGATATGGCTCTACACATAAACCTTTAAATTAATGGCTTTTCTGTGTTTCTGACAAACAATAAGCCTAAGAACAAAGAAAAACTAATTTCCAAAAGAAATTCTGAAGCAATCTTTCTCTACAGGAATTCTTCTGTGATGAGAATAATTATTTCCTAACTCATGTGTTAAGAACACATTTGCTTAGGGATTGGATTCCTTAAAGCCAGTCTCACAACCATCTAAGAATCTGGAGTTAGAAGAAAAAGAAAAATAGTTTTATTTTATTATGATGGTAGGTATATTACACTGTAGCAGAATCACCCAGACAAAAATGTTCCAATATTTTGGAAGATTTGCTATTTCTGGGGTCTCTGCACGTACCCAATAGACTGATAACAGGGATTCAAATTCATGTTTTCTGGGCAGACAAACTCTGTATTAGTGAATATAGATCCAGACAGATTAAAAAAAACAGTTTTAAAACAGTGGACATGTAAAGATATTTTATACAGGACACCCTACTTGAACAGGAAATTTTGGAGCAAAACAAGGAGCAAATATATCATATAACCTGATATGGAACTCCAACCCTTCTTATTAAGGAAATGAAACTCAGATAGGCTATCAGGATAAAGAAACCACTAGATGGGCTTCAAGTCAATAACAATGATACAACTACACTGGATATAGGATTTTGCTTTCAGAGGTAAGACTACAGATAGAGTCTTAGTTCCCATTACACAAAGATTTGAAAGATAACTGCAGGAAGAATAAGGAAAAGATATGCAGGCTTTTATTTTCTTATACATGTTCTACCTGAGATGCTTAGGAACTTCGTTTTTAAGAAAAGCTCATGCCTAGTAAATGAAGTGTTATTGAATATGAAAAAGTGCTAATTAATGCTAGATCAAAGATGGATAGAAACAGACTCCACAGGAAAGCAACATGAAATGTGGGCATTCCCTACCACCACTTAATTTTCTACTTGAGCAAAATATTAATCAAGCTAGGGTTCAATATATCTAAGATCAGGTACTTTTATCGATATGTTCTGCCAGGAAGCTACAAATTTTATCACAGGTTGAGGAGCAGATGATGGCTCATGAAATAGCATTTTTCACATGAAAATATTAATATCACACATGATCCTGTGTACCTAACGTTAATTATCTAAACAGCTTTATACAATGCCTACCATATTCCTTATATCCTGATGTATCAGGAAGCAAGAAGATTACAAGTGTAGTATCACATGTAATTTGACCTATGAAAAGAAGTTTGGAGAAAATTGATAAATGTGTGTGCCCAGTTCATACTCTGGTCAGAATGACCTGCTGTAGAACTGAGAGAACTGTCCTTCTGTATTTACTATGCTGACAGAATATGCATTAAAACATCTATACATCTACAACAATGTGACATGTGCTAAGCAAAGAGAGAGCAAAGACCAAAATCATATATCATGATCAATGACAATTGACTAGGGTAATATCTTATGAAGAGAAACTTTAAGGGAAAACTTTATCCCTTTGATGTTAGGAATAGAAATGGCTTTTTGCCTTCTCATAGAATCTTAGCACTGGAAGGAGACTCAGAAATTATAGCATACTATAAGGGTTGGCCAGCTATGGTTTACAGGCAAAATCTAGCCTGGGATGCCTGTTTTTGTTAATAAAATTTTATGGAATATTCGTGCTCATTTATTTGCATATCGTCCATGTCAGCTAATGGTAGAATTGAGTAGCCAAGACCCCATGGCCCACAAAACCAATCAGACTCTAATTCATTTTATATATTTCATAGATAAAGGGACTGAGGCCCAAAAGGTTAAATAGCATTTCAAGATTATATGCTTAAGTGGCTAAATTATCACTAGTGTCTTAGAAGCAGATAATAACACAAGCAATAAAAATTAGAACTAGAAAAAGGCAGAAAAAGAGTAGAATCATTTCTAGCTGTGGTGAAGAGGAAAGGCATAATAGGCCTTCGATAATCTGTAGAAGATGCCAGGGGAAATGAATGCGTATCTGAGAGAGAAGAGCATCAAATAATGTAAGGAGGTGGCCTTCATGCATTCACAGAGAAATCGTGAAAGTTTTGGAAGAGAGAGGGATTGTAGGCAGCCATAGGAAGATCAAACTAGTGATGGTGAACAAGATATATTAAATGGAAAAGTGTGGGGTTGGAGGTAGGGGAAACAGTTGGGTCATTATACCAATATTCTAACCAGGGTTGCATTTATCACATCCAAGTCTCATTTATATCAAGAAATGTAATGAACACAATTGTTACATTGATGGGAATGGAGAAGAGTAATATTTAATGCATTTATCTTAAGGATCAAAATAAATCAAAGTTGTCACTTAATGCCACAGCTAGTACTCATTAATCATGTGCAAAATTTGTTTTTTCTGTAGCCCTTTCCTTTTTATTGTGGCTCAGACTTGGGCTGACTTTCTCTTTGGTCTTATTGAAGTAATCAGTAATATCCTAGATATTTCTGTGCAGAGAAGACATTGCAAATTGCCATAGCAACATATGCCTTTTAACAAAACTCTTGGTTCATTCATTATCAGAATTGTCATGTATATGTGTGTGTGTGTGTATATATATATATATATATATATATATATATATATATATATATATGTATGTATTTATATAATATTCTTGGAGGATCGGATAAAATCCTAACCCTAGATTCTGCAGTGGTAATCTCATATCACATGCATATACAGATGTATAGTAATAACCCAGCAAGTGCTCTCTTTTTCATGGGACAACCAATCCATATTTCAGTTGACAGAAGTCAGAAGCCACCTTATAGCTTAGCCCTGATGTCCTCTCCCTTCACCCCCAAATCTCTGGAAATTCACAAACATAAACTTTCTAAATCACTATGTGAATTCTATTATATTTGATAATTTGAGAGCAACACCTATGACAGAGGTATTCAATTATAAAATAAAATCACCAAAAAGTATTAAGCTAACTTTGGAAGGTAGCACTGTACCAGGGGCTAATAACATTTTATTTCACAGGCATCCCAAAATCTGAAGTGTCTATAGACATTAAAACTAGTTGAGGCTGGGCGCAGTGGCTCACACCTGTAATCCCAGCACTTTGGGAGGCCAAGGTAGGCAGATCACCTGAGGTCAGGAGTTCGAGATCAGCCTGGCCAACATGGTGAAACCCCGTCTCTATTAAAAATACAAAAATTAGCCAGACATGGTGGCAGGTGTCTGCAATCCCAGCTACTCAGGAGGCTGAGGCAGGAGAATAACTTGAACCCAGGAGGCGGAGGTTGCAGTGAGCCCAGATCATGCCATTGTACTCCAGTCTGGGCAACAAGGGTAAAACTCCATCTCAAAAAAAAAAAAAAAAAAAAAAAAAAACATGACTTGAAAGCCATTTTATAAACCTGCTAAAGCATAATCTCAAACTTTGTATAATCCATTGCTCCCAGATCTCTATAAATTTAAGGAACTGACTGTAATCACCTTCCCTAATTGAACAATTGTTCATGCACTGCATCTGTCCTTGGTATTTCCCAACTAAAAAAGTTTTGTTTTCTACCACAGTGATTTAATGCAATCCAATAGAGGTTAAGTGTAAATGACCAAATTCCTACCACTTATGTGTCTTTCTTAAACAAATAGAATCACATTATCTAAGATCATAAAAAATTTTATCGCATTTACCAAAGAAATTGTTTCTTCCTGTCATTACATTTCTCTTTTCCTTACTACCTTTATTCATCTACCTGTGAAATCAAGGTAAGGTAGGTCAAAATTAAATAAATAAATAATAAATTTTAAAAATAAATGTAAAATTATATCACATTATAGATAAATACTCATTAATATCATAATTAGAATCATTCTAAATTCTATTTTTTTAATTCTGAAAATACATTCAGAGTAATAAAAAAGTTAAAGAACGTTTGAATTTTAAAAACTAAAGAAAGTATAAAGTGAGCATAAGGGAGCAGACACATATCTCATTTAATCCTCACAATAAGACAGAGGGAAACTTATTATCCCAGTGGAATAGATGAGAAAACCATGATGTAGAGAGATCATACGACCTGCCTGAGATCACCCAGCGAGGACAGAACTAGCATTTGAATCTAAGCTTGACCCCAGTATCCTCGTTCTTTATGCTATAAAGCATTCCTTCACAATCAAGACTAGTCCTACACTTGACCTCAAGTCAAAAAGTTCTTTCTCTCTCTCTGACACACACACACACACACACACACACACAGTTTTCGTAAGTGACATTTTTTTGGAATGTAAAGATAGCTTTCTAAGAATTCTTTTAAAAACAACATTCCTACAATGTCTTTGCCTGAATAAAAAGAAAGCTTTTCCTTCTTACTGTTGTTATTTGCCTTGTCTTGCTTTGTTTTGTAATAGGTCAGTTCATAGCAATAGCACTTACGGAGTGGAACAGACCTGATCAGTGTTTGAGATGATGAATCAATGAAGGACCAGTGTCAAACAAGACAAAACAAATGGAACACAAACTGTTCTGTCAAGTTGATTCAGTACTGACAGACAAGGCAACATGATTCAATCAGCACTGAAAACAGAAAAAAAATAAAGCCCATCTATCAGTTTCAACATCCCCAGGGCCCTCTGCACCTCTACTCTTCCGACAGTGAGTTCAGCTCAAAAGATCCCAACAGTCCTGTGGGACCTCTCAGTGGCTTCCTTGAGTGACTAATTGATGGCTGCAACAAATCCAAGGGTCATAATTTACTTTATTTTATTTACCAAGGCTCTCCATGTTATTCATCTCCATATCTCCAGCACTAGCAGGATGCCTGGTACACAACCATCACTCAATAAAATTTGTTGAAAGTTTGAATTAAGAATAAACTTGAGAGTATATAAATAAATGAAATAATTTCTATTTCATATTATATATTTCATAATTTATAATTTATATTGGTTGCATTTTTTTCACTTTGTAGTAAGGTTCAAATATTTTTGGAAGTCATTCAACATAACAGCCAAAGGATTTTCTTAGCCTTCATGTAATCTTTTCTTTTCACCACCTTTAATACACCCACAATATAGAAATATATTAATGCCAAGTAAACTCACATAAAAGAAATCATATTTGTCAGGACTTAAGGTGGGCATAAAATAATATTGTAATGACATTTGAGCATGCAATTATAACAGCAGACACGAATTCAAAGATTCAGCAAGAAGAACCAACTGTCATTTATTTATTTCTTTTTCTTCAGACTTCACTGGGCATTTTTTTAGTCCTGGTTTTATTTGACATCTCAGCAACATTCCACACTACAGGCCATTCCTGCCTTCTTAGAACTCTCTTTCCTCTAGGTCTGTGTGACATCAACTCCTCATTGTTTTCCTCTTCCCTGTTTGGCCATTTCTTTTTAGTTTTCTGATAATCTTCAGTAATTTAAAATCTTCTGGAGGTAATTATAAGGTAACTTTTCATTGAAAAAATTCAGATTAAACTATCTGGACCTAAAGCTATTTGGGGTAGTATTAATTTATTTCCTCAATGGTTTAACCCTATAATCATTTACTTAATCTAATTTTCAACTCAGATTAAATTTATGTGTTTCTAGAAAATTAAATCATAAGGATTGATGAGTTGGCTTTATTAATATCATAATGGCAGTAATTATAATGATGATATTTAAAATAGTAACAGTTGTTGCTAACTCTGTGTATAGTGCTTCAATTATTTAATGCTGTTCTAACTGCTTCCCATACACTAACTCAACGCCATGCTCCTAGTCCTAATACAGCCAAAAATATTCCTAAACATGAAATGTATAATTTTAAAATGTACCTTAATAACAAGATTCTAATGTTTTAGCTCAAAACTCCTGGATTATATTTTTAAGTTTTAAAATTTATTTATATAGTATACATATAGAGATTATCATATATATGTGTGCTCTTGCATTCTAAAAGTTCCAAACAATTTAGTAAGCATGAAACAAAGCTTTTGGATTTCTTTTGAGTTGTTTTAATGTGTATAATAGTGTATTTCTTTCCATATCAATAGACCAAAGTTCTTTTCTTTTCTAAATTATACTAATTTTCACTATCACTGAATGTCATCTTTTTACAAGCAAAAAGTGATTTTCTAAAAATCGTGTGAGAATTACTGCATATGGAGATGAGTAAGCTCATGAGGAGCAAGCATAAGTGACTTATTTTCAAACACCAGCCTTACAGCTCATGTTTCAAATTTTCTTACAAACATTACATATTGAAATAACTCTTGAATTCTAGGGCTACTTTGCAAGTCATAAAAACCAGGAATGTTCGATTCAAAACTGTCAAATATCTACGTTATTACTTTTATGATCAGAAAACAGTAAACATTATTTAAAAATATATCTGAATATATTTCATATATTGTATATCATAAATATCTACATGTAGCCTTCAAATGTGTAATAAAAAATGTACAAGCCTTCAAAATTTCAATGTAAGAATCTCTGAAATATAGCATTTATCTGAAGAAAACAAAATGCACGGTACTTAATAGTAGTTTTTAAAAAGTAAAAATACCTATATTATCTCTTTATTAGTTAAAAAAATTCAATTTAAGTTGTTCTGAGGTTTTTGTTTTGTTTTTTAATCTCACTTGGAAAAATAAACAAGAAAATAACTACATAAATATTGAGAAAAATGAGAGCAATGAAGCAATGCGTGCAATACCTGGTAGTAAAACTAAGTGGAATACATTGAATTATAAAAGTGAGCATGTTGAACAAGACACCCTAGAATCAAACCCTAATAAATTTATATAAGAATTTAATAAGCAATAAAATGCATTAAAAGAGTGAGGAAGAGGTACATTATTAATTATGCAATATTGAAGCTTTTAGTTCAGAGTTTGAAGAAAAAAATTAGATCTTCACCACACATCATATGCCCAAATATCTTTCAGGCATACTTTTGACATAATTACATAATAATTTAATAATGTATAATAATAATTAATATAATGATTTAATAACTATTATTTAATATTTAAATTATTATTTGATTATTACTTAATAATTACTTTAATATATAACATATAATTATATAATATGTTATATATAATACATTATAATATATTATATGTTGTATATTATAACATATGTAACATAATATTTAGTATAATATATAACTTTTAAAAATCTAGAATAAAAGTTAAAATATTATACAGGTCAAAACCATCAGAAATAAAATTACAAAATCCAACAATAATGGGGTTTACTCAATATTCTAAAGGGATATTTCTTCTCTACGGACTCAAAGTTTGTGTCCCCCCAAAATTCCTATGTTGAAATCTTAACTCCCATTGCAATGGTATTAGGAGGTGGGGTCTTTGGGAGTGATTACTTGATGAAGGTGGAATCTTCATAAATAGGATTAGCCCCTATAAAGGACACCATAGAGAGCTCCCCTGTGTGAGGACACAGCAAGACAGTCATTTATGAACAAGAAAGCAGGCCCTTCATCAAACACCAAATATGCTGGTACTACAATCTTAGACTTTCCATCCTCCAACACTGTGAGAAATAAATGTTGTGTAGGTCACCCAGTGTATGATATTTTTGTTACAGCAGTCTGAAGGAACTAAGACAGCTTTCAATGCATAATGAGCTCATACACAACAAGTTTTAAAAACTAGCACTCTACTAGAAAAATAAACAAAGAACAACAATAAAGAGTTCACAGTAGAGGATGCTCAAATGAATAATTAACACGTTCGCCTTTAATTCTGGGCCATTTTCTACTCCAGTTTTCACTTGTACCATCTCTACAGCACCTGCACATGCTCAGGTAGGGTTCTTCTCTTTGCTTCTATATACTTTTATGCCATTCATTTCTAAACCAATGAATTTACAATATTACCTGTCCATGTAGCTGTCTCCACTATTAGACTATGTGCACTTCAAGGTCAGGCAAATTTATGTATGTATTTCCCGGAGCTCATCTTTGCCAAAGTGCATCAGGAAAACATTCCTTTTACTTTTTAAATGTTATTCAGCTTCCACTACTTGCCTTGCAGTTTACTGAAATCCTCTTTCTTTACTTTGGTCACAGTTCCTAAACTCAGATTTATCTCAAAGTAGAATGACTCAGAACTAGGATGCTGAACTGAACTGCTTGCAAACGTAAAAGACATATTGGTCTCTTTATCAGGAACATCATTTCAAAGGATACGGGGAAAAGAGATGTCACATGAACACGTCTTAGAATTTACACTGTAAATCAAACAATGTTGCTGCAAAGGCATGTAAGTTAATATAGAAACAATGGAAGAATGTAAAGAAAACTCAGAGACAGGGAAGAAAGCCAGGATAGGCTCCAAGATCAGTAAGTAGTCATCATTAAATAGAAGAATGGCCCCCTGTCTTGGCTACCTCTTAGTATCATTTTTTATTAGATTCCTCCTTGCTCTACACTTACTCATAAGTTCCTTCAGATTCCTTTAATATGTCATATTCTATCTCCCTGTGAGATTAGGCATTTCCTGCTCATATTTCCTGGAGCAGCTTTCTGTTTTCATATATCCTTAATACTTTCTACTTGCCTGACTACATTCCACAGTAGGTGTCATTTTTTCCTGGCAACCTTCCCTGGTCCCCAGATTTGGAATTATGTGCCTTCCTAGATAATGCACATCTTCGCTACTCAATGTATATCCCTATCCTATCTCCATCTACACACTTAAGACATTGGACATTGGCACTTTCTTCTCTCTCTCTCTCTCTCTCCCTCCCTCCCTCCCTCTTCTCTATCTCGATGCTGAGGACAGAGGCACTATTCTATTGATATTTGTATTCTTAATGCCTGCCATGGTACTTGACATGTATTATGTGTTTTTAAAGAATTTCTTGTTGAAAAATTAAGCAAATGTTTTAATCTATATATTAAACATGTAGTTCAAAGCAAGAAAGAATATAATTTTAGATATTAAAAAAACTGCATTTGTTTTTATCCTAAAGAATTTTCTAGTAAAAGAGGGAACAGAGCAATTGTTTGAGAAAACCTAAGAGGCAACCAGACTTTGAGGAATCTTGACACTGTATCTTTCCTTTTCACACACACACACACACACACACATACACGTACGTGTACGCATATAGATACAGTATTCATAGACCATTAATTTTGAAGTCAGATAACCTGAAGAGTTGTCTTAACACTCTCAGTCTCTTATTTCTGGCAAAATGAAATAATAATTCCCACCTCATGAGGATTTTAAAAGTATGAGGGTTGTATTTCGTGAGAGTTCTACTACAGTTGTTTAGTGATAGTTCTACTACCGTGATTATGGATATAGTTGGTATCAAAAGCATGTATTACTTTATTCATATTTTTGAGACAAGGTCTCTATGTTGCCCAGTCTGTTCATGAACTCCTAGGCTCAAACAAGATTTTTGCCTCAGCTTCCTAAGTAGCTGGTACTACAGACACACACCATTGCACCTGGCTGTTCAAGCTTATAAAGCAGGGATTCTCTAAATTTCTCAGTGAAGACTCTCTAAAGAGAGAACATACAATCTCAGAGACCCTGAGAGATACAGACCAAGGTAGCTCTCTACAAACTCAAAATTTGAATCTCTAATGGGTTTTTCCTTTAAAATTTATGCAAATTTGGAATTCTACTCCAAAATATAACTCATTAAAATGTTCCCATCAAATCTTTTCATTTTCCAGTCACCTTTGCATTTGGGTGGAGCCATTGAATGAGTTCTAGCCAAAGGAATATGAATGGAGTTGTGGATTGTTTCTGAGTTAAGGCTTTAAGAAGCACATTTAAGAAGGCTTCCTTATGCTCTTCTTCATTGTCCCTAGGCTGGATGAGATCACAACATGTGACCCTCACAGATGATAGATCAAGAAAATGGGAAGAGCTTCAAAGCCCTGAAACCATATAAAGGAGAGTCACCCAACAACTAAAAGCACCCATCCTAAACTATTATGTGAACAAGAAACAAACCTCTATTAATATATTTGAATTATTAAATATTTTGAGTCTATTTGTGGTAGTGGCTACTGTTATTCAAACCAGTGCACCCCACCAAAAAAGAAAAGTGCAAGGAGGAGAGAAGCCTTTTGCAATCGAAAGACATTCTAACACCCGAATTAAATGTTATTGCAAAGTCTATACTAATTATCGCACATTTATTTGCATTTGCTAAATAAGCATAGTAGAAATGTTCATTCAACTGTCTTAGACTTCCCCATGCATTAAGAACCTCTAATTAAAACATCTGCTCTGAATTGATCAATTTGCCAGAGGTTAAACATAACATAGCATGAAAATTCAGCTTAGCATTCAGTTGTTTTTCAAAAAGACAGAGGAAAAAGAAAAGATAAATGGAGAAAAACAAATGGTGGCCCCAACAAAACTATGTCAAATAATTTGTAATTGCCCTAAATAATAATTTATGATCTTGGATTTCTTAAAATTTATTTGTATGGAAAATATGGTAAAAATACATTAAAATTCAGTACTGAGGCATTATTTTTCTGCTCTCCTAAAGGGCAAATATCTTTAACCAGAGCTAGATAGACAGATGATAGATAGATAGATAGATAGATATAGAGATATCAATGGTTTATGACTACAAAGTATGGTAACTTATTGAGGTACCTAAAATAGAAAACTATGGCTTTTAATCACTTTATAAAACTGTATTCTTAACCTGTAAAATATTATTTCCTTATTATTACATAATTACTTTTTTATTTTCTCATAATGGTTTTAAAAATCTAACAAAAAAGAAACTAAAGAATCCTAAAATCACTGAGATCAGAATTATCATGACAAACTATTATGTGAACAAAAAATAAACTTCTATTAATATATTTGAATTATTAAATATTTTTAGTCTATTTTGACTCAATCATTTTTCTATCTTCTCCAAATTCCTCAATTCTCTCCTTTTATCAGTCTTATGCCATTTATCAGTCTTTCTGTCATTTTAGTAACATATCAATCTTTGAGTTGATGTGTTATGCATATCCTAAACCCTTTTTTCGTTTCTGACTTTTTATTGCACCCATTTGGAAAATCATCAGTCTTGGATGAACTCATTTTCCCATTTCTCTTTGCATACAGATGAGCAGTTGACCACAACTGCAGAAAGCACACACAAGAGGGCAGAAAGGTACTATTACCAATGCCTAATGATCCCTTTGGGTTCCCCTGGTTATCTTCCCCTCCTAAACACCTAGATGACCATTACAAACTATCTAATTTTCCTCACATTTCTAACTGTACATTCCTCTCCTCCCACCACATCTTTTTTCTACAGATAACCTAACCTTCTAGCTCCTAAAGATAAAAGAGGCACTCCAACAGAAATTTTTCTAAACTTACCACTACTCTAAACACCAAAACATTTTCAACTAACCTCATTTTCTCTCCAGATACAACAGAGTTACCACTTGGTCCCCTCTCTAAGACCAATTTCTATGCATGCTCTTTGAATACCAACCTTTCCAGGCTTCCAGCTTTCTAAGAAACCCTACATTAGCAACTCTCTCCTACTTTTTTCTTTTTAAACCTCACTGGCCTCTCCCACTCTGTCTCTGTAAACTCATCCATTTCTAGTCAGTAAATAAATATTGAATGTTCTCATGGCTTAGTCTCAATCAGTCTGTCTTCTTTTTCTGTGTAGCCCTACCCATGCTCAACTTTTCTCTCTCCTGTGAGATCAGTAAATCTGCCTGTTTTTTTTTTTTTTTTGATACCCGTTGGCACTTTTTTGTCTCAAAAACATCTCTAAACTATGAGATCCCACAGTAGACTTTTTCTCCATCTCATTGTATGACACCGTTCCCTGCCATAATTCTAAAGGTGGATCACTCTTGACTTCTCCTTCACCATGCCCCATTACAAACTCACATCATGTCTTACAGCTTTTCTCCCCAAATATGTCTTGATCCACTCATATCTCCCAACTCTTCCACCATCTTACCAAGTCCAAACTCTTGTCTTTTACTTGCAATACAGAAATTTGCCTCTATATCACTCTCTTTATACTCAGAGCAATCTTTAAATAATGCAAACAAAGATTATGCCACTTTTCTACTTAAAAAACTTCAATTACTTTCCTTTGCTCTTTATATCTTTAACCACATACTTAACATCCTCGACAAAAATCTGTGATATAGTCTACAAGTCCTGCCATTTGTGATTCAGCAAATACAATCTTCCTTGTGTCCACACAGTGTTGTGTAGTCTTCTAAGCATAGGGACTTCACACAAGTTGCTCCCTTTGCATGTTTCTATACAACCCATAAATCCCAGCTCAGACTTTACTTCCTCAGCGACGTTTCTCAGATCTTCAAAATTGGGCCAAATCTATCATATGTCTTCTTACCACTTTCTACCTTTCCTTTATAAAATAAAATTGCAGAAATTCAGTCAAAACTTCAGGCTCTACTTCTAATTCTAGTTGTTTTTCTATTTCCACCACATCTGCAGTTTCTTTCTCCACTAAAGTCTCGAAATCCACCCACAGTAATCCCTGAGGACTGGAATCAACTTCTTCCAAACTCCTGTGAATGTTGATATGTCGAACTTCTATGAATCACAAGTGTTCTTAATGGCATCTAGAATGCAGAACACTTTCCAGAAGTTTTCAATTGAGTTTGCCAAGATCCATCAGAGAAATAATTATCTATGGCAGGTATAGCCTTATGAGATGCATTTTTGAGTAGTAACACTTGAAAGTAGAAATTACCTCTTGTTCCATGGGCTGCAGAATGGGTATTGTGTTAGCACACATGAAGACAACATTAATCTCCTTGTACATCTCCATCAGAGCTCTTAGGTGATTAGGTGCATTTTCAATGACAAGCAGTATTTTAAAAGGAATGTGTTTTTTTTGAGTAGCAGATCTCAACAGTGGGCTTACAATATTCAATGAACCATGTTATAAACAGATTTGCTGTCATCCAGGTTTTATTGTTCCACTTCTAGAATGCATGCAGAGTTAATTTAGCATAACTCTTAAGGGCCCTAGGGTTTTTGGAATGGTAAATAAGCATTGGCTTCAACTTCAAGTCACCAGCTACCTTAGACCCTAAAAAGAGAGTCAGCCTGTCCTTTGAAGCTTTGATATCAGGCACTGATGTCTCATCTTTAGCTATAAAAGTCCTGGATGGCATCTTCTTCCAATAGAAGACTGTTTCACCCACATTGAAAGTCTGTTATTTAGTGTAGCCACCTTCATCAATTATCTTAGTTAGATCTTCTGGATAACTTGCTGCAGTTTCTCCATCAGTACTAGCTACTTCACTTTGTACTTTTATATTATGAAGACGGCCTCCTTTCTTAAGCCTTATGAACCAATCTCTGCTAACTTCAAGCCTTTCTTCAGCAGCTTACTCACCTTTGTCAGTCTTCATGGAATTAAAGAAAGGTAGGGCCTTGCTGTGAATTAGGCTTTGGCTTAAGGACATGTTGTGGCTTGTTTGATCTTCTTTCCAGTCCACTAAAACTTTTTCTATTTCAGCAATAAGGCTGCTTTGCTTTCTTAATATTTGTATATTTGTTGGATTAGCACTTTTAACTTCCTTCAAGGTTTTTTCTTTTGTATTCACAATTTGGCCAATTTTTTAGTACAAGAGGGTTAACTTTTGGCCAATCTCCAACAACATGTCTTCCTCACTAAGCTTAATCATTTCTAGCTTTTGATTTAAAGTGAGAAATGTGTGACTACTCTGATATGGTTTGGCTCTGTGTCCCCACCTAAATCTCATGTTGAATTACAATCCCCAGTATTATGGAGGGGCTTAGTGGGAGGTGACTGGATCATAGGAGTGGATCTCCCCCTTACTGTTCTTGTAATAGTGAGTTCTCATGAGATCTGGTTGTTTAAAAAGTGTGTAGCACTTCCCTCTTCTCTCTCTCTCCTATCGCCATGTGAAGATATGGCTTCTCCTTTGCCCTTTGGCCATGATTGTAAGTTTCCTGAAACCTCTCCAGTCATACCTCCTGCACAGCCTGTGGAACTATGAGTCAATTAAACCTCTGTTATTTATAAACTACCCAGTCTCAGGTAGTTCTTTATAGCAGTGTAAGAATGGACTAATACATCTTCCTTTCACTTGAACCCTTAGAAGCCTTTATAGGAGTACTAATTACCATAATTTTAATATTGTTGTGTCTAAGGGAATAGATAGGCCTAAGGAAAAGAGAGAGAAGGGAGAACGCCCCATTGATAGAAGAGTTAGAACATACACAATATTTAACAATCAAGTTTGCCATCTTATATGGGTGCTGTTTGCGGCACCCCAAAATAATTACTATAATAACACCAAAAATCACCAATCACAGGTCACCATAACACATATAATAATGGAAAAGTTTGAAATATTGTGAGAATTACCAAAATGTAACACAGAGACTCAAGCAAGCACATGCTGTTGAAAAAGATGATACCTTCAGACTTTCTCCATGTAGGGTTGCCACAAACTTTCAATTTGAAAAAAAAAAAAAAAAAAAAAAAAAAAAAAACACAGTATCTGTGAAACACAAGAAACCAAAGCACAATAAGATGAGGTAGGACTATATATCTTCAGTAAGATTCTGCTCCACAAACAGGGATGACAAGATGAAAAAAAGTCAATGTTTATACTAATTCTTTCCTGTAATTTTCTAAAAATGTTACTGTTGAATTTATTCATTTAAGTTATTGCACTAATTCCTAAGATTTATAAGCAAAAGTAAATGGCATTAATGCATTACAACCAACTTGAGACTTGGGGATTAAATAAAGCTTAGACCTTCAATGGACAGGGACACAGGGCAAATTCTAATGGGCATGGAGATGTGGAATAGGACCATAATATGGAGAATATTGGGTGGGATAAAAATCTGAAATACCATATTTTGTTGATAGTAAAACACACTTTTATGACATTTTAACATCTCTAAAATTGGGATTCATACCATAATCGATGGAGTTTCTTAGTTTAATCAGAAATATTTTCCTCTTTTTATTGGTATATAAAATAAGGCCGTATTTCAAAATAAATAGTGTTATTTATTCAATTAAATGCATCTATAGCCATAGCATTCAAAATGGGGATGACAGAGTTATTGAAAGGGAAGAGAGAGGGGGGAAATAAGGCTACTAGGAGCAAATATATGTGTTACAGGTTTGTATCTACCTACCACAGTCCTGTGAGTTATATGTATGGGAATATATAGCCTTTATCACCTTATGCTAGAATCAATTGCGAATGTATCTGCCTCACCCGCTAAACTCCTTAAGAGGAGGACTATAAATCAATCCTCCTTGTATTTCCCAGTTCTGGGCACTTGATAGAAGATCAAATTCATTTTTTCAATAAGTTTAATCTAATAGTTTCACCTTCTACAAAAAGCGCAGCAAACAGAATTTGTCGTGTTACATTAGTTAGGTACTTCTTAGGAGTATATTAAGTTCTCTGATAAGGAATATTTACTTACTTGAGCTATTTGATTGCTCTCTAATTCATTAATGCATTCATTTCTTGAATGTAGTAATTACCAAATCAGGAAATCCTAATGGATAAATGAATTAAAATCTAACTGCTCCAGGGCACCTACCAATGCTCAGGTGACTTAAGATTTTTGTAAAATTAAAAAAGTATATATTTTCCAAAACTAATTTGCCTACTAGCAGAATTGGCCTTAATTGTTACGTGAGTAAAGTAAATTTATAAAGATCCCAATTTTCTAGGAGTTTATAAAAGTGAATTCACTATTGCAACTGACACACCAAATGTGAATACACAATGATAGAGGATTAAATGTAAACACATTTACATCTTGTTCAAACTGAGCATAAATGAATATAGAATTAGAGAAAAGAAAACATGACCAATATGACTAAATAGGTGGTAGAAGTTATAAATGGTCAGTTCTAATAAATCAAAGGAGGCTCCAAACAGTGAATGGAATTTTAGTTCTATGAATAATAGAAAAGTATAAGTCAATTACCTAGTGTGTGGTAGAAAATTTTTTCTAGATCAAGGAAGCCCCTAGATTGGGCAAAAATTGATAATGAAACATATATAGGAAAAAGTTTAGAAGGAATTAGACTTTTGAACTTACTGGAAATGGAACTTAGGTAGAGCTGAATTTCCAGTTACAGTGACACTGTTAAGACATTTTATTCCATTTACCTTCCTAAAAAGCCCCAGAAAAAGAATGGAAAAGCACAATAAAATGGAATGAATTTTAAGACCTTAATGATTTCTGTCTTTAATAAATTCAAACAAATGGTCATAATTTCAAAACACAACTTTGTTGAATAACAAAAAAACCTTTTGTTCTGTACCGAAGAAAAATGGGTGCTGAGACGGCATTCACCAAAACCGTTCCCCTGCACCACTGGACCTGAATAGGAAAAATTTCCCCTTAGAAGTACATAATGCAGTCTAGAAACACCCCTTAAGATTTTTGTAATGAGGACCATTTGCAAGCTAATGCGATCAGATGTCAATCCCTTCCCGTACTACCCACTGGAGGTCAGCTGAAAAAGAAATCTCATACTAGAAGTCAATTGGGTTGCCAAAGTCCAGGCCAGCCCTTCAGGGGTGATGGCTAAATGATGCAGCAGGGTGAAGTAAAAAAGAAAGGCAAAGAGTAGTAGTAAGGAATTTATTATAAGTCCCATCAAACTATCTGAGCTATAAACTAAGGGCAGAACTCCCAGGATAACAGCAAAGGTTGATCTGATGAGCACAGGTTCAACATTTACAAACTTGAATCGAAGCTGAAGAGTGCCTCAGCTATCTCCTCTAATTTCTCCCTAATCTTTTTTTTTTTTTTTTTGACGAATAACTTCTCCATGTAAATATAAGTAACAGCAAAGGAAAACTAGTGCAGACCATAAGGAAAAAACTCATTCATTCGTTGAAAAGAGAAAACATTAAGTGCATTACTGATCAACGGATCAGTACCGTATTTAGTGGTTTGGCTACCTCAGTAAATAATACAGACACCAGCTCTCATGGAACGTCATTCTAGTAAAGAAGACAGACAATATACAATCAACATAAAAAAGCTAATTAAATTATACACTGTGTTAAAAAGTGATAATTGTATAAAATTTTTAAAAATAAAGCAGGTAGGGGGATCAGGATTGCTGGAGCAGAGGGCAAGTCACAAATTATATAGGGCAGCCAGGGAGGACATATTAAGAAGGTGAGACCTGACCAGAGACTGGGTGGAGACACAGACACTAAGGAACTGTATATACAGTAGAAGAGCATTTTAGGTAGAGGGAAAGGCACTGGGGTACATGTTGCTGAAACATTAAATAATCACTAGAGCAGGAAATCAAGGTACAGATGGGTAGGAGTTGAGATCAGAAAGTTGATGGGAGTGGGAGTCGGCGAGAAGGAGAGTCCTCAGAATATGTTGGCCCTTTATAAGCCATTGTGAGAAATTTGGCTTTTAATCTGATGGAATTGGGAATATATTGTAGGATTCTGAACAAAGAATAACAAGATCTAAAGTTCTAAAAGGAAAACCCTGTTTTCTATGTTGAGACTAGACTGTCAAGGAGCGAAGATCAATGCAGTAAAATTTGTTAGAAGCTACTTCAGTAATCCAGGTACAAAATAACAGGCAATGGTGGCTTAGGCAAGGGTGATGGTAGTTCAGATAGTAAACAGTGGTTGAGTTCTGGATATACGTTGAAAGGGCCAAAAGAGGTTGTGACATATTGAAAGTAAATTGTGAAGTAAAGGAATAAAGGATGACTCCAAGGCTTCCAGCAGAGAATATGGAAGAACAGAGCTGTCATTAATTAAGATAGAAAAGATTGATGCTGTTTAGCAAGAATAAAGGGAGAAGATCAGGAGTTCTGTTTTGGAAGTGTTGAATTTGAAGCATTTACTCCCTAATAAGGTATCCAGGTGATGATGTCAAATAGGTCATAGAATGTATGAGTCTGGAGTTCAGGAAAGAGGTCTGAGCTGAGATATAAATTCAGTTGATGTCAGCTTTTAGATGGCACTTAAAGCCAGGATGAACTCAGAGAATGATGAGCTCACCAGACACAGTGAGACTAGAAGCAAGAGAAGAAACAAGACCTGAGACTAGGGCATGTCAACGTTAAGAAATGTAGAAGTACAGGGGGGAAAATGCAGCAAAGTACACTGCAAAGTTGTGGCCAAAAAGAAAAAAATCAGATGAAGAGGATGGGCAGGTCTGGGATCTGACCAATGAATTTAGCAATGTGGATGCCTTTGATAACCTTGAAATAGCTATTTTTGTGAAGAGGACGGGAGTAATGAAAACATGATTGGTGCAGTTTAAGAAAGATTGGAAAGAGAACTGAAAGTGATTCCAGGCAAATCTTGCAAGGAGTTTGCTGTAAAGAATGAACATAAATGGAGTGTGGAGGAAGCAGAGTCCAAAAAAGTGCTGAGGTTTTTTTTTTTAATCTGAGGGATAACAACACTATTTGTATGGTGGTAGAAATAGAAATGATTACAGAGAAGAAAAAGGAGAAATTGCTTCTGCATGTCCTTGAATAGCTAAGAGGGCCTGGAGTCTACAATAAATGAAGAGAGATTTAGACAAGAACTTATCCTTTGTTGAAGAATCAAAAATGTCTCTTTTAATTAAATTTTATTAAATTCAAGTAAAGTTAGCCTGAATAGCAATAGTTTCAAATGACTTATCCTATATTGTCTTTCTATTTTTGTTTGTCAAACTTTTCACTAACAGAGAGAGAGAGAGCAAGAGAAGACTTACCTGACATGTTTTTTACCAAATATGATAATAATGATCTTTGAGCATTAATATGACATAATTTGGGAATTTTTGTTTTTTGAGACAGAGTCTCACTCTGTTGCCCAGAGTGCAGATTTAAGCTCACTGCAACCTCCACTTCTAGGGTTTAAGCGATTCTCGTGCCTCAGCCTCCTGAGTAGCTGGGATTACAGGTGTCTGCAACCATGCCCAGCTAATTTTTGTATTTTTTTTATAGAAAGAGGGTTTCACCATGTTGGCCAGGCTTATCTTAAATGCCTGGCCTCAAGCAATCCACTCGCCTTGCCCTCCCAAAGTGCTGGGATTACAAGCATGAGCCACCACACCTGGCCTGATTTGGTATTTTTTACTATCTTCTTTTTAAGTTGTTAATTTTAGTAGAGAGTGTATCTTCATTTTATTAAAAATGATACACTTTTTAAAAATTAAGGCAAGCACCTTGTTCCATATAACCTTAAAAAGTAGGGTAATAGGAAGCTACCATAGGCTTCCAAAGACCAGTGATGCTGAGTAATTAAAACTATTCAGTTTTATAACCCTATTAAAATGGAAAAGTGTTTCTTTCAAACCCAGTGTTAGAAAGAATGTTGAGAAACTGGCATTTTTATATACTGCTAGAGAAAAACATTAGCAAAATTTTCCTTTTCAAAAAATTTGAAGTACTGCACTATCTTGTTTTCCTGTGAAATCTCTTTCCTTCTTTCCTTCTTTCCTTCCTTCCTTCCTTCCTTCTTTCTTTCTTTGTTTCTCAATAGTTATATATCTAGGAGATTCATTAAAAATACTCCAAGATTTCAACAGAGGTTATTATCTAGGAATGGTGAAAACATTTATAAATACACACACACACACACACACACACACACACACGTTACATTTTTTCCAATTTGTAGATTCAGCATCCTACATTAACATGAAAATCACATTCTTCAATCCTAAGATACATGTATTTTCATATTCATGAAATCAGCACAGTCATAAAATTAGTATTATCTTAGATTCAAAGAAATGTGATAATTTTGTAATTGAAATATTAGAGTATTTAAAATAAAGGAAGGACAACGATTAAGGAAGCATCACACAGGACAGCTTGTCTACATAGCTTAGAACTGACTTAAAGGTGTTTCAAAGATCAGTAAGGAGAAGACAACAATTTGATTGTAGGTGAGGTTGTTTTGCGTAGGCTCAATAAAATTAAGTCATTAAAGACATGTTCAATGGGAATGAAGTTATTTACCATAATATGCAATATGAGAAGAGTGAGATTTTTAGATGGAAAATAAAACTTTGTAGCATTTCATTTGAACTAGAGTGAGACATTATGAGATGTTTTAGTCAGAATAAAATTGAGAAGGCGCTGGGAAAGTGGTCTCATAACCACACTGTCTTTCAGAGTACAGCCTACTTGTAAAATTACTCACTCTTGAAATGCCACCACCAAATTTTGAACTTCTTTCTTTCCCTTGCATAGATTAATATATTTTACTTAAAAATTGATCAATCTAATTTCTACAATTCTCACATAAATATAAAGTAACCTTATATTGAATTATAGGTGACCTTCTCTTCCTGCTTAATCTTTGCTATTTGCAATTCTATTCAAAACCATCTCCCCAAACCATAATACGCCTTGGATTTGCTCTCTTCCCTTGATTATGCCTTATGTAGAATTTATTTCAATAATACATGTTCTTTGCCCTTAGAACGGATTCTTAAGGACATAATCACAAGAAGTGAGAGGTAGGAAAAGATCATTTTTCCCAGAATGCTGAGTTAGCCTTTTACTGGACTTTAAAATAATGACTAAATAGTGGCAAGGTTTAGATCATTTTTCATTTGTATCACAATCTCTCCTACAAAGGGGATTCTAGCATTTAAAACACTGCATATTCTTATTTTCAGTTTCATTTTCCAAAAGAATTAAATGAATTTTGTTTAATTGCCTTACCCAGTGAGTTTGACTGCATGTGTCTGAAGCTTTCGATATTTTTCTGATTCTTTATTTGTGCTGGTAACATGTCTGTATATCCCTGTCTTATAATGGAAGAAATCTTCACGGACTTGCATTATGGCTAAAATAAAATCCAACAGAACAAATGGCACAGTATTAAAATATCATCTTTAAAAACCACCAGAAAATTTCACGGAACAACCAATGGGTAAATTGCAAGGAGATGAATCTAAGAAGGGGCTGTGTGATTCAGCCTAATTTTCTTTCCTACTTAATTAATTAGTTGCAATATTTTTTTATCTTATAAAAACAACTTTTAGCTATTTAGAATATTAAGTACACATTATGCTTTTAAAACACCATCTAGTCTTAATCAACAGAGACGCTACTACCAAAAATTAAGCGCTTGCAACAAAAGCATACTATACTTGGTCAGTGATTGCTATTTCTCCACTAACCTTGTGCTTTACCACAAGCCTTTTAAAACCCCAATTAAGCTAGCAGAGCCTAGCAAACTGAGCTTAAAGCAATTGTTGTTAATCCTCATAAGTAAATACAAACCTTTCTTTTGTGAGTTGGAATAAAAAAGCAAACTCCTGGCAAAATAAAACTTTGACAGAATTTCATCCTCCCAGCTCTGGAGAGATAAGCAATGTTGTACACTTTAAAAAGCAGGGCTTATATTTTAGAAAGCTCTCCTTCCTTCCTTCACCTAAATTACTTCATCTCTCTATTGTGTGCTGCTTTGTTGAAGGGCTTTGGCAATTCAGGGTGAAGCCTTTAAACTTCTCTTATAGAAGATATGAATTTGAAAATTTTTAATTGGGATTAGATATGTATAGCTTGATAACTGTGTACAATACTTGTCTTAATTTGACAAGCATTTTAAATAAAATAGGAAGTAAGGTAACTAGTGTTTGACAGATCCTTTAAAAAAGCTTATACTCCAAAGTTAAATATAACTTTTCAATGTTCCAGTTTTTGTTTCATTTTTTAATGTTCCATGCCTTTTCTGATGCTGTGCAAATAGTCGCAAAAGAGGTTAAAACTTCTTTATCTACTCTAAAACACATTCCTAGAGGATTTTAAGAATTTATGTAACTGTACTTTACGCAGATCTCTGCTTTTGTTCTCTATCCATCACCTATACTTATTTTCAATCCTACAGATTTTAGAAGAATGTACACAAAGTTATTCATTCAGGGTTCTATTGGCTTTTACACTCTTTCGTACTGAGACAGGGGAAATGCCGTATGCCAGGCCAGGCAATCCTGTAACATTTATAGCAAGAAGAGTCAACCAGCATTCTATCCATTTATAAAAATGTGAAGATATTGCTAGTGGCTTTTCTTTTCTGTAGAACCATTGACTCTTTGAGGTCTTATGATTCAACTTTCCTGTAAGCATCATAAATAAAATGTATTCATTATTCCTGAAAAACACTGCCACCTAAGAAAAAGGATGAGAAGCCACCATAATTACCTGAAAGATGGCTTCTTTCTGCAGTTTCTGATACCAAACAGACTTGATAAATTCACGAATATATAACTATATAAGTTACAATCATGCAATTTTACTTTTGGAAAACTGCAGCAAACTCATTATACAGAATTATAACACGGATGAGATGTTTGGTTGTTCCTCGTCTCTTGCTCCTGGCTTAGGCTAGCAGGAAGCAGGTTCTCAAGAAATCTTTGTTAAATGAATGTTGAATAACTTGCATTTTTGTTTTATTGCTTTGAAATGTTATGTCTTTATTTTTTATTCATTCTGTGAAATTTATGAGCATTTCAGTATATGGCCATAAAATAAATCTAAGGTATTTAAATTTTCTCAATTTTAAATAATTACAATTCAAAATTGTTTGATTGATTTAAAAAGAGGGAGAGAGAGAGGGAAAAAGAAAAAAAAAACACTTGAAACAATAATACAACAACTTGAAGATTCTGAAAGGTTAAGAAAATTGCCCAAAGTTATTTAAACAGCAAATGCCAAAGTTGGGATATTTTAGTGTAACCTTGAGTCCAAATGCCTGTGATCTTTTAAATTTGTCACACAAGCACCACTTAATGGAGCATGCATTGAAATTAGAGATTAATTCCCTCACTCTTCAAATAACCAACAAATAACCAACAGCTGTAAGGGGGAACAGAAAATTTCTCTTCATTTGTTTCAGGTTTTGGGTAATGTCCCATAATTTTCCCATAATTTTTAAAAATTAAATTCAGGACATGTTTATGTAGGCTGTGGTTTCTCAATAAATGCTAAGTGGTGATAATGATCAATAAAAATTCATCCAACACAATTATAAAATCCATGATTCCTGCCTATATATATTTAACCGATACTAATTAGATCAGTATTCAGAAAAATTAAAATTGGCAACAGTTCCTTAAGTGTGTACCAAATGTTTTACATTTAATTTTGGCCTATTTTTTATTCCACTGCATTGATAATATATTCCGGGCCCTTCAGTATTCACAACCTAAATTTTCATTTTAGACCTCATTGGATTTGTTCTTCCATGCACTTCAAGCCAATGTTTATACAGGGAATACATTCTGTGAGTATACCCTTATTCAGGTCATTGATGCAAAATAAAATTCAACAGGTAAGCAGAATAAATTATCATAAGAGATGATATAAATCAAAGGCAATATACAAGTAACTGTATGATTTCATTATTTACTGTTACTCTAAATAAAACATTTACAAAATTGATCAAAATTGAAAACCTTTTGTAAAATGTAAAATTACACTAGTTTACTCGCTTTATTTTGAGCTAATAGAAGGAAAATATTAATCCTCAATTTTTTCAATCCACGACCTAATCTATTTAAACTGAAGATAAGAAAACTGTATGTATGATTCTTAAATATGACTGAATAAATAAAGTAAGCTTCATTACAAATTAGTCAGTTGGCATTTCATGTTGGACTTTCTGTTGGTCCATGATCACTTTGGAAAGATTTCGGAGTTATTCATCAAATGTGTCATTAATTTTTAAGAGTTCAATTTATAAATGAGTCTATCTTCTGAAAATAAAATGGCAGCTAATTAAGATATAGGTAAGCATATTTCTCATAACTGCACTCATTTTAGAACTGTTGAAGCCTTTTGGATACTCTTAAAGTAAAAATTTTCTTTATTTTATTAAACTCCTATTACATGAGCTCAATGTAATGTTGTTTATTAAAGGAATGAGTAAGAAAAAACCGTATTTCATTCAAGCTTACCTTGAACTGGTCCATTTTGCATGATTTCTTTCATTATCTCAGTTTCCTGGATGGAAAAATATGAATAAGCAATATCATTGTTATCAGAGCATACTAAACCCATTGATTGGTGTACAATGTTAAGTGTTTGCAATTTACTCTCAATTGTACTTTGAAAAACTCACGTATATTATGCTACATTAATGAAATTGTTAAAGACAAGATGCACCCATTTGTTTTAATGACATTTATCACTAAATAGTAAATTTGGAGTGGAGACAAAATACAATAGCCTTTTATGGTTATAAAGAAACAATGTAAGTTAAAGCAATATTTAATTAGTGGAGATTACTAGTACCTCTAATTTTTTTCTCACAAGAGATATCCCAAATGATTGTTTAGTTAGATGTCTCAGTAGCTTTAGTACAAATATTTCTATGATGTCTCCTAATGTTTAATGAAGCCCTCTGTAGGGAGGCAGGGCACTCATTCATCCATTTTTCTGTACATATTGAGCACAAAGTACATGCCAGAAACTATGACAGGAACAAATATTGACCCTGCACCTATACTCAAGGTATTTACATTTTGGTTGAATGACACTACTAATTTCATTATTATTTAATAAGATCCATTGTAGAGACAAGCGCAAAGTGTTACGTTTGCAAACAAAAAAGGAAAATTAATTCTGCCTGGAAATCAAGGAAAACGTCACAGAGAAGATGAAGTTTTTACCTGGGCCTTGACATTTGCTTGGCATTCTAGATGGAAAGGCTTGATAACCATTTGCATCAGAGGAATTATCACCTAGCTAAGTGGAAAAGTATAACAGAGCATGGTGTACCTGGGGAAAAGAGACTAGTTCTATGTATTAGGAGCATTATGGCTGGGTAGAGTGGCAGATGCTGGCAGGACATGAGTGTATAAAAGTAGTACGTCAAAACCAACTCATGAAAGGCCAATGTGCTATGGTTAGAACACCGAATTGTATTCTGGAGATAATTAGAAGACACTGGAGGTTCACAAATTCTGAAAACGAGAAGGCTTGGGGAACACTGATATGAAGAAGTAAATTCGCCTAGGCTTTTAACAGACAAACTAGAATCCAAGGGACTCTTTTTTCTATTAGACCCAGGTCCTCTTAAATTATTTTGTTGAGTGAGGCAAAGGATTGATAAAATGAGCTAATACCACAAAAAAGTCAGTGAAAAAGTGTTTAACTTAACTTTTAATTGTCAAGTTCAAATATATGTATATACACATATTATGAAACATAATTTTAAAACCCTATTTCCTTGGACATTTTAAAATTTAAGTCAGTCCTTTACACTGCTAATGTTACAAAGATAAGACATCATACCCAAACTGAAAGTCCTTAAAAATATTAAAAATTATACATGAAAATATAATATTTATTTTAGAATATAATAGTTTTAATTAGTTTTTAAATTGTTTTAGTTACAGTAGAGCTATATACATTTGAGAAAGCCAACTATTCTTGATTCTTGCCATTTATACTTACGTTGGAAGAGACTCTGTATGGAGGAGAACATTGATAGATCCTGTTAGATTTTTCTACGTTGTTGGGACATGGCTTCGTGGCATGCCGTTTTCCTCGCCCATCAGACCTGCTTGCCATGGCACATCCATTGTTGGTAGCATTTTGGTCTTTGAAAAGTGGGTAGCATGCGTGGGATACCAGTCTATGAGGAATAAGCAAAGAAGCAAAGGTAATATTTAGGAGAATGTCGTAATATCCTTTTTATATTTAATCTTACTGAATTAAACATTCATAAATTATTCTGGTTACTTACATGCATAATTTTCAAAATAGTGAGTGACTCCAACACAGAAGCTCAATGACATTACACTCTTCCCTACCCTCCTCTTATTTTTTCATTATAATTTTAAAAATCTTGCTTTGATCAATTTTTATAAATAATTCTATCTGTAGTATAGAATTTCCTGAAGATAAAAAATGGCTGTCAATATTAAGTCTGTGGTAATATTAATAGGGGAAGGACCCCTTCAACCTGTTTATATAATTATAATTTGGAAGAGCTAAATTTAAAATTTAATATAAACCAGACAATGAATCTGACTATTTCCAGATGGGATATTAAAATTATGTAAGTTGTAACTTTAAAGTTTTTATTTTGTTTTGTTTTTGTGTTTGTATATTTTTATTAAGTTATAGATATGTTCACATAATACAAACAATCATATATCTGTAGTTCGTGATACTTTGAGGGAAATAGTATAATATTAATATAATATTAAATGTTAATAAAGTAGAAAACTATCAGACATGTGTATTATCTAAAAGAGAAAATGATTTTGATTTCTGATTTTGAAAGTAAACATAGCAAAGTAGAAATTATTCGGCACCAATTCAAACATAATAATATTGAATAAAAAGATAAATTGTAAGGGAAATAAAATCATGGTAATGGTATTGTAGATACTCTATGCTGAAATGGCCATAGAAGTATCCACAAGGATTGGTTCATGAAAATGTAATGTGTTTCCAACACAGTATGAGAATCTGAGGAAAGAACATGACAAAAGCAAAACCATTGAAAACACTCAAACAACCTAAAAAATATTGCATTAAATGCATTACATTTGTATTAAATGATGAGTGCTGTGGACTGAATGGTGTCACTTTAAAATTCATATGTTGAAGCACTTATACCCAATGTAATGATATTTGGAGGTAGGCCTTTGGGAGATTATTAACTTTAAAGGATGTCATGAGGTTAGGGCCATAATAGATACGATTAGTGCCCTTATAAGAAAAGGAAGAAACCAGAGCTCTCTTTCATCATGTAAGGACACTGTGAGAAGGTGTCCATCTGAAAGCCAGAGAGCCCTCACCAAGAACCAAATCAGCCTGGTCCTGGATTTTGCAGCCTCCACAACATCAGTGTTTGCGTTGAAGACACTCAGTCTATGGAATTTTGTTACAGTACCCCAAGCAATCCAATACAATGAGATTTAGTCAGGTCTCAATAATAATTTACATTTTTAAGTTCTTAAAGGGCTGTTATTTTTTATCATAATACAAAATGCAAGCCAACCAAGCACTAGTACACAAGGAAAGTATCAGCCCAAGTTGCCCATTCAAAGTACCACATTTTAGGCAAAACGTATGAAAAAATTTAAAGCAATTTATTGCAACCCATCAAAATCTGACATACACTATTTTCTACAGCATCTAACTAGTCCTATAGCAGACCCAGAGCACTGAGTGGATGATGAAGAGCAAGTGAGCAGTACATATATATAACACTCTTTATCAGCTGCAGCTTCCTTAGCTGAATAACTCAGCTTTTTAGCAGATCAGCTCTTATAGAAGACACAAGGATGTTATATGGGTATCAGCCTACATGAAAGTAAGGAAATGCAGCCCCCATTTTTCATCAAATGGAGTGGAGAAAATTAATGAACAATACTGATGAGTTGAAACAACTGTAAATTATTTCTTTATATTATTATTCTTATGTTTAGCCTAATTTTACCTGACATTATCTGTTCATCAATCTGGGTAACTGAAAAGCACAGCAGAGAGATCAGCAACCCTGATTATTTTATTCTGCCTGTGGGGACTCACTTGGCTCAGAACAACAAAAAGAAAATATTTACTTGAGTCTTCAAAAGTAAAATTCATATTAATTTAGCTAGAAATGTATACGTTCTTCAGGAGGTGTTTCTAATAGCTTCTAATCCCAATAGATAAGAAATATAGTATACATTTAAATGTAGCATATTTATATTCATGTAGATGTAGTATATATATTTTTAAGTACTTTTTTGTAAAAATCTTGGGATTATTTTCCTTGTTCTAACACAATGCATCATTCATAAAAATCCTAGAAACACATGTTGAGCAGCTATTTACCCACGTTTTCTCAGGTACCACCAAGCCCTATCGATGCTTCCACTATTGCATCCATGACGGTTCTTGGCACAGCAAGAGATCAAATTCTGAGGGGATAGATTGGCCGTGTATCGACCCTTAGACTGAATTGCTATTCGGTCAGCAGCCACACCTGTTTCAAATAGAATATCAATTAATATTGAAATGATACACGGTATTTCTAATAAGGTACATAACCCTTTTTGTTTGAACCCTAACGTAGTCTTTAAAACTGTGTATAATTTATAATTAAAGCCAAAGAGCATTAATATATTTATGTATTCCAGACAGTTGAACTGTGTCATACTTTCAGTTATAATTTTTGTCCTATTTTGATATTACTCAATTGTCCTATTGACTTCAAAGATTTTTTTAGTTTCTTGTTCCTTTGATGTTCTGTATACTCCTGAACTCCTCATTAAGGAATCTGTCAGGTGAAACTCTTGGAGGGCAAGAGCCATATGTTCCTTATATTTCTATTTCCTGTACCTAGAACAGTATCTTGCATATAGTCATGGGAAAATACATATTTTCTAAATGAATTTAACTAAACCAGGGCAATCAAGAAAACTAACCATAGAAATATTCATTGGAAATTCATCCACAGTCATCTGATATATTGGAGTAAAACTGAATTCTTTGTTTTTAAACTGGTTTAATCTAATTTAACTACCCAGGAGACCATACTTAAGCTAATCCAGACTAATATGAATCTATCTTATACAGTATCTAAAGGCTACATAGCACACTTTTGTGCTCATAATATAAATGAAAATTATTATCTTAATCTTGTTTTAGTAGACATGGAATTCAGCTTGTTTATACATATATATAAAACGAAGTGAATATATTTGTTTAGTTACAATTACTGTTACTACTGTTACTAACTGTTGTAACTACTATTAACTAATACTATTAGTTACATATAATATAGTTCATTATATATAGCTATACATGTAATTATATATATACAATCTAATAGCTATATATGTAACTGATTATATGTGATGCTATATACAACTAATAATATATTTATGACTATCATATTGTTAACTAATATCATTATATATGTATACACACACACACACAAACTTTTTATTATTAAAACTTCTATTCTTTTGTTATATGATTTCCTAGAATTGTAATTGTTATTAGTTCATTCCTTTCCTCAACACATTTATTAAACACCTACTAACTGACAGGCATTGTAGCACTGGAAATTACAATGATGAACAAGAAACAAGGGAGACATAGTTCTGCCCTCTTAGAATAATAGACCAGGGAAACTAATTAACCAGTAGCAAAACCCTACAGATGTCATCATTTTGATCATTGTACCAAAATAAACTAATGTGAGTGATGAGATTATGAAAAAATTGGGGTGGGTACCATTTTAGTACAGACTTTTTTATTGAATATCTGGAACAGTCTTGTTGAATATCTGGTACAGTCTTGTTCAGTTTTGTTCTAAGTTGGTTTCTTACTCACTTTTAATTAAAGGCAACAAAATAATAACCTTTCTTCTATTCATTCACTTTTCTTAGTGAAAGTTTATTTTTTTTCTCATCAAAATTGTTAGTGTCCTGAAACCCCTCAAGGTGCTAATTAAAAATTTTATAAAATAATTCATTTAATTCATTTACATATGTATCTTTGTATACACATATTTTTAATGTAACTACAGCATATTACAATGCTTTAGGGAAATTGCTGGCATCCTTTAGATGCTCAATATGTGTTAAATCTATAACCTCCAGCTCCCTACTAAATTCCCATCTACTATTGCACTAGGATATATTTCACAGGAGCAAATGGCATTACACGACTTCTGATAGTCTCAAGAAAATAATTCCCCATTTCATCAAGGAAAGGAGAAATTCTTTGATGCTCTGACATTCAGCACAGGGGTTTAGAAAGAAATCGAAATTTTAAAAAATGGTGTAACTGTGTTTTCATTCAGAAAATACTTTTATAGTGTAGAGAAAACAGTAATCCAGAAGTTGGAAGCCTGGTCTCCAGGATTATTTCTGATATTTCTCATCTTTTGGCTTCAGATAAGCCACTTTACCTATTTGGGCCTCGTTTATAATACTGGAGGCTTGAATAAGGTGACCTTTAAAATCTCTTCCAGCCTCACAAATCTGTAGATTTCAACTGAAGGATAAATGTTTTAAATCCTAATGTTATGCAATATGTTGGTCTTATACCGACATTTCTGAATCTCAATGATGGTTTAGCTAAAATTCACTTGAAATATTTAGAAAAGGTCAGAATATTTAAGAATGACTCAGTTCAACCAATTGTTTTCCACTCTCTTCTTAAAAACTCTCACTGGACAGTACCTCTGAGACACACTCTATTCTTTCCCTTGCTTATTTTATTCCGTCTTCAAATGTATGTGAAACATATTACCCCCACTACTCCAAACACCTTTATCTCTTCAGCTTCTGAAAAATAGCTTGAATTTGATTTGATTACATAAGTTTTTAAAATATATGTGCATATTTTTAAGTCTTATTTATTCAATTGTATAGCTTTTAGTTTCTCTGAGAGATAATCTATTTTTGTAACTAATACTTCTCGACGTAATTTTTTAGATCTTTATGATAATTTAGTTTATTTTTTTCTTTATTTAACACAAAAAAGAATTGCCCTAATTTATCATACTGAATTCACAGGATACAAAACTATGTCCTTTGGAATCACAAAAGGAAACCTCTCTCTGGTGTTCCGTGAATTAGGTAGGGGAACAATCCTGACTTGGTACAGTGCAGAGGCTATCTGTGGGGTTGAGACCTGGGAACACCAAAATATATCCTCCACCCTAGCAAGTTGCTTTCAGTATTTCACCACAAATGTTTTCCTTTAGATATCTTCAGAAATACTGGCATAATATAAATTTTAGGCAAAATTCTTATAGATCTAGGTGTAACACCTTAACCACATGAATATAAAATGGCAAACGGTTTATTATATTAAACCTCTCTCCACCCATCTGAAACAACCTTAATCTTCTTTTTATTATCTGGTCTTATCCATCAATAGACAAACAAATTTTAGCTCAGAAAGGTCTCCATGTGGGTCCCTGACACATCAAGGACATCATAAGATAGCCAGAGAGGGGGTGTGGGGAGCAGTGAATTAACAAATGTAGCCACTTGGGGTGAGTTTGGCTACCATTATGATTTTAACAAAGGCATTTCTGGAGTTGTCTGATTGATACTATGGAGCAATGGTATTTAGACAAAGATGTCAGCATTTCTCTGTCCCAGGATATGCTGCCTTTCAGAGCTGGCTTCTTGAACAGCCTATGTACTTGTTCACAATCCTTCAATGGCTTTAAACTGTCTTTGAACACTGTTGAAATTACCTGCAAACTCTAGAGCATGGTTTTATGAAGATAATTGAATGACAGCCAATCATCATGTTAGGTTTCATTTAATTCCTGAAATATATTCAACACTCCTTTGAGGACAATTTTGGAGACCTAATTTGAGGGTTAGCCTGTAACTAATTTATTGGATTTGTGAATTTATATGAAAGTAACTATAAAAGAGTCATTGCTTATACTTTTTGAGTAACAGTAGACTTAATTTAGAAGCTATTCTTATTAAAAGATCAGTTACATTACTTTTGAGTCAGAACCTATATATTTGCTTATATTTATTTAAAATGAAATAAAATCCATTTGATCCATTATTATTTAGGTTTAAAGTCTTACTTCACATCAAATTAGATTAATAACTGTTTTTGCAAATCATATAAAGAGTAAAGGTATGAGGATTACGTGGGTGTGTCTATATGTATATTAGAATTATAAATAATATATGAATGAAAAAGAACCTTAATCCTTTTTTATTATTTGGCCTTAACTCTGAATAGACAAACACATTTTAGTAAATTTATTTTGTCACTCTTTTGATTCGCTCTCTATTTAAAATTTCACCCTAAAATAAAAAAAAAAAACTTTTAGACTAAAAATGGATTTTTTATATAATCTTCAGGTTACTTTCTTCCATCATAATGAGATTTTATTTGATCATATGCTAATATTTAAATATTCTAATTGTTAAAATTGTTCAATTATTCTCTCAGTCTCTAGAGCCAAAAGGAGTAGTTTATAAGGAAGGAATTAAAATGACTTTATTACTTGCAGTGGAAAATGCCCAGGATGCAGCACAATTTTTTTGATCCAATGGGCCATGAGTCCATCCAGGCCATTTATAAGAAGCAACAAAAAACTCTGGAAGATCAGTTGTTGCAGGTAAAGAAGCCTAAAGAGGAAGAAGAGGTACATATATGAGATTTTCTCAAATATGTCTCAATAGGAAAATGTCACGCCCTTTTATAAAGTTATAATTATTTTTTAAATTATTTTATACATCCAAGTTTCCAGATGAACTACAGCTATGTGGGATTTATATTTCACTCTATGGTTAAAAATGACAATTCAATATGGGGACTCATAACCTAATACAAGGTCATGAGAAAAATACATAGAATGGTTTTACTGGGTTACTGCACAGTGCAATAATATCAGCCAATGTTTCTATCACCTTGAATCAGAGTTTTGCTCATCCATAGGAAGACCACATGGTGTTATTCAAATTTGTCCTCATAAAGAACATTTACTTCTCTGTCTCTCCTATTTTAAAGAGTTTATGTGATTCTGAGATGAAATTAATTTTGAAAGGGTGCATTTATGACAATTATGTATTATATGTGTATAGAGCCCCAAGGAACACATCAATTTTACACCAGCTATTAGGAAATACAACTAGGATGAATTGGTTGATATTTATAAAATACTTGAAGTCTAAAAAGGACTTCAGGACTGGGCACGGTGGCTCACGCCTGTAATCCCAGCACTTTGGGAGGCTGAGGCGGGTGGATCACAAGGTCAGGAGTTCGAGACCAGCCTGGCCAACATGGTGAAAACCCGTCTTTACTAAAAATACAAAAAATTAGCCAGGCATGGTGGTGGGCACCTGTAATCCCAGCTACTCAGGAGGCTCAGGTGGGAGAATCACTTGAACCTGGGAGGTGGAAATTGCAAGAGGTTGCAGTGAGCCGAGATCGCGCTACTGCTCTCCAGCCTGGGCGACAGTGCAAGACTCCATCTCAAAAAAAAAAAAAAAGACTTCAGGAAGTGTGAAAGAGCAACGGTGCAAAATTATGGTTTCTTAAGAGCCCAGGTTAAAGCCCTGACAAAGTCTGTTTTGGCTGCCATCTTTCCAAGAAGCCAACTAAATTGTAAACTTGTTCTGTTCATTTCATTCAAAGAAAATCTAGAACACTATAACCTGTTATTTCCCAAACTTTTCTAAAGAGATGACTTTCACTTCCAAAAAGAATCAGGCTTAAACCAAATAACGATTTGTTTATTAGTTTTTCATCAGTTGTGTATATGTGTTCTCACACACACACACACACACACCCCAATCATTTCTGAGCATTCTTTCAAGTTTTGAAAGTGTTTTAATGTCTTAATACTCATTATTTTATTTTGTCTTCTCAATATTCCTATGTGATATACTCAGGGACAAATATTATTAGCTATTTTTTATGAATGAGAAAACTAACTTTTAGCAGTTAAAAGACATGTTGAGTCCCTCAGCTAAACAAGAAATGCTCCTAGGACTACACTCAGGCTTCTAAATTCTTAACTGCTTCATTTCTATAGTTTCCCTGCTTTATCAGAAATATATGGCTAATTTGCCGCAGAAGTAAAATGTTAAAAATTTTTACCAATTTAAAAGTTTTGTGATTGTGCCTTGAGCTAGTCATATTACTGATCTGGTTGGTATCTTGCAAAAAAAAATTACTTCTGATAAGTACATAATAGCTTCCAAGATTAAAACAAGGAATGTTTAGAATTTACAAGTCTGCTTGAAAAGGTTTTCATCCAAAATAATTTATAAATTTGTATTTTAATAGGGGAGTTCAGTTTTGACTTAGAAAACTATTACCACCTGACAAGAAAGTTATTGTATCCTGAGGTCCATTGCTGCTATTTTGATGATGGAAGAAAGTGCCAAAAACATCAAGCAGATCATTGTGAAGTGCTTACATGATAACTTCAAGGATGGTATCATAGAAAACTAAGTGATTTGGGGGTTTTGATGACATTAGATGGACTGCATTGCAGAATCTTAGGGTTGGGGCAGAATACATTTATTGCTCTGGGTAGATAATTTGAGAGATACAGACTCACTTTTGAAAGGTGCCTTCCTAGCTGAGGCAGAAATATACATATCTTAAAACTCATACCCTTCAATTTTGTATTATTGGTTTGTCAGTGTGCCTTTAGGCATTTATAATACTAAGTCGCCTCATGTTTTCAGAAAAATAGTGGAGTGTCAATTGTTATTTTATCACTTTAAAATTTCAACTTAATGACAAAGCTAGGATATGTTCCTTCTACTCTACTGAAAAAATAAACATATAACTATTACTTTAAACACAATTCAGCAGGGTTGGGTTATTTAGAAATTGACCTCCACATTTGAAAGCCTATCAGAGTACTTTGCATATGGGAGATATGCAATAAATATTTAATAATAATAATGAAATACGTATCTATCAAGTAAAAGTATGTTTTCCTCCATAGGCACTTTAAGTTAAATCATAATACTAGCATGCATTTGTCGCTTTTATGATTTATTCTTTAAAAATGAAAAAATATAAATGGTGAATCCGTCTCAATAAGACAAGGCAATAGTGAAACAACAAGCAAAATGACACTTTTATTAAAAACTTATTTACCAATCCACTAAGCCAGATCAATTTATGAAGATCATCTGTTGGATTTTCAAGATTTTTACCATTTATTTATTACTGCTTTTACTAAAAATGAGCTCCTAGGATTTGAGGAGCAGCAGGCACATATTTTTTATCTGCCTCATGATATCAGCTAATCTGATATTATAAAACCACAGAAAATTTTATATTTCATTATTTCACAATTACTGTATTCCTCTGTAAAGTAAATTGTTTAGAGTTTATAAATAAAGGTAAGCATCACAGAATAATGGCTGTTAGGAATTGGTAATAGAAGTTTGGCTTTAATGAATGATACATTTGTTTTTAATTTTTTTTTTTTTTGCTTAATAAAACAAAAGAATCAAGAAGATCAGCTGATAGTGACAGAAATTCCAAAATGACACTGGCTTGAGTAGATAGAAATTCATTTTTAAGAAAGACTTACAGGATTTCATATAGATATGCTTAATTCTTTTCATTGTAATGTTGAAAAATATTTTAATCAGGATCTAACCATATTTCCAAATCAGTATTAGCCAAATTTGATGTTCAATGTGAACAGTCTCCCTGTTTCAGTATTTTCATTTAAAAATTAGAAATTAAAGATATTGTTGGCAAATATGGGAATTAAATACAACAATAAACACTGGAGAATTGTATAACATTTGCATTTAATTAAATTAAAATCTCTAAAAGAGTGGTGGAAATGTAATCATAGCATAGCTTGAGATAAATTGATCAATTTTCTCAGGAACCTCAGAATAAATTCTAGACATTCTTACAATTGAGTCTGTATCCACACAATATCCTCTATGTGCATCAGCCCTATATTTTCAGTTGTATTTCCCCCCACCCATTTAAGCTTGGATGCTTATAGTGACCTGAGAACCAAATGAAGCAACAGAGAATGAAATTCTGTTATGACCTTTACAATCTAAGGTCAGTGGCCATGAATACCAAGAAATTTTGGAACTATTTGATACTGGGGATGAAAAGGCTAATTTTCTAGTTGCTAATGGCTAAATGAATTTCTCATCTTCAACAATATTTGTCTTTGTGCCTTACCTTTAAAAGAGGTATCCTTTGATAAGTCTCTAGTTTTTTATAATAGAGTAATCTTTTAATGACTTCTTAAAAAGATCAATATGTAATGTAATTGCCCACTTCCCAGCCCCTCCATGCACCCCCCTCAACCCGCCTACCCAGGCTGCTATCACTAAGTTGTACCCTGTGGAATGTAAAGTAGCTTCTGAGATCTTTCCTTAAGAGACAGCTGGCACTTGACTTTTACTCCTTTGTCTTGATCTTTCGTATTTTTCTGTTGGCAGAAATGTAGGCATTGCAGACAGACATAGAGCAGTCCTGTTGAACCATTATATGACCTTGGAAATAAAGGTGCTGGGCAATGGAAGGACAAGAAGAATGAAGTGTGGGTATCCAGCACCACAGAGTACAATTCCAGCACAGGGCTACCCACTTCCAGATTTACTGGTGAGAAATCAGTTTCTATCTTATTTAAGCAACCGTCATTTTAAATTTTTGTCACTTTCAGCTGAGCCTAATCATAACTAAAACAGCACACACAATTGCCATTAAAGTTGCTAGGGCAATGTCATATTTCATTGAACCCAAGGCATCAACAAATGTAAGAAAGCATCTCAATTTCAGAGGTGTTAATGGGTGAAAAAAATATGCATCTGAAAATGGATGAACTGTGATATTTCCTTAAATGAGTTCCTTAGAACACTAGTTCTGAGGAATTTTAATAGGTAATTACAAAAGGAGGTAATAAAATAGTTCTGAGAAACACCGGTTTTGAAAATTAGATTTTTGTCTTCACTGCAGTGTTTTTTACAAACTGCTAATGTATGTGAGCTCTAAAACATGGTAATAATGTTCATGGTGTTAAATGTTCAGGATTTGGTCCAGTGCAAAATATTTTATTTCATTTACATCATATCATTTTTATTGTGAAGCAGATCAATGAACTAGTCTTTTTTTTTTTTTTTTTTTTTTTTGAGACAGAGTCTTGCTCTGTCGCCTGGGAGTGCAGTGGCGGGATCTAGGCTCACTGCAACCTCCGCCTCCCAGTTTCAAATGATTCTCCTGCCTCAGCCTCCCGAGTAGCTGGGACTACAGACACGTGCCACCACACCCGGCTAATTTTTCTTCGTATTTTTAGTACAAACGGGGTTTCACCGTGTTAGCTAGGATGGTCTTGATCTCCTGACCTTGTGATCCGCCCACCTCGGCCTCCCAAAGTGCTGAGATTACAGGTGTGAGCCACACCTCCCGGCCAAACTAGTGTTTTATGGAACATACTTTAGGTCAAGACAGACCCAGCCATGGAGAGGCCAGAGAATAGGTGCCTGTACTATGAACACACAAAATGACTTTAGAAGTCTACTTTTTAACAGCCTAAAATACTTCTTCATAGAGAAGAAAATAATAAATTTTTACATTTATTTTTGAAGATTTGTCCTGCAGTTATCAATTAGGTTCCACTGTGTTGTTCAAGCCATAGTCAATTTTACCACAGTGTTATACATCAGACTGTGACTAGTGCAGAAATACCACATTGAAATCTGAAAATTGATTTGAGAGATAAGACATTCATTCTGCTAAAAGTGTAGGTGAATAAGGAGTGAGGCCAGGCGTATATTTTCTAAGTTTACCGAAGGGTGTGAGGTTCCATTCTGAGAGAGACAGAAGTAGTAAAAAGAAAGAAACACAAGTTTGACACTCTTTGAATTTTAAAATTCTTAATTCAGTGACAGCAAGAACGACTATCATACTACTCTGTCCTCGGCTTTTCCCTACATGGATGAAAAAATTCTGAGATGAGCTGAAGGAAACATATACAAACACAGTCTCCACCGTAACATCTGGCCCTGCCTCTCTTCCCCTCTTCTACCGCACCATCAGCCCTTCCTGTATTCCAGAAGCCTGATGCCATTTGCCTTATGTTCATGTGTGTGGGAGCTAAACACGAATTTTATGGAGAAAATGGTCGTTATTGCTCAATATTATAAAAAGTATATAACTGTGTTTTTCCCTTTTATACTGAACGTTTTGGTTTCCACAGAGGCTTCTGTTTATAAGGGTGACATATGGTATTGCAATCAGGTAGGAGATGTTTGTTCAGACAGGGTTATTCCTAGTCAAATCAAAAATCTCAAATCCCAGCCTGGCACAATGGCTCACACCTGTAATCCCAGCATTTTGGGAGGCCGAAGCGGGCGGATCACCTGAGGGCAGGAGTTCGAGACCAGCCTGGCCAACATGGCAAAACCCTGTCTCTACTAAAAATACGAAGATTAGCCGGGCTTGGTGGCAGATGCCTGTAATCCCAGCTACTCAGGAGGCTGAGGCAGGGAGAATTGGTTGAACTCAGGAGGCAGAGGTTGCAGGAAGCAGAGATAGCAGCACTGCACTCCAGTGTGGGCAACAGAGCAAGACTCTGTCTCAAAAAAAAAAAAAAAAAAAAAAAATTCAAATCCCATGAACAGTAGAAACTAAACTTGGAAAATTACTTTAAGATTTTCAAAGATATTTCTTATGCCTCAGTACTTGGCTGTCATTGAAATATATTTCTGAAAGGAAAAAAAAATCCTCATATTATTACATGTTATCTAGAGAATAATAAAGTATCCAGATGATTAAAAAAATTTTCCATTTCTCACCTCAAAAATCATTGGCTTTAAAAGATTTTTTATTATAAAATAAATAAAGTATTATTTTACTTTAACTTCCAACATACTATAGAAAGTATAACATTTTTTTCTTTGTTAGTTAATGCCAATACCTTAATATATATTGGATGACCGAGAAAGGATGCTGTTCTGGTTAGCTATGAGATTGACTCAAACAATTTTAGATTATTTTACTTACCGCAATCTGATATTAAATAATATAGTACACCAACAGGTTTTAAATGCCATACTAGCCTTCTTAATATTTTAATTGTTTCCAAATAGTTCCACCTTAGACATAATACTAACCTGTAATAGCTTTAGTAACCTAATTAGTCTCCTTGGGAAACAAATAAAAATAATTTCAAAATTGCTAAAGAAACAAATTTTAATGGAGCCAAGCATACAAATGAACTCTTAATTTTCACATTTCTATGTGAAAATAGTATTTTTTCAAAATATTTTTAATATTTATAAGATATAACACAGTGAAGCTTCTTGGTGCTATCTCCCAAATTCACAAGCACTTGAACATTATGTCTGGAAGAACAATCAGGTACAAAGTTGATTTGATTTGATATAAGAGCATCATAGAACTCTCAGTTCACCAGAAATATATAAACTCTATCAGAGTCAATAAATCCAGGCCTACACCTTTCTTTATAAAAGAAAATGCTGCAAATAATGAAGGTTTTAATAACTTAGTCCTTACCACATTAACTTGCCTCAAAACCCTGCTATTCTCCCAAGGTCAATACAAGGGAGAAAGAACACCTTTATATATTACATAATAACATTTATTTAAACTTTACTATAATCTAAGTACTGTGCTAAGCATTTCTCATCAAGTATTTCATGGGACTTATGCAACCCTATGAGCTAGATACTACCACCATTGTCATTTTGTGCAGAAGGAGACTGAGGTAATAAGTGAAGGAGCCAGTAGACATGTTACGGGAATAATGACTTAAGCTAAAGGAATGAAGCCAGGAAACCAGCCAGGGAAGGAAAGAGCTTCCCCAGGAATTCAGGATGACTCATGGCTTATCTTTCCCATCCAGGGAAAATAATTTCCCGAATCTAAACTCTTACCCAAGCAATATGGCCAAGGAGATGTTTATGGAAGGAGGTGCATGGAAATTTTCAGCATGCTTGAAATCATACCACTGTTGGCTACTGCCCACCCTGGCTGTATGTATAGTCTATCATGCATTGAAAATGATTTTTTAAAAGTTGGGGAAAAGTGTGTTTGCAGGGCGGTGAGGGGAGTGCACCACTAATCGAGAAGAATTCCCACAAAAAGAAATTCGTTGTCACTGTAGTTGGAGGCAGTTTGATATCACATATTGGGTTTTTCTATGTAGTCAACAGACTAAGAACTAGCTATAAAACTAACTGGTAGCTATAGCTTTCCAAAGCTTCCAGTTCAACTCAGTTCTTTCTTACTTCATGTTCTTCCTAGAAACACTTGCTGTTATTTCTGATTCTATTCTGCCTGACCACATATTAAAACCTCTCTAACACTCAGAAATTTAGTCCTAACTACCATGCCCTAGAAATAAGATGCATTTCCTTGACTTACATCGTAAGTGTAATAGAACTCTTACTGGTTCAGCTGAATTTTTCTTATTGCTTTCCTGGAATTACTTGGCAATTCCAGGTGTTGTAACTTATTACAATAATTCAAAGCACTAGGTAATTTAAATTCTTCCCAACTCATCATTAAGAGTTTTAATTTAAATATCACCAGAGTGACTTTTATGCAAACAAATCCCCAGGAGCCAGTAAATGATTTTGAATTAAATTTCCTTTTCTTTGCTATGGTGAGTGGAAACTTGGGAAAGAAATGTAAATCATTTTCTCTAGAACATAAAATATTCCAAGCTGCAGAAATTTGTTTATAAAGGATATGTTAGAAATAATTTTCAGGAAATATATAGAGACACATAAGTGAGTGTGTGGCCCACCGTGGCCCTCAATAAAAGCAAGTGAAAGAGCAAACCTTATAAAGGTCTGTCCTCTTTTCTTAAATAATGCTGCCCACTATTTTTTCTCACTGGGTAAGAACAAAAATGAGAAATAAAACAGAAAAAAAAAACTCTTTTTCTGTTGATCATACAGTTAGGTCACTCAAAACCATAAAGATTTAAATCTTATGATTGTAGGGGAGACCCTAAAGTATATCAAAGCTGAACATTTCAGAAAGTTAGCTTTGGTTGAGAGATTAAAAGTCTTTTTACTACTTTGAACCTGAATTGGCCAACGCTATATTGGAATTCTACTAACTGGAGTAAGTAGACTTAGTAGAGTTCCAATTAGCATTGGCCAATTCAGGAACTCTACTAAGGGGAAATAATTTTTTAGATGGCCTGTCTATGAATATAAATAATTCTGTGGTGGCTTTTAACCTCTCTCAATCTTGGCTTGACTTAACTTCTCAACCTCAATTTGCCTGTCTTTAAAATGTGAGTAATGATAGGATCCACTACATCATGCTGCTGGGAAAATTAAATGAGATCATGTACGAAACTGTAAGTGCTTTAATACACAACTACTTCATAAACATCTGTTATTATCTTCTCTGATACTAGTTATAATTTAGAAGGCCCTGCTACTGGAATTTGAATTGGAACAATAACTCAGGTGATTACATCACTCAAAAGCAAAGTACATTAAACATTTGAAGAGAAACCTGTGCATTTACAACTCATCCAACAGGAAACAATAATCTTGCCTGCTAAAGATGCTGAGAGCTTCTAGGCAGCTGAGACTGGATGTCTTCATTGGAGAGTGGAGAGGCTACACTCCAGCAGCCTGGAAGCACCACTCTGCCCCGGGCATTCATAACAGGCCTTGAATACAATCAATATCTCAACTGGAAAGTCTATGTGCCTGGAGAACACCACACATTGGGTGGTAACACGGCAGATTTGTGAGTAACAGGTTTGTAATAACAAGAGAGGTAGAAACTTCTTTGTGCAAGATACCTAGTAGCAGATGATAACACCTCTTAAAAATGAAAGGGAAAAACCAATATGATAGTTCAAAGCATAAGAATGCTAGAAAACTGGAGGTAATTTTACAAAGGAGTTTGCCAGGTCATCAGGCAAAATTTGAAGATATGCTTTTAACAGAAATCTTGAGGATTTTTGAGGATCAACCTTTACTAATCATCAAGGCATATATGTCTGAAGATACTAACATTTATTTTATTCTAATATGATAATGAATATTCCTATAGACAGGACAAAATAACTGTGTTTAGGTAAAAAAGAAAAATTGAAACAATGACTTGCTGAAGTACTGGCACACTGAATAACCAGTAATCCGAAATTTGTATTTCTGTGAAGTCATTATCAATGTAAATAAACACTCAATTATTCTTTTTCTGGATTATCAATTTTATTTTATTTTATTTTTTTTTTTTTTATTATACTTCAAGTTCTGGGATACATGTGTAGAACGTGCAGGTTTGTTACAAAGGTATACATGTGCCATGGTGGTTTGCTGCACCCATCAATCCATCATCTACATTAGATATTTCTCCTAACGCTATCCCTCCCCTAGCCCCCAATCCCCCGACAGGCCCCAGTGCATGATGTTCCCCTCCCTGTGCTCGTATGTCCTTATTGTTCAACTCCCACTTATGAGTGAGAACATGCAGTGTTTGGTTTTCTGTTCCTGTCTTAGTTTGCTGAGAATGATGGTTTCCAGCTTCATCCATGTCCCTGCAAAAGATATAAACTCATCCTTTTTATGGCTGCATAGTATTCCATGGTATATATTTGCCACATTTTCTTTATCCAGTCCATTATTGATGGGCATTTGGGTTGGTTCCAAGTCTTTGCTATTGTGAATGGTGCTGCAATAAACATATGTGTACATGTGTCTTTATAGTAGAATGATTTATAAACCTTTAGGTATATACCCAGTAATGAGATTGCTGAATCAAATGGTATTTCTAGTTCTAGATCTTTGAGGAACTGCCCCACTGCCTCCCACAATGGTTGAGCTAATTTACACTCCCATCACCAGTAAAAAAAGCATTCCTATTTCTCCACATCCTCTCCAGCATCTGTTGTTTCCTGACTTTTTAATGATTGCCATTCTAACTGGCATGAGATGGTATCTCACTGTGGTTTTGATTTGCATTTCTCTGATGACCAGTGATGATGAGCTTTTCTTCATATGTTTGTTGGCTGCATAAATGTCTTCTTTTGAGAAGTGTCTGTTCATGTCCTTTGCCCACTTTTTGATGGGGTTGTTTGTTTTTCTTGTTAATTTGTTTAAGTTCCTAGTAGATTCTGGATATTAGTCCTTTGTCAGATGGATAGACTGCAAAAATTTTCTCCCATTCTGTAGGTTGCCTGTTCACTCTGATGATAGTTTCTTTTGCTGTGCAGAAGCTCCTTAGTTTAATTAGATCCCATTTGTCTATTTTGGCTTTTGTTGCCATTGCTTTTGGTGTTTTATTCATGAAGTCTTTGCCCGTGCCTATGTCCTGAATGGTATTGCCTAGGTTTTCTGCTAGGGTTTTTATGGTTTTAGGTCTTATGTTCAAGTCTTTAATTCATCTTGAGTTAATTTTTGTATAAGGTGTAAGTAAGGGGTCCAGTTTCAGTTTTCTGCATATGGCTAGCCAGTTTTCCCAGCACCATTTATTAAATAGGGAATCCTTTCCCTATTGTTTGTTTTTGTCAGGTTTGTCAAAGATCAGATGGTTGTAAATGTGTGGTGTTATTTCGGAGGCCTCTGTTCTGTTCCATTTGTCTGTATATATGTTTTAGTACAAGTACCATGCTGTTTTAGTTACAGTAGCCTTGTAGTATAGTTTGAAGTCAGGTAGCATGATGCCTCCATCTTTGTTCTTTTGGCTTAGGATTGTCTTGGCTATATGGGATCTCTTTTCATTCCATATAAAATTTAAAGTAGTATTTTCTAATTCTGTGAAGAAAGTCCATGGTAGCTTGATGGGAATAGCATGGAATCTATAAATAACTTTAGGCAGTATGGTCATTTTCACAATGTTGATTCTTCCTATCCATGAGCATATGAGCATGGAATGTTTTTGCATTTGTTTATGTCTTCTCTTATTTTCTTGAGCAGTGGTTTGTAGTTCTCCTTGAAGAGATCCTTCACATCCCTTGTAGGTTGTATTCTGAGGTATCTTATTCTCTTTGTAGCAAATTGTGAATGAGAGTTCACTCATGATTTGGCTCTCTGTTTATCTATTATTGGTGTATAGGAATGCTTGTGGTTTTTTCACATTGATTTACATCCTAAGACTTTGCTGAAGTTGCTTATCAGCTTAAGGAGATTTGGGGCTGAAACAATGCGGTTTTCTAAATATGCAATCATGTCATCTGCAAACAGAGACAATTTGACTTCCTCTCTTCCTTTATGAATACACTTTATTTCGTTCTCTTGCCTGATTGCCCTGGCCAGAACTTCCAATACTATGTTGAATAAAAGTGGTGAGAGAGGGCATCCTTGTCTTGGGCCAGTTTTCGAAGGGAAAAGCTTCCAGCTTTTGCCCATTCAGTATGATATTGGCTGTGGGTTTGTCATAGATAATTCTTACTATTTTGAAATATGTTTCATCAATACCTAGTTTATTGAGTGTTTTTAGCATGAAGGGGTGTTGAGTTTTATCGAAGGTCTTTTCTGCATCTATTGAGATAATCATGTGGTTTTTGTTATTGGTTCTGTTTATGTGATGGATTACATTTATAGATTTGGATATGTTGAAGCAGCCTTGCATCCCAGGGATGAAGCCGACTTCGTCATGGTGGATAAGCTTTTTAATGTGCTGCTGGATTCAGTTTGCCAGTATTTTATTGAGAATTTTCACATCGATGTTCATCAGGGATATTGCCCTGAAATTTTTGTTTTTTGTCGTGTCTCTGCCAGGTTTTGGTATCAAGATGATGCTGGCCTCATAAAATGAGTTAGGGAGGAGTCACTCTTTTTCTATTGTTTAGAATAGTTGCAGAAGAAATGGTACCAGCTCCTCTTTGTACCTCTGGAATAATTTGGCTATGAATTCGTCTGGTCCTAGACTTTTTTGGTTGGTAGGCTATTAACTACTGCCTCAATTTCAGAACTTGTTACTGGTCTTTGTGCAGGGATTCAAATTCTTCCTGGTTTAGTCCTGGGAGGGTGTATGTGCCCAGGAATTCATCCATTTCTTCTAGATTTTCTAGTTTATTTGCATAGAGGTGTTTATAGTATTCTCTGATGGTAGTTTGTATTTCTGTGGTATCAGTGATGTTATCCCCTTTACCATTTTTTATTGTGTCTATTTGGTTCTTCTCTCTTTTCTTCTTTATTAATCTGGCTAGCGGTCTATCTGTTTTGTTAATCTTTTCAAAAAACCAGCTCCTGCATTCATTGATGTTTTGAAGGGTTTTTCATGTCTCTATCTCCTTCATTTCTGCTCTGATCTTAGTTATTTCTCGTCTTCTGCTAGCTTTTGAATTTGTTTGCTCTTGCTTCTCTAGTTCTTTTAACTGTGATATTAGGGTGTCTGTTTTAGATCTTTCTCATTTTATCCAGTGGACATTACATGCTATAAATTTCCCTCTAAACACTGTTTTAGCTGTGTCCCAGAGATTCTGGTACGTTGTGTCTTTGTTCTCATTTGTTTCAAAGAACTTATTTATTTCTGACTTAATTTTGTTATTTACCCAGTAGTCATTCAGGAATCGGTTGTTCAGTTTCCATGTAGTTGTGCAGTTTGGAGTGAGTTTCTTATTCCTGAGTTCTAATCTGATAGACTGTTTGTTATGATTTCCATTCTTTTGCAAATGCTGAGGAGTGTTTTACTTCCAGTTATGTGTTCAATTTTAGAATAAATGTTATGTGGTGCTGAGAAGATTGTATATTCTGTTGATTTGGGGTGGAGAGTTCTGTAGATGTCTATTAAGTCCGCCCGGTCCACAACTGAGTTCAAGTCCTGAATCTCCTTGTTAATTTTTTGTCTTGTTGGTTTGTCTAATATTGACAGTGGGGTGTTAAAATCTTCAACTATTATTATTTGACAGTCTAAGTCTCGGTAGGTCTTTAAGAACTTGCTTTATGAATCTGGGTGCTCCTGTATTGGGTGCATACATATTCATGATAGTTAGTTCTTCTTGTTGCCTTGATCCCCTTACCATTATGTAATGCCCTTCTTGGTCTTTTTTGATCTTTCTTTGTTTAAATTCTGCTTTATTAGAGATCAGGATTGCAACCCCTGCTTTTTTTTCTTTCCATTTACTTGGTAAATATTCCTCCATCACTTTATTTTGAGCCTATGTGTATCTTTGCATGTGAGATGGGTCTCCTGAATACAGCACAATGATGGGTCTTGACTCTTTATCCAATTTGCCAGTCTGTGTCTTTTAATTGGGGGAATTTAGCCCATTTACATTTAAAGTTAATATTGTTGTGTGTGAATTTGATCTTGACATTATTATGCTAGCTGTTATTTTTCCCCTTAGTTGATGCAGTTTCTTCATAGTGTCAATGTCTTTAAATTTTGATATGTTTTTGCAGTGGCTGGTACCAGTTTTTCCTTTCTATATTTAGTGCTTTCTTTAGGAGCTCTTGTAAGGCAAGCCTGGTGGTGACTAAATCCCTGGGCATTTGCTTGTCTGTAAAGGATTTTATTTCTCTTTCACTTATGAAAGTTAGTTTGTCTGGATATGAAATTCTGAGCTGAAAATTCTTTTCTTTAAGAATGTTGAATATTGGCCCCCACTCTTTCCTGGCTTTTAGGGTTTCTGCAGAGACATCCACTTTTAGTCTGATGGGCTTCCCTTTGTGGATAATCTGATCTTTCTATCTGACTCTTCTTAACATTTTTTCCTTCATTTTAACCGTGGTGAATCTAGTGATTATGTGTCTCGGGCTTGCTCTTCTCGAGGAGTATCTTTGTGGTGTTCTCTGTATCTCCTGAATTTGAATGTTGGCCTGTCTTGGTAGGTTGGGGAAGTTTTCCTGGATAATATCCTGAAGTGTGTTTTCCAACTTGGTTCTATTCGCCCTGTCACCTTCAGGTACACCAACCAAAGGTGGGTTTGGTCTTTTCACATAGTCCCATATTTCTTGGATGCTTTGTTTGTTCCTTTTCATTCATTTTTCTTTAATCTTGCCTTCATGCTTTATTTCATTAAGTTGATCTTCAATCTCTCATATCCTTTCTTCTGCTTGATTGAATCAGCTATTGATACTTGTGTATGCTTCATGAAGTTCTTGTGTTGTGTTTTTTCAGCTCCATCAGGTCATTTATGTTCTTCTCTCAACTGGTTATTCTGGTTAGTAGTTCCTGTAACCTTTTATCAAGGTTCTTAGCTTCCTTACATTCAGTTAGAACATGCTCCCTTAGCTCGGAGGAGTTTGTTATTATCCACCTTCTGAAGCCTACTTCTGACAATTCATCAAACTCATTCTCTGTCCAATTTTGTTCACTTGCTTGCAAGGAGTTGTGATCCTTTGGAGAAGAAGAGGCATTCTGGTTTTTGGAATTTTCAGCTTTTTTTGTGCTGATTTTTCCTCATCTTGTGGATTTATCTACTTCTGGCCTTTGATGTTGGTGACCTTCGGATGGGGTTTTTGCGTGGGTGTCCTTTTTTTGATGTTGATGCTATTGCTTTCTGTTTGTTAGTTTTCCTTCTACCCAGTCAGGCCCCTCTCCTGCAGGTCTGCTGGAGTTTGCTAGAGGTCCACTCCAGATCTTGTTTGCCTGGGTATCACCAGCAGGGCCTTCAGAACAGCAAAGATTGCTGCCTGCTCCTTCCTCTGGAAGCTTCATCCCAGAGCAGCACCCACCGGATGCCAGCCACAGCTCTCCTGTATGAGGTGTCTGTTGAACCCTGCTGGGAGGTGTCTCCCAGTCAAGAGGCATGGGGGGTCAGGAACCCACTTGAGGAGGCAGTCTGTCCTTTAACAGAGCTCAAGCACCATGCTAGGATATCCACTGCTCTCTTCAGATCTGGCAGACAGGAAAATTTAAGTCTGCTGAAGCTGCTCCCACAGCTGCCCCTTCCCCTAGGTGCTCCGTCTCAGGGAGATGGGAGTTTTATCTATAAGCCACTGACTGGAGCTGCTGCCTTTCTTTCAAAGATGCCCTGCCCAGACAGGAGGAATCTAGAGAGGCAGCCTGGCTACAGTGGCTTTGCTGTGCTGTGGTGAGCTCCACCCAGTCTGAACTTCCAGGTGGCTTTGTTTATAAGGGGTGGCAGTTTATAAGGGGAAAACCGCCTACTCAAGCCTCAGTAATGGCCGACGCCCCTCCCTCCACCACGCTCGAGTGTCCCAGGTCAATTTCAGACTGCTGTGCTGGCAGTGAGAATGTCAAGCCAGTGTATCTTAGTTTGCTGGGCTCTGCGGGGGTGGGATATGCTGAGCCAGACCACTTGGCTCCCTGGCATCAGCCCACTTTCCAGGAAAGTGAATGGTTCTGTCTCACTGGCATTCCAGGCACTACTGGGGTATGAAAAAAAAAACTCCTGCAGCTAGTTCAGTGTCTGCCCAAATGGCCACCCAGTTTTGTGCTTGAAACCCAGGGTCCTGGTAGTGTAGGCACCTGAGGGAATCTCCTGGTTTGCGGATTGCGAAGACCATGGGAAAAGCATAGTAACTGGGCCAGAATGCACCATCCCTCACAACACAGTCCCTCATGGCTTCCCTTGACTAAGGGAGGGAGTTCCCAGCCTCCTTGCTCTTCCTGGGTGAGGTGACATCCTACCCTGCTTCTGCTCACCCTCCATGGGCTGCACCCACTGTCTAACCAGTCCCAATGAGATGAACCGTGTACCTCAGTTGGTAATGCAGAAATCATCCACCTTCTACGTTGGTCTCGCTGGGAGCTGCCAACCAGAGCTGTTCTTGATCGGCCATCTTGCCAGCCCATTCAATCATTCCTAAAGGAGACTATGTCTAATTGGTAACAGTAAACTTGCAAATCTCATATGAAACTTTTGAGGGGTTTAACAACCATTTAGGGAAAGGGTTTTTTATTTATGTGACAAAATTATGACTGAAAGCTCAAAACTCATTATTTTAGTGATTTATAATTGCTTTTAATGCACACACAAACACACTTTTACAAATACATGCACATACGTGAATCAGAAGGAACACTTACTGTCATTTCATTCATGCTCAGGAGCATGGGACTAGGTGGCAAAGTGCCAAGGCGAAATTTAAAACCATCTTCTAAAGTCATTCCCCAAAATTGGCTGTAATTCTGTGCTGTCCATCTGCCTTACAAATGAGAGAAAAATATAGAAAAATATATACAGGTTATATGACATCACTTTTATAAATACATTTTCCTTTATATTTCTGAAATTTAATAGCAGCAAATCTCACAATATGAGAATTGTCACAGGCTAGATATTCTTTATATAATGATGCATTATTGATTATTTTATAATCAAGGGTATGAGATACTCTTCCTAAATAAGGTCCATTTCAAGTATTTTAATGATTCTTACGAAGAACATAATCCCACAAAGGGATTAAGTGTTAATAAGGCCAATATATGCAGTTTCCTTTAAATGCCATTAAATGCATCTTAGAAAGAAGCTTAAATATACAGAAATGCACTTATACATTAAATAGGTTAATACATTTTCTTTAAAATTTAGATTTGAAAAGAAATTGACAAGGTAAAAAAGTATGCATGAAAAATGAAGGATAAAATAGGTATAATTTTTAAAAATGACATCAGATTTTTAAAAATTAATTAAAAATCTAATTAATCAGATATTGAAATATTCTATTATATATTAAATGAGTTCATTTGTTTTAAGTGCTCAATCATCTTAGTTATTAATAATAATAAAAAATCAGTTGATGTGAAAGTGCATATTTTTGTAGAGACATATTTTGTGCCCTTAATTAGAAAAAAAATTCTCTTCAAAATTTAATATTGAAATTTGAAGACAAACAAAATTTTTTACTAGATGATAGTGGATAAAAAATTAGAAAGATGCAAGTAATTTAATCATTGCCTATTCTGAATTATCTACCACTTTAGGTCAATATATTTTCAGTACTCACATCAAATTTAAACCCTGTCCTGCTATGTTTATCACCAAAATCGTTTATAATGTGATAGGCTCTTATGAATCATTGAAAACACAACTTAATTTTTAATAATATACCTCACAAGTTAATGCTTTTAATTTGTACAAGATCTGTTAGTTCATAAAATCTTTAGAAACTTGGTTACAATTTAAAGTGCAATCTCAATAAGGGAACCTCTGAATATAAGAGATATTGTAGTATAATTCAAAAGGCTAACTGGGCAAAATTGGGCAAAACTGTGACATCAGTAAGTATGTTTTTGTTGCCCTATGTTAGTAGTTTTCAAACATCAGGTCAGAGACATTCATAGGTTATTTAATTCAGCACTCAATTTGGTGAGCAGGGTGATAGTTTAAGAAAGTAAAATAGAAGATAGGAGAAATAATAGGAAATAGTAGAGTTTATTACAAATACTGAGGTAATAAACTCTCTGTGTCTGTATGTGTGTGTTGATGCTTGTGCACGTGTGTGTGTACTAGATCACAAAGTAAAATGTATGTTCTACTGTGAGATATGCTCAAAAAGTGTGAAAGGTATGACTAACCTATAACATCCTTCTTGACCTGGACTCATAAGTTTCATTTTAATCCAATTTAGCATTTATTGAACTTTCTTAATTGATCTATCATATTCTCTGATAAACACGGAGAACATAGATATGAATAAACTTCTCTACATTTAAGAAGCTCATACCTTAAGAAACACTGCAAAGATAGAAATGACTTTGGCATGTGCCATTTGTTAGCAATATATCAAAATATGATCAAAAGCTTCAAACACAACTGAAGGAGTTGGCAAATTTTTTACATAAAGCAAATTTAGTTCTCTATCTGGAAGGATGAGAATGACCTTGGTGACCAGACATGAAAGAAGAGAGCATTTGTTTAAAGTAAAAGTAACTCTTGAGCAAAGCATGCAGGTTTGAAGTTGGGTGGCATGTTTAGGGAATGACAGATAAGTAAAATGCTTAAACTAGGAGAGAGGATAGGGACACAGGGGCTGAAAACGGTATAAAAGATAAGGTAGTAAAAAAGCTTTTGGACCAACATGTTATTTATGCTAAGGACAATACTTATGTTTCACAAGCAATGGAGTACCATTGAGAATTTCTGGAAACAGAAACAAGTCAGGTAATTTCAAACTAGGCTTGATAAAGAAATGCATTAGAATATAGTCTAGAATGGAAGAAGTAAATATCTAAGAGAAACTTTTTGTGTGGGAGTTAGCAATACCTACTGACTGAGAGTAAAAGGAAGGAAGAACCAAACTAACATCAAATTTTCAAGTTGAGCAGATAGAGCAAGATGCCAGTGACTAAGAATAGGTAGAAGTTAATCACTGCAGTTTGGGGTGAGCTGGTTTTGAGAAAACAGTGAAAAATGAAAGCCACTTATCCAGTAGACCAAATTTTGAGTTCATAAGAAAGAATCTATTTCACTAGCCTTTGAATGTAAGCTGGCCTAGTAACTTGCTTTACCCAATAGAAAGTGGTAGAATTGATATCATGAAACTTTCAAGCATAAGCTTTAAGGGAGGACTGGGGCAACTTCCACGTATGCCCCATTAGAATAATAATTATGAGAAGAAGCCAAAGCTAGCCTGCTGGAGAAACATGGCCCAATTAACATCCTGCACCAACCACAAGACATAGAGTAAGGCCATCACAGACAATTCAGCCTCAGTTGAGGCTCTGTTGACACAGGAGTAATTCCAAAAGAGAGCAGCAAAAGAGCCTCAGTTGAACCTATTCCAAATTGCTGATGTGAAAAGATGAAAAGCTTATCGTTTTAAAATGCTGAATCCTGGAATGGTTTGTTATACAGCAGCAGTTAATTGAAACACTTATATATCTCCCTTTATTCCACTAACTTGCTGATTATTACTTGTGCCACTAATTTACAGCTTCTATTCTCCCCTATTATTAGAAATCCTTTTATAAAGATATGATAGTGTTGGCTCCTCAACTAGATGGTAAATTCCCTTAACATAAAAATTATTTGTTTTTTTGTTTTGTTTGAGACAGAATCTCACTCTGTGGCCCAGGCTGGAGTGCAGTGGTGTGATCTCAGCTCACTGCAACCTTCACCTCCTGGGTTCAAGCAATTCTAGTGCATCAACCTAACGAGTAGCTGGGACTACAGACCTGTGCCAGCACACCTGGATAATTTTTGTATTTCTGGTAGAGATGGGGTTTCACCATGTTGGCCAGGCTGGTCTCAAACTCCTGACCTCAAATGATCTGCTCGTCTTGGCCTCCCAAAGTGCTGGGATTACAGGCATAAGCCACTTCGCCAGGCCAAAATGATTTATTTGTATCCTCAGCCATGCCATCAGTGGAACATATGTTTTATTAATATCAACTGATTACATTAAAAAATAATACAGAGAATAAATAAGCACTGAAGTACATTACATAGAATAAATAAAGACTTGGATCTAAAATACTGTCAAGATGTGGGAAAGAAATATTTTAAACCAAAGATTGCATATTTGATGTAGGCTATTTTAAAAAGCACTTAATAAATATTGAATGATATAATATGGTTATATTTTTACACATAAAAACAATTTGAGCATAATGAAGAGAGAATAGCTGAGAATTAGAACTTTCTTTTAAATTTAAAGACTTCCCCCCTTTTTTGCCCTGGTAAATAATTTTAGTTTTATTTCTTGTCTTTATAGCTTGCTCCTTTTACTTAACTTTTTTCCTTTGGTTTTTATATGTTTCCTTTTGCTCCAATTATACTTCACTTTCTACTCTTTTAAAGTTATGTGATGTTTTAATATTTGCTACTAAAATGCAAAGCCCATGCCTCTTAAGCAGCCGTAGGGCATGCTCAAAATAAATAAATCATGGAAAGAAAGTTCCTCCTTCCAAGGAAGATATTAGGTTGGTGCAAAAGTAATGGTGGAGTTTTGCACCAACCTAATAGCATTCCCAACAACCTCTGTGCTCCTAAGTGTGTATTCTTAGGTGTACCACATTGGTTTAGACTATAGTTTCTCATGTACTTGTTAACAGTGGAAAGCTAGGAATGTATGTTAATTAGGTCTAGCATTTGAACCCTTTTAGGAATCTGATTCAATTTCTCAAGATGACATATACTCTCATCTTCTTTGAATAATTTAAATATGATTTGCCACAGAAAATTATAATTGGTTTTCCCTGGAAATACTGAAGATGTCATCAAGTTATCTTCTAAAATATTGGTTTAACACAAACACACACACTCACAAACACACAGAGGAACTGAGAATGGTTTAAGGATATTAATATCAACAAATGTGACTTTCTATGTTTTGTATGTTCCAAGAAAAAACTTTGAATACATTGAAATTTAGTGTCCCCATTATGCTGGGAAACAACATGTTATATGTGGAAGGAGATTACACTTCCATTTTATAAAAATACTTCTCCAGATTATTTCACTTTTCTAATTGCTTGATAATAGATCTTTTTATGTGAAATCTTTTCCAGAAATGTAGAAGATGTTATCAAGGGTATATCGAGATTCGTTCAATGGCAGTGGAGAAATCCTGAAGCAGATACCAGCTGGCTTGTTCCTCTTCCTTTTAGTTCTATAATAAAAGCCAGTGTTGGCGCCTGTATCTTTTTATGTTTCTTGTTTTTTTTTTGTTTGTTTGTTTTGTTTTGTTTTTTTGACAGGGTTTCACCCCCCGATTCCCATGCTGGAGTGCAGTGGCGCAATCTCGGCTCACTGCAACCTCCGCCTCCCAGGCTTCAGTGGTTGTTGTGCTTCAGCCTCCTGAGTACCTGGGATTATCGGCATGCACCACCATGCCCAGCTAATTTTTTCTGTATTTTTAGTAGAGATGGGGTCTCACTAGTTGTCCAAGCTGGTCTTGAACTCCTGGCCTCAAGTGATCCACCCACCCACCTTGGCCTCCCAAAGTGCTGGGATTACAGGCATAAGCCACCTCGCCGGGCCAGTGCCTACATCTTAATTTCCTCTATGTAAATGGAGACGCCACCTAATTTTTCAATCTGCATGAGAGCATCAGTTATTTCCAATGTTTCAGTGTCAATCATCCCTACTTTTTGTGTACTAGCAAAGTAAAGTAGCTCAATCTGTCTTTTGATTCAACCGTAAGTGACATTGGTTAGATACCCATCATTTCAGTGAAATTATTTAGATTGGCTTGTTATTTGAATATCATCCTTGTAAGGTCAGATTCTACCCATGATAGCTAAGCATGTGATTGGCTTGGTGAGGGCAGCAGCAGAGGGAGAAATGGTTAGTATGAATACATGAATTTTGCTGACTTCCTGATTTTGCCTAAATACTTATCCAAAGTAGCTTTCCCTCCACTTCCCTTACCTACACCACGACATTGCTCTTTCCTAGATAATTTACAGCTATGCTGTAGATTTATTATTTGATCATTTTAATTATTTAATGTTTACCTTTGCATTCCAGGTTTACATGCTTTCTATCTCCCTTCCTATTTCTCTCCCACTCTTTCTTTTTAAACAATGACCATTTATAGAAACCAAGCAATACATTGAAACCTGCATAGTAAATGGCAGTGTCAAGAAACATACAAAGCAAGATTTCTCTCACCCATAGTCTCCTTTATTGACCTGTTCAATTAATTCTGAACGAACAAGGCATACATGCTGGGAACATTTCCATTGCTGTCCTGAGCATGTGCTGCAAAGATATGACAATTACAAAAGTGGCTTGGTCTTTATGAAGTATATTTCAATTAGTAAAAAGAGTTATACATTGTTAAGGCATAAAACATAATTTCTTGATTAATGTTAGCCATATGGTTATTTGATTCTTGGCAAAAATAAATTGTAAAACATACGTTAGCTACCACTCAATATGCTGTAATCCTCTACTCCAGGCAATTAACAAATGATATGATCACACATCTGCTGAAGTTTGAAAACAAGCCAAATTGGACAGTAGATTCAATGTACTTGTATTTGGAAACTTTCTGCAGGCTAGTCCTTTTAAAGCAGCCTGTTTTTATATAGTTACTGTGCTCAAAAAACACAATTTGCCTTAGGGTATCAGAATATTATAATTAAGAGGTACATTTAATGAAGACCTGTTGTATGATGAAGACCCATTGTCAAGAACATCAACCTCAAACATTAAAAGATATTCATGATTAAATTTTCAAAATCCCTTAAAATTAAATATGCTTATACAAAGTTACAGGTACATGATGTCTTATGATGTATGATTCTGCCTATATGTACATAAATGTATACTTTGGTTCACAAATATTTCTTTTATTTGAAGAAAACATACACACACAGTAGAACTCAGTTCTGTGCCACTTAAATTTATTACCAGGAGTTGCAGTTTTCTTTAATTACTGATCCCTCTTCATAATGTTGACCATCTTTGAAGCAACCTGTCAAAGTAACATGTAAAGAAATGAAAATGCTAAACTAAGTAATAAAGTGCATTAACATAAAATGTAATCAAAAATCATAGTTAGCTTTTCAAATATGCAGACATGTTTGGTGCCAAAAAAGCTGATAGAAATCCATGTCAGGTTTGTGTCAAGGTGTGTATATCGAATTCTTCTGTGCTTGTTTCAATGCTTTTATCTTTAAACTGCATATTATGTTCCAACAGGGAGGATTTGCAAAACATGAAAACAAGATTACCAAGGAATTAATCACTATGCTTAAAAAATAATTAATGCTTTTAAGTAAGTAAACAATATAATAGTATTTGAATTGATTTATGGCATGTCTCATTTAAAAAAACAACTAATCAAGTCTCATAAGTGCTTATAATTAATTGGATATGACTGAAGCAAGTAGCTTTGGACTCAAAATACCAGGTCATTTCATTGAATTTACCTTACAAAGACAAATTCTATTTTTTTCTTTAGGATCTGAATAAGGGAAAAAATTCAGGAAATCAATAAGATTGTAGCCATTTGCCTTCCAAATCCAAATGTTTCTTAACTGTTAACTGAAACTAGTTATTAACTGCTTTATGAGATTATATGAACTACTCAAAAGAGATGGATGGTGAATCATTATCATATAAAAACCACTAGTAACATATTGTAAAAATAGTGCTCTGGTTAAAAATTTAAATTCCTTTTGAAAATATAATCTGCTCAAATTCAAAATTAACATTGAATTAGCAAAAGGGACTCAACTTTGTCTAGTGAGACTGTTTTTGATAGAAACATGTAATTGGTATTTTATGCCAATGGCCTCTAATTAAACAAAATGAATTTTAACCTTTTATTCCTAAAATCATAGGGCAAACTATAGGTTTAGAAAGCATTCTAAGGGACCTTGTTTAACTTCTAGCCATAATGTTACAAAGCCACTTAAGGAATTAGCCATTGTTTGATTTTCCAAAAAATATTGTAATAAAAAATATTTCATAACTGCCCCTCCCCTGGATGTTTCACAGTCCAATATTCTACTTAATGAATCTAATTATTTATGTATTTACGTCTAGGCATCCCTTTCATATGGAATTTTGGTACGTCACAATCATGGGATAAGAAAAGGAAACCACCCTTCTCTTGACCACAGTTTTCCTAATGCAGCAAACCCGAGATGTAGGAAGACTGAACTTCACATCAAATTCATGGTTTTAATTGCTACATAAGATTAGACTCCTTTCATAACTGAATCCACAGTATGTTTCTAATTTAAAGAGATTCTAAAATATTTTATTACCTAGAAACAACAGAAAATCCATGCAACAATCCAAGTTTTCATTCAAAGCCAAGAGAAGTACTTTCCTGACCATTCTTAAAAACTGAGAGTGTGGGATAAAAACAAAGCTGATTTTTAATCATACCTCATGAATCTTGAGTGTTCAACATATGAATTCCATGGATAAATGGAACAGACATCTCAAGGGTCCTTAAGGAAAAAGACCTTAATACTCAGCTGAGTATTAGCTGACTTATACTCAGCTAATAATTTTGAAGTCAGGGGACCGCCATTACCAAGCCACCCCAAATCATCAACACTAAATTTAATGTTAACAAAAACTCCATTTCTTGGTCATCCTTCCTTAATTTCATGTAAGAGATAACTGAGACATTGCATTCACTTTAATCTAGCATGAGAATTAATCTCTTGAGCAAAAGCCATAATCAGTTACTTCGGACCCCGGTCAAGGTGTTGACACAGTAAAGCATCAGTGTCTATATAATACCCAGACGCAGTCCACTCACTCCTTTGCTACAATCCTTCCCAACTCCAACGGATCCCTCATTTCCCACACAGCATTTACAGAGATCGTCAAAAATATACATCATGTAGCTTCCTACTTAAAATCTTCAAGTCGTTTCCCATCAAATTTAGAGTAAGACCAAACTTCTTACTGTAACCTATAAGGCCTTATCCAAAATGTCTCCACCCTAATCTCTGCACTTATCACTCCTGTTGAGCTGACTAGGGTGGAGGTTCCCAGAAGCATGAAGGATTAGCATAATAGTAGTGAGGATAGAGAGAAGTAGGTGGATATAACTTGGAGGTAACTCAAAGGGAATCACTCATGGATTGAATCTGGTGAATGAGGGAAAAGAGGAATCAAAGATACCTCATTAGGACTTTGGCTTGAGTAATAAAGAAATGGTACAGCTATCACTAAAATAAGAAACAGGCTTGTGTCAAGAAATCAAGACTGCTACTGTGTATATTTTAGATTTAGATAAAACCTAGGCTAGACATCCTAACAGAGATATCAAGTAGACAGCAGTTTATAAAAGACAAGAGTTAAGCCCAGGCTGGAGCATGAATTTGGGAGACACCAACATCCATATCTACTTTTTCAAACACAAGACTAAATAAGAGTCTTTTGGAGAGAGTGTATATAGGTAAGAGAAAGTGGTCCAGGACTGAGCTCAAAACACTGCATCTGACAGACATTCAGAAGAGGAAACTGCGAAGGAGTGGCCTGTGAGGGAACAGAAAATTGAGGAGAGGGTGGTGTCATGAAAAACAGGGTTAATACAGTGTTTCAAATGCTCTAGGTGGTCAGCTGCATACAGTACTGTCGAGAGGCCAAGAACACAAAAACAGACATCTGAATATTGCATTTGGTAATGTAGGAATTGCCAATAACCCTGCCAAGAGAGATTTCAGTGAAGTAGCAGGGAGCTGACATCCTGTAGGAATGGGTTGATGAGAGACTTGGAATAAGAAAGTAAATTTTTCTTTCAGACATTTTGCCATTAAAGGAAAGAAGGGAATGAGATGGTAGCTGGTTAAAGACATGAAGTTAAGGGAGAGATTTTATAAAGTTGGGAAAGGCAAAAACACATTTTGGAAATTAATGGTTAATCCACATGTATTAGCCTGTTCTCACACTGCTAATAAAGACATACCCAAGACTGAGTAATTTACAAAAGAAAGAGGTTTAATAGACTCACAGTTCCACATGGCTGAGGAGGCCTCACAATCATTGCAAAAGACGAAGGAAGAGCAAAGAGACATTTTATATGGTGGCAGGCAAGAGAGAGCTTGTACAGGGCAACTCCCATTTATAAAACCATCAGATCTTATGAGACTCATTCACTACTACAAGAACAGCATGGGAAAAACCTGTCCCCGTGATTCAATTCCCTCTCACTGGGTCCCTCCCATGACAGGTGAGAATTATGGGAGCTACAATCCAAGATGAGATTTGGGTGGTGACACAGCCAAACCATATCACCAGGAGAAAAGAAAAGAAAAAAATGATGCTTGAGAAGAAAGAGAGAGCAAGAAAGCGAGAGAGAATGGTAGAGATGGAGGTATTGAAAAGATAAGAGAAGATGGGATTCAGAACTCAAGAAGGGGAGTCAATTCAAGGTAAGCAGTAACCCAGATGGAGGTAGGTTGAAAACTATGATTGTGGAGATATGAAAGAATTCCTGTCCGGTAGCTTTACTTTCTCAGTAAAATATGTCTGGAGCTCCTCAGAGTGAGTTAATTAATTGGTTACACACAGCATCTTGACCAAAAAAACAAAACAAAACAAAGCCAAAACTAATGACTGTTGAAATTACGGCAGTTTTGTGACTTTAACAGCATTTAAAGCAATATTAGGCAAATAATATATTTGGAGAATGAAATAGTTTATCTTCTCGAATTGAGAAAAGAAAATAATACATTGTCTATAATTTGTTTTAAAATAATTCATCATAGTATATTACAAGTATCTGTGCTGGTCTAAACTTCACTTCTTGAACTGCAAAAAGATGATGATATGTTGTCTATAATTTATTTTAAAATAGTTCATCACAGTGTATTATAAGTATCTATGCTGGTCAAAACTTCACTTCTTGAATTGCAAAAAGATAATGACATGTTGTCTATAATTTATTTTAAAATAGTTCACCACAGTGTATTATAAATATCTGTGCTGGTCTAAACTTCACTAAAGTAAAGGCAGTTGCTTGCTCTAATCAGGAATCCACCCCCCAGGGTTGTTCAGTGGCATTCACTCTGAAAGACCAGGCTTTGGAGAAACGGCTGCAAGTGCTTCCATTACCCATATTTTGATCAACCCTAGATTATTAGTATAATAAATGTCAGAAATGGGTTTTATTGTTAAAATTCATGACTTGTTAATCAGCATAATTGTGATAAATAATTGGCTCCCATTGGTTAAATTATAATTTTTTTACTTATGAGGATTACCTAAAATATTTCAAAGTCACATACCACCCTTGTATCCCATAGCTTAGATGTATCTCTTAAACTCAAAAGCACCTGTACTCTTAGACTTGGCTCTCTAGGACTGATATTTGTCCTGTGTACTGTGTCCAGCCAAGTAGAAAGGAGGAATTGTCATTCTCTGATAGCCACTGTATAGGTAACAGAGTTCTACCTCTGTAATATTATCACATGTGCCTCCAATAAATCTTTCATGCAACGTAGATGTGGGAACACGTAAAAGGACAGGAACTGGAGATTTCATGAAGCTTATAGACGTTGTATGAATTGGTTTGTGTCATATTTTTGTAACTGTCAGTATACGTGGCAAAGTATGGACTGTGATTTACCTTCATTGTAATATAGTTAAGGAGGCTGTGAAGAAGTAAATAACCCTCTTCGAATTCAAACATGTCAGTGACTCACATACATTTTTTACCAATGTGAACATATTGTGCATAATCAAATCAACTTAGGTCTGTTCACAGCAGATGGTCTACTAGACTTTCTCCTTAAAATCCTCTATACCAAAAGGTTATGTCTAGAAAATCCACTCGAGCTCTGTTTTCAACTCTGTCACTGGTTCTCCATATCTGACATTTGAATTTTTTTACTTTTTTTTTTTTACTTTGACAGGGTCTTATTCTGTCATCCAGGCTAGAGTGCATTGGTGGAATGATAGCTCACAGAAGCCTCAAACTCCTGGGCTTAAGGGATCCTCCTGCCTCAGCCTCCCATGTAGATGGGACTACAGTGTATGCCACCATGACTGGCTAATTTTTATTTTTTTTATTGTTGTTGGTGGGGATGAGGTCTTATTGTACTGCTAGGCTGGTCTTAAACTCTTGGCCGTCAAGAGATACTCCCACCTTGACCTCCAAAGTGCTGGGATTACAGGTGTGAGCCACCACACCCAGCCTGACATTTGAAATCCTTTACTGGAAGTTACCATCAGATATGGCAAAGAAAATACAGAAAGAAGATATTTACCAATATGCTTTACTTCCAGTTTGTACAAAATGGATATATTTACTTTTTTAATCCTGAAGATAATGTACATAGTTTTAAATCCTTGATTTAAAGAGCTCTTAGAACAGGCACAATAAGAGGAACTGAACAATACCCATGTAACTAAATCTCTGAAAAATATATTTAATAGATCAGTGAGTGATCATAGAATCTCAGAGGAAAGTTGCTTTATGCATGCAACCAATAGCATAAATAATATACATTGTATTTTTATCTTAACTAATTTTGCACATTTTTTCAATATTGTGTAGTACTATTTTCAAGTAGCTGCTTTCAAAAGCAAGATAAAACAAAAGAAAAAAAATTATCTGTATGGGAGCATTTATAGTCTAATGTGAACTTTTTGCTACAAAGTAAAATGATTAATTCCTTCCTTTCATAGTGAATGGAGTAAAAACTATACCTGGAACATAAATTCTACATAAACTATGACCCTAAATTAAAGTCTTAGCAAAATTCTACCTCTCAAGCAAAAATGGATATTGAAGAAGTAGCAACTACTTTTTTTGTATGCACTGTATGCCTCAAATAAGAAAATCTCAAGTACATTTCAGCACATTAAAAAATTACAACTCATACTTTTAAACTGAGACTCAAAAAAATATTAAATTGATATAATAACTAATCAAAAGGCAGACATCCAAATAGCCACTGTGTTTTTAGGTGATTCCGCATTCTTAATTTTTGGCAGAGATTGCTGGTTATTCCCAATATCATTCTCTACTCTTTTTTTTTGTAACAGAACCCCATTCATAGCTAGACACATTACCACACAGCTAAGAAAAACCTCTCTTTGATGGTTGGTATGTCCATGTGACTATATTCTGGCCAAAGAAATAAAACAGAGGTGCTCATCTGTGCTTTAGAATGTCTTCTCAAAATGTGGAAACTCTAACCTTCTTTTCCATTTATTTTAAATGGGACTCAAATATCACTTTTGGATCATGAAGAGCCAAAGCAGCTCATGACTACAAGGGCCATTTTCTAAGAATGGTGAAGCAGAAGGCTGCATGGAGCCTCGTGGCTAATGACAAAGTGAATCCAGGCAAAATATCTTATGTGTTAAAAATACGTATTTTAGTTAGGGTTGTCACCAATCTGACATGTTCTTATATGGTACATAGTTTTTATCAAATAAACATTTAACCATTTTAATATACTCAACTTTCCTGGGTGATACTCTTGTCCACATGTGGCATACAAGTCACACGATGCTTCTTAATTGTTTCGCATACCTAAGTCTCCTTACCCATGTAGATCCTAAGTTTCTCGAGGCCTGGGACTTTATAATACCCTTTTCTTATGACCCTCAATGCTTACCACAATCATGGATATATAAAAAGTTTTAAATACTATCGATTACTCCTGTTGATATTCCAACATCCAAAATAATATAGAAATTGCACATTTAAACTATAAACAATAATACTTTGATATTTTCTAAATATCTTTTAAAACTATGTATGAAAAAGTATGCTTATGAAAATATTTTATTATTTTAAATCATATGAGTAAATTATTATTTAATTTAACAAATACAAAATTTGAAATAAAATTTAAATCCTCTAAATATCAATTAATCCAAATTCAAACAATATTTACTAGGCCTCCCACTTCATGGCACCATAATTAGTACGTGATAAGTAAATCACCGTGTTTACTCTTAAGAAGCTGCTGTATAATTAAAATAAAGTAATATTCTATTAAACAACATAGAATTAAATAATGAATGAGTTAATACCTGAAAAGTGCTTAGAACAGTTGTTGGCTCCATAGTAAGTATTCAATAAATCTTAGCTTGTAAGGAGGAGGAAGAGTATGTTCAGTAAGACAAGAGAAAACATGCTACTCAGGGTATTACAGAAGGGTCTGTTAAGTAAATATGTACTATGTGCAGGTTCTGTGAGGGGTGAATTTCCCTTGTCTGCCCAATCTTGTCACTATTAGAAACTATATTTAAATAACAGGAATACGATCCCTAACTAATCCTGGGCACAGGGCTCCTTATGATGCCTTATGTATTCTCATCATGTTACTAATACATATTAACTTCACCTATTATTTTAAGGATCATACCAACATGACAAAATAGAGAAGTTCAAAAAAATACATGTTTAAGATGCTAATTTTAAACGTGTATTTTCTATTAAACATGTATTTTCTATTTTTAAACATGTATTTTCTATTTTTCGATGAAAATACACCTTCCATTTTCAAAGAAATTACCTTCTTTCAATCCCAAAATACCTGCAATAGTAATGGCCCAAGGGTGCATGTACAGCTGTGCAAGTTGTATATGGAGCAAAAATGAGGAGTTCCACTTACAGAAACTACAGACATACTGACCCCGGCAGAGATGAGAGAAGTGGGTCAGAGAGAAAATAGCAAGGGGTAAGGGATATGGGAAAATGGAAAATACATGTTACCAAAAGGTGGCATCCACCACTCATCTCTCTCACTAATGAAAATCTCATGCAAGACCTTGCACGCAGAATTGTCAGATTTTTCAATTTTTCAAGAGTAGCTAAACATCTGGATTTTTAAATAAAAAATCCTGGTTTTTAAATATTTCTGATTCATATTAATGCTATTTTCTGTTGGCTTTATTTTTTTCTATGTAGATTGCCACATTATCTACAAATAATAAGAGTTTTACTTTATTCTCTTCAGACTGTTTTACTTCATTTTTTCTCTTAAAGCATAACAAATATCTCCCTGTTAAATGTAGCAAAAACGGTAGAAACCCATGTTTTATTACTAGTCTTAAAGGGAACTTATCTACATTTCTCCATTATGTATGATGTTTACTTTGGAGTTCTGGTGTAGACAGCTTTACTGTGATAAATAAATACATTTTTGTTTCTAATAACAGAATTGAGAAAAATTGCCAGTAGGATATGAGCTCTCATGAATAAATAGCATTTATTCATAACAACAGCCAACCAACTATAAAATATATTTTAAAAATATATAATACAGTGCTTGAGCTCTGAAGTTTGAAACAGCCTGGGAAACAAGGAAAAACCCCATCTCTACTAAAAATGCAAAAAAATAGCCAGGCATGGTGGTAGGCACCTGTAGTCCCAGCTACTTGGAAGTTTAAAGTGGGAGAATCACTTGAGCCCGGGGAAGGTCGAGGCTGCAGTGAGCCATGATGGCGCCACTGTACTTCAGCCTGGGTGACAGAGCAAGACCCTGTCAAAAACAAAAAACAAAAAACAAACAAAAAAAAAGCAATACAAAATAAATATCCAGGAATAAACAAGAGTATTATAAGGCCACTATGGAGTAAAGTGTTAAATCTATTTAAGGATATTTTTAAAAATCAGAGTAAGTGGAGAAATATCCTATACTCTTTGATGAGATGTCATCACATTACAGAGTTCAGCTATCTTCAAATAAGTCTATAAATTTTATGCAATTCTATTCAAAATTCTAGCTGAAGTTTTTTGAGGAACTAAAAAAACTTATTCAAAAACTGTTTATGGAAGATTAATGTCTACATGACCTAAGTCATCTTCAAAAAAGGGGGGTGAATAAGCTGACTTGCTGTACCTGATATTAAGTTGCATTACAAGGCTGTGGATAGGAAAAAGTAAGTCACAGGAAGAAGAAAGCCAATCATTAATGAGCATATGAAGAGAAGCTCAAACCCACTAGAAATTAGAGAAATGCAAATTAAAATGACAATGAGAAATCACGTTTTACTGATTATATAAGTAAAGGTTACCTCTCTGGATAATACTAATTGTTAGAGACGTGTCCCCGTATAGTACTAGGGGAACATAAACTAATGCAGCTACTTCTGAGAGCCATCTGGCAAGACTTAGATTAAATGCATACCTGGGACCCAGCAATTCAAGTCTTGCCATATCATGCAAGTCAGTAAGAAGGCATGCATGAGGCTGTCCATCATGGACTTCTTTATGATAGCAAAGAGCTGTAGACAACTTAGGTGTCCACCCACCATGGAGGGAACAGGGAGTTAGATGAGATGAAGGGACATCACAGAGAATGAAGCATCAGTCAGAAGCCACAGACTAGTCATACTAGTCCACGGAGACATGGAGAGAGTCTTAAAACATGTTGCTGTCTGAGAAAATCAAGAAACAGAATGAGGTCTGTAGCATAATATGGTCTATATAAATTAATAATTCAAGCACACAAAACAAGACCACATGCTGTTAAAGGGTATATAAAAATGTTTTAAAAGGAGGTTACCATTGGAGAAAGATGGGAATGGCTCATAAAAATGAAAGGAAAGGAAAGGAATAGAAAGGAAAGGGAGAGGGAGAAGGAGAGGGAGAGAAAGGAAAGAAGAGAAAGAGAGAGAAAAAAAGAAAGAAAGAGGGAAAGTGGGAGAGAGAAAGAGAAAGAGGGAGAGAAATAGAGAGAGAAAAAAAGAAAGAGAAAGAAAGAGCGAGAGAAAGAGAGAGAGAAAAAAGAAAGAGAAAGAAAGAGGGAGAGAAAGAGAGAGAGAAAAAAGAAAGAGAAAGAAAGGGAGAGAAAGAGAGAGAAAAAAGAAAGAGAAGAGGGAGAGAAAGAGAGAAAAAAGAAAGAGGGAGAGAAAGAGAGAGAGAAAAAAGAAGAAAGAAAGAGGGAGAGAAAGAGAGAAAAAGAAAGAGAAAGAAAGAGAGGGAGGAAGGAAGGAAGGGGAGAGAGACAGAGAGAGAGAAAGAAAAGAAAGAAAGAAGAGAAGAAAGAGAGAGGGAGGGAAGGAGGAAGGAAGGGGAGAGAGACAGAGAGAGAAAGAAAGAAAAGAAAGAAAGAGAAAGAAAGAAGAAAAGAAAGAAAGAGAGGGAGGGAGAAAGGAGGGAGAGAGAGACAGAAAGAGAGAAAGAAGGAAGGAAGGAAAGAAAAACAAAACAGAGGAAGGAAGAAAGGAAGGAAAGTCTAGGAGCAGTGATTCATTCCTGTAATCCTAGCACTTTGGGAGGTCAAGGTGGGAGGATAGCTTGAGGCCAGGAGTTTTAAGACGAGCCTAGGCAACATAGCAAGACCCCACATTTACAAAAAATAAAATAAAATTAGCTGGGTGTGGAGGCACACACCTGTAGTCCTGGCTACTCAGGAGGCTGAGGGAGGAGGATTGTTTGAGCTCAGGAGTTAGAGGCTGCAGTGAGCCATGATCCTGCCACTGCACTCCAGTCTGGGTGACAGAGCAAGACTCACACACACACACACACACACACACACACACGGAAAAAAAAGGAAGGAAAAAAGAAAGGGAGAGAAGGATGGAGGTGTGGAGGGAGGGAAGAAGGGAAAGCTGTTTATTGGTAAAATGTAAAGACCGAGGATAAATAACAATTATGTGGAAAATTTAAAATAATACGTATGTAGACACATAAAGAGACATTTCCTCAATTTTACAAACAAGATGACATTATTGAGAATGATGGCTATGGCATCTGGATTTTTTTTTTTTTTTTGACACAGTCTTGCTCTGACTCTTTAAATGACATCTGGATTTTGAAATAAGGATTCCAAGCCCCTAGTTTACCCTAAAATGTCTTCTAACTGGGATTTCTAGTCACCATCACCCATTTATGGTAGTGTGACAGAGAAGTCTGATTAACCCTGAAGTTCTGTTGAGGAGATTTAATACAATGAGAGACAGAAAAATAAAGCCTCATCTATGCTCAAAATCCATAGTCATTCTCCTCCAATTAGATAAATATAATAAATACCATCATCCTCTTTATATTGTATTTATCCATTTAACCTTAGACTTTTTCAACCAGTCTATATGAAGCCTTCCTTTCTTTTTAATAATTGTAAAAGTCCCAGACTGGAAAAACAAATGAAGCAAAACAAAAATACACGTGAAGAATACATTTGGTATTACTTAGGCAGAGCGGGTGACTGACTTTATCTTATTTTGTCCTGGTTTTAATAGCATTACTAATACCACAGTTTCTAATGCTAGTGCATCCATTAGCCCTTTTAAATAACAACTAAAATCTACGGATAGGAAATCTTGCGACTTTCTTGAGACTCTCTAAGAGGCTGCACACAAAAAGGCTTGAGAAACCTGATGTCAATAAAAAGAAGAGAGAGAGAGAACAGAAGAAAGAGTTTAAAGTAATCCTTATACAAGTTGAGTGAGTGTTCAAAACTCACTGATCAGGATTCCGATCAGCACGCAGGACTGTCAGATCAGAACTTTCCTGAAGGTGCTTGTATTACACAGGAACCCCACATCCAAACCAAAGCACTTTAACAATCCAAAGAAATGTATTTTCTCAATCACAATAATCATTTTCATTTCATTGAAAGAAGGAAAAAAAGAAAGAAGAAAAAGAGAGAACGTTTGTCAGATCTTGTTGTTATGAACGAGGATGATGTTGAAACACATTCCCAAAGCCTACCTTCTGGATACCAAGGCTGTGTGTGAGGAGGCCATTCTTTCTCTTCACGGCAAAAGGACTTGTAGTCAGGACAGCAATCAGAATTTTCTCTGTCACAGAATTTATCACAGTAGCACAACGCATTCGCCGCATAGAACTCAGTGACACAGCCATCATCTCTGTCTTCACAACAGCCAAAATTTCTACAGTATTGCCCTTGGAAAATGGCTCTTTTGAATCGAGTACCTTGCAAAACGGTGTGATTCCTAGTGAAATAAGCCTCTAGGTCCACTTCTCTTTGAGATAAATACTGCTTCTCCATCCAGATTTCTGTAGTAAGATAAGAGAAGATTAAGATCTTATATCCGGTCCACATTCTCTGGAAGTCAGGTATAGCTTCCACTTTCCGTTATATCCAATACCCTTAGCCTTGTGGGCTTCTCCTTGGAACCTGAATTCTAGTCATTAAGACACTTCAGCCTGAACCCTGAAACTGATCCTTTACTTGAATGAGTATACTTCTCATAGTTAAACATTAATCAAGAATTTCAATGTTTGACCAAGATAATGTATGTTAGAAATAAACTATTGTTATTCCCCCAAAGTTAAAAAACTTATATTTCATATAGTGTAGAAATTATGCATCATCAAAATATCTACATAAAATCTTATGCATAGAGATACATTGACTATTGCATGCCTCTCAAAAAATCTAGGTTCTTAAATCGAAAGCCTCCTTAGAATATACATGGCCCAGATTATGGCTGTAATAACCACTGGCAAGGTGCAGGAAATTCAAAAGTCAAAAATGCAATTATTCGTTTCACCTGCCTGCATTGAAACGAACATCCAGGCTCTCATGAGGTTGCCTGCTAGGATCTGTCATATCAATAACAGTTGCTCTAAATCATGCCCAGTCACACACTGGTTTGATTTCCCATCTGTACTCCATTTACCTACCAGAAGCGTTTTGATTTCAAGGCTTAGTGGAACCTAATTCAGCAAGAAATTCCCTGAGGGTGACCTTAGTTCTCTCCACCTGAGTCCCTGCTTAGCACAAACACTGGGAACCTTCAGTATCTTGAAGGCAGCTTATAGTCAAGAAAAGTCAGTACTCGGTGTGAATGAACTATGGGGGGAGGGTGTTGTGAAGGAAACTGGAAGGACAAGGTGTCATTGTGTTTTTATAGAGCTGTGTGTTTTCACTGGTTTTTGGCTACACTGTATTTACTCATTAACTACAACAACTTCCTTTGGATTGGGGATAAGTAACCAGCAGAGGATGATTCAGCAAGAGTTGCTGGGTGGACTAGTGGAAAGCACCTGTCCTGGCAATCAGAAAACCCGGACTCTGGTCCCTGAGCTACTGTTTAATTGGTTCTATAACCTTGGGTTCACCATTTACTTCTCTGGTCCTCAGTTATTTGTCTATGAAATGGGGTATTCCTTTCCCAGACTATTTCATAACTCCAACCCTACAAACTTGTTCCTTGACCTTGCTGTTTATTTTATTCAACTCACACTTTTGTCTTCATTGTGTCGTTTTCTTCTGGCACCTTCCTCTCAGGCTTTAAACCAATGTGAGTCTCTCTTTTTTTAAAAAAAAAAAAAAAGTCTACATAATCTTGATGTCACTATCCATAATGCCCCTGTCTCTTCAATCCAACACCTGCTGCCTCCACTTCCTTGCCATCTACTGAATCACTAAATTACTGCAAAGTACTGCCTCCATTCCCACCTGCTTTCACCAATGACCTCCTACCAGCCACTCCCCCATGGATCTGCATTTATCCTTGTCATACAGGTGTCTTATGCAGCATTCAAAGAGAGTAGATGTTAAGTGTGCTCACCAAAAAAAGAAAGAAAAAAAGGATGAAAGAGAGAAGGAAGGAGGGAAAAGAGAGAGAGAAAGAAGAAAATGGAAACTATGTGAGGTGATGGAGATGCCCATGAGCTAGATTGGGGTGATTATTTTACAATGTATATGCATATCAAAACATCAATTTGTACATTTTAAATATATACAATTTTTATTTGTCAATTATACCTCAGCAAAACTACAGGGAAAAGAGAGGAAGGGAGCATAAAAGTTAGACTAATGGAATTCATATCCTAGTTCTGCCACTGACTAGCAGCATGTCTTTGGGTATGTGGCTTACTCTATGCTTCAATTTGCTCATCTGCACATTTGGATATTAATATTTATTACTACATCAGATGGGTGGGAAATTTAAATGCGATAATAACACAAAGTACTTAGCACATCACACATGCTAAATAAATGTTAATTTTCATTAATAAGCATACCCACTACCTAGAAACTCTTCCTCCCTTGCTTTCTATGCTTTCATTCTTTCTTGGTTCTCTTCCCATTCTTCACAATGCTCCCAATTTACCTGCCCACTTTTGGATTCACTTCCTTCCCTTCTCAATGATCATTTGAAATTGACTTTCACTGACATTCTCAACATTCCCACCTCTAGTCCTCATACCTCATATTCCCTCAGACTTCCAACATGAATCAGTTTAACAGCTATGGGCCACAAGATCATATCCAAGGTGGACCTCCAACTTTCTCTCTCTGAACTTAATTTATATCATTTTACACCTTGCACACATTGGTCCCGTCCTTACACTGGGTTTCTTGCCCATTCCTCAAACATACCACGGACACTTCCGTCTTAGCGCCTTTGCACTTGCTCTTTCCTCTGCCTGAATCATGTTTTCCCAGATAACCGAATAGCTGTATCTCTTTCGGCCTCTCAGAGAGGTCTTTCCCACACACCCTGTCCAAAATGACAAACCGTCTTCCGTCTCAGCATCCTCTCTCGCTTTCTCTGTACTTATCACAGTATACTACAATTTTATTCATTGGCTGTATTTTCTGCATTTCCCCTCCAAAATGTAAGATCTACAAGATCAGATAATTTTGTCTATTCTGTCTTGGTTTTATCTCAAGCTCCTAAGACAGTGCCTAACACATAGTAGATGCTCAATAAATATTTATTCAATAAACAAATAAATCCTGCAATTTGCATTTTTCCCCTCTACCTTCTCTACTGAGGGCTGCTGGAGATGATCTACTAGACCATAAAATTGGTGACACCATAAATTTTGGGTTATTTATCTTAGCAGAGCTCTTAAATGCTGCTCATATTTCTTTAATTTGTCTCTTCTTTCCCTTAGTGACTACTACAAAGCTCTTTGCCTTCCTAACTCACTCTCTCATTTTCTAGAGATGACCCTCTCCCACAGGTTACTAAGAAAACAAAAACAGCAAATGTTAATCCCACACCTTCCTGTCATAAAAACCATAAACCTATCTACACTTGCAACCATCTTCCTTTCTTCCTTCCAGACTCTGAAGATAAGGTACCAGGGTTTCCAGATAATTCTTCCATCTATGATTTTCAGTCTGACACCATTTATCTCTTTCTTCCCCTACCCCTTAGGTCCCACACATCATCAACCTCCCTCTCAGCCAGTTCCTTCAGTCCATTAGCAGGACAGTAGCAGACACCATTGTCACCCCACTCATATTCTCAACATTCTTACCACTTTAGTACAAGCTAGTTAGAACTACAGCTATGTGAAGTATTTATTGGCCAAAGCCCACTCCTCCTTCTCCCTCCCCTACTCCCAGAATAACAAGCCAGATATGTTGAGGATTTAAAACCCTCCCCCAACCCAGAATCAAACTTGATTTTATTTTTAATTGAAAATTAAAATTGCATAATTTATGGCATACAATTTGATGCTTTGTAGTTTGTATGTGTACATTGTGGAAAGGCTAAATCAAGCTGATTAAAATATACAGTAGGGCACATGCTTATCTTTTTTTTTGGTGAGAACACTAAAATTTACTCTTCTAACAATTTTCAAGTATACAGTTGTCTCTCGTTATCCATGGAGGATTGGTTCCAGGACCCCCTACAGATACCCAAATCAGCAGGTACTCAAGTCTCTTATGTTAAATAGCAAAATATCTGCATATAACCTGCTGTATATCCTCTTGTATAATTTAAATCATCTCTAAATTACTTACAATACCTATTACAATGTAAATGTTACATAAATAACTGTTACACTGTATTTTTTAATTTGTATAAATTTTTTACTGTTTTATTGCTATCGTTTGTAGCTCTTAAAAATATTTTCAATTTGAGATTGGTTGAATCCATCAACGCAAAACCCACAGCTACAGAGGGCCAACTGTATATTATTATTATCTATAGTTGCCATAATTTACAATAGATCTCTGAAACTTACTCCTCCTAACTGAAATTTTGCAACCCTTGATCAACATTTCCCCAATTCCCTTATCCCCCAGCCTCTGGTAACCTCCATTCTACTCTCTGCTTCTACCAGTTCAACTTTTATAGATTCAACTTTTTGAGATCATTTAGTGTTTGTCTTTATGGGTCTGGCTTATTTTATTTTTTATCATGTTCTTTAGGTTCATTCATGTTGTCACCAATGACAACATTTCCTTATTTTTAAGGCTAAATTTTGTATATATACCACATTATCTTTATCCATTCATTCACCAACAAACACTTAAGTCGATTCCACATTTTGGCTATGTTACTGCAATGAATGTGGGAGTGCAAATATCTCTTCAATATATTGATTTCATATCCTTTGTAAATATAGCAAGTAGTAGAACTGCTAGATCATATGTTAGTTCTATTTTTAACTTTTTGAGGAACTTCCATGCTGTTTTCCATAATGGCTGAACTACTTTACATTCCTACTAATAATGTGTAGGCATCCTCTTTTCTCCACATTCTTGCCAAAACTTGTTATCTTTTGTTTCTTTGATAATAACCATTCTAATACATGTAAGGTGATATCTCATTCTGATGTTAATTTGCATTATCCTGATGATTAGTGATATTAAACATTTTTTTCATGTATCTGTTGGCCATTTGAGTGTCTTCTTTTGAGAAATGTTGATCCAGGTCCTTTGCCTATTTCTTAATAGGACTGTTTTCTTGCTATCGAATTGTTTTGAGTTCCTGATATATTTGGATTTGAACCCCTTATCAGATGTGTGGTTTGTAAATATGTTTGCCCAATCCATTGGTTGTCTTGTCACACTGCTGATTGTTTTCTTTGCTGTTGCAGAAGATTTTTAGTTTATATAATCCCACTTGCCTGTTTTTGCTTTTGCTGCCTGTGCTTTTGGGGTCATATCAAAAAAATCGTTGCCTTGACTGATGTCACAGAGCTTTCATAAGCAACCTTTGAATAATGCCTAAAGGAGTTGGCATATAAATATGCCCATCCCCCAACCTTGGTTGAGCAATCTCTGCTATCCACATCTACATAGTCTATGTTTTGAGACAAGAATAGGAGCTCTATAGTGAGAGGGATTGACAATTGCACCCTCGCCTATTTGTTTACATGATTAAATACTGTAGTTTACCAGTGTCTGGTAGGTATATCTACTGATTATAGTATCTTGCGTTAACTCATTCACCCACTCTAAATTGACAAAAGCTTTTAAAAATTTCTGCAAAGAAACTTCACATTGAAAGTGACAAATCTGAAACAAATTCTACAAATAATGTATTCCTTTAAACCAGTGGGTTTCAACAAGGGGTTGAGTTTACACCTTAAGAGAAGTTTAACATGTCTGGAGAGAGTTTTATTGTTCAGACTGGAGAGATACCACTGGAAGCAAGTGGGTAGAGAATAGAAATGCTGCTAAACATTCTAGAATACCCAGGACAGAACCCATAACAAAGAATCATATGGCCCAAAATGGCAGCATACCATTGTTGATAAATGCCGATTTAGATATATCAAAAAAAATTTAAATTAACAAGACATCAGATAAAAGCTAAAATTATCATACTTATTTGCTATTTCAACTTATATAAAGGTTCATAAGATGGGCCTCCAATAAGTGGTTGCTTTGAGATATTAACTAATGATGGCAATACATATATACTGGGGCTACTCCCTCAAAAATTTTGGGTGCAGTACATACATGACTGAAAATATTAGAGTCCATCATGCCACAATCTCCTCCAATTTGGTCATTCTCCTTGGGTGAGGTACATTTTAGGGGAGAAGAAAAGTGCTGCAGCCCCTCTTATGATTACTTTTACTACCTCCATTGCACAAGAAAGAATGGAAGAGATCAGCAGCCTCCTGATTTTACCTTGGGAAAAATGAAGCTTATCAAATAACCTTCCTGACATAAGATCTTAGCTAGATGCTGTGAAAATGGACTGAAAAGTGGAAATTACAGTCATGTTTATAATTGGCAGTTTTCAGGTATATTTAAATATGTAAAATGTAAACCTTAAAGAGGAAATACCATGTTCTGCCAAACCACTTTCTCTGATCTGTGTTTTTTGGGGGACATAATACAGTCCCTTTTTCAATGTAGAGCAAAGTGGTGTGTGTGTGTGTGTGTGTGGGTGTGTGTAAGAGAGAGAGAGACAAAGAGACAGAGAGAATAGGAAGATAGCCTTGCTAAAAACAATTTATTGGATTGGCTTAATTTCCATCACTAGAAATTTATTACTTTAAATTATGGGGTGTGCAAAAATTTTATTTGGTAGCAAGTGTTCTTTGGTAAGATAGCTTAAGTAATATTAACTCACTTATGAAGGTCAAGGCTTTTAATTATTTGAAGCTACCTTCTTATTTCTATTCAATTGAGTTAATTCAAATTTTAGAATAAATAATTTTAATAAGACATAAAAACAGTCTCTGACTATAGGATGCATTTATCTTTGAATTAAGCTGCTGTGGGAGACTGGAAGATTATACACATTACAGTTACAATATACATCTGTATATAGACATATAAATGCCCATATTGTACACAATACACATTATATATTAGTGTGTGGATATAATCTCATGTGATTGTTGCAACAGTCTGTGATGGCAAACAGTATGAATACTATTCCTATTTTAGGTTTTACAGATGAAGGGCTGGCTCAAGTGACTAAGCAGTGTGAAACAACCAATAATGGAGTGTTTGACAGCAAGTTCAGTGAGCATTTCCCTGCCCCCTCCTGCCTTTGTTTCTGTCTACAAATTTACCCTGGCCTCTTGTCTGAAGTCTGGTCTTAGCCCATGACATGAATAAATTTTGCAGAACCTTTTCAAATCCAGGTATTACTCAGGTAGAGGGAGTATGGGAAGGGGAGTAGGGGCCAAAGCTAAGATCTAGGGAAAGATTGTGGAGTTTTTCACTGATTGGTTGTGTGTTATACACTCAAGTGAAACTCCACTCTTCTCTGGAAGTTTACTAGTTAATGCACATTTGGTCTCTAATTATACATTGCTGAGAAAATTGAAAATAAAATGAAGAACTTAACAGACTCATGAAATGGAAAATAGGATCTTGCAATAGCTCCCAATTGACAACAGTTCAGGATGCTGGGCCTAGGTCCAGGCTTCTTGCAATTTTGCTCAAAGCCTTCTAACCTCTCATTATAACTAAACAGGTACTTTGGGTTCTACTTTTCGTCTTGTTTTTCACTTTTTTTTTGCAATAGCAATTTCAACCTCTTTTTCCACTTTTTATTTCCCAACACAGAACGGCACAGTATGGTGATTTGTGTAGTGTGCATTTGCAAATTAAGACAGCCTGGAGAGGACATTTGGATTAGACCATCAAGCACCAAAGAAAACTTCTAATGGGCCGAGATGATGCATCTGTTTAAGGCTGGAAGGAAGAGAAATAGAGGCCTTGACAAAAACCTCATTTCACCGCCCACCTGATCAATCTCCACTCTGGTTCAAGGGCCTTCCACAGAGATTATGTGGCCAATTCTTTGCCTCCATGTAGACTGAGGAGGAGCCATTCAAACTTGCTAATGACAAAACCCCAAAGAAACCGAAAACTAAAAAATGAAGGAAAATGCAGGAAGGCAAAGAGACTAGCAATAGACTACAATGTAGAAAAAGCTAACAGAAAAAAGTTGTGAGAAAAAAATCTGTGCATATAAGTAAGAATATTTATTTTCACATCAAAAGTCTAACTTTAATGTGCTTAAACAAGAAACATTACGGGAAATACAAAAACATTACTTCTAGAGCTAATAAAAATTTTTAATTAGTGCTTTATTTCACAAGAGGCACTTGAAAATAAGAAATAAGCCTGCTATCTCATTCTCTTAACATGCTTCTAGTAGTATAATGTTTTCAGGAAAGAAGTTTATTTTACTTACTCATTCTTTTATTCAAAAAGCATGTGTTGAACTCCACATGTATTTCAGGCCCTATGCTATATTCTGGGAATATACTGATTAATGAAACTTGATTCTAATTCTTAAAGACCAAGCCAGTATGGCCAGAGATGCCAACTTATTAAAAAAATCATTGCATTGAGCCTTGATAAGTGTTATTACTGGCATATGTAGAGGGCAAAAAAGGGCACCAAGAAAAGAGTAGTCAATGCTTCCTGGTAGCACTAGGGAAGACAACACTAAAGAAATGACATTTTAGTTGAATCTTAAAGAGTAAGTAGGATATTTGCCATGTAAAGTAGACAGAATTTCTAGACAAGAAACAGAATATAACATATAGCATATTTGAAAAGCTGAGAGGGGCCAGATCATTTTGGGTCTTGAATGACAAGGATATAGTATAAATTATAGACTTCACTCTAAAAATGGAAAAAAATGTGGGTCATTTGTTTTTGCTCTCCCAACAGTTCCTTTTTCTTTAAGTAACAGCACATGGCTTTCTTTGGGGATCTGTTCATCTCCCACTTTGCCAAAGTCCTGGTGAGACCATCAGTAATGAGTCTTTACCTTTATCACTCCCCAGAAGTGTCTGCACATGACATAAGCTAAGCCAGTCACTCTTTCCTGACAATTTGAATCTTCAGTGGAGTGACTAGTGTATAAAGCAGAAGGAGCTGAGTCATTCAGACACCAACACTTCCAAAATTGATCATGAGTTATAGATCAAGATCCTTGATCATTCAACTTTTCCTTAATTTCTATGAACACTAGTATTCTTCTGACAAGTTCCTTTTTTTCCTTTGGTTTAAATTGACCAGAGTTTGTGTCTGCTTTTTGCAACCAAAGAATCCTTGAACTAGAAAGTTATTTCAAATTCCTAACAAGATAGGGATATGGTCAGAATGGCATTTTTCAATAAATCATTATGTTACCAGAATAAAAAACACATGGGATGATAGTGAGATCGGAGGCTGGGAGATGAGTCAGGAAACTATGCAATAGTCTAGGCAAAAGATGATGATAACTTGTCCTTGAGAAGTGGTTCTGGAATAGAAAGTTAAATAAGAAACGTATTAAGTGGGTCATACTTCCATAATGTCAAATTGGCTACAGGGATAAAGGAATAAGGGTTGCCTAGGGTGAGTTTCATTTTCCTTTCTTGAATGACTACATAGTAACATTAGCTTAGGAGAAGCAGTTTAAGGCACAGATGAGCTCAGTTTGAAACCTATTAAGTTTGATATTTTAGTGGGTTACTCAGATGGATATGTCTAATGAAAAACTGACTTCCGTCATTGCTATTGTATAGATTTGGAAGCCATCAACACATAGCTGATAGTAAAAGCCATGGAAATGAATGACATTACCCATCATCAGCCAGGACTGAAGCATGACTCTGTCAGTAAGATAGTTGAATAGTCTAAATGCCGTTGTAAGTCTTCAGCAAAGAGTTTTGCTTTAAATTTAGAACTTTATGGGCTCTATTGGAAGTTTAGTTTTTAAAAATAATTTCTCTCTTAAACTATTTGAAAATGTCTCTCTGTAGGTTGCCTGTTCACTCTGATGGTAGTTTCCTTTGCTGTGCAGAAGCTCTTTAGTTTAATTAGATCCCATTTGTCAATTTTGGCTTTTGTTGCCATTGCTTTTGCTGTTTTAGACATGAAGTCCTTGCCCATGTCTACGTCCTGAATGGTAATGCCTAGGTTTTCTTCTAGAGTTTTTATGATTTTAGGTCTAACATGTAAGTCTTTAATCCATCTTGAATTAATTTTTGTATAAGGTGTAAGGAAGGTATCCAGTTTCAGCTTTCTACATATGGCTAGCCAGTTTTCCCAGCACCATTTATTAAATAGGGAATCCTTTCCCCATTGCTTGTTTTTGTCAGGTTTTTCAAAGATCACATAGTTGTAGATATGCGGCATTATTTCTGAGGGCTCTGTTCTGTTCCATTGATCTATATCTCTGTTTTGGTACCAGTACCATGCTGTTTTGGTTACTGTAGCCTTGTAGTATAGTTTGAAGTCAGGTAGTGTGATGCCTCCAGCTTTGTTCTTTTAGCTTCAGATTGACTTAGCAGTGCAGGCTCTTTTTTGGTTCCATATGAACTTTAAAGTAGTTTTTTCCAATTCTGTGAAGAAAGTCATTGGTAGCTTGATGGGGATGGCATTGAATTTGTAAATTACCTTGGGCAGTATGGCCATTTTCACGATATTGCTTCTTCCTACCCATGAGCATGGAATGTTCTTCCTTTTGTTTGTATCTTCTTTTATTTCATTGAGCAGTGGTTTGTAGTTCTCCTTGAAGAGGTCCTTCACATCCCTTGTAAGTTGGATTCCTAGGTATTTTATTCTCTTTGGAGCAATTGTGAATGGGAGTTCACTCATGATTTGGCTCTCTGTTTGTCTGTTATTGGTGTATAAGACCGCTTGTGATTTTTGTACATTGATTTTGTATCCTGAGACTTTGCTGAGGTTGCTTATCAGCTTAAGGAGATTTTAGGCTGAGACAATGGGGTTTTCTAGATATACAATCATGTCATCTGCAAACAGGGACAATTTGACTTCCTCTTTTCCTAATTGAATACCCTTTATTTCCTTCTCCTGCCTAATTGCCCTGGCCAGAACTTCCAACACTCTTTTGAGTAGGAGTGGTGAGAGAGGGCATCCCTGTCTTGTGCCAGTTTTCAAAGGGAATGCTTCCAGTTTTTGCCCATTCAGTATGATATTGGCTGTGTGTTTGTCATAGATAGCCCTTATTATTTTGAGATACATCCCATCAATACCTAATTTATTGAGAGTATATAGCACGAAGGTTAGTTGAATTTTGTCAAAGGCCTTTTCTGCATCTATTGAGAAAATTTTTGCAACCTACTCATCTGACAAAGGGCTAATATCCAGAATCAACAATGAACTCAAACAAATTTACAAGAAAAAAACAAACAACCCCATCAAAAAGTGGGCGAAGGATATAAACAGACACTTCTCAAAAGAAGACATTTATGCAGTCAAAAAACACATGAAAAAATGCTCATCATCACTGGCCATCAGAGAAATGCAAATCAAAACCACAATGAGATACCATCTCACACCAGTTAGAATGGCGATCATTAAAAAGTCAGGAAACAACAGGTGCTGGAGAGGATGTGGAGAAATAGGAACACTTTGACACTGTTGGTGGGACTGTAAACTAGTTCAACCATTGTGGAAGTCAGTGTGGCGATTCCTCAGGGATCTAGAACTAGAAATACCATTTGAGCCAGCCATCCCATTACTGGGTATATACCCAAAGGACTATAAATCATGCTGCTATAAAGACACATGCACACATATGTTTATTGTGGCACTATTCACAATAGCAAAGACTTGGAACCAACCCAAATGTCCAACAATGATAGACTGGATTAAGAAAATGTGGCACATATACACCATGGAATACTATGCAGCCATAAAAAATGATAAGTTCACGTCCTTTGTAGGGACATGGATGAAGCTGGAAACCATCATTCTCAGCAAACTATCACAAGGAAAAAAAACCAAACACTGCATGTTCTCACTCATAGGTGGGAATTGAACAATGAGAATACATGGACACAGGAAGGGGAACATCACACACCAGGGACTGTTGTGGGGTGGGGGGAGGGGGGAGGGATAGCATTAGGAGATATACCTAATGCTAAATGACGAGTTAATGGATGCAGCACACCAACATGGCACATGTATACATATGTAACAAACCTGCACGTTGTGCACATGTACCCTAAAACTTAAAGTATAATAATCATAAAATTTAAAAAAAAAGAAAAACAATAAAGACAATTTCACTATTTCATTACCAAACTGAAAAAAAAAAAAAAAAGAAAATATCTCTCATGTATTTGTTTTACGAGCGACATCGTGGTATAATGGAATGATTCTTAGCTTTGGATTCAAATCAAATCAGACTGAAATCCCTTCCTAGCCGTGTGACAGTGGTCAAATTAGTTATTTTCATATAAGCTTGGTTAACTCAAATATCAAAATTGGAAGTATAATACCAAACTTAGAGAGTTGCTTTGAGGATTAAATAACATAATGGATGAGAAAGTACTGGAATCATGCAGAAGCTCCTTTACTTGCAAAGAAATATTTTCCCAAAGTTTGATTTTAAATTGATGAGTTTCAAAGTCTGAAGGGACTTGGAAGGTTTTTGGCATGTTTTGGCATGTGACCTCCAGATGCATTTACCCTAAAAGGACTTAAAACCAAACATAAGCTTCTCCTCTTTGCTGATACATGTTCAATTAGGAATTAGGAATCTTTTGCAAAACATGACTATTTTATCTACATAAAAATGTGTGCCAGGCAAAATGGCTGACTACATGCAGCCAGGAGGAACATCTGCCACTGAGGGATGGGGACATCGGGGAGACTGGTGCACTCTGAGCAGATCTTTGGAGGGAAGGCCTTGAGAATGGATGGGGGGTGAACACAGACACTGAGTTTAAAAGGGAGAGAACTGGGAATGCTGCATGGGGCTACCATGCTCTGGGACTCATTCCTGGCCTCTAGTGACTCCTGCAGAAGGAATGAGTTGGAAAGGCAAGGAAGGACCCACTCTCACCACAGACTTCTGGAATCCTGGCAGCAAGAGACCCCCACACCCTCCATAGACACTTGAGCTGCCAGATAGACCTGCTTAGAATGGTGGTAGGGGCAGGACTCCAGCCTGTGCAAAGCCCAGAATGTTTGGTGTGGGAACATCTGCAGGGAGAATGTCCAGGGATGTCCTTCCCCCAAGGCTCACCATGCAGAATTCAGTCTTAGTGGAACTGTTGGACCTTAACAGAGCAGGGTGATCTTGCCCATGAGATGGCAGCCAGTCCAACCTGAGGCTCCACTGTCTGCTGGCCCCTCCTGGGGTCCTAGCCTGGCTGAGCCTACTTGCAGTGCAGCCTCAAATACCCAATCAGGGTGCCTCCCAGAGGCCCACCACATCATAGCTCCTGTGCTGGCAGACCATACCTGACCACTGAAGAGCTCCAGCCGAATGGCCCCCACCTATGTGCACCAGCCCACTGGCAGCCTCCCCCAACTGAAGCCTCCCCTGTGCTGCTTTGCCAGCACACACTCGCCCACAGTCACCCCCCACAGCAATTTGTCAGCACACATGGGCATGGGAGGATCTCCCCTCCCCTTCCCTACATGGGTGCATGGGCATGTTCACCTTGCAATGCCACTACTGCCACCATGAGCACACCTTGTTCTCTCCCAGCCTTGCTGCCATTACCAGCATGAATGCATGCACACACACGGAGACCAGAGGCCCGTCGCCACCCTGTACCACCATTGCTGCCAGTGCAGACATGCAAATGGACAGCAACAGCCCAGCCCCTCAACTCTGCACCACCACCACCACCATTGGGGTGAATGCATGCATGGAGGCCACCAATGACCCATGTTTTGCACTGACACTGCTGCTGGTGCAAATGCACACATGGATGCCAGCAGCCCTGCCTTCCTATGCTGCCACCAATGCCTCTGTGAATACCAGCATGGAGGATGGCGCCCGCTGAACCAGCTAGGCTCTGCCCTAGCAGGTGAGTGAGCAGCCCACCCCGCTGCTGCTGCTGCTGCTGCTGGCACGTGTGAAAGAGCATGGATCCTGTTGCTACCACACAATGAAGCACTTCAGCTGGCACTACACATCAGAGGGTTGTGGCCAATGGTCGAGGAACACTTTGGCCCCTCTAGCACAGCAGGTTCCTAAACTCAAGGGAACTTGAGAACAAAGCCAAGGGCCCAATACAAGTCCCCCAGAGTTAGGGTATGCAGTCCAGGAGTGCTGATCTGGACCTTTTCTCCCTAACATCTTCTAAAAATGAAGCCACTTGACTGAACCCACTTAATACCACAAGCAAACCCCCAAGGAAATCAAATAAGATAAAAACATTGATAAATCCACCCAAAGGATGGCAACTTCAAAGGCTGAAAGAATATCAGCCCACAAAGATGAGAAAAAAGCATCACAAGAACTCTGGAAATTTAAAATGCCAAAATGTCTTCTTATCTCAAAACAAGTTCCCCAGAACTAATTCCCTAACAACGGTTCTTAACCAGGCCAAAATCATTGAAATGACAGAAATAGAATTCAGAATGTGGGTAAGAAGGAAGCTCAAGATTCAAGAGAAAGTCAAAACACAATCCAAGGATTCTAACCAATATAATAAAATGATATAGGAGCTGAAAGATGATGTGGCCATTTTAAAAAAGAACCAAACTGATCTGATAGAGCTGAAAAACTCACTTCAAGAATTTCAGAATATAATTGTGAGTATTAACAGTAGAATCAACCAAGCTGAGGAAGGAATCTCAGCACTTGAAGGCCAATTCTCCAAAATAACTGTCAGATAAAAATAATGAAAAAACAATAAAGAAGAACAAAACCTCCCAGAAATATGGGACTATGTAAAGAGACCAAATCTATGACTCATTGGCATCCCTGAAAGACGGGGAGATAAACTAGACAGCTTGGAAAACATATTTCAAGATTTCATTCATGAAAATTTCCCCAACCTTGCTAGACAGGCCAACATTCAAATTCAGGAAATGCAGAGAACCCCTGTGCAATACTACATAAGAAGACCATCTTCAAGACACATAGTCATCAGATTCTTCAAAGTTTAAATGAGAGAAAAAAGGCACCCAGGTAGAAGGGGCAGGTCACCTACAAAGGGAACCCCATCAGGCTAACAGTGGACCTTTCAGTAGTAACCTAAAAGCCAGAAGAGATTGTGGGCCTATATTCAGCATTCTTAAAGAAAAGAAGTCCCAACAAATAATGTCATATCCAGGCAAACAAAGCTTCTTAAACAAAGCAGAAATATTTCAGACAAGCAAATGCTAAGGAAATTTGTTACCTCCATACCTACCTTACAAGAAGTCTTGAAGGGAATGCTAAACATAGAAAGGAAAGACTATTACCAGCCACTACAAAAATACACTGAAATGCAGAGACCAGTGACACTATAAAGCAACCTCCCATACAAATCTGCATAATAACCAACTAACGACATAATAGGATCAAATCCACATATATTAACACTAACCTTCAATGTAAATGGGCTAAATGCCCCAATTAAAAATCACAGAGTGGCAAGATGAATAGAGAAACAAGACCCATGGGTATGCTGTCTTCAACAGTCTCTCTCATATACACTGACACCCATAGGCTGAAAGTGAAGGGATGGAGAAAAATCTACCAAGCAAATGGAGAACAGAAAAACAGCAGAGATTGTTACTTTAATTTCAGACAGAACAGACTTTAAACCAACAAAAATCAAAAAACATAAGGAAGGGCATTACATAATGGTAAAGGGCTCCATTCAATAAGAAGACCTAACTATCATAAATATGTATACACCTAACACAGGAGCACTCACATTCATAACACAAGTTCTTAGAGACCTATGAAGAGACTTAGATAAGTACACAATGACAGTGGGAAGACTTTAATACTCCACTGACTGTATTAGGTAGATGATTGAGGCAGAAAACTTAACAGATATCCATAACTTGAACTTGACACTTGACCAAATAGACCTAATAGATGTCTGCAGAACTCTACACCCCAAAACAACAGAATGTACATTCTTCTCATGTGCACATTGCAGATACTCTAAAATTGACCACACAATTGTACATAAAATAATCCTCAGCAAATTCAAAATCATAGGAACAGAAAACCAAATACCACATGTTCTCACTTACAAGTGGGAGCTAAACATTGAGTGCATAGGACACAAAGTAGGGAACAACAGATACCAGGGCCTGCTTGAGGGTGAAAGAAGGGAGGAGGATGAAGATCAAAAAACTACCCATCAGGGACTATGTTTATCACCTGGGTGATGAAATAATCTGTACACTAAACCCCAGTTACATGCAATTTACCTATACAACAAATCTGTACATGTACCCCCTGAAACTAAAATGAACGTTAAAAAAAAAGAAAATCAATGTAATTCACCACATTAACAGAATAAAGAACAAATGTGTAAATAAGATCAGACACTTTCTCAATGATCTCTACACAAGTGAAAGGGAACTCATGGCATGTGATAACAGCATCTATTGCCTTGTCACTTGTTTTAATGCGAGAATTTGAAGGGGCTTTCAGCCTATGGAATCATCACTAACTTGGGGGAATCATCCCATATTTATGTCATCAGCACACTCTCAATGCTTAAAAACCCTTTCATTTGCAAACTCATAATCTCACTCCAGCACTCCTAATCCAGTGTTTTTCATGCTGGCTGAAGATTAGAATCACCTGGAAGTAAAAATTATAAAAAATAAAAATTAAGCTCTTCTCTATATCTCATCTTAAGAATCTATGATTTCATTTGTATAGAACAAGATGAAATAAGTTGAAAAACAACTATTGCAGTTACTCAAAAATTTCATTTTTCCAGTCTCTTTTTCCTCATCTCTTCCCTATTAATTTCAATAGTACAGACACAGGGCCTTCCTGTATAATGTCATGATTTGTGATATGTCATTTGGATTTATTCTTATTGAAAAATGAGTTATCCCATACACTTGTACAACAGCTATTCATTTCCTCATCACTTTTAACTTATAAAAATTATCACTATTTTCCATCCCACCATGCCTTTTCTTCCTGGCACTTATTTTGTACTTATCAAGCACGGAGTCGTAGGAGGTGTTTCTTGAGTCATAGCTGCTCTCCATGTGTCAGTTTTAAGGTCATTTGCATTAAATTACCTTAACTACCCTGAAAGTAACACATGGAGAGCAGCTTCCTATGACTCAAGAAACCACAATGACTAAAATAACCTAACATTATTAGTAACCCATTTATTGGTGGTGAGCACTTTTAATTGTCATCTAATTTTACTCAAATAGTGAGACTTCATAAATTGAAAATACATAAATTGAAAAGCTTCCATACCAGATACATAATAGGCACTCAATATATATTAGTTTCCTCTCCAAATTATTTCCTGGATTTGCCCCTCCCTTTCCAATCATTCACCTTTGGATAATAAGAGCATTAAACAGATCTTGTGTAATCTTAAATTCTAATTCTCAGAGGGCTATTAATATTCAGCAATCATATTTCTTCCTTTTGTAGAATAAAAAAATCATTTGTATTCATGAGTAGGAATCCTCAGGGTATTCACATCCCATTTGCTCACAGAGATGATGATAACAACCCATTCAAAAATGTTGATGTTCAATCAGAACAGAATGAGGAAAATGAGATGAAACACACTACATGAGACGGATGCACCTGGGTTGAGGAAAGCATGATGGTCCAGACAAGGACAGGGCTCCTTGTTTCTCACCAGAAGCAGGCAACTTTGGGCATGTTATTACAGAGATGGTATGTCCTTTCCTACCCTCCATGAGGCAGGAACCATAGCTGACTGGGAAAGCTGACTCATTTTGAGCAGCTGCTCTAGTGAACACCAGAAGAGAGAAAGGAGAAGTGTTTCCACTCTCACAAGCAAATAAAGTGAGAATGAAGACTAATACATTTTCTAAAACGTTTCAGAGCCCCAAGGACCAAAAAAATAGGGATGGGGGGGCGGTGGAGATGTGTATTCCTTACATTACAGAGAGATATAAATAACATGTCTGAAATGATCTCATTTAAAACAGTGTGGTCAAGAAGAGAGAGTTTGGGATTTTGAATCCGAAAATTGAATGTGGGTTCTGGCATTAGCCTTATCTTTTGATGTACTCTTTTTAGAGGTTATTTATCTTTTTTTGACTCAGTTTATGGGTGAAATGATAATAAGTATACTGGTTGAGTATATTTTCTCACATTTAGGTTATTCGTATGAAGGACATCCACAGTTTAGACCACTAAATTAGGTTGAGCCAAACACAACGTACTTCCTTGTTTCTGCATCTCTTGCACCATGGTGCAAAACTCGTGCTGCTGAACTCAGAGTCTTAGTTTAGGCATCTAACAACTAACTGTTAAGCAGTAACACACACATTTATCTGAACAGGAATAGGCAACAGCTCAAGCACAATGCAAGCTGAATTCATTTTAGATTCTGTCATATTTTTATCCCCCCAAAACAACAGAATCTGCAGAATATGAAGTCTGGTTCAATCATATAAAATTTCCATTACCGAATACCTTTTACATCTTCTGTTTCTAAAGTAACAACATTCAGATTTGTACAATAGTGTACTAGTTTATTTTACATTTGTGTAACCAAAAAGCCCCTTTAGATTAACTTTTGAAAACAACTCTTAATTTGAGTTTGAGAGATCACTTCAAGGGAGACAGAAGCTAGGTGCAGATTTTTACTACTTGTTTGGCTTCTCTGCTCTTCTATGAGGTTGAAGTTGGCTCCTCTACTTTTCAAGCAGGGAACCCTGATGCCTCACAATCTCAGGAGGTGGGGGGGGAAAAGAAAGTGGCTTTATAATGTATGGTGATATTTAGGTTCACTTGCATAGTAAATGCAATTTTTAAAGCAAAGGGCAAAGCTTGCTGGAATTCCATTGCTTTCTTAAAAAGAAAAAATTCCCAGATCATTTTACATCTGAGTGTTTAGAATCATCCCTCACATGGCTTCACTTATGGATTATGATATTTCTAAAAAATTTTGTCTCTAGTCTAGATTGTGCTTAGAATTCTTCACCCATATTTTTAACTGCATACTGGACACGTCCACTTAAATATTTTTCAGTTATCTTAAATTCAACATTTCTAAAACTGAATTCACATTTTGCCCTTTCCACTCCCCTTCTTTTTTGTCCCCAAACACACACAGACACACACACACACACACACACACACACACGACATGCATACAAATTCCTTCTATGTTTCAGTATTTCTTGGAATAGGCTAACCTTATTCTGCGAGAACAAGTAACTCCAAAATCTCAAAAGCATAGTATATAAATTTTATTTCTAGCTCATACAAGGTCTTCTCTTGACTGAGCAACAATTCAAAGCAGCTGTGCTCCAGGGGGTTACTCAGGGTTCCCAGCCATTTTGATTCTGTGACTCTACAATCTGAACATACGGTCTCCCTGCTTCTTGCCAAAGAAGAAAAGGACTGAAGAATGGTATAGGAATTTCCATCACTTCATCCCAGAAGTAACACGTGTCACTTCCACTTCCACTGAGTGGTTTCTCCCAACTGCCATGGTGTTGCCAAGTATAGTTTTCCATGTGCCAGAAAGAAAGAATAGGAAACAAAAACTACATAGCATTGTATTTGGCCGAGTTTCCTATTTCAGATTCCCGGTTCAGAATCTGTGATTTTTATCCATCTTTCTTATCAATCCACATCCAATAAAATACCACTGATAAGTGGATACCATTATTCTGCTTTTTCTATGTCTCCTTAATTAGCCTACCTTTCTTCATTGCCACCTTCACTTAAATTCATACTCTCATTATGTCTCTTTTTGATGATTGCAACAACTTTTACCAGGTCTCCCTACTTTCCCTACAATCAATTATCGACACAGCAGCGATAGTGATCTTTTAAAAGTACAAACACGATCATATTGATTTATCTCCTTCTTAAAACCCTTCAGGAACTCCCCTTTGCTTTAAAAAAAATGTCAAAACCTGTAACTGTGATTTATAAGGCCTTTTATTCCCTGTTATGTGCTTCCTTCTCTGACTTCATCTACTGCAAATGCATACGTTGTAGTGAGTGGTGTGCTGTGCCACCCAGACTCCCATCCAAGTCAGGCCTACATTTCTCCAGCCACCGGATGTTGCTAGTGGCTGATGGCTCACAGCTGAAACCCTTTTCTGAGAAGTGCCATCAACCAAAAGAAACTCTCTCACCCATTATTACTCTATCCTGGACTTTTATCCAAGGCAAGTGGAGGATAAAAAGGACTTCCGCTCACCTCAGTTTGGGACAAATGTAAAAGGCCATCCCAGCTCCAGAACTCACTATAAGGGTTGCTGAGATCTCTATTGTAACTGTATCCCAGGCCAACTTCTCCCACTGTCCAACCCTGTCTTCTTTACTCCCTGATGAATGTTGTCCTTGGACAACTTCCAGATAACCTTCTCCACTGAAATCTCTGTCCTAGAGTCTGTTTCCTGGGGAACCCAAGAGGTGCCTTGCTGTCCGTGCTACAACCATTTGAAATACAGCACCCAAATCATGTTTGTGTGTTTGTTCCTGTCCAGACATTTGCATGCATGGTATCTGAGTCCTGGAAGTCCAATCCCACTTTCCTAACTTCATTTAGGTCATTCCTACTTATCCTTTAGGGCTGGGCTTAAACATCACATCCACAAAGAAGCCCTCTCATCAATCTCATATTAGGCACTACATGTATATCCTCTCTCCCTCATCCCTGCTCAGACTCAGAGCAATTCATTCTTCTTGTCAAATTACATTATAACTTTCTGTGTAGTGGGGTCATGAATATCCTCGGATATGCAATGAAAATTCATTTAGGGTGATATAATGGATGCATGATTAAAATCTGTGACCCCAGTTATTTGACTCAGGCTCAAAGCCCAGAATACTTAACCCCTTCTTTCTGAACACAGGCCTCTGCTTGCTCTCCAAGCTCATTGGCACCACTGATTGACCTAAGAAACTCTAGGTCACCTGAATTCTGAACGTCATCCTTGGGAGTCCAGAGGGCTACCTGGCTTCCTTCTACTGCTCCCTCATCCAGCCATAAGGGAGTCCGTTTGGGTGTGGCAGCAAATCAAAGGCTAGGACTCTTCCAGGAGTCTTCATCTCCTACATTACAGCTTTCTCTCCTGTCACCAAACTCAAGACTGTAGTGGCTGGTTTTCCATGTTCTTTCCTTATATTCTGAGAATTCCCTAGCCCTGGCACTACCTCTTCAATCCAGTCTTTTACTTATCTCTTGATGTTCTAAGGAAAGATAAAGTAATTTAGAAAATTATTTCCTTTCTCGTGACTTCTTTTAGAGTTTTTGACTCCCCAAACAGGTCACAAAAGTCAGCTTTAATATTTAAGACTAATTAGTGACCTCTTTTCTGAGCAGTATCTTTCTTCTCCTTCTTGTAGGGAAAAAAAAAAAAAAAAAAAAAAAACCTGGTGGCTCAGCTTAGGAGAAGGCTGCAAGAAAACACATTTAGGAAGGTCATGAAAACATGTGAGTTTAATATTTGCAAAGAATTGTCCTTCATTTCTCATTGTAGCTATTCACGTATCTACTGCTCTAGAGTGGGTTTTCTGTCAGTAATAAACATTTTTATTTATCTTTGCAAATTCGGTGACTAATATAGTGCATAGCACATCATAAGAGCTCAAACATTATTTGTTGAAAGACACTCAGAACATCTTTACCTCCTACTCCAGATCTATTAAGATTCTTCTCCTTTACTAAAGAGCTCCATCTGGTTCATCTCTTTTAACTTATACCTCTACTCGCTTTTAGTTTCAACAAAAATTTATTTCCTGAGACACATTTCTTCTCTGTGTTCACCAGTAATCCATACATTTGTAGATTTAGTATAAGAAAAATAGGCTAGATCCTCAAATATACTATTATTTTTGGTATTAATCTGATATGTGGTAGATATTCTAATTGCTTTTTTGATGTTTATTATTTTTCATCTTCTTTAAGGATTGCTCCAGCTCTTTCATTAAACTTTAAACTACAAAAACATAGGAAATAAAATTGTTTTCTTCTATCACCTGTCTTTGCCATGTATAAAAATGTCTGCACATAATTAAAAATGTAATACTACCTAGCATGCAAAAATGTATAAGTAAAAGAATGTGATTTTAGAATTATACATAATTTCAGGATATTGATTTCAGTTAGGTACTGAGACACAGGAGTTTTTTAATTGGGCTAAGGATAAATAGCTATAATAATAAAAATAATAGCTAACCTTTATTGAGCTATGACTCTAAGCCAGACAACTTATTTTATATGTGCTACTTCATTTAACCTTCACAGCATCTTACAAGGTTTCCACTAATTTTGTTCCCTTTTTTACAGGTTTGCACTGAGACACAGTGAGTTTAAATAACTTGCCCAAAGTCACACAGTTGCTAAGGGTTGGAATCATGATTTAAACTTAAGGGAGTTTAATCTAGAATTCATATTTTTACTTAAGGACAGTACTTCCAAATTTCTAAATAGCTGAGTAATCTTTTGGTTGTTGCTTTGAAACACTGTTTCTACTATACACACTAGTTGTCTAATGTGATCAAAGAGATGATTGTCACACTGAGATTGTTTAAATTCATCCTAAGAGTTGAATACTTGATCCCCATCTGGAATCCTCTGCTTTAAACCTAGCCAAACTCTTCTTACAGTGTGCATTGACAGAAGTTCCCACAAAGTGTTCCAATTATTCTAATGAATCACACTTTTCAAGAAGTCCAAGCAAGCTAAAAGTAAACTGGAAAGCCCATGTACACACATCATTAGAGCATGCACAGACTTATTAGGAGTAAAGAATGCTGCAGGAAACACAGACACAACAAAAGCTTTGCAAAGAAGTTATTTGTCTCTAAGTGCTACAGTGGCCAGATTTGCATGCTGTAAGCTTTAATATCTTATCAGTCTGTTAAGATTCATTTAGTTATATATGCAAAATCCAACTCGTAGTATTTTCAGAAAAAATGAGCAAATTTATTGGAAGGGTGTGTGAAGGCAGGGAAGCAAGTGACCCTTTAGAACTGATGGAATGAATGGCTTCAGGCCAGGAGGAACTCAGGTTAGGCCGTCTCATCTCTATTTCCCTCCATGCATTTCTCTCATTTGTCTCTCTCATTGCAAATCACACCTCTCAGTTTACCTATATCTGCTGTGGAAGACAGCTATGAAAGCTTCTGTGATTATTCAATATCCAGCCGAGAGATGGAATTAATTATCTCAAATCAAATCCAGATTTCTAGGGGAAAAGCTTATTTGTTCAGCCTGAGTTATGTGCTCATCATGACCAATTAAATGTTGACCAGGCTAGATTTCTGAACTGGGGTTTCATTTCTGCACAGTTTCACTGTGGCCTGTGGACTGCATAAGAAGTGTATCTACACCATAGCTCTCGTAATGGCTATGTAGATGGTGAATCAGTGTGCAGGTAGACTAGTTGGGGGAATTTCTAGAAAAATTAGTATGTGATAAATTATCAGATGTTCACCTCAAACAGGGAAGAAAGAAAGTATAGCTATAATTTTGTGAACATACAATGAGTATGTCATAGATCTTGAAGGCAAAAAAAAAAAAAAAGACCGATATTCTAAATCACAATCTCAAACACCCAGTTGAATTGAGCATGAATGGGTATATACGTGATATACTCCTTCCTTCACTTGGACCCACAGTTTGGCTGAGTATGAGTAATGCTAAAAGAAAAATAAAGGATAAAGACACACTTGGGGCTTATTCTTAGTAATATAAAGGAAGAAACAGAAAACTAATATTTATTGTGTAAGATGTTACACCAGCTCTTTTCACTTATTATCTCATTTAATTCTCACTGCAACACTGTAAAGTAGGTATTATATCTCCATTTCTCAGATGTGAAAACAAAGGCTCTAAAAGATAATTTTCCCCAAATAAATTCTAATAAGTAGAAAAGAGTATTTAAAGCCAAGTCTGTCTTATTCCAAAGTCTGAGCTCTTTTGTTTTTACCACAGAAAAACATTTTAGAATATGAAAAAAAAACCTCAAGCATAGAAGAAGTTTGGTGGCAAAATATAAAATATAAATAACATAGTAACTTATATAGATGAAGAAAATGTTAATGGTATCTGGACAAAGAACAAAAGGGGAAAATCTCCAGGTAATAAAGCTCATGAACCAGTAGAGGAAAAACAAGATTTATCACATAGGTAACTGTGTGCATTGATGAAATCTGGAAAATAAACTTTTTTCACAGTTGAAAAATTCCATTGCCCATTTCCTAGGAAAATAGTACCATATAAATCAGGACTTGAAGATTTTGGTTAATGAATGATTAGTCAGTGAACTGTGAAGCCCTGACTACAATTCCTTGGGCCTACAGGTCAGGGTCAACAACCCCACTCAATCATTTTTACTTAGTGTAATGTTGGTTGGTACATATTAATCAGAGAATCTAAGAGTATAAATGCCAACAGAGTTTCTGGGAGATCATTGGTAGGGAGGTCGGGGGAATCCTCATTTTATAGATCAGAAAACTGAGGCCCAAGGAGGGGCAGTGACTGTGACGGAAGAGAATGAAGCTGTCAAGTGTTGGGAGATGAGCCCCAGCAGTCAGGGCTGAGCTTAAGGCAAAGCCAGCATGGCCTCAAATAGAGGCCAGTGCTAGCAAGCAATGGGCCTTTGGACCCATGGGCCTTCATGTGGTCAAAGGGGACTTTCCTCATATCATCTGCTGTGGGTTTAAAGCCGGTTATCAAAACATAGCTCAGAGCCTCCAGATGTACTCAGACCTAATAAAATAGTCATGTTCAATTGTTGCTCATGTCTGAGAACAGTCTAATATTCTTATTTTTTAAAAAAATTAGAAAGAGTTTGAGTTCACCAAGGCCAACCTCCTCCTCAACACAGACATCATCATTGCCACATTAGTAATCTAGTCTCTCAAACCCTTCTCATGATGGAAAGTTGTTACTCCTATTTTCTGAAACTTTAATAGTGCAATAAAACATGACACCTTGAACTCTCTCACACTGGCACTAATTCAGCCTTCTAGTTCCACAGTGAACAAACCTAGATGTAGTTTAATTTTAGTTCACTTTGGTTCAGAGCCACCTACCCATTCTTCCTTAAATTTATTAACTCTTTATGTAATCCAATTAAAATGAGAGAGAGAGAGAGAGAGAGAGAGGGATTTGTTCATTGTAAGTTCAATTCATTCTAGATTTACTTGGGATGCAAATGTTTGGATTTAGTTTTGGTCTGGTTGGTTTGGTTGTTCTAATGTCACTCATCCTTATGTAGGATCTGTGTGGAGTGAGTTGAGGTTTAAATACTAGAAAAACTCAGAAACCCTTTTCCATGTTTCTGATATGTACCCTCCTCTTTAGCAATCACAAGGCCTTCTTCATAGGTGCAGTTCTCTCTCTGCTAAGGCTTCCATCCTCCTCGGCCTGGAGAACTGGTCTTCACCCTTCTGTCTCAGCTTAAACCTCCACTCCTCACTAAAATCCCACCCATCTCATTGCTAACCATTCCTGTGGTACCTTCTATCTTGCAGCAGTGTGAAAGCACATAGGGTCACTGATAGTAATACCCCCAAGTGCCACTGCAGCACAGTTCCTGGCACAGAGTAGATGCCCAACTAAAACAACGACAAATTTGTGAAATGAATCCATGAATAAGTTAATTAATAAACCCAAAACACTCTTTCTGCACCATCCCCATTGAAAGCTACTTCTGCTACCTGAGTCAGCCAGAAGACTTTCTTAGGTAAATAACATTCAACTCCAAGGTGGCTTAGAATCTGTGTGAATTTGAGTCATGTCACCTAACATCTTTGTGCCTTAGTTTTCTCACCTATGAAATGAAAAAAAAAAAAATCAAAGTAAATAATGAGATAATATAATTAAGTAGACAACAGCATAATGTATGGCACATATAAAGAATTCAATTAGCATTAACTGTTATTATTACTGTGGTAGTAGTAATATTACTCTTATGAATGTGTGATATACTTAGAATTTACAATTATGTGTTTAACATTTTCTTTTTTCCAAGATTACTGAATTATTATAAAATGAATATCCTTATAAACACCCAGGCCAAAAATCAGAACTTTGACAGCCACACTAGACTGCTTTCTACATGTTCCATTCCAATCACAGCCTCCTCTCTCCCTCCAGGAGTAACCTGACTTCCATAGTCATTGCTTCCTTGTGTTTCTTCATGTTTTTGTCACCCAATTTTTATTTATAAGCCCTATTATTATCTTTTTAAAAATGTTTTTATAGTCTATTTGAATCTATAGGCTCCTTCTCCATCTCTTTCTCTGTCTCTTCTATTACAATAAATATGCTGAAGAGCTCAAGATTTTTGTCCTATACAGTTTCGCACTGCCTGCATTTTGTTAATTGCATCCTCATGGAACCATTCAACTCCTTCCTCTATCCCGTTTGTAAATGATTTGCTACATCTGCATTCTCAAAGATAAAGCCACTTTAAGCTTCATATGGCCTTAATCATACACCTAACTATACATGTAATACTTACCACTTCCGTGTTCTTAATCCCACATCACTCTAGTCATTTCTGGCTGTCTGAAGCTCATTTACTAACACATTGTCTTCAAAAGGGAACCTAGTAACAATGTCTCCTGAGTTATTGCATGTTGACCAGTTTGTGGGTGCCATTTATACTTCAAGGACAGTTTTGTTGAATATAAGTTTCTTGAGTCACATTTTCTTTCCTTGAGTCATGTTTTATATAGTACTACACATTCTTCTGGAATTCTAAATTTTCCAATATGAATGTTGAAAGCTCAGAGGATAATCTAATTTCCTTTTCCCCACAAGCTATGTGCTTTTCTTGCCCAGACATAAAAAGAGATTCTTGGTGGGCATTTTCCTTTGAGTTGTTTTTATTTCTTCATTTTTTTTCATTACAACTTTACTAAGATATAATTCATGTACCATAGAATTCACCCCTTTAAAGAGTATGACTCAGTGATATTTTAGTGCATTCACAAAGTTGTACAACCATCATTACTACCTAAACTTTGGATATCTTAATCACCCCAAAAAGAAACCTCATAAGCATTAATAATCACTCCTCTTCCTCAAGTCCCTGGCAATCACTAATTTACTTGCTATTTCTCTATTTGGCTATTCTACACTTTCATATCAATGGAATCACACAATATGGGCCTTTGGGATTCACTTCTTTCGCTAAACATGTTTCCAAAGTTTATCTAGGCACGTATTAGTACTTTATTCCTTTTCATTGTCAAATAATATTGCAGCAGATTGATCAACTACATATTGTTGAGTCATATATCAGTTGATAGATATTTTGATTTTCTCCATTTTTTGGCCATTATAATAGTATAATAACGCACAATTAAAATGTATGTAGGAATTTTTTATGTATACATGATTTCTTTTCTCTTTGCTATATACATAGAACTGGAATTGCTGGATCAAATGTTAACTCTATGTTTAATATTTTTTCTTCATGTTTTCAATTTTAAAATTGTTTTCTCTAAGTCATTTACCGGCATTTCTCATTAGCTAGGGACAAATCTTTACAAATGGTTTATATAAGATACTTCAGTATGCAAGTAACAGAAACTCAACTTAAACTGGCTGAAGCAAAAAAAGGTGTGGTGGCTCTAAGGCTGGTTAATTGAGAAACTTAAAAACATTATCAAGAATCAAAGTTGTCTCCATAGTTCCACTTTGTCATCGATTTCTCAGTGCTACAAAGTGACTGCAATATCTCAGGTAATCTTCTTGCATCAATGTAAAAAGGAAGAAAAGTGAACTATTATTTTATCTCTTTTTTATTGTGGTTTTAAAAGTCACACATATCATTAAACCTACTTTCAACAATTTTTTGTTATACTTTAAGTTCTAGGGTACATGTGCACAATGTGCAGGTTTGTTACATATGTATACATGTGCCATGTTGGTGTGCCGCACCCATTAACTAGTCATTTACATTAGGTATTTCTCCAAATGCTATCCCTCCCCACTTCCCCCACCCCACGATATGCCCTGGTGTGTGATGTTCCCCTTCCTGTGTCCAAGTGTTTTCACTGTTCAATTCCCACCTATGAGTGAGAACACGCGGTGTTTGGTTTTCTGTCCTTGAGATAGTTTACTGAGAATGATGGTTTCCAGCTTCATCCATGTCCCTACAAAGGACATGAACCCATCCTTTTTTATAGCTGCATAGTATTCCATGGTGTATATGTGCCACATTTTCTAATCCAGTCTATCATTGATGGACATTTGGGTTGGTTCCAAGTCTTTGCTATTGTGAATAGTGCTGCAATAAACATATGTGTGCATGTGTCTTTATAGCAGCATGATTTATAATCTTTTGGGTATATACCCAGTAATGGGATGGCTGGGTCAAATGGTATTTCTAGTTCTAGATCCTCGAGGAATCGCCACACTGTCTTCCACAGTGGTTGAACTAGTTTACACTCCCACCAACAGTGTAAAAATGGTCCTATTTCTCCACATCCTCTCCAGCACCTGTTGTTTCCTGACGTTTTAATGATTGCCATTCTAACGGGTGTGAGATGGTATCTCATTGTGGTTTCGATTTGCATTTCTCTAATGGCCAGTGATGATGAGCATTTTTTCATGTGTCTGTTGACTGCATAATTATCTCCTTTTGAGAAATGTCTGTTCATATCCTTTGCCCACTTTTTGATGGGGTTGTTTTATTTTTTCTTGTAAATTTGTTTAAGTTCTTTGTAGATTCTGGATATTAGCCCTTTGTCAGATGAGTAGATTGCAAAAATTTTCTCCCATTCTGTAGGTTGTCTTCCTCAAGATTGTTTTGGTTATTCAGGGTCCTTTGTGGCTCCACATGAATTTTAAGATTTTTTTCTATTTTTGTAAAATGTGTTAATGGAATTCTGTTAAGGATTGAATTGAATCTGTAGAATTCTTTAAATAGTATGGACATTTTAGCATTATTGTCTTCCAGTTTATGGACATAGATGCCTTCCCATTTATTTTTATCTTTTAAAATTTATTTTCCAATGTTTTATAGTTTTCTGTGTCCAAATCAATGTTGAATAGAAGTGGCAAGAGTGGGCATTCTTGCCCTAATCTAAGAGGAAAACCCTTATTTTTAAGAGGAAAAATTTTTATTTTTGTACCATTTAGTATGATAGTAGCTGTGGGGTTTACATATATGGCCTTTTTTTGTGTTGAGGCAAATTCCTTCTATTAGCTGAGTGTTTTTAATCATGAAAAGGGGTTGAATTTTATCAAATACTTTCTCTGAACCTACTGAGATGATTATCTAATTTTGAATCCTTCCTTCTGTTAATTTGATGTATCATATTGAATGAATTTTGTGAGTTGAAACATCCTTGCAATCCAGAGTTAAATTGCACTTGGTCGTGGTGTATAACCTTTCTTTTTTTTTTTTTTTTTTTTTTTTTTTTTTTTTGTGAGACTTTGTCTTGCCCTGTCCTCGCCCAGGCTGGAGTGCAGTGGCGCTATCTCGGCTCACTGCAACCTCCTCCTGGGTTCAAAGGATTCTCCTGCCTCAGCCTCCCGAGTAGCTGGGATTACAGGCGCCCGGCTAATTTTTTCTATTTTTAGTGGAGACAGGGTTTCACCGTGTTAGCCAGGATGGTCTCTAGCTCCTGACCTCGTGATCCGTCCGCCTCGGTCACCCAAAGTGCTGGGATTACAGCGTGAGCCACCGCGCATAATCTTATTTAATGTGCTAGAATTGAATTCAGTTTGCTAGCATTTTGTTGATGGTTTTTGCATCTGTATTTATCAGATAGATTGGACTGTAATTTTGTCTTCTTGTAATGTCTTTGGCTAGATTTGACATCAGGATAAAGTTGGCCTTATATAATAAGTTTGGAAGTGTTTTGTCTTTAATTTATAGAAACATTTGAGAATGATCGGCACTAATTCTTTAGATGTTTGTGAAATTCACCGTTGAAGCCACTTGGTTCTAGGTTTCTCTTTCTTGGGAGGTTTTTGATTACTGATTAATCTTAGGAGTTACAGGTCTATTCGGACTTTATATTTCTTCTGGATTCAGTCTTGATAGTTTGTATAGTTTATCTAATTTGTTGGCATATTATGATCATTTGTATTTTTGTAGCATCTGCTGTAAGGTCTCCTCTTTCGTTTCTGGTTTTATTTATTTGAATCTTCTCTCTCTCTCTTTTTTTTTTTTTTGGCCTGGCTAAAGTTTTAATGATGTTGTTCATCTTTTCAAAACATTAACTTTGTTTCATCTTTTTCTTCTTTGTTTCTCTATTCTTTATTTATTCCTGCTCTCATCATTATTTTCTTCTTTCTGCTAAGTTCGGACTTAGTTTGTTCTTCTTTTCCTAGTTCCTTGAGGTGTAAAGTTATTATTGGAGATATTTCTTTTTTAATATAGATATTTATCACTACAACTTCCCTTTCAGTACTGTTTTTGCTGCATCTCATAAGTTTCATTATTTTCTGTTTTCCTTTTCATTTGTCTCAAAATATTTTTCAATTTTCCTTTTGATTTTTTTCTTTGATCCATTGGTGGTTAAGAGGTGATTTTTTTTTCTTTTCCACATATTTGTGAATTTTTTCAATTTTCCTTCTGCTATTGACATCTAGTTTCATTCCTTTTGTTAGAAAAAATATTTGGAATGATTTAAATCTCCTTAAATTAGTTAACACTTGTTTTGTGATGTAACATATGATCTATCCTGGAAAATGTTTCATGTGCACTTGAGCAGAACGGGTATTCTGCTCTTTGAGGGTAGAATGTTCTGTATATGTCTGTTAGTTCCATTTGGATTACAGTGTTATCCAGATCTTCCATTTCCTTATTGATCTGTCTGTATGTTCTATCCATTATTAAAAGTGGGAAACTGAAGTCTCCTACTATTATTGTGTTTCTGCCCATTTCTTCAGTTCTGTCAGTGTTCACTTCATATATTTAGGTATTCTGATATTGGGTACGTGTATAATTATAATTGTTATGGCTTCCCGGTGAATTGACCCTTAAATCATTATATGATGATCTTCTCTGTTTCTTGTGAACATTTTTTTGACTTAAACTCTATTTTGTCTGATGTAAGTACCACCACCTCTTCTTTCTTTTAATTACCACTTGAAATTAATATATTTTTCATATTTTTGTCTTAAGCCTATATGTGTTCTTTAATCTAAAGTAAGTCTCTTATAGATAGTTTATAGCTGACACTTATGTTTGTTGCTTGTTTGCTTCTATCAAGTAACCCACTCTGTGCCATTTGATTATGATGTTTAATCCCTTTATATTTAAGGTAATTTCAATTTTGTTGGTTTCTATGTGTCTTTTAGCTCTTTGCCCCTCTTTTTCTCTGTTGCTCTCTTCCTTTGCATTTTGTTGATTTTTGTTGTTGTGACATACTTTGATTTCTTTTGCATTTTTCTTGTGTATCTTCTATTGTTATTTTTTGTAGTTACCACAGGGTTTACATAAAACATAATTTTTTCATGCTTTTTGTTATTCATTTATTTGGTGATCTGACAAGATAATTTCAAATGATCTGTCTTTGAGTTCATCATTCTTTCTTCTGCTTCATCAAGTCTCTTGTTGATCACCTCTGATTAATTTTTCAATTCAGCTATTGCATGCTTCAACTCCAAAATTTCTTTTGTCTTTTTTTATACTTTCCGTTTGTTATCTAATTGTTATCTCTTTCTATCAAATTTTGTTCATGCATCCTTCTCCTCAGTTTATTTAGCATCTTTATGACAGTTGTTTTGAATTACTTGTCTGGTAACTTATATACCTCCATTTTCTTAAGGTCAATTTTTACAGATTTACTTTATTCTTTTTACTGGGCCACTTTTTTCTATTTCTTTATGTTTCATATAACTTTGAATTGATACCCATACATTTGGGAAAAAAAAATCCACCTCTCCTAGTCTTTACAAACTGGCCTCATACAGGAAAATACTTTTACCACTCATGTTGGCTAGAGATTTTGAGGGCTTTCAGACTTTTTCTGTAAATATGCCTTCTTTGGACTTGTGTGTGTATATTCCTAATTAGAGGAATGTGTCAGCTTCTTTTTATTTTCAGGATTTTATAATCTCTTGTTCCTGTTGGTGTCTGCTGTACACAGGCCCTCTGAAGAAGTAGCATGCTGCCCAATTTTTTTTTTGTTATTGTTGTTCTAAGTGTCCCCAAGGCATTCCATGTCCTATTCATACTCATACTGAAGAGACAGAAATCAGCTCCTTAGACAATTTCTTTAAAAGCAGAGATACACACCAATGGAACAGAACAGAGCCCTCAGAAATAATACCACATATCTACAACCATCTGATCTTTGAAAAACCTGACAAAAACAAGAAATGGGGAAAGGATTCCCTATTTAATAAATGGTGCTGGGAAAACTGGCTAGCCATATGTAGAAAGCTGAAACTGGATCCCTTCCTTACACCTTATACAAAAATTAATTCAAGATGGATTAAAGACTTACATGTTAGACATAAAACCATAAAAACCCTAGAAGAAAATCTAGGCAATACCATTCAGGACATAGGCATGGGCAAGGACTTCATGTCTAAAACAACAAAAGCAATGGCAACAAAAGCCAAAATTGACAAATGGGATCTAATTAAACTAAAGAGCTTCTGCACAGCAAAAGAAACTACCATCAGAGTGAACAGGCAACCTACAGAATGGGAGAAAATTTTTGGAAAATTTTGTCAAAATTTTGACAAAGGGCTAATACCCAGAATCTACAAAGAACTCAAACAAATTTACAAGAAAAAAAACGAACAACCCCACCAACAAGTGGGCGAAGGATATGAACAGACACTTCTCAAAAGAAGACATTTATGCAGCCAATAGACACATGAAAAAATGCTCATCATCACTGGCCATCAGAGAAATGCAAATCAAAACCACAATGAGATACCATCTCACACCAGTTAGAATGACGATCATTAAAAAGTCAAGAAACAACAGGTGCTGACTGGAGAGGATGTGGAGAAATAGGAACACTTTTACACTGTTGGTGGGACTGTAAACTAGTTCAACCATTGTGGAAGTCAGTGTGGTGATTCCTCAAGGATCTAGAACTAGAAATACCATTTGACCCTGCCATCCCATTACTGGGTATATACCCAAAGGATTATAAATCATGCTGCTATAAAGACACATGCACACGTATGTTTATTGTGGCACTATTCACAATAGCAAAGACTTGGAGCCAACCCAAATGTCCATGAATGATAGACTGGATTAAGAAAATGTGGTACATATACACCATGGAATCCTAAGCAGCCATAAAAAATGATGAGTTCATGTCCTTTGTAGGGACATGGATGAAGCTGGAAACCATCATTCTCAGCAAACTATCGCAAGTACAAAAAAACAAACAACACATGTTCTCACTCATAGGTGGGAATTGAACAGTGAAAACACTTGGACACGGGAAGGGGAACATCACACACCAGGGCCTGTTGTGGGGTGGGGAAGGGGGGAGGGAAAGCATTAGGAGATATACCCAATGTAAATGACAAGTTAATGGGTGCGGCACACCAACATGGCACATGCATACATATGTAACAAACCTGCACATTGTGCACACGTACCCTAGAACTTAAAGTATAATTAAAAAAAAAAGCTGGAATGTTGGATGCACACTCTCCTCTTCTCTATTCTGCTAAGGGAGAGGTCGTCATGCTGTATCAGGCTCTGTATGCTCTATAATAGACCCTCAGGAGCATTAGCACCCTGCACAACTCTTTTTTTATTCCCAGTGACCCCCAAATATCTGGATTTTGCTAGGTCCTGTCAGTGCTCCAAGACAGAAAAGAAGGTGTCAACCCCTTGAACAGTCCCACAAAATGTCAGAGCATAGTACTAAGGCAGAGTCTTCTCTCTTTCTCCACCCAGAGAAGCTAATAGCTTGGAGTTTTCTCCTGATTGTATATTGCTGGTGCTAGGCTAGGGAAAGGAACTGTGACAAAAGACTGCCACAAGTTTTCCTGTTATCTTTGATGCAGCTTATTCTATGCTTGTCAGGGTGCAGGAAACTATTAACTGGCTTCTTGATTTCTCATAAAAGGAATTGGTTCATGTATTGTTCTTATATTGGTGTTTCCATGGGAGTAAAGAAAATATGGATCTTCCTATTCCACTATCTTCCTTACATCACTGTCCTATTATGTCTTTTTTTAAGAGCTATGAAACGCTTCCTAGAAACCCCTAAGTAGGCTTTCTCTTAAATCTCATTGACCAAAATTAGGTCTCTCAGACAGCCCCCTTGTTAGGTCAATCAATGACATTGTGTCCTATTGGCACTAGGAACTAGGACAAGTACATTTTAATTTTGAAAATGTTGCAAGTATATTATTTCTTTTGTACAATAAAATTAATGAGTTTTGAGAAATTGGCAGGAAGGAAAGATAAGTAGAACTCTAATGGTGTTAACATTGCAGCAAGACTATATTTTGTGGAATTTTTGTCTATATAAGCAAAAATTCTTGAGTTGGCAAGAATTGGCATATCAGGACTATGTGGAGGCCCAACCTTGCATGAAAGAAATAACACAGCACAGCTAGGGTGGTCTGCTTACCAGACCATTCTCCTGGTACTGGGGCCTGACTTTGGGACATCCCTCTAGGCATGGGTCTCTGAGCATCTTAGAGTACCTGGTTGACCCAAGCAAAAAATAGAGTCAAGATACTCTGCATGGGAGAAATGGGGACAAGGGCCCATGCAGTTCCTTGTGCCAACTCAGGATGCCCCATTTGGGTAGCACTGCCAATCCTGGCTCATCACAGTAATCAAAGGGGGTTTTAGACACTTTAGGGAAGGTACTCCAAAGCTGAGGGCCTCTTGAAGTACAGAACCCAGAGCATAAACACCACTTGTCTGATGATAGAAGGAGTGCTGAGAATCTGAGTTGGTTCAGACCTCCAGAGTGAATGAGAAATGGGGAGGAAAAATAGAGCACAAAGGAAAGTGTTGTCAAAGGGCCAAACTGCAACACTTCAGGACAGGGGTGGTAACAGGTTTCAGCTGGAACATAAGTTACTACCTTATGATTATGGCTGGCTGGAACTCTGTGTGGAGGATTCTGAAGCCAAACCTAGACTCCATAGCTCAAGACCATGATCAGAAAAATATTCTGGCATGAGTATGGGATAAGGGATGGGGAAGACTGATACCAAATGGTTGCCATTCTGACTGAGAAGAGTTGTCTTAGCCCCTAACACCTTGGGTTTCTACAAAAGCAGGCATATCCCACCACATTGGTGTTCATTAGTCTGTGTTAAAATATTCAAAAGGTTAGATTATTCTGGAGCCATCAGAACTAAAAGAGCATGCTTATAATTCCACTAGTAGTCATCAGGTACAGGAGTGTGTCTATTTGTGTGAAGGTGTATGTATGTGAGGAAGAAAAAGTGGTTGTGCAGTGTGTGTGTGGTGTGCGTGTAGAAGTATGTGTGTGTCAGGAGGGTGTATGTATTGGGAAGTACATTGGGAAGCTCAGAGGCTGGGGAAATGTGACTAGATTAAAATGAAAGAATGATTTGACAACTCATCTACTTTTATTCCTTTGCCTAACCCCCAGCCCTGAATCAGGGAAGGTGCTAGCGGGCTGTGACACTTCCAAAGCCAGAAGCCTAAAATGACTGCCTAATCAGCTACCATGTCCAAGAGGTGACTGAGAAGTGTTTTCCAGGAAAGCCTTCTCTGAGGTTGTGTCTAGCTGGCCCTGACAGCAAAAGAAGCTCTCTTCGTTACGAATATCTGAAATTCTTTTCCCAGGGGAGTACAATAAAGCAGAAGCTTATCAGGTGTACAAAGCGTGTTTTTTAAGTTAAATTCCGGCTCTAAGCATAAATGGAAATACGATGTGAACAGAAAGGACAATTCAGCCAGCTGCAGGTTTCCATTTATATATTTTATTAATTGTAGAGATAAAGCCCTCACTTAGGAAATGGCCTGACATGTAAAATTTTCATAAGCCTAAAAATGTGTCTTATGTAACCAAAATGACTTTGGGTTTTAGAGCTGATTTGCAACTTGGTCTCATAAATTCTGCTCTATTTAAATCCTCTAAAGTACAACTTTCACATAGCCAATAGAAACTAAAAATTTTTCTAGTCATTTTCCCAGAAAGTCAAGCTTACTTTCAGTGAACTGCGCATTTCAGTGTTTCTCTGACTATTACTGTCTACTTCTAAGGTAGAAAGCATTGATTACCTTCACCATAGCTTATTAATCAATGCATGACCACCAACTAAGACTCCAAAACAGTTCCAGTCTAGTGAACACCCACTCCGACACTCAGGCCCTCAGACCTGAGATCTCCACAGCCGTACCAGTGACTTGAATAGGATAGAGGACCATCAAGCTGAGGGATCAGTCCCTCAGGGGAGTGTCATATCAGAGCTCAGGATGTGGTCCAAACTCAAGTTATTGATATGAAAGGGGCCTGGCAATGAGGGAGAGTCCAAGTGTGTTAGTGGCAGAGTAGCTGAGAAGATAGAAGGTCTCAGTAGGTGAAAGGGGCTAAAGAGTAGCCCGTTGTGGGAGCTCTGTGGCTGGTTGTCTCACCTTGGGCAGGGAATGCCTGAGGAGCAACTCCAGAAGGGACCAACAAAACTGTTTTTGGGGTTGGGTTTGAGGGATTCTTTTGTTGTTTGTTTTACTATGATGATTCCAATTTGCTGAAGTTTTGTGATATTTTCACTTTCTTTAAAGTAAGAACGGGAAAAAAGTTGTGGTAGATTTTTAGGTGAAAATTTTGGCTACTACTTTCTGAGCACTAATGGCATTACTTATTATTGTATCTCTTGACGCAGCTCTGAGGAAAGAAGCTTTTTATTTAGAAAAATCAATAAGCTATTTAGATGGATAGAAGATCTAAGAAAGAGATAGTAAAACAGTTGTATAAAAATTAAGAAGCAATTTGTGGACAGAATGAAGTTAAGGAGAGAGAAAATGAGAGAAGGACTCCAAACAGCAAGGTGGAAATGGAAGATGCCAATTTGTCATAAATGACTCATTCCTTTTTAAGAACTAGGAAGTCTAAAATCCAATTTAAATAGTCCGTCATTTGTTGACATGTAATAAGTCTTCATCTCTCAGTTATCACCATAGCTCACAAATCTTCAGTAAAAGTCTAGCTTATACCTTGGTGTAGGGGACTTGTAGGTAGGGATTCTCAGGTAAAGGGAATGTGATCCACACTGAAGGCGTGCTAAGAATGTTTCAGCAAGATGCGAAGTAGGACATGAATGTTCCATAGAAGCTAGGAATTTGCTCTAGAAAAATATAATCTTTGGGAATTCACAGAAATCTTGGAGAGGGCATTGAATTTATCTTAGCAAGCAGGGATGTGTTAAGCCAGTCTTAACTAGAGGCAGCATTCTACATATTACTATTGAGAATGATTTAGCAAGTGTATTCTGAAGTGGTGAACAAATCACACTGGGTTTTCTCAATTATTCAGGGAATAGGGTGTTATAACAGAAGTTTTCAATATTAGAGTGGTAAAGCACTAGCACGTGCAGAAGAAGAGAGGAAGAGCAGCTGGCATGCCACTGAAATGGATGTAATCTCTAAATCCTCCTGTATTGTAATGGAGTGTCAAGTAAGGCAGAAGTTTGAAAAGAGAAATCAAAAATACAGAACTATGTCCATAGTTCAAGAAACAGTCTCTTTAAAGCAGATTTTGTTAATTTAGGAAGAATTGTTTGAGTAGTATTGTGCCCATCAAGATTGTCTGAGAGAAGTGGAGCTTAGTTCCCAAAAAGGAGTTTCATCTTGCATAAAGGAGGCTTTGGGCAAGGGGATTCAGAGGAGAATATCCAAACATAGTTATTCAGATTTCCTGCTTGTTGGGCAAGTGGAAACTTGAACCGTTAATCTGAAAAATCAGACTTGAAACTATTTGCCGCCCGAGCTGGTAAAGAGGCTCCCACCTGTCATAATCTCCATTCATAGCTCTTACTGATGTACCCTTAGAGAAGGGAATGTGACTTCCAAGAGAGTGTTAACTGTTTGACTCATGGCAGAAGAAAAATGGAAAAACACTTGTAGAGGAAAAAGACCTTCAGAGAAAAAAAGACCAAAATTCCAATCCAATTCTGCCACATCTTAACCTTAACGTTTAATCTCCCTTATTATTACGCCCGATGCAAAAATGCAAGCAAAATCTGTGAGCAGTGATAGGACTGGAAACTTAGAAGAAAGTACACATTTTTGTTTTCTCCCTTTTATGTAAATATTATTAGTTGTGTGCAAAAACAAATTTTGAAAAATAGAATTTTCTCCCTAGTATTACTGCCTTAGTATATAATAATGAATGAAAGCTTCAGTCCTTGTTGGTATACTTTCCTAAATTCTGTTGAACCTACCTAATATTAACTGAGCACCAGTTCTTAAAAGTTCAGAGCCTGGCCTACTACGCATTCTTCAAAATCTACTTCTTTCTCTAATCTTAAATGACTTAAGTAAAAGGTTTTACAAACTTTATCTGTTAGTTGGAAAAGAGAAGTAAGCTGCTAACTTTAATTTCTCCACAACTTCTGCTATTTTTACCTAAACTAGTATTGATTTAAAAAGAAAAACAAAAAGACTGAACTGTGACTCAAAAGCAGAGTTGACAAAATCTCTAGAATTTCTACGCCCTTAAGTGATTTAACTCAGCTCGAAGTTGAAAAGGCTTCTAAGCCTTGTGAGAAATATTATCCAGTTCTATTCACATTATTATCAGAACCTTTTGCCTCTTAGTACTTCCACAGAACATATTTTTGGCTAAACATATTTTTAATTGAGTTTTCCATTGTTTCAATTTAGATATTCTGTTCAATATTTTTAAATCACAATCTGTAGCCCCCTGGAAAAATTTGTCTTTTTTACTTTTCCTTCTTTTTTTTAGCATTTATGACTCTTCCTCTGCCTGTTGTGTGGTTTTATTTTTTGAATTTATCCCCAGAGTTTCCAATTAAGGAAAATATGGACTCAGGTGCTTAAGTGATGTTGAGCAATTGTATATACATCTGTTAGAAAACTTTTATAAGAAATTAAAGCGTTTTTATTAAACTATAAAATGAAGAGAAAAGCCTATTTCTAGTCAAATAAATTGAAAATAATACATTTTAAAGTATGAAGGGAATAAAACATTTAATTTTACAACCTACCACAGGAATATATGAAATGTCCCCCAAATGTGCTATATATTTTAAACAAATCCAGAAATATTTTCTAACTACTAGTTGATTACTCTAAGACCTCTGGATTTACTCTAAGCAAAGCAATCTTTTCTTCTTATAAATCAAGTTATCATCTCATACAGTTGATTTAATTTCTAATTGATAAACAATTCACATGTAGAAATCTGCAGCAGTCTAGTTAAAGTAGAATTTTTGTTCCCTGTCCTAATTGCAGATTTTTCTGCTTGCCCAATAGATAAAGTTCTGAGAATATTCCCTTGTTACTTAAGCTTTCAATTATCTCTTTGTTTCTGCACTTTACTTCAGAGACTATGAAGAACAATATTCAAAAGACCTTCCATTTTCACCAAATTAAAATTTCACAAGAAAATAATGGGTCCCACCGGTGATGTGTAATGAAAAGTCCGAAAAAAACAAAAGCTTTATAAAGAGGGAAGTCACAGCCATAGTCACGTAAAGGTTAATAGTCAGACTTAAGAATTACTACCCTAGTTTCCTTTCCTCTAAACTGAATGAAGTCTGAGGACTGTTCAACCTGTGTCCTCAAATTTCTTAGTGGAAATAAACTACAGTAGTTGCCCAATGTAGTAACTGGCTTCCCTAGCTTACTTCCTCACTTCCTTATCAGTGTTTCCTATTATTATCTCCCAAATAAACTACTTACACTAAATCCTTGTCTTAGAGTTCGCTTCTGGAAGAACCCAAATAAAGATGCAGTCTCAGTACCTGGCAAATTCCACATCATCTGTCCCCATCTCCTTCCTCCTCAGAAACATACATAGTGCCCCCAACCTCCTTAGTGCACTGAATGTGCTGCTCACCAAACTGAAAAGTCACTAATTCATGTCCCATGTTCTCCCAATAATCAACACTTGCCTTTCCTATGCTCACGCTCTTAAGACTTTGTTCTTTACTGAGAAACTGAACAAATAAATTAAACCATGATGTTCAGATGCAGCAATTTGTAGCAATGACACAGTAGGAAAATCAAAAGACCTTGTGCTAGGTTTGTCATTCACTAATTTGGTGACCTCAGTCAAATAACCTGTCGGTCTCAAATGTTTCAGTAACAAGTGAAAGTTGTCAGAATCAAAATGGAGTCACAAACATTTAAAAACAAAAATCTGATAGAGCCAGAAACGGCCATGAAGAGAGAGTTCTCCTGCTACTATGCCTGATAAAAGCTATTACAGAAAACTCTGCAAAATCACAACCTTGTACAAAAGCCATGGGAAGCTTATACAACAAAATATTTCTACAAGGACAGCAACTGCCTATCCAATCTTGAACTGGTGTCACCTTTGTTACTGATATTTGCAGTTAAGGATAATTATTTCAAAATTATCATGTAATCCTCCTCATTTTTTCCTTTAAAATTCTTTATTGTTTTTTACTTCCCTTAATATGCATGCAAATAGTTTACTATAGCCTATGTATACCCACCGCAATATTCTACTCCCAAATAAATTTCTTTTTCTTTTAAGGGCCTCACTCTGTTATTTAGGTTGACAAATGAAATGAAGATAATAATACTTGACTGAAAATTGCAATGAGTTAAAGGGTATAAAAGTCTTAGAGAATTGGAAAATATAGGATGAATAGGACACCACGTCAAACAACCTTCCCATTTTAAGAGTTGCCTCCAATGACATTGGATCCTAATGTTTCAAAGATCAGACCTTCAAAGGTGGAAAGGTACTTGGGGATATAAGAAACCTAATGCATTGCTGATGGGAATAAAAAATGGTGCAGCTACTCTAAAAAGTAATCTGGGAGGATTTCATCAAATTAAGTACATGGGAACTTCAGGATTAAACAATTCTAGTCCTATGTATGTATTCCAGAGAAATTCTCACAGAGGTCCACAAGGGGGCACATGCAAGAATGTACATCACAACAGTTGGTACAGGAAAACAACCTGAGAGACCAAGGCTGGGCGGGTAGATAAGTAAAATGTGATGAGACTCTACCACGCAGCTGTGAGAACACAATATAATAGATGTCTATAGAGCAATGTGTATAAAGCTTTAAAAACAGAGCTGAGTAGAAAAAAACAAAAAAAAAAAACAGAATATAAGCAATACCATTTATATTTATTAAATATATATGCAGACAAAACAATGTACATCTTCAAAACATATATGAGCAAAAGATATACATTAAATAAATAAGAATGTGTGCATACAGCAGAGAAGGGAAGATAGAAATTCTTATAAATGATGATCATTAATCAACAAGCATACATGAGGGGGGCTTGCCCAAATTTGTGACAGAAATCTGCCATGAGCTGAGGAGTGTAATCAAGTCACCCTTTTACACTGGAGATCCAAAAATGACTGCGTAAATAACTACACAAATGATTGAGTAAGTGGCTTGGTCTTAGAATCAGATTACTTGGACTTGAATTCTGCCGCTGCCACTTACTAGCTTAATTTAACCATTTGGAGGAGCCTGTTCTCACAAAAATAAAATATGGATAATAATATTACCAACATCACAGGCTCATTGTGGAGGTTAAATTACATTCATGTAAAGTACTTGGTGTGGTGCATTGCTCATGATAAGAGCACAGTGAATGTTAGAGATCATTATTAATAATCTAAAGTGATGCTCCACACAATTTATCAGGTTGATGGAGAAATGGTTTTTTTGGGGGGAAGGAGAGATGAGCAGAGGGCTTTATTGAGCCTCCTTTGCTTCTCTAACACCAACAAAGGGGACATTGAGAAGTATTTATTTCCATTTGTCAAATAATAGCTGAAATTAGAACATTCTAAAATGGCTATTGGAGAATGAAGGAGCCTAGTTGCTCTTCTATAGGTCACTCTCCCTGCTTGAGTTTGGGTGATGGGACTGGGTGATGAAGCTTGATTTAGGGGCACTGTGGCTCAGAGCTGGCTCCACAGAGAACATGGGCAATGTGCAAAGAGTGAATGAAGCCAGTTTTCCCAAGACTGCTTTACCATCAGGGGCTCACTGTCCAGACTCCTGTTCTTTCTTAATGTGTGTTATCCTAGGCTTCCCATATGAGCAGAAGAAGGAAATCACTTAGAGGGGGCTAGGACAGACTGCTGGGGATGACAACTGGGAAATAAATTGAAGATGGCCAACACGGTGGGCACATGATGTGCCTCTAGGGGGCTCTCAGGACTGTCATCAAGTATGGGTTTGCTCTATGGTCTCTGCTGCTCTCAGGATTTTGGATACAAACTAACTCTAAAGTAGTCTTCACAAGAATCATGTGGTGACAGGCAGAGAGACAGTGGTATCCCAGACACAGACACTCCAGTAACGCGATGTTCATCAGCACTGGGCTGCTCCTGGCACATAGTCTGTCCCAGCAGCACCGAATCCCAACAGAACAGGAAAGCAATGTGTGTTATACAAAATACCAACTTTCTCATGTTCAAGATCTCACCAGAGAACCTCTGAATATCAGCGTCTTCTGAAAGCTAATTAGTTACTTTAAAAGTTGTGATTTTTTTCATGTAAAAAAGTGAAGTAAAAGGGGAATAAAAACCTGACTCAGTTAGAAATGTATGCATTAAATAAAATTTGTATTGAAAAATAGTCACAGCCATTCTTCTATTTACCCACGATTCTTCTTTATTTGGCTGCCAAATATAGGGGCACGTTAGTATTGCGGTCAGCTTAATATTAAGTAGAAGGCATTAAAGGCTAGAACAGTGGTGCAAAAAGCTGTAGGTAAATCTCTTCTATGCTGGCTGTTAGCAGAGCACTGTGATGCTATATAATTGCAGCAAACTTTTTTTTTGGTTCTGCTGCACTGCAGCTCATAAAGGGAGCACTCATTCTGGAAAAAAAAAAAAAAGTTAAATCTAGCAAGTGGTTAGCACCAGCATTCCAAAAAACTTCAGCAGCCTGTGTTTTCAGCCTCTGCTCCAACTTCATTGCTGTAAAATAAGAGAATATGGTAGTCAGGTTAAGATGAATAAATTTAAAAATATACACCTGAAAATTATACATTAATATTTGGGCATAGCATCTCCTACAAAAAAATGGTTTATACTACAATAGGAAAAGCTTATTTTTATTCCTTAAGTAGATCCTTCCTTGTTTCACTATTAATGGCATAATAAAGACAAACAGCTGTACCTTTACATCAGACTCCAATCTCTTGGCAGTTCAGCAGAGCAGTTCTGGCCTCCTACAAAGTGCCATGATGGTTTTGAGGGGCAGGGGCTGCCTTAAGGAACAGCACTGTTATATCTCACCCACACCCACACCCTTCCATGACTTGGCTGATGACTTAACTTCACTTTAGCATTGACTGCACCATTCCCTAAAATGCATCATCTAACAAGGAGGTAAACTGAATAGGGATTGAATTAAGTCCCAGCTTTTGCAAAAAGGAACATTACAAAAGACCAAGACCAAATAACCTCTCGCTTTTCTTCATATATTGATTTGCTTGATCTTACAATTTTGCTCTGTGGTAGAGGAGTGATTCCAATAATTTCTTTACCCATTCAGTCTCTCTGTTCCTATATGATAGGGTTGAACTGTCTGGAACAGATAAGATAAACTTAATTGAGTGGAAGATGGCTATTGGCAACTGTGAAGGCAGATTATACAAAAGAAAGTATAAAAGAAAATATCAGAGATGAAGCAAGAAGAGAAATATAGTTCTAAGACATGTCTCTGATAGAACAATGTGACGGAATAACACCAATGGAGGAACTGACCAGAACTTTCTATTTCCAGGTTCCAACTCATGACTAACATGGGAACCTTCCGAAATGCCTGGTAGAAAATAAAGGAGGTCAGTTGCCTTTCTGTAGGCAACTGTCTGTGCTTTGCCCTCAGCCAGATCATGAGGTGAAGAAGCAGTGGTGACTTAGAGCTGGCTCCTATGTGCAAGGTGAATGTCTTGGCCAAGCAGCTAAACAGGATTGTGAATCGCGGTTACATTCTGCATTATTATGAGAAAGTATATTTTAGACTAGAAGAAGGAGACAGATAAAAAGCACTAACAAAGGGGTGGCTCATGACTGCTCTGGTTTGTTCTGGCCATAGAAAATCAACAGGCAAAAAGTAAGAAGTAAGCTGTAGCTTTCATCATCTGGAATTCTCTGAAGCCCTAGAATGAAGGGAGGAAATGACTCAAGTACATCTGCTCATTAATTTTTCTAACAAATAAAAATTACCATTATTTTGCTTTTTCTGAAAGCACCAACATGATTTTTCTTAAAGTACCAGCATTTAGTAGTTAATTTTACAGAGGTTTAAGGAAATGATCATCATTTGGCTAATACTTTTTAAGTGCCATGTATTTTATATGCTAAGCACTTTACATACACTTAGGCAGACCTTCACGATCATTTGATTCCATTTTACAAAGAATAAAATTGAAGCTCAGAAGGAGTCAATATCACACCCAAGGTCATAGTGCTCCAAATTAAACCCCAGCTTATTCCACGTTTTATATTTGCTTTTGTTGTTCACATAGCCATTACTTAGTTTGTCTTAGTCAAACTAAAACCTATATTGAGTTTGGCTTCTGAAATGGTGAACTCTGTTACCAGGAGAGGTTCAATAGAAGATATATGAGCATATATGATGTAGATGGGATTATAACATTAAATAAAATATTGGAATAAATGCCTTCTAAGTTCCCTCTGAAATATAAAATTTTATTATAATAGGAATCATTAAATCAGATTGAAGCACCATAGGCAGATCATCCTCTGATGCCATGCCAGCAAGCTTAGCACTATTTCTCAGCTCTTCCCGAACCCACCAGCAGGTCAAATAAATGTTTGGCCCCACAATTTAGCAGCCAGTTGGAAAAGTTGTACTATGCTATGACAGCTACAGCCATCGTTTTAGACACTTTGTGAAGTTTTTACTGGGTTTATTTGCCAATCTCATTATAGGTAAAGAGCTAAAAAACTTGGGAATAACAAAGGTGAACATGTAAGAAAAGTGAGAATCATCAACAAATAAATCAATTCTATTTTCAAACTAGCACACTGGCAGTTAAGGCTCAGTATTTTATTATATTGCCAATGAAACAACACACTTATTTTGGATATAAGAAAATACAAGCAAGAAAGAACTTAAGATGCTTTGGAAGTCATAATTCTGGAACACAGTCAAACTCAAAATCTTGGTTTTTTTTTAAATTCAGAGTTAACCTTGGGTAATAGGTAATATATTCTTCTGAAACATTAAGCCAATGTTACAGAAAGCATTTTTTAAAAGAATGTGCTGTGTGAGTTGGTTTTTCATTCCCATTAAATGCAACATCAAATATGCATATTCTTTACTGCAAAATGAAAACAAAATAACCTACACATGTGTTCTTGTGAATATGAAATTAGGCTGCATGTATTGAGAACAAAAAGCCATTTCCAAGAAATGTGTATCATAATATGATTAAATGCTGCATGTTCTTTTTTTTTCCTGAAAGATTTCAAATGTTTTGTGCATTTATGTAACTATTGACTTTGGTGAAAAAAGATAAAATCTGGTATCAGAGTTTATTATCCATAAGCCAGAAGCTATAAAACGTTCAGTAATTAAGGTCCTATAAAGGCAGCCTCATAGATAAAGGATGCAGGTACAATGGACTCTAAAGAGTAAAATGTTGAATCTGGGGTCAAAACCATGTGACATCTGAATGATGTGAGTTCCAAATAATTATTAACCCTGATCTTAGTGTTTTGTTTGTTTCTCTTGGAAACTAGAAATAGTCTTCCCAAGCCACCACACAGAGGAGTTGTGGGTCCTTTTAGTTCCTGACTTCTGCTCAACTTGACAATGACTCACTACAATATCAAACCCAACTTTAATCTGTTGAGATGACTTTGAAGGAGAGACCCCAAAATTGTCAAACGCCCACTTCTCCTATAGTAGATTTAACTGAGTTTCTAGAAGAGAAAAATAAATGAGACCTGTTTCTTTTTATTGGCTACTTCAGAACCAGACTCTCTCTGATTTTAATTCTGGTTCTTGCCAACCAAGTGTAAGAACAATTGGAAATTCAAAAAGAAAGGCTTAATTCTTGCTGCTGAGCATAAGGGGAGAGATTTCCCTCCTCCTTCTTTTTCTTAAAGCATTTACTTTAGAAAACTCATCATTGTAAGTACTTTCTCCTCTCTTTGAAATGTATACAAATTCTTTTGAAAACAGGTGGGCCTTTTGTCAGGCCCTGAAAAGTCTCTTTCAAGGACTTGAGAACCATGTCCTTTAAATGTAAACAACCAAGAAAGACATCATCCCCATCTGCCAGTTTCCAGGGAGGATAAGACTCTAACTTTAGCTCAAGCCTGGCTCAAAGTTATGAAACGACCCCATGTCCTAAAGATATGAGAAGTTTACTTTACCTTGTGTAAAGCCAGACACAGATTGTCATCCCAAATTCCAGGTGAACTTAAGATGAACTATGTATAATTAACGATGCTGTCATTTTTTTCTTACTTGAGGACCAACTTAATTATTGTTGATCTTGAGAATATGTATAAAATGGAGTCTATCTCCTTGGCTATACGAAGGGTGAGATTTCTTCTCGTCTTTGCAGTCTATTAGCAGATTGCCTATGATGCACATCACATTCTGGTTCAATGTTATTCAATAACAAAAAGGGTTTTCTTTCTCTACTACCCTAGTGAAGGGAACTTCTGGGTTAGCAGAAAGGTTTTGTTTTGTTCTGTTTTTAAATTACATTTCCCCAACACAGGTTGGGGGCTTACAACACAAGAAAGTCATTTTGATGGGTCCATTGCTATCAAATCCGAGTATAGGAATATCCTTTCCTTTATTATTTCCCTGCTCACCTGATGACTGGGAAAGGTGGCTATCTACTCAGGTACCTGTATCAGGTGTCTTTATTTTTATAAGACAAATTTACCCTGGCCCTGTAGCCATTTGTCTATCAATGCATAGGAATCTTCTTTTAATCAACAGGTAATAATATCCAGATTCCAAATTCTTGCCTAAGATTACAACCTTCAACTCTCAGCAATCCAAGATGTATCAAAGCTTCATTTTGAGAAATAATGTTTTGGAAAATTGCCTGAAAAGAATAGAGTGGGCCTTTTTCTCTTGATAATTTTATTTTTACCCTTGAATCAAACCAGAAAATGAGAGTGGCTTCCACGGGCAAGTAATTTATTTTCTCTTTTCTATGTTCTCATCCAGAGGATAAAGTCAGAGGAATGGGATGGCTGCTTTATACTCTTAGAACCTTAGACATCAGTGGAGGTTCTGAAATTCAAAATAAAATAAACTCAGAAAGCTTATATACCACCAAAGTGGCAAATCAGTCATAGTCACCTTGCTAACAGAATTGTTATGTTGTAAACCATTAAATGTTTATCAAAAATCTGCAAAGAGAAGGAATAAGAAAACACAAGAATTTGCCTAGCATGTGTTTTATGGGCAGCTAGTGAACGATTAGCTCTCAAGTTGTGTTAATAACAAATGAACCTGAAAGGTCAGAACCAAATGCATCTAATCATGTTTTGGGAAATCAATTGATCTTCAATTTGAAAATAAAATGCAGTAGTCATAGGGCTGCATGTAGCAGGTAATACAAAGAGGGGCGGTCTGTTTATATCTCATTCTGCAGTATGACTTTCACAAACAAGTCTGCAGAAGGAGAAGTAGTTTATGGAGTGGTTGTGGATAGAAGAGTTGCTGAACTTACAAGATGAGAAATACAATAAAAAATAATTGTCACTACTAGAATTTAATTTTCTCCTAAGTAACTCAACTCAGAAATCATTTATCTTAGTCAACGAGTATGCTCTGCCTGTATGGTGTTAAATATTCACCTTCTTAGAAATTACTGCATTGGTGTGAACAGTAAAAATCTATGAAAGTATTCTTCTTTGAAAATGAGCTGACACAATGGTCAAATCAATTATTTACAGATCTCATCTGCTTGTATGGAGTTTCATCAGTGACCATGTATTTTAAGTGTCATATAAAGTACAAATAAAACACTGTTTGGAATGCCCTAAGCCTCCAGACTCGGCTTGCACCAAATGCTATGCCAGCCCCATCCTAAGCAATTTCCAAACCTTGTATGGAATGTCAAGGCAAACAAAAATAAAGTATTAAATTTTACTAATGAAATTACAGTGGATCTCAACACAGAACAGATCTCTCAAAATTAATCTACCACAAATTAAAGCACATGTTATTCATTTAAGCCTTTGGACAGGAATTTGTTGTCACTCAAGTTTTTAGAAATTGAAATCATTCACTGCAACAAATTCTTTCATGATCCTCCTACTTTTACTTTCTATTTTGTGTTTTCAGGGTTGAATGATGGATTTATTTGATTGGCCTTCCTAGACTGCCAATGAAGGAACTATAATTTGAAGATCTCAAACTTTGATGCATATTTGAATAATCTGAAGAGATTTTAAAACATACAAATACCTTTGTCACCTATAAAGTTTCTTGATTTATTAATTTGTCTGGAATGGATTTCTGTCATATGACAAGGAAGTATATTTATCATTGGTGTGTTTCAAAAGTCAATTACAGATGATTCTAATGTTCAGCCAGGGTTGAGAACCACTGAGCTAGATGTTAAGTGGAATTTTTTTTTTTGAGTTAGTTCCTTTTAAATGAACTTTAGAAATGATGTGAGTTACAAAAATGATGAGTAAGTCAAATCTGATATATCTAACATCTGTTTGTATTTAAATGAATTACTGAGTTAATTTTAAAAAGGTAGTATCTACAAATAGCCTGATTTGATTCAAGAAATGACAGTCTGGTAGTAAGCAAGACAAACTAATGTCTTTAGGAAATGAAAGAAAAACCAAGAGGAAAATAATGAGATACCATCAAGGGCTTTTCCATAATTTTTTATTTGCACTGGGTTTGTAACTGAAATGGTTTATTCCTTTAGGTCATATAGTCATAAGAACAGAATTGCTTTATAAAACTGATGTTTCTTGGTTGTTGTTGAAGGTAAATAAATAACAGAGAAAAGGTTTGGGGGAAATATATTGGTCAATATTGGTCTGACCACACATCATAAGAAGTTGTAAAAAGTTGCTAAATTGCTCCAAAATGTGCCAATATTACTAAGAAGTAAAATACAGAACACTGGAATCACAAAATGGCCTTTTCCTTAATTATTTACATTTTTTACTAATAATAGGTATTGTCTCTCACAAATGTTAAACTTCAAACTGTAAATGACATTTTTCGTATATTCCAAACCTGAATCAAAATCATTTTATGGCAATCTTATCCACTATCTTAATTTTAAGTTTTGTCTCCAGGGTTGTGATAATTGGTGTGAAAAAATGCAAGTACTACATCTATACCATTCTCTTTGGCTCACAAAGTCTTTTGCATTACCTAACATTCAGTAGTTCTCAATTTATTATCTGAACTGGCTGTTTTTGTAATTTAAATAACCAATTCATTTTCTCTTTTTTGTGTAGGAACACTCTTATTGTGTAGATATAGTCAATGTGAACTTGAACCAAAATTATTGTATTTGAAAGAAATACAAAGTTTCCTATTTTTTATATTCATCTGAAATGGGCAAAATCTATTTAATCATTCTTCTATTTCTGAAAGTATATATTTTTCTAATTTTTCACTATTACACAATTTGCCACTATCATACTGAAAGAGCTAACACATTTGACAAAAAGTTATTAACTTTAATATATAAAAATGGAGTTTACCACTCAACAAAAATATATTACCATACCAATAAATGCATAAGATAATGCAAAAACAAAATAGATTTAAAAAGACAAAAATAACAGAAGAAATACAGAATTTTAACATGCAAATTAATATTAAAAAGTAACTTTCCCTTTTAATTTGGCAAGTATTTTAAACGTGATTTTAAAAGAGAAAGAATTAGATCATATAGATAGAAATATAAATTTAAATAGAGAAATTTGGATAAATATCTTTATCTAAATTAAAAATCCTAATTTAGATTAATTTAGATACCAGACAGAGAATAATAGAGTGCCCAAGAGGCACAGACTGCAGGCTGTCAGATTTGGATTCAATTTCTGATTGTGGAGACACTTCCTAGCTATTTGACTTTAGACAATAGATTAAGTTCCTGCAGCTTTAGTTTCCTCATCTCTAAAAAGAATAATAATAGTAGTTAACTTAAGAATGTTTTATGAAAATTAAGTAAAACAAAGTGCATAACACTGTTTCTAATGTATAGTAACCTCTCAATAAACTGGGAATTATAATAATTCTCAATGCTGCCAAGACTGCATGGAGACAGATATTATTATAACACACTCCTCATGTGGTAAATTACTACAATTTTCCAGGACAGCAATTTGGCTACATGTGTTGAGAGTCTTCCATATGTTCATAATCATAAAACCAATAATCCTATTTTTACAATATTATCTTAAAAAGTAACCAGAGATGTGGTCAAGGATATAAATGCATACCTATTCATAACACAACTTTATATTTTAATGACTAATGTTACAGCAAAAAGCCACATCAGTCTTATACTATGACAGAGCTTTTTAAATTTGCAGAAATAGGGATGCCAGTTTAGGAAATGTAGATAGTATGCCCTAAATTGTGGAAAATATGGCTTGGAAAACAAAATTCAAATTATACGTGGAATTTTATTATTCTTACTTCTCTTTTATATTATGCTTGTTTCTTCCTAAACTTGGAGGCTGCAAAATTAAGCATACTTCTTTTGTGAGGGTATTTTAAATGAATGTGTGAGCTCACCCAGTCCCTTCTCAGAGATAAGTTTTTTAAAATCACTTTTTTTCTCCTATTTTCCACTTTATCTGAGGGGATGTAAAGAAGAAAACACTGTTCAGTTATTCTTGCTCTTGAGGAATACAAAAGTAAACCATAATGAGAACATTTCTTTACAGAATTTTTCTTTGTTTCTGTGGTATAGCATTTTTTTAAAAAAAGAAAGTTGTTTGAATTTACTTTTTACTTATCAGCTCAAAACTTTAGATAAACATTTACATGAAATGTAGAGGCTATGATTGAGCTGATATGCCTTTGTCTAAAAGCTGCATGCCATATATAAAATTCACTTGGGGAAGGTGGGGTTGGGGGTGCTCAGTGAGCCTAGCACTCATCTTCCTATGAACTGAAACTGAGATACCATGAGATACTGTGACTCTGACCCTGAAAACACACCATATGGATTATGGGACATCCATTGACCCTCTAGAGAAAGAAGACAATGGTGATTTCACATATGAACCCAAAAAGGAAATCACAAAGACAGGCACTTGGGGTAGGAGTTGGTTTGTGGTCCAGGTATCAGACACGGGGAACTCTAGTGCTACCTTCTACATTGAGAGGCAGCAAGAATTTACTTATTTCACTATCAAATCCTTGTGACTGACAGAGTGAAACAGTTAGTAATAATTCTTTCTTTTGTTATAAAAGCACAATTTTGTTAACATTAAAAAAATAAGATTGGTTTATTTCTATAATCACACAGAAATGGATAATTAGATATCCAGTCCTATCTTACATTTACCTCTTTGGAATCAAGAGCTTCATGTTCAGGAATAGCCACCATTGGATGACTCAGCTTCACAGAAAAGATGCCCAGGATATGATCAGGAGTAGAAGTGAGAAAAAAATAAATGTTAAAATTTCATTTAAACAGATTGACAATGACATAAATATTTTATTGCAGATAACAGTGGATTCTACCAAGTATAAACACTAAGATTCAATTGTCACTAAAAGACAAAAGGAAGATATTTTGGCAGAGGGTGAGTACTCTGTGTATAAGACCACATCTTATTTATTTTTATGTCACACATCAACTCTAACAGTGCTTAGCATATAGCATAGGCCTTCATTAATTATGTATGTAATGAAGGAATCGTCAAAATGCACTAACAGATTTCATAGAGAGGAAACAAAGTTAAATTTATGCTTCACCTCTCAGATAATAGGCCTCTAACTGAAAAGCTCCAAAGCAACAGCAACAAGTCATGTTCAGACCCACGGTAAGTGTAGATGCATCTATAGACAGTACTTACTGGAAATGTAAAATATTGTGCTTTATTGTGACTATTAATAATCTCAATACATACAGACTTCATAAACATTGTAATCTCACCAGGTGATGTTATTATAATGTAATTTATATCATAGAGACACTTTAACAGAAGAGAAGGTCTTTTGTTATGTGGGAATTTTTATTGCTATGTGGGTCTTCTGAGAGCTACACATAAACTTCATAAGATAGAAGAAAGTCATCAATATGCAAGAAAGAGACAACCTAAGAGACACACACAAAGAGAAGGGGAGAGCAAACGTTTGTAATGAAATCTGTTTACCCTTTTTTGGTATTAACCATTTATCCTAGCTCCAGCTTTAGAATCACCACAGATCCAGTTTGACAGGAATATTTCTTATTTCTGCCATCCTTCCCGGCAAACCAGGGCTATTGAAATGATTGGACCCCTTTCACTTTCAACAGGGTCTTGCTTTGGGCAAAAAGTCCATGGACAGAGATCAGCTCTTAAACCCCCAGAGCAATTTGAAGGAGGCCAGTAATTTAGCCTACCCAGGGGAAGACTCTAACCTTGGCTGCTAGGGAGGCCAAGGAGGTCTCCACCTGACATTTCCTCAGGTTTCCCTTTGTTCCAACAGACATTCAAGAATGGAGCCAGTTTTTGTTTAAAGTTATAGCTTCACTAAATCCAAGCCCTTACACTCTGTTCCCAACTATAAAATCCTTTGGGTATCATAGCAACAGGACTCCTTCTAGCTGCCTGAGACCATTGCTTTAAATAGAAGCATGATCTGGCCCTAGAGCCAACTAGAAATCTAAATAGAATTCCAGGAAGCAGCTGGAAGCACCTACTTTCTCCTGTTCATCAGAGTCTCCTGAGATCCTAAGTATGGCTTAGGATCAGACTCTAGGTACTGCTTCAAACTTCAAACCCAAGTGATTTATCCTGGAAATAGCACAGTCATTGGTATAAGTAGGTTAAGTAGTACAATATCTATATGAATCATCACAGTTTGTACAATGTCAAACGTCCAACCTTCTAATCTCCTAAAACAGAAAAGAAGAATCATCTTGAAATTTTAAAATCTTGGTAATATCCCAATAAAGCATTCAACTGAGATTAGAAAAGCAATCGAGTCATTATGTGATGCCTACTGTTATATTCCATTCTTCCTTTCTAATACAGGTATTCAGTAATTTTAATCCATTTTATTTTAATCTTGAATTTCAAAAACTATGTGTTGATTATCCTAATCAATGAAAGAGAACAGAAAATGACTGATCCTAATGAATTGGTAATCCTCAAATCATTTATATTTAGCTTTGGCATGCTTTCTTCTGTTTATGATCTTTTATCACAGTAGATTTGCCTTTTTAATATTCTTAAGCTGACTAAAAATGTGATATTAATGTGTTGTGAAGATTTATGGATTTAGTCATAATAATTTATTACATACTCACATAATAAATTCTTTATATGGGTTTGTTCATTTAGTTTTCACAACAACCTGGTAAGGTGAGCACTAGTAATACTCTGTTTCACAGATGAGGAAACTAAAGCACTGAGAGGTAGAATAACTTGTTCAAGGCCCAAAACTAGTGAGTGGAACATCCATGCTGGAATCTAGACTGAGAGTATGCAGAGACTGTGCTCTCAAAGCAAGTATGAGGTGGCAATATGCCCATGGGAAGTTATGCAGGAAAAAGAAGCAGGGAAGACAGAGAGACAGGGGAAGTGAATGGAGTATGACATATAGTAAAGGGAAAAGCCAGGCACTGAAGTCAAGGGTGTCCCATTCTCAGACCAAGAGCATCTCAGGGCTGGCTGGTATAACTATGAAAGGCCACACAAGAGACACAGTATAATGGAGCTTATATGTCAGATGAGGAGTCTGAGCTTAATTATCTTAGGCAGTGAGAAGTCGTTCAAGTACTTTAAGTAGGGGACACGTGTGGTCATGTGGTCAGATTTCTCATTTCAAAAAAAGTTACTGTGGCTGATGTGCAAAATATCGAAATATGTGGATTGGAAGATATTTAAATAATGCATGAGAGATGTGGCGGCAGGGCAGGAAAGTGGGGGGGGAAGGGAGGGAGGAAGGGAAGGAAGGAAGGAAGGAAGGAAGGGAGGGAGAAAAAAAAAGAAGATTCTAATAAAAATATGATCTCAGAAAATACAATAGACTCAAGTTTTCTGGGTAACTCTAGCCTTCCTACTTTCCAGGATGAGCAAAGAAGCAGAGGGTAGATATGTTGCTATTTTGTTGATTAAGGAAGAAAAACTGGGAACAGAGAGAAATGTTGAATGCTAAAACCTCTGCCAACTGCAGAGGCTTTGTAATGCATGAGGACTAGAGATGTCAAATGGGGAGGACAATAACACACAGTATGAAAATTTTGCCAGTCAGAATGGAAACAGTGAAACTAAGCATTAAAACAAGTACTGACTGGGTGTGGTGGCTCACACCTGTAATCCCAGCACTTTGGGAGGCCTAGGCGGGTGGATCACAAGATCAGGAGTTTGAAACCAGCCTGGCCAACATGGTAAAACCCCATCTCTACTAAAAATACAAAAATTAGCTGGGCATGGTGGTGTGCGTCTGCAGTCCCAGCTACTCAGGAGGCTGAGGCAGGAGAATTGCTTGAACCCGGGAGGTGGAGATTGCAGTGAGCCAAGATCACGCCACTGCACTCTAGCCTGGGTGACAGAGCAACACTCCACGTAAAAAAAAAAAAAAAACAGCAAAAAAACAAGTTCTACGTAGGTGAATGGCTTGCTATGCAGAGAGTAGATTAATATTACAGGACAGAGAGAGTCATCCAAGCTGGCATACTTGATGGTAAACACTGTGGAAAACAAACTACTATGTTGCCTCAAAGAAAAAAATAACTAAAAAGTTACTGATATTAACATGAGAGCATTATTTAACATGGAAAGATAAATGAAATGGAAAATTCAAGAGAATTGAGACAAAGCACGCTTTTCATCCTGGATAGAAAATCCAGTCCTAGATATTGTATAACAGATTAACCCAACCTTTGTTCACTCACCACTGTTGGATAAACACATTTGAATAAAACATTCAGTTGATTTTTATTACACTTTTGGTCACAGCTGCCACCAAACTAACATAAAGCCTTGTGAAGTGTTTGTCACTAGCATGCTCAAAAATATCACTGCCTCTTCCAAGGTAATATAAACCACACTCACAAAGAGATAAAATCCCCTCACACCAACTGAAGAAATGAAAATGTAACAACTAGAAAAAAAATAGGCAAAATGTGGTTAAATCAGTTAATTAAGTCTTTAATGTACACAAGACATGAAATTTAGAGCTTTAGCTTTTGTGAAACAGTTCTCTCTTTTTGAGTGGAGATAAAGTATGTTTTCTGGACTGCCCGAAATTGTGAAGCTGAGGGAGTGTTACGGGAAGTTTTAACATTTTAAAATCACCATGGGTGCCATACATTCCATCCAGAATTCACTTCTTTAGGATTGCTTTTATGTTCAACCACATCCTCTTGTCAACCTCCTTCACACCATTTGTCTTCAGTCATCTGTACCTTCTGCTTCTGTCTCTCCACTTAGATTTCTGAACTGCTAAGACAGAGCATAACCTTCTCAAGACCATCCCTCAAAAGCGACATTACAAATTATTGCAGCAATACCCACATCAAATACTGTCTGTTTCATAAGTCTAATGTTGTCATTACAAGACTAGATGCCATTGGAAGTCATAGATTATAAATAACTAAAACTAACTCGTTGTTAGTTGTTCTGTACTTAGCATAGGACCCAACCAGTACAGAGTAGACACTGAATGAATAAATTAATAAAAGAAAGGAAGAATTCGATGGCTACAGAAAAGAAACAGTTTTCCGACTTGTAAAATTAAAGAATTCTGAGTTAGTGAGGCCTTAGGAAGTATGAACTGAATGCCTAAAAGACATCCTTTGTATGAGATTTTGAAAACTGAAGATCCTTCAAGTAGAACTATCACACAAGTAAGTTCTATTTGATCCTCATATTTCTTTTGCTTTAAAAAGAATTAAATTTAATTGTCAGTGTTTAAGTCCATAGATCATACATGCCGGTTTGTTTTTCTGGTTTCTCTTGAACTGTTCAAAGATCTTCCAACACTAACCTTGCAATTTTGTGACTCTGGACAGTAGCCTGTGCCTTTTAGATGAAGCTAAAGATCTCATATAAACATAGTCCCCACCACTCCTATGAGGAGGCCAGAGGTCAGAGGTTACCTATTATCATGATTATGTACATAATCATGATTATATACATATCATGATAATATGTTATAGGTTATATTTATTATCATTATCTATATTATATATTATATGTTATAATATATTATATTTATATTATGTTATAATATATTATATTTATATTATATGTTATAATATACTATAGTTATATTATATATTATATGTTATAATATACTATAGTTATATTATATATTATATGTTATAATATATTATAGTTATATAGTATATGGTATATTATAGTTATATTATATATTATATGGTATAATATATTATAGTTATATTATATATTATATGGTATAATATATTATAGTTATATTATATATTATATGTTATAATATATTATACTTATATATTATATGTTATAATATAGTTATATATTATATGTTATAATATATTATAGTTATATATTATGTTATAATATAGTTATATATTATATGTTATATTATAGTTATATATTATATGTTATAATATAGTTATATATTATATGTTATAATATATATTTATATTATATATTATATGTTATAATATATATATTTATATTATATATTATATGTTATAATATATATATTTATATTATATATTATGTTATAATATATATATTTATATTATATATTATGTTATAATATATATATTTATATTATATATTATATGTTATAATATATATTTATATTATATATTATATGTTATAATATATATTTATATTATATATTATATGTTATAATATATATTTATATTATATATTATATGTTATAATATATATATTTATATTATCTGTTATAATATATATATTTATATTATATATTATATGTTATAATATATATTTATATTATATATTATATGCTATTATATATATTTATATCATATGTTATAATATATATGTATCATATGTTATAATATATATTTATATTATATGTTATAATATATATTTATATTATATATTATATGTTATAATATATATATTTGTATTATATATTATATGTTATAATATATATATTTGTATTATATATTATATGCTATAATATATATTTATATTACTATATATACTATATATTATATATACTGTGTTTGTACCTATATATTCCTGATTATATAATTATTATCTGTCTCATATGGAGAGACAGATATATATATATATATATATATATATGGCTTGTTTCATTCACTTTGGAGATATGCCTAGCCCAATAAAGTATTTGTGTTTTTAATCCCTGATTTACAACATATCACAATGTGCTAGAGGAACCCAGGAAATCTTGTAAATTTCAGATTCTGGCAGGGTAGTTGTGGAGAGGGGCCTGAGATTCTGCATTTATGACAGGCTGTCAGCTGGTGCTGATGCTACCACAGGTTGAATAGTAAAGTCATTGCCAATATCTTTGTATAAATTGATGAAATGAATTTGTTTCAAATATTTATCTATTCCAACTAAAATTAACTATACTCAAAATGTCCTAATCAATTCAGATACACTGGAGTTGTATAGTTAGATCATTTACCACATATTTGATTATTAAGTACCTGCTAATAGGTCAGGCACTTGGCTAGATGTTAAGGATATAACAATCAGTGAACAGACGTTGTCACCTGCCTTGAAGACTACAGTCTAGCAGGAGAGACAGATAGTAATTATATAATCAGGAATATATAAGTCCAAACACAAAATAATGTGTTAGGAAGTAAAAGTATTGAGTCTTATCAGGGTTCATAATAGATGAATCTAACCTAAACTAAAAGGATGAAGGCATATTTTTCCCAGAGGCTGAAATTTCAGGGATGCTACCTCATAGGAATAAGAAGCATGATGAGTGAATATGGAATTAGTCCCTGAGAAGAAATTACTCACAATTGGGCTGGTTGAAAAATAGGGAGAAAATTCAGGTGGATGGGTAAAATGAGTGAGAGAGATGTCAGAAACTGAGGACAGAGAATTACTATGAGGAATTTGTATGCATCAACTTCACTTCAGTGTCATCTGTAAGCCCTTGAAAGTGCTTATTAAATGAATGAACACTGTTAAATATGAGTTTTCCTGCAAAGGACATGATCTCATTCCTTTTTATGACTGTGTAGTATTCCATGGTGTATCTGTACCACATTTTCTTCATCCAGTCTATCATTGATGGGCATTTGGGTTAATTCCATGTCTTTGCTATTGTGAATAGTGCTGCAGTGATCATACACATGCATGTGTCTTTATAATAGAATGATTTATATTCCTTTGGGTAAATACCCAGTAATAAGGTTACTGGGTCAAAAGATATTTGTGTCTCTAGGTCTTTGAGGAATTTCCACACTGTCTTCCACATGGTCGAACTAATTTGCACTCCCACCAACAGTGTATAAGTGTTTCTTTTTCTCCATGACCTCGCCAGCATCTGTTATTTTTTGACTTTTTAATAATACCCATTCTGACTGGTATGAGATGGTATCTCATTGTGGTTTTGATTTGCATTTCTCTAATGATCAGTGATGCTGGGCTTTTTATCATGTGATTGTTGGACGCATCATCCTTAGTGAAATAACACAGGAACAGACAACCAAATACTGCATGTTCTCACTTGTAAGTGGGAGCTAAATGATGAGAGCACATGGACACATAAAAGGGAACAGACACTGGGGCCTGTCAGAGGGTGGAGGGTGGGAGGATGAAGACAGTCAGGAAAAACAACTAATGAATACTAGGCTTAATACCTGGCTAAGGAAATAATCTGTATGACAAATCCCCTTAACGTACATTTACCTATGTAACAAACCTGCAAATGGACCCCCAAACTTAAAATAAAAGTAAATAAACATATATATACACACACGTGTATACATGTGTATATATATGTGTGTGTGTATATATATATATGTGTGTGTGTGTGTGTGTGTGTGTTCCTCATTTCCCCAAAGACATTTCCCCAAAAGACTGCAAGCTGCTTGAGAATAGGTCTCATCATATCCTAGCAGTTGTGCACCAAACACTAGTTGATTGGTTTTACTGCTCACAATTCTATACCCTGGAATAAAACATAGGCAATGCTCTGAGTTTTTTCTTTATTGAGGTCTGTGGATAATACATGCTATGTGGAAAAAGCTCCTCTCGATAGAAATATGCCTCTCATATCAAAAAAAAAGAATTAGCTATATGTCTTAAAGATTTAATCTGTATTAGGCCAAATATCAAAAATATATTACAACATTTATTAATATTTATTTTTAGGATTTAAATATTTATTTTTAGAATTCAAAAGTAGAGCATATATTTGTGGTAATGCCCAAAGGTTCCCAAGTTTGTCTATCTAATTAATTCCCTTTGTGACCTGGGGAAAATCACTTTGTGTCTGGGCTTTAGGTTTTCATCTTTAAAGTCTGGGCCCTAAATAGATGAGTTTCAGTTCCTCTTTTACTTGGATAATTCATTGGTTCCATGATGCTTAAGCAAAAAAATCTATTGATTGATAACTGATGCTACCTCAGAAATAAAGGTCTTCTTTATGGCATCTCCTGCACTGAGCCATAGCTGAGGTAGAAGTTATGCTGATGGGGATGGTAAAATGAACTCCCCAATCTTAACTGGAATCCTTAATATCGGTTCTTAGTTCTGCTTATTTATTCCTTGTATGAACTGTTACAAACTATTAAGTTTCACTACATTCTTTTGTGTACTCCCTTGGTTATTATATATTCACTTGATAATACATGTTGGTTGGTATATTCTGTTGAAATGCATGTTAATTGTTTCGTAAGCCCACCAAACACTCACTACTGAATATTGGTCATTAATATTGTTATATTGGAGTCTCAATTCTAAGAATACTAATAAGAAAACATAGGAATTTTCTGTCCTGATCTTTGTAATAGATCTGAAATATGACGGAAAACTCCTAAATTATGCTATTTTTATTCTTGGCCTTTCCTCTTCCATCCCAAGAGATAAAGACTTAAGGCATGTTAGAATTTCTTCTTCCAAAGACCACCTTCTAGACATCAGTGTAAGGGAATTTTTGTCTGCTCATTATTGTATGTCCAGCCTATTTAAAAACAAATACCACATCCTATTGTTGACTTACATTTTTCATCTAGAGTTGTTTCTTTCTCAACTAGAAAACCACTTCCCTAAGGGGATTAACTACACCATTCACTTTTTTCAGTGCACAGCTCCCAGGTTATAATGAAAACAGAGTAAAACATGTATTCTAACACCATTTCAGTTCTCAAAACAAATTCCAGAAGTTGAAATTGGAATTGACAAGGAAGCATATTTGTTGTTCTTTTTGTCTATCCTTTAAGAGAACACTTCATTACTTAGTACTACAGGCAAAACATCATTTTCAATTGTTTTCAATATCATACCAGTCTAGTACAATCATAAATCAAATGTCTATTTCTTCACAAAATAAAATATTGGTGGAATATTTTTCTCTCTCTGTTTTTTATCTTCTATAGATTATAAGGAATATTGTACCTCTTATTCCAGTGTGACATAAAATAGAATATAAACAGCTGTGTATTAATATTCCCGAGTTCCATAAATGTTTTTGGAATCCTGCCCCTGCGTTAATCCCATCCAAGGTCTTCCTAATTTGCCACCAGTTACCTCTAAGTTGCAGGAAATCTATCCCAGATCCCAGGTGTAATATCAACAGATGTCAATTGATGTGTTGCAAGGATTTGGAAGAGTATTTAAGAAAATAAATAGGTATGACTGTGATAGGGTCAAGCCATCCCCTCTCACCTTAGACCCCGTACCAGATCCCATTCCACTCTCCTCTAGCAGTACACCCCCAAGAGCATCACTAAGGATGTGGGGGCCAAGAGTTGGTTGAGGAGGGAGAGGGTATGTGGTTGGTTGGCAGGCAGATGAGCTAAGGACTGTATGTCTATAGGTAACAGAAGGGCTTCTTTCTATATGGTGCCTGCCAGACCCATCTTCCTGGCATTGGGCCACATTCCTCCATTCCCACACCTTCCTATGCATTATTTCAAACTACACTTCAAAGTTGTGTAAGCTTTTTCTGACCCTTTTACCATCTCCTTTATGTTTAATGCCTTTAAACTGTCAGTACACCCAGTGTTTTCCTTCCACCTCCGCTTCTTGCCCTACATGGTCTGACTATATGGTCCTGTCAGGCACTCTAACTTGGTCTTAGATTGTGGCCATTCCTGAGCCAACTGATGGAGTCTAAAATCTTCCTTCTGGAGAATCTGTCTTCTTTTACTTCCAGCTATGTTCTTGCTAGAACCACAAACTAACAGCTATGATGGTTTTTTATTCAAACTTCAAAGGATAAAATAAATGAGGTATTTACTGATCGCTAAGAAGCCCTTAAAGAAAACTCTCCACTGTCAGTCAGTTTCAGCCATCCCAGAGTGAGATCTTTTGAGAATGAGAAGAAAAATGTTCATAGTACTGCCAAATTTGCCTACGATATCACCTGGGATTTTATAAACTGTTAAAAGTTCATTCAAATATGGGATGATTAAAATATATTCTCAGGCATTCAAGGCCTTGGAATATTTGCTAAATAAAAACCTGTCTTAAAAACTTTCTTGGGTCAAGGACTTAAATAAAAAGAGAAAGACATACAGGAGGATGCTACAGGAAATATGGGAAGAAAGGGTAATAAAGCAATCTGATTAAGTGTGTTGCTGCCGTAAAAATAAAACAGAACAAACCATGAATTACTATGAAAAAGAGAGAAACTATAACCATAATATGTCAGAAATAAACACCTAGAATTGAACACTATCTATGTGATGGGAGGCAATGGAAGGGACCAAATGGACTTGTCTTACTAGAAGAAGATACAGATATCAATACAAGGATATAAATACGAATACAGACCTTAAGTTAAGGACCATCAACAGCAAAACAAGGTTAAATACATTTTAAACCAGTAAATTAAAACTACACCTTTCCAATAAAAAACTGAAAAGCAGAAATAACAGATAAGTTATGAAAAATGTGATAATATGGTAGAATTAAGGTTATGTAGCGAGATAATCTCAGGTATTAAGAGAAATGTCTCAAGATAAAAAAATCAAGATCAGAAAATATCTGGACAACAAGAGACATACACACAAATAAAAGTCATACAAATTTGAAAACCAAAGTAGGAAAAAGATTTGTCTCTCCAATATGAACCAAACTAAAAATAGTAATTTTATTATCTTAAAAATGGAATTCAAGAAGAAATGCTATAAGGGACAGAAAAAAAGATATTATATACTGGTAATAAAATCAATGAACCAGAAAATATGACTATCATAAACATATATTCCTAAAAATAGAGCCTCAAAGTATTAAGATTTTCCAGTGTTGGACTTCTAATGCTTTGAAAGCAAGTCGTGGTCTTACACTTCATTTGAATGCCTTCATAAAGCTAAGAAAGTGTTTGATGTCTAATGGTGGCTAAATAAATATTTTTATAAAACCTGAGGAAGGGCCCACCCTCACAGTCATATTCTTGTTCCCCAAAAGAGATTTCCATTTGATTCACAGAACTTATGGAACATATGGCTTATATGAAGGCGAATGAGTATCATTATTTGATGGCTGTAAGTTAAATGTCTGAGTTGTGCTTTCATTAGTCACACATTGGTAAACTTCAACAAATTTAGCAATCTGAAAAAATTTTATGCTCATATTTTGGTGAAAGGAGTAAAACAGTGGTCACATTAAGCAAGATAAAGCAACATAGAAAAATTTTGCCCTGAAGTTTCAAAATAGGAGACTCCTTGGCTGTGCAAATATTACATAATTAAAATAGATTTTGTTGCATGGGATAAGTAAAAGGATCACAAAATACATTACGGCAATGAGACAACTAGGTTGAACTATATGAAACTGATAAAATTGATATTTGTGTAGGTAAAAAGCTATTGAATAATGGCAGTTTCATGTGGTGCAACCTAAAGAAACTTTTTTAAAAAAACAATAGCTTTTCAAGAAGGTTAGACAAGCAATTATGTTCAAAGGTAGACAAAATATATATTTTAAAAACTCAATTTGCAAAGATAAAATGCTTCTATCCTGGTTTTCATTACATTTCAGGGTTAATAATGCATGGCTCATAGCTGCCTCCTTCTACTGCGCATTCACTCAGCTAAGACTATTGTCCTAACCCTGAGTTACTCGACTCTCTCTCATCCTAGTGCCCACAGCCAATGGCTGACTGGTAAAGGGCATAAAAGGGTAGCTCCTTTGCATCAGGTGTGGATAACTCTGCAATTTATTCTCTAGAGCCTTCTCCCTATGAATTAAGTCAAGGCTGGCCTTGAACTGAAGTCACATTTGCTCAGCTCTTTGCCCCTCTCAATTTGAATTCACTCCCTTCTTTACAGGAAGCTTTTCTGAAGAACCCTCCCTCAATAAATCACCAATATCTGAACCGCTGTCTCAGGATCTGCTTTTAAGGAACCTGATTTAACATATCACACGAAGGAGAAGGGACAGGTGGCTGATGTGTGTGGTGAAATAGAGAGTTCATTATCCCTTAGTGTCTCCATCAGAACAAGGTGCAAATGGATGGCAGTTTATTTTCTCTCTGTCCATAAAATACAAGCATAGTCAGTAAATTCCAAAGGCCAGCATGTTATTTTACAAGAGCTTTAAAAATCATGTTTCTCAAAGTATAAAACTGTTATCCTGCCTACCTGCAGCCATACATCTCTTTCCAATTACCAAATTCCTAATTTCTTGAATGATTTTATTTAAAAATGTTACAATGAAAAATTCCAGCTAGATACTATATGTCCAATGGCAGACAACACATGAGCTTGGGGCAGGTGTTCTTGCTACTAAGATTAAGCCAAAAAGAGAAATAAGAAAAAGAAATTGATTGTTCTCAGTTTCCTGGAAAAAATTTAAAAGCCAACTGTTTTATGATTAATTAAGTACACTTTAAGACTGGTAATTAGATAAACAGAAGCATGCCCAGTTTCAAATTCCAGCCTGTCATTAAGGCATGTATTCTGTTGAAATGCTCTTTTTGCCCTCTAGTGGAGAACCTAGCTAAAAATGATTGATAATTCATTTTGCAAAACCACTTCTCTTAAAATATCTGCTCATTGACATTCATTTTTTAATGTTAAAAGTCAAATTAATTTGCATTTAGTCATTTTGAACAGAAGCTTCTTTGTGAATGAATTAAACACATTCATTCGTTTTGAAAACAATTTGGCATCGTCAAATAGTGTACATGTTTTGACTTCCTGAAAAATCTTAAAACATTTTTAAAAACCCATTTTATATTTGATAAAGTCTTTTTTCCAATTCCAACAATCTCAAATATTTTATATTTTAATCATCTCGATAGCTATCTAATCTCCATTATCTTTAAAAACTTGTCAGAAAAGTTTTAGAATTGAGAGTAAAGCTGTTTATTTCTATGATGATTGAAAATAAATTACCTGGTTTATTCACACGGATTTCTAATCATACATAAAGTTAGAACATAAACATTATTAATGAAGAGGTTTGAGGGATGTTTTTGCCTCCAAAATTCAAGATGACTTTTTTCAATAAATGTGGCTACCTCAGTACAATTTTGTCAGAGTACTAGATGTTTAGTGGTTCTGTTAGCCACTAACCTTTGCAAAGTGGAAAGTTCTGCCAAAAGAATGTTGGTGCCTGGAGATGAAATGTGAAAAGTATTGTGGAATTCATAAGCCCAGGCTCTGCCAGTAACTCATGCCATGGCCTTGGGTATGTCACTTTGCATCTTTGGGCTTCAGTTTTCTTATCTGTAGACTGAAGGAAGTCAGATGGCCTCAGCAATTAGTTCTAGACCTGATTTACATATATGGTGCTGGGTTTGACCAAACGGAAGCCTGTGCGTGATTCCCGGGTGGTGGTGATGGTGAAAGTGGTAATGCCACTTTATTGATAGACGTTAGGGAGATATCTCAAAGAAAATTAATCAAGCATCAGCTTTTAAGCTGTTCTGCAAAATTTTGTACAAATTATATATACTTTCTGAGCCTCAGTTTCTTCATATGTAAAAGAAAAAATAAACCCTACTTTATGATTGTTTTAAAATCTAAATAAAATGCTGCATGTGAAGTAAGTGGAATGTTGTCTACTTTTTCTAAATATGTTCCTTATAAAATTTCAGTGACTTCTCAACTCACTCCCTGCTTTTTCCCCCCAGTTCAGATAACTCATTATGTTCAGGAAGGTGGAAGCTATCTAGTAATCTTAATTGATGCTAACTTCACATTATAGTTTCTGATTCCAGTTGCTTCTTCAATGCTCTGGCCTGCTTTCGTTTTCTCAAGTTTGCTCTGTTCCTTTTCTGTATGTCTATGCTTGCTGCCCCCTCTAGCTGGAATGCCCAGTCCACTCCCAGCCTTCACTTCTTTTCAGGCCTCAGATTCAACACCATTTTCTCATTAAGTCTTTCCTGATTCATCAGACTGGATCAGGACCTCTGGTATATATACTCATACCTGCCCAAATGTCTTTTGCATGGCAGTTGTGACAGTTATCACTAAGTATTGAATTTTTTTCTTCTTTAATTTCTGTTTTCCCTATGTAGAAAATAAGGACTTGGAAAAGGCCCCCATGTCTCTGTCTGCTGGCTTTCCAGTGCATGGCCAGCACAAACACAGTGCTTTGCACCTAACAGATATTCAATACATCTTTAGGAAATGAATAAATGTGTTTTGTCAACTTCCAGACTCCTGAGTTCCTAGACTTTATGTTGGAACAAAAAGGTTGCAAAGTCTATGCTTTTTGTTTTTAGTAAGAAATTAGTCAAGGTTTTGGTAACCTTGAACCAAATCACTTAATGTTCATTTTTCTAATTTTGAAGCTATGTACAATTGTAGACTGCTTATCTCAAAGAGCTGTTCCTTTATTCTTAACATATACTCATAAAAGATTTTTCACATCTTTAGATTTAAATATTTACAGCATATATTAGAAAAATAAATTGTTATTTCAAAGCCCTCTCAGCCTTTGAAGCAGTAGGGGAAGGTTAGAATTACTTCTGATTTTCCTTTCTCCAGATAAGTCATAATCTCTATTAACTCTTGTTGATTGATCTTTGTTAAAATATCAGAAGAAACCTCTGGCAAAAAATATTTCAGAGGAGCTACCAAAAAAAATCAACCCATGCTTGAATATATGACTATAATATTAATATTTTAGTTTTTATTGGATTTCTGCAGATTTACAAGGTCAATTCTCTGAGTAGCAATGCAATGATAATACCAATTTACATGCTCTCAATAACGTTACCAATATAAACGTTACACACGTACTAAATTTGAAAATAAATAAGTAGAAGAAGAAATGAACAAGGAAAGTCAACCTTCAATGTTTACAGGGTGAAATATCCAAGGAGTTTAAGAAAAGAATGCTCATGGCCTAAGAAGCAGGCTAAAGCCAGCTTGTGAAGGGGCCTCTCCCACCTACCCACTCTGGACATGAAAGTTTCTTTCCTTTCTCTGTCCTCCTATGTCATTCACACAACATCAGACCGCCATGAAAACTCACCAGAGGTTCCAGACTAGGTATGCCAACCCCTAATCCTCTATGATGGGGAAACAAAAGGAGTTAGCTCTCTATTGCTATTGTTTTTCATTTCTCCTATTTCCTATATGTGTATTTCTCATTCAGAATACATTTTGCTAGGTAGGCTCCCTCACTATTCTAATAGATGATTCTCCCTTGCCTTATTATAAGTGGAGTGATTCTTTACATAGAGAAGACAGAAATAACGCAAATAATTGAACTGAAAATACATCTATTTGCTCACTCTCATCCCCCTTTTTCATTTCAGACAAGTTATATTCCTTCTTTATTCTTAATCTACAATCTCAAGAGCAGCTGCTTAGAAAAAAGGCTAAGAAAAAAGATCAGTAAATATTGTGTTGACATATCATAAAGGTAAAATGTATTATAAGTAAATGCTTCATCTTTTTTAGCAAAAACATAGTTCTAATATAAATAATTGCTATAATTTAAAATATCTTTATGAAAAGGGCACTTTAATTTTTTAAAAAAGGAAATCATAAGAAAGTACATGTTGGTGGCTATGGTATTTTTTCAATGAGAAAGGACTTTTAATAGCTGAAGTAGCATACCAGAAAAAGTTATACACCTTCTGATTCAGTAAGTCTATGAATACTGAATGTGTAAACACTCAGGCCCAATTGTAAACATTACAAGCACATGGGGACAATTTTGATTAACAGCTAAACCCAATATTTCATAACTTATTCTAATAAAAAAATCCTAAGCTAATATACTAGATAGGTTACAGTATATACTATATTATAGTATATATACATACACTCTCTCCATATATATTTAATTTAACAGTTGTGTTTCCTTTTACTTACTAGGAGTTATATGAGGAAAAAATAATTATAATCTAGTACTTATAAACATGCCAATATAATTTTTCTTTTAAAGTTTTTCATAAGAAAGTTCATTTTCTTGCTGAATCATTAGAGAATTTAAAAGGCAAAAAAAAAGAAACGTCTGTTATTACAGGGGAAGCATAGTGTTTTCTATGAGGTAAAAACTTTGAGGTCGCCCGGTTCTTGGGATTTCTAAATTTTTTAAGTTGTAAGTAGGCTTAGGAATCTGCTTTTTTCTTTTGATTTTTTTTTATTTTTTGAGACGGAGTCTCACTCTGTCGCCAGGCTGGAGTGCAGTGGCGCGATTTGGGCTCACTGCAACCTCCACCTCCTGGGTTCAAGCGATTCTCCCGCCTCAGCCTCTCGAGTAGCTGGGACTACAGGTGCGTGCCACCACGCCCAGCTCATTTTTTCTATTTTTAGTAGAGATGGGGTTTCACCATGTTGGCCAGGATGGTCTGGAACTCCAGACCTCGTGATCCGCCTGCCTCAGCCTCCCAAAGTGCTGGGATTACAGGCGTGAGCCACGGTGCCCGGCCAGGAATCTGCACTTTTCTAAAGCTCCCCAGATAATTCTGAAGCAAACAGCCCAATCTGAGTCCTAAAGTTAGGGTTTTGAAACCGAACTAAATGTCCTACTATTACAGCTGAAGAGACAGAAACCCGCAGGAAGAGAGTGAAATGTGTGGCACAATAACATTTACGTAAATTATGTCATATGCACACAAAATAACACTGCAACTTTTGAAAGAAAATGCACAAACATACACATCACATAGTTTAGAATATTTCTCTGGGGGCAGAAAGGAAAGAAGAGTGACAAATGGGAATTAAAGGAAATACATATGTGAATAAATCAGAAAGCAATAGAAAAATAGGCCGTAATAAAAGTAAAAAGGTATTTAAGATGAGAGTAATGGCCTAGGAGTTATACTGATGGATTGTTTCTTCACTCCAGCACCAAAATTCTATTATAGTAGCTAGATGCTAAAAAATGTATAAAGCTGAATACTGAAGTTGGAATGTGACAGTTTTACTTTCATATATCACTTGATCCTGGTAACAATTCTATAATAGTGATTCTATTTCGTTGTTGTTGTTGTTTGTCACTTCACAGGTAAGAAAGTTAAAGCAAGAGTTTGAATTACTTTTTCAAGTATAGGCATACAACAATTCATTGATTCTGCAAAATAAATACAGCAACTGATGCCTCATTACAAATAGACTCTGCAGACGAATTTTAACTTGCATTTCACTATAAGTAGAGTGACTTTATGCTTACTGATTAAACAGGATACTTCTGATAAACAGAGGGGCACTAAAAATATTGAAATCATATAATTTTAAAAATATTTATTGACTGGAAGGGTTTATTATAGTGGTAGACATAAATATTTATTTTCAAAACACTTTATTTTATTTTATTTTATTTTTTATTTTTTATTTTTAGACAGAATCTTGCTCTGTCACCCAGACTGGAGTGCAGTAGTGCAATCCTGCCTCACTGCAACCTCCACCTCCTGGGTTCAAGTGATTCTCCTGCCTCAGCCTCCCTAGTAGCTGGGACTACAGGCATGTGTCACCATGCCCAGCTAATTTTTTTTTTTTTTGTATTTTTAGTAGAGATGGGGTTTCACCACGTTGGATGTTGGTCAGGCTGGTCTTGAACTCCTGACCTCAAATGATCGGCATACCTCAGCCTCCCAAAGTGCTAGGATTACAGGCATGAGCCACCACACCCAGCCTCAAAACTATTTAAAAAATAAAATTCTTCAAAAAATAGAACAAAACATTGTATACATATATAATGTTTCTATTCATATATGTGTATGTGTGTGTGTATATATATATTATATATATATATATTATATATATATGTTTAAATGGCCCAGACTGATCAGAACACATGATCATCTACATAGGAGTATACATTTTCCTGTCTATGTGAGAGATCTTAAAGGTCATGCCCTGACCTTGAGCAATGACAACAGCCTGGGGTCTGCGAGTGAGAGTGTTCAGGCTATGAGGGGTTCTGGGCAAGACGAATGGAGAGGTAGGAGATGAATAGTCTGCTCTGGCTATGAAGTGAAAGCTATAGTGGTAGAGATTTTTTAAGAGACTACTCCAGATATAAATACTGAAATATGCAAATGGAAAGGCTAGAGAAATCTAGAACTAGCCCTTGCATAAAAACTTACAATAGGATTTAACAGCAGTGGAAGAAAGGGGAGAATCCATAGTACATGTGAAGAAATCTGCCATACTTATTTACCTCTTTCATGAGACAGAAGCAGACTTGAAATAAAATAGTGTATGGTTACAAACAACACACAAAGATCATGCATTTTTAGAAAACTAAAAGTGAAATAAAATGGCTCCACTGTCACAAACTTGGCATGAAATAATTTTTTTTTAAATGAAAGAAAAAATATCCTCAAGGATGGCTGTGAATTTTCTCCTGGGGCTTTAAAGCTGTCTCTCTGCCTATAAAGATCCTATTTTTGCTTGTAAAACCTCTCAAGTTTTCACTGTAAATAGAGCCTTCTTGCTTAGGAAATCTCAGCCTTGCTTCTGCCAACAGATCAGAAAAGTCATCCTGACTGTGAAGGCTTAGTCCTCACTCCTCTAGTTTCTATTCACAGACTGGCCATGTGTTTCTCGTTTGTTTGCTGGTGCAAACTTGGCAGAGTAGAGACTCAAGGGAGAAAACAATAAGTGATAACTTCCTGTCTACATGGCTTGTAGTTATGCTAAATAAAAGGGAGAAAATGTAGTTGGAATAAGAAGAGAACAAAGTGCATAAAACTGAGTAATTAAGTGGGAATACTGAAAGTAGGCCAGAAGAATTGGAATTTTAGGGTGACTTAAAAAGAGAGGTTTACCTTGGAAATTATGAGAGTAGAAGATAGAAGAAATGAGAAGGGGTGAATGGAGGAAAGAAGAAAAGTTATGGACAGTGATAAGCTTAGATACTTTATGTGTGTGTTAGTTTTCTCACCTTAGGGCCAGGTAAGTAAGCTGAGACACATGTGCCACATACTTATGGTGCCTAGGAAGAATATTATTTTTCTAAATGAGCTGAATTTTTAAAAATAGAAAATGGACTCCAGTAGGCCTTAATCTAGACATAAACAGGTGTGTTGTACATGGTACTTTGCTACCTTCAAAGATAAAAAAATAATTTAAATGCATTGTAAAATGGGGGAAAAATGGACAAAATGACTATAGTAGATTAGATACAATTTTAAAATATTAACCCACACACACAGACACATCTTTCTTCTGTACCCTTTCTTGTTTCAGCAATATACATAGTCCAAAGCATAATATATCAAAAATAAAGAAAATATCCTGAAGACTTTTATTTTGTTTTTGTTTGCTTTTGTGACAGGGTCTCACTTTGTTGCACAGCCGAGAATGCAGTGACACAATCACGGTTCAGTGCAGCCTTGACTTCCTGGGCTCAAACAATCCTCCCACCTCAGCCTCCTGAGTAGCTGGGACCACAGGTGCACGAAACCATGCCCAGCTAATTTTTTTTTTTTTTTTTTTTTTAGAGACAGTCTCCCTATGTCGTCCAGGCTGGTCTCTGGCTCCTGGGCTTAAGCAATCCTCCCACCTTGGCTTCTCAAAGTGTTGGGATTACAGGCATGAGCCACCTTAAGTTTTAACAGCCAAAGTTTTGATCTGCAGGAGCCTGGACTTCAAAATTAGATCATAAACATAAAATTTCATGAATATATATGTATATATGTTTGTACAGATACATACAATATAAGTCATTGAGCCACATATACCTTCTCAGTCCTTAACGTTTAAGCAGCAACCATCCTCTGAACTTCAAACTACCTGTTTCTACTTTTCTTTGCCTCAGGGCTCTTTCTGGGGATTGATGCTGCCCCACCCCCTCTCCTCAACTAATGACTGCCAGAATTTCCCTCCTCCACCCCTCAGAAAGCAGGGCTCTGAGCTGTGTGTCCCTACAGCAGCTCCCAGAGTTCCCCAGCCATATGAAGCTCCAGTTCCCCACAGTGGTCATCTGCTTGCTCACACACCCTTTACCAGATGCCTCTCCTCCTTGTCTCAGTCCCCACTCCCCTAACAGGCATTTCCTGGAACCACCTCCCAAAATAACTACTCATAAGTGACGGTCTTCTCAGAGAAAACCAAACAAAGGTACAATCACCCTCATTATTGATTATTCACAGCAGTTATGTCCTTAAAGCCTCCATGAGCATGGAATTCGTGAATACTAAACCATTTCTCCTGGGGAAAACCTGGATTAGGTTATTGCAAGTCTCTGGTTACATTTTCATCAACCAATCAATAAATAACCTGTTTTATGGTTGTTTACTGTTTAAAGACACATATTTAATATATTATTAATTCATTAGCACCAAACTCATGGCCAACAGCACTATAACTCAAGCATAAGAGTAGCTTACCTAACATACTTATTTTCTCTTTTAAGACACATCATAGCCTTCTTGAGCATAGGAACATTAGAAAGCCCTTCAACACTATGCTTAGGGGCCATTTTAAACAGCAAAATTACCAACAAAACACACAGAGATGCAAACAAAAACATGATACCAGAGAGAATGCAAAAAGGACAATTTTTTTTTTTCTTTTAGACTGAGTTTCGCTCTTATTGCCCAGGCTGGAGTATAATGGAGTGATCTCGGCTCACTGCAACCTCCGCCTCCGGGGTTCAAGCAATTCTCCTGCCTCAGCCTCTTGAGTAGCTGGGATTACAGGTGTGCCACACCACACCTGGCTAATCTTTTGTATTTTTAGTAGAGACGTGGTTTCACCATGTTGGCCAGGCTGGTCTCCAACTCCTGACCTCAGGTGATCCAGCCGCCTTGGCCTCCCAAAGTGCTGGGATTACAGGCGTGAGCCACCGCACCTGGCTTTTAAAAAGGACAATTGTTTACAGCATGACAGCAAGAAAGCAGGGCATTGCCTTGTTCAACCTGAGCTGGGAACATAGAGGATTCGAATTTCTCCCTGTTCTGTGAATGTCCACAAATGACTAGAAGAGCAAACACAATGAGTGCTGATTTGGGGTTACAAATAAATTTTAGTGAGTAGATGAACTCACAAATACGGATGGTTTTGGAGTTCCCTATGGCAAAGGGGACATGAACAGAACAGAGAAAGATATGTAGGGCATCCAAGAGAATGGTTCTGAGATAGCTTCACAAAGTTCACCTTGCTCCCAGCAAGCAGGTAATAATGTTCTCCCATGTAAGCTGTAGGGGCACAAAAGTAACTGACCTACAGTTGATAAGGACATGCCATGCTAGTGAAGAAAAAAGGATGTAACCATGTATTATATGGCTCATGGTTATATAACAGAAAGGAATGAGAACACCACAAGAGAAGGTCAGATGCCCCCTGCCTCCACAACCCCACCCTACCTATGTTCCCAACACACTCCATCAGATCTGTGGAAACTGGATATAGCCTTCAATAAAAGAAATATCCTCAACTGAGTGACATTATTCTAAACAAACTGGTAAATCCATAAGTTGACTCAGATTTAGTCTTTACTTGAAATAGAAATAATCATAATAATTCAAGCATCTGGGGCTCCTAGTGAAAAAGTTAGGTAGTTGTAGAAATTGTTCATCATTAATAGATCTTTACTACCTTGCCTATACAGTGGGAAATAGCATATTATGTCACACCCTAGATAAACACCAAGACAAGCACAACAAATAAATACAAGATGACCTATAATATGCATGAGATGCCTTGGCACAGGAAAAGAGTATAGAAATTGAAAGGAGAAAACAAATCATTTTGAGTACTGATGCATGGAGAAATGTCACAAAAGAGGAGGGATAATTTAACTTGGACTTAAAGTACAAGAATGGTTTGTGTAAGCAAGGAGAACATAGAAGAGTATTTTATATGGGAAAATGCATGAACAAGTAGAACAGTAAGGAATTTCCAAGGTGTGCCTAGAGGAAAATAAGAAAATCAGTTTAAGTAAAGTAAAAGAATAATAATAAAGACTAGTGTGAGAAAATATAAGAACGCATTCAACTTGGTGAATGACTCAATATAAGGACAAAGCAGAAAAAGCATAAAGCATAACAGATGAATCAAGTTTTGAGTTTGGGGACTGAGAATTGTGATTTTCATCACAGAAGTAGAAAAGCCAGTGCAGAACTAGTTTGAGACAAAATGAATGATGAGTTTGAGGTGACAACATGACATCCTAGGGGAAATGATAAGCAAGCAGCTAAAGATACGAAACTGAATCTCAGTGGAGAAGCAGAATGGGAAGTGTAGATTTGAGACTTATCAGTACTAAGATAATCACTAAGGCCTGTGAGTGGGTAAATAGCTGAAGTGAGGCAATTAGAAAGAAGAGGTAGAGGAGCAAGAAGTGTCCACAAAGAAAGCAAAGAAGGAGCAGTCGGAAAGTTAGAATGTGCATATTATCCCAAGAGCAGAGTGAGGAGAGAAATGCAAGAGGAAATGATCAACTGTGTCAGGAAATTCAGCTGAATTTGCTGACAACCAGTTTACCCTTGACAGAGCAATTTCAGTAGAGTGGTAGAGGTGAAAGTCAGAATGCTTTCAAGAACGGGCTGAAGAGTGAGTTTGCAGAAAGGGGATGGAGATAGTGGCTATTGACCACTTTGAGAGAAAGAAAATTTTGAAACTGATAGATTTGCAGCATCATCAAGGAAAAGGATCAAGTGCTCCTTTTGTATTGTTTTATTTTGTTTTTTAGGCTTCTGCATACAAAGGGGAGGAATCCAATGGAGAAGAATGGACGATTTTGGAGAGCAGTAAGAATGACAATCCCAGAAAGCTTAGTGATAATAAGATCTAACTTTTATATGTTTTTCATTATCTTCAGGCACTTTTACGCATATTCGTAAATTTTATTTTCATAATACTCTAATAAGGTAGGTACTATTATTATTCTCATTTTAAAAATGAGTAAACGGAGGCATTCAGAGGCTAAATGACTTGCCCAATATCACCATCTAAAAAGGGTTGGGTCAAGAAATAACCTCAGACAAAGGAACTAGAGGCATCATCCTCTTAACCTGCTGGGCTATCTCACTTTTAAGGATAAAAGAATTTTTGCAATCTATCCTTCTGTCAAAGGGCTAATATCCAGAATCTACAAGGAACTTAAATAAATCTACAAGAAAAAAACAAACAACCCCATCAAAAAGTGGGCAAAGGATATGAACAGAAACTTCTCAAAAGAAGACATTTATGCAGCCAACAAACATATGAAGAAAAGCTCATCATCACTGGGCATTACAGAAATGCAAATCAAAATCACAATGAGATACGATCTCATGCCAGTTAGAATGGTGATCATTAAAAAGTCAGGAAACAACAGAGGCTGGAGAAGATCTGGAGAGAGAAGAAATCTTTTACACTGTTGGTGGGAGTGTAAATTAGTTCAACAATTGTGGAAGACAGTAAGGCTATTCCTCAAGAATCTAGAACCAGAAATACCATTTGATCCAGAAATACCATTTGATCCAGCAATCCCATTACTGGGTATATACCCAAAGAATTATAAATCATTCTACTATAAAGACACATGCACACATATGTTTATTGCAGCACTATTCACAATAGCAAAGACTTGGAACCAACCCAAATGCCCATCAATGATAGACTGGATAAAGAAAATGTGGCACATATACACCATGGAATACTATACAGTCATAAAAAGGGATGAGTTCATGTCTTCTGCAGGGACATGGATGAAGCTGGAAACCATCATTCTCAGCAAACTAACACAGGAACAGAAAAACAAACTCTGCATGTTCTCACTCATAAGTGGGAGTTGAACAATGAAAACACATGGACACAGAGAGGGGAACATCACACACTGGGGCCTGTTGGGGGGTGGGGGGCTAGGAGAGGGATAGCATTAGGAGAAATACCTAATGTAGATGACGGGTTGATGGGTGCAGCAAACAACCGTGGCACATGTACACCTATGTAACAAACCGGCATGTTCTGCACATGTATCCCAGAACTTAAAGTATAATTAAAACAAAAAAAAGAAAAGAAAGTAAAAGGAATGACTTCCTTCATGAGGCTGCAAGGCAGTGAAGAAGGCAGTTGTACTGTTTTATTCCAGGATGAAAAGAAAGTACCTGAGCATCCTTATAGGATATGATGCACCCAGTTATAAAGTTCCCTCTTGAAAGTAAAAAAGTAAGGGAGGGATTAAGGTGAAGATTTAGGACATGAGGAGTTTGATTAAAACTTAGAAGAGAAGAGTGCACACTGCAGACTCAGCAGAAGAAGAATACAACCTGTTGAACACCTATTGTAGCCCAGCTGAAGAGGGACTCTAAAGACTGGTAAGACAAGTTCAGCATGGTTCTCCAGAGGGAAGGATGGGAAGATTTGAGTTTGGAGATAGGCCAGTAGGCAAAGCTGTAAGGTCAGACTTGGGAATCATGTTAGCGTATTGAAGAAAAGTTAATTAAATAACAGATTATGTCTTGCAATTAAAGGCATTAAGTTATTTCAAGTAAAAAGAAAAAGTCCTGATAAATTAGTATGCTATTAACCCAATATCTAACAAACAATGTTTGTAAACATAGACATCAAATTGGTAATTCATGTACTTTAATAAGGCAATACAGATTCAAGACTAAGCAAGTGAACATTCCATTAAAAATGTTGTATTACTATCTTATTATTATTACTATTATTATTTTGGTTATGAATGGTTCTTTATTCAGTATCAACAAATCTCACACTCAGAAAGACAAAATCTATTATGAGGATTATGTGGACTGAAAATAGTTGTCTGATTTCACACAGCTTTTGTTCTTCTCAGCCTAACCAAACAAAGACTGACATATGGATGAAATATAGTCTATCCTTGCTGAACAGTTCCAGAAAACACTTTCAAAATATCAAAACAATGAGCTATATCATGTAACGGATATCTGTAAATTAAATCATAACCTTATCATATAGATGACAATTTATAAGAAAATGGTAATAGTATTATCAGAATTATTAACTCAAATAACTAAATGTATTTCATGGCTGTTGGCAAATATTAAATCAGAAAGAATTTCAAATAATATAAAATAATTTTTAAAATATTATATTTTCTCTCATATACTTATTTTCTAGACCAAGAATGGGACACAAACAAAGGTCAGAAAAATGTCATATTGAATGTTGCCCAAAAACATTTTTTGGCAAAAAACTGATATTTTAAAATTTGTTTAATCAAAATTGATCATTCAGTTGTCATAGAAGCTATTAAATATAAAAATCTAATTTTTCCTTATATAACAGTGTTATAGTTTTTGCTTTTAGATGACTGTTTGCATTTAGACAGGGTTTATTGACATTTTTTTCTTTAAAAATGCCTCAGGCTCCAAGAAGTATTATCCAACTACATTCTGGAAGATGATCTTGATTGATTTCTAAGTATAGAGATGTATTTAACTGGAGGTAGATACCTTGTAGAATAAATGCTTTTAAACAGGATTTTGAATTTCACAAAAAGATTTAATTAAAGTTTAACCAGTTAATTATTTTAGGAAATTTTCAGGGTCTGAGCATCTGTACTAGCCAGGATGCCCTTATCAGAAGAGCAAAGGGCACTTATATGTAAGCCCCATGTAGTTTAATTGCTTGTTCCTAGAAAACATTTATGATTCAATTCCAAAGCCAACTATAAATATTTTTTACTTGTTTTGTATCATACACACTCAGACAGACAGACACACGCACACACACGCACACACACACTTCAGGTACGAAACACTTCATTATTTTTTACACATCGCGTTACTATACACAGTGAAGCAGACAGGTACATTTTAAAGTAAAATGTGAATATTATTTTGCAGATACCCACAGTAATTCTAAGTCATTTTTTGCCCATTGACTCTAATTATAAGTGCCTCCTCAACCAGGCACTGTAATTTAAAGAAGCTTTTTAGGAACACTGAACTAAGACTAGAATATAAATTAATAATGGCATTTTGTGAGGTTTTGAAAAATGTCTTGGAATTTCCACCATGGAGTTAGAACATGAAACAGTGAAAAATACAAATCAGGGAATAACTTTGGAAAAATATATAAATGTTTATTATTTCCCAAGTTCAATTATTATCTGCTTATAAGGTAATGTGCTTTCACACAAATATTTAATATTCTTTATACATTTAGATATTTAATATTTAAATATTCCTAACACATGTTTCCTCCACATTTAAGTTTTAAAAGTCAAGCGTAATGAAGGTTCACAGAATAGAATAGTCCTCATTTTGGGGAGGAGTTCTCACCTTGTTGCATGCGTTGTGACTGAGGAGGGTGTGAGAATTCTCCTGTTCATCACTCAAGGAGAAGGACAGATGACTGAAGGGTCCTGGGGCAAGACAGTCAGCATGTGAGAGGGTCTGTGGATGCAGCAGTGACTTAGCAGGAGGATAGAGTTTAGTCTGATATAAAGGATGGAGCGAGACAGGCTTGGGAGGGACTGTTACATCCTGGTGGGGAAGAAGAAAGGCATAAGAGGATGTTAGCATAAAAAAGTCAAGCACGCTTGGAATTAGGTCTACGATAGACATAGGTCAGAATCTCTTACCAGTAAGAAGACAACCTCTCCTCATGAGATGGTGTCCCTCATGAGACAACTGCTTTCAGTGTATATTGTGTGTCTCTTTCAAAAATTCCTTTCATTCCCTGCCTCCAGCCTCTTCTGCAGAACAAAACAAGTGCCTGCAGAATGTCTCCTGAAGGGTACCAGGTTTATTTTTGAAAGTATTAAGGGGAGATATCTGTAAGGAAGAAGATAATCCATCCAAAAGAAGTGGGCTGGGGTTAGGAACATCTTCATGGAAGAGGTAGGTAGTCATGGAAATTAATTTAAAGATGCTTGTGATTTGGTCTGGAAGAAATCGGGAAGTCAAGGGGAGGGCATTGTGGAAAATATTAAAGTGAGTGGAGGGGCAGAAGTACAAGGTTTAGTTCATGACACAATAAGTTTCGGAGTTGAGTTTGTCATGGATAAGGAATCAGGGAAGGGTGGGTCTGGAAAGAATGAATAAGGTCTTCAATTCTAGGCAATGTGTTGTTTTGGAGAGAAACTGGTGGTGCAACAAATAGAGGAGTGCAACTGCAAAGAAAGGAGGTTACGAGGCCTTAACTAAAGTGGGTCTTCAACATGGAAAAACGATGAGTGGCTTTGAGGAAGTAGGAACTACTACATGAGGCCATGAATTATGTGAATGGAGCAAGGAAATCAAAACAGTAAGAAGTCTTGAGGCTACAAAGAAAAGTTGCAAAAAGGGCCTACATACAGGTATATGTCTTCTACAAATCAAGCAAATACAAATATGTATCTTACTTTACACACACAGCACATGCATACTTATTATTTTAAAAAGATAGCATCTAGTAAAGACATGGAATCAATACAAATGCCTATCAATGATAGATTAGATAAAGAAAATGTGGTACATATACACCATGGAATACTATGTGGCCATAAAAAGGAACAAGATCATGTTCTTTGCAGAGACATGGATGGAGCCGGAAGCCATTATCCTCAGCAAACTAATGCAGGAACAGTAAAACCAAACACCACATGTTCTCCCTTATAAGTGGGAGCTGAAAAATAAGAACACATGAACACATGGTGGGGGAACAACACATACTGGGGCTTGTCCAGGGTTGTGGGAAGAGGGAGAGCATCAGGAAGAATAGCTAATGGATGCTGGACCTAACACCTAGGTGTTGTGCTGACCCATGCAGCAAACCACTATGGCACACGTTTACCTATGTAATAAACCTAGACATCCTGCACATATACCCTGGAACTTAAAAGTTGAAGAAAAAATAAAAATTTAAATTTAAAATTTAAAAAGATAATATCCTCTTTACAATGTTCTGTGTCTTGTTTGATTTTTTTATTTGACAATTTTGGAATTTTTCTGTATCAGTACATGAAAGCTATTTATTTTCTACCAAGACACGTTACTGAATTATCGTACTGATTGTAATTGTCGTTCACTTGATTCTCTTAGAAGTTTTGGGTCAATCCAAAAAAATCAATTCACCTAACAGAGTGATAAATTTGTCTCCTCTTTGCCAGTTATGATACTTTTCATTTCTTCCATTTGTCTAATTTCATTGGTTAATGCCTCTAACATTGAATGAAAATGAAATGAAAGCCATGTCAGTGGGTAGCTTTAATGGAACATATGCAGTACTTGTCCATTAAAGATGATTCTGACTTATAATTTTGTTTTATTTCTAAATCAAACATTTCATTGTTTTAGCAAGTAATTACAAAAATTATTAATCAGTGTGAAAGTGATTAATATGACAACTGAGTAGCAAACACAAGACTAACTATGTGAGAAAAGGACAGTGTTGTTATTGATAGTTGAAGGTGCTTAGGTAAAGTGGTTTGAACAGTCTCTGGCTTATACTCAGGCTTCAGTTTTTTCTTGGAGGGTGTAAAAATCAATTCTCAGGTTGTCAGGGGGAAAGCCCATGGTGATCCATGGAAAGCAACGAATTCACCAAATGCGCTTATCTGGCGGAATCAAGTTCTATCCAATCAAGAGGAAAATGTTTGCAGAGAGTGTGCTACTCTGTGTTTTGTGCCTCTAAGTTCACTTTTGCCAATCTTCAGCTCTTAGGAGTCGGTCAAACCTGAATGTTTCTGTAGGATCAGGTGTTGTCCTCACTCTACCCAGGCAGCTGGGCAGGGAGGGAGAGCAGAATCTTATCAGCACTTGGACGAGCAAAAGAGAGTTAAGAACCTTGGCGAAGCTCACTTGAGTACTGTCAGTTGCTAATACAATACAAAGATGAAAGGATTCTTAGTGGTTACAGCTTCAATATTTATGTTTCAATCTGTGCTAATTGCCTTCTATGTTTGTATACATTATGATCCTGTGATTCTCTTTAGCATAATCCTGGATATTTAATTTGCCTCTCTCTCCTATGTTCGATCTCCTGTTTCTTTTTTCTTTCTCTTTTTTTTTTTTTTTTTTTTTTTTTTTTTTTTTTGAGACAGTCTCCCTCTGTCGCCCAGGCTGGAGAGCAGTGGCGCAATCTCGGCTCACTGCAAGCTCCGCCTCCGGGGTTCATGCCATTCTCCTGCCTCAGCCTCCCGAGTACCTGGGACTACAGGCGCCCACCACCACGCCCGGCTAATTTTTTGTATTTTTAGTAGAGACAGAGTTTCACCGTGTTAGCCAGAATGATCTCGATCTCCTGACCTCATGATCCGCTCGCCTCGGCCTCCCAAAGTGCTGGGATTGCAGGCGTGAGCCACTGCGCCCGGCCTGGATCTCCTATTTCTAATAGCCTGTGTCTTACATTTTTTTGGTTTTCTCTCATATTGACTGGACCCTAAAGGAGCTTCCTGGGAAAATGAAGTATATGGAAGCCAATTTCCAATAACCTGCATGTTGAAAACTGACTTTCTTCTACTCTTACGTTTGATTGTTTGAATATGAAATTCCAGGTTGGAAAATAATTTCTTTCAGAATTTTGAAAGTATTATTATACTGGATTATTTTATTGTCCAGTGTGGTTTAGAAGCCCAGCCATTTTGATTTCCGATGATTTGTAAATGACCCTTTTTGTTGTCCTCTCTCTCTGGAAGCACACAGGATTTCTTTTTGTCCTCAATAATCTGAAAATACCCCAGTATGCGCTTTGGCGTGGGTATATCTTCATCTACTTTTGTAGGAATTTGATGCTCTTTTATATGTAACATTTTGGAAAATTTTCATGAATTATTTTATCATTTCCTTCTCTTTTTCTTCTCTCTTCTCTTTCTGGATGTTGGACTTTTTTAGATAGTCCTCAAATTCTCATCTCATTTCCTTTTGCTCATCAGCTTGAGAGGTTTAGTTAATTTGTCCTCTGTATAAGTCTGTTCTCATACTGCTATAAAGAACTATCTGAGACTCAGTAATTTATAAAGGAAAGAGGTTTAATTGACTCACAGTTCCACAGGCTGTACAAGAAGCATGGGTGGGAGGTCTCAGGAAGCTTATAATTATGGCCGAAGGGAGGCAAGCACATCTTACCATGGCGGAGCAGGAGAGTGAAGGGGAATTGCTACACATATTAAACAACCTGATCTCATGAGAACTGTCTCACTGTCATGACAACAGCAAGAGGGAAATCTGCCCCCATGATCTAATCACCTCACACCAAGTCCCTCCCCCAACACTGGAGATTACAATTCAACAAGAGATTTGGGTGGGGACACAGGGCCAAACCGTATCATTCTCCAACTAAGGTGACCTAGCATAGAGAGGTTTCCCAGGAGTGGGAATTTTAGTGCTAAGACAAACTGCGATGAGTTAGTCACCCCACCTCCAACTTTTATATTGCATTCTTTGTTTCTGCAATCTTGTGTTTAATTTCCAAGAGGCCCTTTTATTTTCCAAGTATTCTTTTTATTTTTTTAGTATTCTGTTCCGATTTTATAGAGGCACTATCTTATCTATCTGTAAAAATATTGATGTTCTTGAGTTTTTTCTGTCTAAATAGTGTTTCCTCTGTTTTGTTTGTTTGTTTGTTTGTTTGTTTGTTTTATTTCCTGTTTGGTCATTTTTTTTTTGGTTTGGTTTTCTGCTCATATTTCATATTGGAGGTCTTCCTCGGGTATCTGGATATCTTTAATTATCTGCTAATATTTTAGAGTCAGGAATTAAGAGCACTTTGGAAACTCTGAGCACATGGATCAGGCTATTTGAGTTTCACTGTACAGGGTAACCCAGTCTCAATAACTTGAGAGCTTTCCTCTTTGTATTGGTCAGATTCCTCAAAAAAGACATTTTCAATCTCCTGGCTAGAAGGCAAAGGCCTGGCTACAAGTGTTCTGAGATGTGAATAGAAGAGACAGTGCGGGTCGGCATTAACCCCTTATAGCATCACTTAGTCCCCTGTTTTCAGAAGAGCTCCACTGCTCTCCACTATGCCAGGAGGCCCCAGGCCAGAAATCCTGTTTTCCTCTCTCCAGCATGTGAATTATTATCTTAAAATGGTAGTTAATCAGTCAAGAAGAAATATGAATTTGGGGATAGCTACTTCTTAAATAGCTTTTACCTTTTCTTCCTTTTTTCAGCTACCATTTCTTTACCTTCCTTTCAGAGGTATCAAGCACCTCCAAATCCTAAGCCTTCTGAGAACTCTAACATAGAAATGGAATCAGTACTTGGCTTTCTCCCTGGCCAGCCTAGGATTTAGCTTTCTTGGGTTGCTATGTCAGCTTTTCCTCATCAGGATATTTTTCTGCCTCTAAAATTTTATTGCTGTGTCTCCTCTTCTTACTTCCCATACTTGTAGACTATATCTTTACAGTACATCTTTACAATAATTTTAAGGAAATATTGGGAAGGAGCATATTTAGAGGCATTATTCAATCCACCATCCCTTACTGAAAGTCCTTAAGGGTTCTGTTTTGTTTATTTAATAAAGATGGCACTTAAAGTCTAAGGAGACAATTACATTCTTTTCCCCTTGCATTAAATCCCACTTGGTGAGGACACAGCACTCTTTAATGTTCTACTGAGTTCTGTTTCCTACTAAATTGAGATATCTGCATTGATATTTATAACTGAGTTTGAGCTGAAGTTTCCTTTTTGTGCAACTTCTGCTGGGTTTTATAACAATGTTACACTTGCTACAGAAAATTATTTAGAAGATATGCTTGCATTACTATAGTCTACAACTCTCTGTTATTAGAGTTGTCATCATGAACTGCATAATGACATTTCAGCCAACAACGAACTGCATATATAATGGTGGTCCCATTTTTACTGAATCTTTTCAATGTTTAGATATGCTTAGATTCACAAATACTTACCACTGTGTGACAGTTGCCTACAGTATTCAGTACAATACTGTGCTGTACAGGTTTGTAGCCTAGGAGCAATAGGCTATACTATACCCTATAGCTTAGGTGTGTAGTAGGCTATACCATCTAGGCTTGTGTAAGGTAAAATATATGAGGCTTGCGCAAAAAAGAATTCCCCTAACTAGTACAGTTGCTATGGAAAACAGCGTGGAGATTCCTTAAAGAACTAAAAGTAGAACTCCCATTTGATCCAGCAATCCCACTACTGGGTATCTACCCAGAGGAAAAGAAGTCATTATTCAAAAAAGATGCTTGCACACACGTTTATAGCAGCACAATTCACAATTGCAAAATCATGGAACCAACCCAAATGCCCATCAATCAATGACTGGATAAAGAAACTGTGGTATATATACACTATAGACAACGAAATACTACTCAGCCATAAAAAGGAGTGAATTAACAGCATTTGCAGTGACCTGGATGAGACTGGAGACTATTATTCTAAGTGAAGTAACTCAGTGATGGAAAATCAAACATCGTATGTTCTCAGTGATATGTGGGAGCTAAGCTATGAGGATGCAAAGGCCTAAGAATGATACAATGAACTTTGGGGACTTGGGGGGAAGAGTGCAAGGGGGTCGAGGGATAAAAGACAACATATAATGGTGCAGTATATACTGCTCGGGGGATGGGAGAACCAGGGTCTCACAAATCACCACTAAAGAACTTACTCATGTAACCAAATACCACCTATACCCCAATAACTTATGTAAAAATAAAATAATAATAATAATAAAAGAATTCCCCTAAGGATGGATTTCTCAGAATGTATTTCCATCGTTAAGCAACACATAACTGAATTTGTTCCTTAAAAGATTGTTCGAATTTCCCTGGGAATCTATTTGTGACTTGGAGCTTTTTGAGGGTAACTTTTCATTTTTTTTTTCAGTTTTTCTTTTGGTAATTGGTTTACTGGAGTTTTATTTTTATATTTTTCTAGGTATTTTTGCTATAAAGTATTTATTTCCTGTGGATTTCCTAATTCACTTGCATAAGGGTGAGAGAAGCAGTGTCGTATTTTGTGTCCTCTATATTGTTAGTTATTTTCATGTTTATTTCTCATTTTGTATTTTATATTTTCTCCCTTTTTATTGATCTGTTTAACTAACAGTTTGCTATTTTGCACTTTTTTCAAAGAATACGTGCTATTATGAGTTTTACAACTGTTCTGCTTTCTAGCTATTTATCGTTTTCTAATGCTATAAAGTCCTTTTCATTTATTTTCTTATGCAAAGAATAAGGATTTTCTCCTTAAATAATGTTTCCTCTAAATATTTGTTTTATTTTTGTTTTTAAATTTTCCAAATTGAATGCTTACTTGGTTGACCTTTATTACTCTTCTTATTCATTTAGCATTTTTACATTATAAATTTCCTTTCAAGGACTATTTTAACTATATCTTATCAGTTCTAATAGACAATAATTTGAAAAATAATGATTTCATTAGCTTACTTTTCCAGATAGAAATTTTATTTTCTATTTTTTCGAGTTAGATCTTCTTTTTACTTTTTAAAAGGCTTAGTTTTAATATAATTACAAAGTAATATAAGCTTATTATAGAAAGATCAGAAGTCGTATGCAAGCCAGAAAGACAATATTAAAAATACTCTCAGTGAATCCAAAGAAATTTTTCAAACACCCTTTTTTGAAGGTATCACATTTTGTGATTTCAAAGTGTATTACAAAGCCATAGTAATCAAAACAGTATGGCACTGTCATAAAAGCAGACTATAGCCAGTGGAACAAAAATAAATCTACCCATTATGGTTGGACAACTAATCTTTGACAAGGTGAAAGGATAGTCTCCTCAATAAATGGTGTGGTGAAAACTGTATGTCCTCATGCAGAAGAATGAAACTGGATCCTTATTTCACACAATATACAAAAATCAACTCAAAATGGATTAAACACATAAACATAAGATTCAAAACTGTATAACTACTAGAAGCAAACAAGAAAAAAAGCTTCTGCTTGACATTGTTGTGGGTATTTTGTTTGTTTGTTTGTTTGTTGATACGACAGCAAAAGAACAGACACCAAAAGCAAAAATAGATAAGTGGGATTGCAACAAACTTAAAAAAATCTCTACAGCAAAGGGAACATTCAACAGTGTGAAAAGGCAACCTACAGTATATAGGAAGAAAATATTTGCAAACTGTCTATATAAAAGCTTAACATCCAAAATATATGTATTTGAAAAAAACCTCATACAACTCAATACCAAAAAAGCACAAATAACTCAATTAAAAAATGGGCAAGGGACCTGAACAGATATTTTTCAAAAGAAGATATGGCCAATGAGCATATGAAAAGACCAACAGGTATATGAAAGGGTGCTCAACATCACTAGTCATCAGGGAAATGCAAATCAAAACCACCATGAGCTATCATATCACACCTGTTGGAATGAGTATTAGCAATAGGAATGAGTGTTGGTCAGAATGTGGAAAAAAGAGAACACTTGTACACTGTTGGTGGGAATGTTAATTGGTAAGTCAGTAAGGAAAACAGTATGAAGTTTCCCCCCAAAATTTAAAATATGGCTACCATAAAAATGCATCGATCCCACTTCTGGGTATATCATCAAAGGAAATTAAATCAGTGTCTTGAAGAGATATCTGTACTTTCATGTACACTGCAGAACTATAGCCAAGAAATGGGAATAAACTAGATGTGTATTGACAGGTAAGTGGATAAAGGAAAGGTGGTATAATACATAAATACATATAATGGAATATTAATCAGCCTTAAACAACAAGGAAATCCTGCCATCTGTGACAATATAAATTAACCTGGAGGACATTATGTTAAGTGAAATAAACCAGACACAGAAAGACAAATAGTGCATTACGTAACTTAAATGTGAAATCCAAAATAGTCAAACTCATAGAAGGCAGAGAGTAGAATAGTGATTACCAGGGGCAGAGGGGAGGGGAAAATGGGTCACTGTTAATCAAAAGGTACAAAGTTTCAGTTACCAAAGATGAATAACTTCTGGAGATCTAATGAATGGCAATATTAATATAACTAACAATAGTGTACTGTATACTCTGTAGGCTTGATTGCTAAGAGGGCAGATCCTAAATATTCTTACCACAACAATAATAGTATAATAATGTTAATTGCATGAGGTGATAAATATGCTAGCTTGATTGTGGTGATCACTTCACAATACATACATGTATCAAAACGTCAAGTTTTTTACCTAAAATATATACAATTTTTAATTGTCAATTATACCTCAATAAAGTTAGAGAATAAAAAAAGTAAAACACAGAAATTTTATTCTGAATTTCCTCTTTGATAAAGTTTCATGAAAAAGCAAAATTTTCAATTTACAAATGTCAGGAACTTTTTGTTTTCTAACTTTGTTATTAATTTATAAATTTTTTGTGATCAGATAAATTTGTGTATATTGTTTCCATCTTGGCAATTAATAGGTTTTCTTTTTTAGCTTAATGTATAGTCAGTTTTTATGAGAGTTCCACAGATATTAAAAAGAGTAATATTTTGTTTTGTTTGCAGGATAGAGTCTGAATATATATAAATTAGATTTACTCGAGATGATCTACTTTTGCCTATTTTTATTTGATCTATGATAAACTGAACAAACAAGTTAACAAAATATTTTACCAATAATATATTTTCACTTTTTCCAGATCTTATCTCCTGCTTTTGCCTTATGAAGATAGAGGTTATATTTTGGTTTTTCATATTCTAATGACTGTATTTTCCTTGTAAATGCCATCTTTTAGCATTATAAGGGGGTCTTATGTGTCTTGCTTAAGGAACTTTTAGCCTGAATTCAACCTGCCCATTTTGCAGATTATGATCTCTCCTTTTTTTTAATTTGTGGTAGGTACCTGGAATACTCTGTCACTTTTCAACTGTTCACTACACTTTGTTTTAAAAGTCTCAAGTTAAATATTAATTTTGTTTGTTATTCACTCTGGAGTTCTTTTTTTCCTTTTGTATTTTATTTATTTCCATAGCAAATGGATTTCCTGGACGAGATGTTTTTCCAACAGGTTCATACAGGGAAAGGACCACTACCTGGGATTATCTTTGTGCCCAGGGTTTGGGGTATGAGTTGGTTTAGCCTCTACTTCTAAAATAATGAAGACTATCATCAGCTACACAGCAATTTCCATGGCAACTTGTCTGTGCCCAGGCTGCCACAGAGAGATAGAGCATTATATCAGGAACCCCACTTGCATTTCTCAAAAACGAGCATTTCTAATGCGTCTTGAAGTTTGTTACTTTTTAAAATAATTTGCCATGAGATAACTTGAGAAACTCCGAATGATCCCAAAGATTTTCATAATCCTTCTCATGAACAGAGTTTTATTATTGTAAAGAATCCTCTACGTGTGTGTGTGTGTGTGTATATCTCCTTTGTCGTTATAGGTTACCTATAAATGTTGATGTAACTGCAACCTCATAGTACAATCATTAATGTAGCCCACTGCTATTATGCCTCCAGAATTTTCTCATAAAACAGTGTTTTTATTAAAGAAGTCACTTACTTTAGAGAACAAATTTTTTATTATTTGTTTTTCCCTTAAGAATCCAAAATGTCACTTTCTGTGTATTTCATATATTTCAAATGTCACTTTCTGTATATTTCATATTTAGAAAACAAATGTTATAAACTGAGAATATTTTAAAATCTATACTTTGATCCAACTGCATAATAAAACTCCCATATTGGGAGTAATTGGCTCATTACTCACTTTTTCAGATCTTCAAAGGTGTTTTCTATGCATTTTCTAATGGCATTTAATTACAAAGGAATAAATTTCAGTTCATCATTCTATTGTTATTATTCTGCAATAAATACTTCAGCAGGAAGAACACACGTATCCCCAGCTGAATTGGGTTTTTCATTTTTTCCCTGTTAAGATTCTTCAAAAGAGAATTTTATCATTTGCTTCAGTAAAACTTTACACATTATAATATTGAGTACCTTGTGTCTTTAAACAGTACTGAAAATTGCACAGCTTCATGACCTTGGATGCCGGTTTTGTTAATGTCTTATCAAGTATGATGCCATAATGCAATTATTAGTTAAAACTCAAGGCAAAAATATAAACTTAAGGACAGGTATATTCATAATAAAAGCAGATATAAAACTATATTTTAAATTGTTTTAATCATTTCAAAAAATAACCTACTTCTTATCAAATTCAAGTAGATTTTCAGGGTTTGAAATGGATACGTATGTCTGATGACAAGCTTATGTTAGACATAGATATGGTGTCACCTCTGCTATTTCTTGTTGCTTATGCTTGTATCAGCAGTGGTATAGTCAATCTAGATTATTTTGCCGAAGGTTTTTTTTAATAAAGTCATTTGCTTATTTTAAGATGGCTATTTTCGTTAAAAATAGTTAAAAATGATAAATCGTATGTCTAGCTAACTGGGCACATATAGTGCAATAAGATACAACAGGCTTAAGGAATGGCCAACTGAGGGCTCACTGTCCATCACCCCAAGTTAGAAAGGCCTGACACTTTTCCAAGGAATCTCATTTAGAATATATATGAGTTGTAACTATCTAGCATTCAGACCTACAAAGGAGACCCATGTAAACCCATATAAATCAGCAAAGCTTAGAATCTTTGTTGTTATTTTATGTTAGAAGTTGGCAAACATTTTCCTGTAAAGTTCCCATCAGTAAATATTGAAGGCTTTGCAAACCATAAATCTGTCACAATTACTCAATCCTAACATAGTAACATAAAAGCAGCCTTAAACAATAGATACATACAGTCATGCACTGCATAACGATGTTTTGGTAAGCAGACCATATATGTATTGGTGGTCCCATAGATTAACATGGAGCCGAAAAATTCCTATTGCAGAGTGATGTCTTGTGATCCTGACCCTGCCTAGGCTAACTTGTGTACTTGTGTCTGAGAAAAAAAAAAAAAAAAAAGTTTAAAATGTAAAAAAAAAAAAGAAAAAAAATCCAGAAAATTTTAAAATAGAGAAAAAGCTTATAGATTAAAGATATAAATAAAAAATATTTTTGTACAGCTGCATAATGTGTTTGTATCTTTTTATTTTTATTTTTATTTTTATTTTTTATTTTTATTTTTTTTGAGACGGAGTCTCGCTCTGTCCCCAGGCTGGAGTACAGTGGCATGATCTCGGCTCACTACAAGCTCCACCTCCCAGGTTCACACCATTCTCCTGCCTCAGCCTCCCGAGTAGCTGGGACTACAGGCGCCCGCCACCATGCCCGGCTAATTTTTTTTTGTACTTTTAGTAGAGACAGGGTTTCACCATGTTAGCCAGGATGGTCTTCATCTCCTGACCTCATGATCCGCCTGCTTCAGCCTCCCAAAGTGCTGGGATTACAGGTGTGAGCCACTGCACCTGGCCTGTGTTTGCATTTTGTTTATTATAAGAGTCAAAAAGTTTAAAAACTTCAAGTTTATTAAGTAAAAAATTACAGTAAGCTGAGGTTATTATTGAAAAAAGAAAATGTGGCCAGTTGTGGTGGCTCACACCTGTAATCCCAGTACTTTGGGAGGCTGAGGTGGGCAGATCACCTGAGGTCAGGACTTCAACACCAGCCTTGCTAACATGGCAAAATCCCATCTCTACTAAAAATACAAAAAACTATGTATGATGGCGTGCACCTGTAGTCCCAGCTACCGGGAGGCTGACACAGGAGAATCGCTTGAACCCAGAAGATGAAGGCTGCAGTGAGCCGAGATCGCACCACTGCCTTCCAACCTGGGCAACAGAGCAAGACTCCATCTCAAAAAAATATTAATAAATTTAGTGTAGTCTAAGTGTTCCTAAAGTCTACAATAATGTACAAGTAATGTCCTAGGCCTTCACATATACTCACCACTCACTCACTGATTCACCCAGAGCAACCTCCATTCATGGTAAGTGCACTATACAGGTGTTCCTTCTTTTATTTTTTATATTGTATTTTCACAGTACCCTGTCTATGATCAGATATGTTTAGATACACAAATACTTACCATTGTGTTACAATTGCTTCCAGTATTCAGTACAGTAATATGCTGTACAGGTTTGTAGCCCAGCAGTAATAGCCTATACCACATACCCTAGGTGTAATGGGCTACACTGTCTGGATTTGTGTAATTCCCTCTGATGTTCACACAATGACAAAATCACCTAATGATGCATTTCTCAAAACATATCCCATTCTTAAGTGACACATAACTGAAATAGGCAAGGCCATGTTCCAATAATACTTTATTTATAAAAACACTGGTGAGCCAGGTTTGGCCCACAGACCATAGTTTGTGACCCCTGTTTGAGATTTGCTTCAAAACACACTAATGGCATCTCTATCACGTCTAACTTGTGCCCTACTTCCACCCCAGCGAATTATCTTGAGGTTGGTACCTAATACTTTAGAGATCACTATTCTAAATGATTCTTGAAAATGAACATCACTCTATCCTGCTTTAGCATGCAATATATGAATCTTTTAATGTTTTAGTTTTTGAGGGATGTACAGGGATCATAAAACAGTCTTGGACATGTTTCTATCAATGAGATAGGTAACATAGTTATTTCTGATAAAATGCTTTAAACCGCTTTTTAGTCACTTGAGAATTGTCCTCTTTCAATTTCAGTATACATAGAACTAATGTTTCAAAAAAAGGCTTTACTGAGGAGCTTGATTTTTGAAAAGAATTAATTATTTTTGAGATGATACTATCATTCTACAAAACTTCAAGAAGACAGGAACTTATGAAGCAAGTAATATCTTTGTTCATTAAAGAAAAATTAGCAGACAAATATGCAGTGAATATATTAATTTAGCTCTGCTTAACTGACAGACACATCAGAAAATTAGTGTTATAGCCATATCTGATGCATTTGGTGCTCTAGAAAAAGCCTACTTTCTACTCAACCATCAAATCATACTGTTTAACTTCAAAAACTGTTTCCATTGCAACATCAAAGGGCATTTTACGGCATTTTGAGCTCTTCTTATTAAAGCCTGCACATCTGAAATGCTTTTGTTCCATCCTGGCATTTTAAAGTCACTTCCTTTCCTGTGGTTTGGAAGTGAAGGGTGAAAATTCACTTCCTCTTCACTCATGCTGTCCCCTCTTCACGCTGCGGTTTTCTGTCTGAGTACAAGACACCTTTGTGAACTCAGAGTACCATAGGTAAAATTACTGGAGCCTTTCACTCCATCCTGTCTTCCATCTTCCCACCTCTTTGGTAAAGCAACATTTATTTTTAAATGCAGCATTTATTTTCAGCTTTCCTTTGCTGTCTAGAACTTACAGCAGTTTAAAATCAGAGCCATAGCATTTTTGCTACAGTTTTAATTTAAATCAACACCTTGCTAATAAAATCATGAACAGTAGTAATATTTTCTTAAAGAGCGACCCCTTTATCTAAAGACACCAACACTTTACAGACAGCATCACAAAAACCTCATGTTACTATGAAATAAGAGATTGTGATTATCTACATTTCACTAAGATAAAGCCAATATAAATTGGTTTCGATTATATGGCATATCTTCTTGCTTAGAAACCCAAATTTTGGAGAATCCATATGCATTTTTTCAAACAGACATATTTAAAGCAACACATATATTTTGAATCCTGATTTGAACCAAGAAAATTTGAACTTGTGAAGTATGAAAAATTTAGCATATGCTTAGCTATTTGAAATCCTCTATATAAAAAAAGATTTTTAATAATCACAACATAATTTTTAAGATAGAATTTGGATAACTTAGTGCTTAAAGTGTATGGTTGTCTGACAGCAAGTTTCACAGAACAGATGGCATGGATCAGCATGGAAGTATCTGATGGAGGTACACTCAAGGGAAAAGAAAGAAAAACACTCCATAATCAATCACAGTGAGCAGCAGAGGACTACAATGCTGAGTTTTATGTTTTTCTATACATATAGTTGGATTCTGGTCTTTTATTTCCCATGTGGAGGTGTTTAGGATGGAGGAGCAGTTAAAATTGAAGAAGTCAAAAGTAACATAGAAAATAGGCTTCTACAATTGCTCATAATGGAAGAGAGAAAGAAGACAATATATTCAGTTGACCCTTTAGCAGGAAATCAACCTCTTTCTTCCAAAATTGAAGTGATTCTAAAGGAAATGATAACAAGAAACATTTAAGTCTTTAGAGCCCTTTGATAGTGAGTATTTCATTCAACCATTGCAGTATCATTCTTAACAATTAGATATGGCAACAACCGAAGTGTCTGTTGATGGATAAATGAATAAATAAAACGTGTTAAACAATGAAATATTATTCAGCCTTAAAAAAGAAAGAAATCCTGCCATTTCCAATAACATGAATGAATTCCAAATATATTATGCCAAGTGAAATGAGCCAGTCACAAAAGGACAAATATTGCGTGATCTCACTTTAGTGGAATCTAAAATAGTCAGAATTACAGAAGCAAAGAGTAGAATGATGGTTGCCAGGGGTTGGAATGGACTTTTGGTTGAAATGGATGTTTTGTTGTTTTGAATCTATTATTGTCTTAATAAGGGATTTAAGTGAAAAGGAAAAATGGTGTTTAAAGGGTAGAAACATTCAGTTATCAAAGGAATAAGTTCTGGAGAGCTAATGTATAGCATGGTGACTACAGTTAATAATATTTTACTTTTTACTTGAAATTTGCTGAGAATAGATTTTATGTGTCCTCATCTCTTCTCCCATATACACACACAGAGTAACTAGTACATTAATAGTTACATTGATTAATTTAACTGTGGTAATCATTATACAATGTACACATACATCAAATCATCACATTTTACACCTTAAATAGGTATAATTTTTGTCAATTATACTGCAATAAAGATGAAAGCACTTGGAAAAAATTTAAAGAAATTATACTTTTAAAAAAATCACAAATACTTATTAGTATGGGTTCCATTAGAAATGGTGATTAGTAGCCCCATTTTTGTAGGATAAAATTGAAGTTCAGTAAGGACTGATTTTTTCAAAAATCACAAGAGCCCATGTTCTTGCCATTGAATTCTATCATCGTCTTTTTCTCTTTTTCAGGAAGTAGGAAAGTCAAAGGCTACAGTAACTAGCCACAAGGATAGGGTTCCTCAATGATCAGAGGAGCCAAGGACCAGACGTGTCACTTCCGTTGCAGTAGGAGTCCACAGAATGTGCAGCCTGAGTGTAAAGTGGACAGCTTTTAGTGAGGAAGTACACAGCGTGTAGAAAAGGTTACAAATAGGAGCAAAAAGGCAGAGACCAGGGTCCAGAATATTGAGAACTTACTAGAATCTAAGCTACATGAGGGAGGGATATCGTCTCCTTTATTTCCTGGGGAATCACCCAGGCCTATTGCAGAGCCTGGCACAAACGTTAAATGCCTGAATATTAAGTGTAGAGGAAAGGGGGATAAGTAGACAGAGAAGTAGCAACACCATTCAGCATAAAACCACAGCACTCACTACTCAGCATTGCGGAGACCACATGCTCATAAATGTTTTCTAGTTTTGTCTTTCTCATAGTCCTGTGTTCTGTGTTCCTTCTGTCAACCCAGGTAGCTAAAGATTAATTCCATCCTCATGTTTCTGGATTAAAATGTTAAAGCAGAATTGCAAAAAGGAAAAAGTAGAGTTTGGGTTTCAAAATAGATTTTGGAAACTCATGGCAGAGTTAATACTTTGACAGAGAAAAAACTGGGTTTCAAAAGCCTAGGAGCTAGGACATCAAACCTCTGGAAAAGAACATAATTAATCAGAGTAAGAATGTGTGAACTGTGCTGGGACTGAGAGCAGGATGGAGGGAACAGAGGAAAACAACAAGAACAGAAGTCTCAATAGGACTAGGCAAGGTCCCCATGACCACTGTCAGCACTGAGCTGACTCCCAGGGTGAAAGTAGTGGTGGTGAAGATAATCCCTGATAAATCTGGGGAATAAGAGATTAGAGAGAATTTTTCCAGCGATTGCCAAGTAAATCTAGAATAAATGGACCAATTCACAAGTTCCCCTGTGGCTAGTCTGGTATGGAAATCATAGACTAGAAATGGCTGTTGGGTGTGTCTTGGCAGAAAGCCTTTTACAAAAAGAGGGAGGGGATTCTGACAGATGTCATTTTGAGACATCTCAAAAGAGATTTTCAAAAACTAGCTGGATTTTAAAACTGCAAGAGATGCTCTGAGCCTAAGAGTTGTTCCATTTCAAAGAATGGTAGAAAATTATACTAAGCAAATAAGTATAAGTTGCTTGAAAATGTGTTACTTGACTGCTGCCTGTGGATTTGTGACTTACTGTAAAGAGATAGGATTATCTTTATAAAAGCACATAAAAAATAAATGGCTATGCTCTTCTTGATTTCTATGGCAGTCAGGTAGTCAAAGTACCATATCTTTGTTAGGAAAACAGAATAGACCATGGTTTTATTATTTTGGTGTAAAATTTTCAAGTGGAGATACAATGCATACAAACATCAGCTAATTACAACTTTATTGATTCAAAAAGCATGTAGATATCTTTGAATTAAAAAAAAACTTTTTTTTGTTTAATTCTGAACAGATTACGTACATACAAGATATGCTGTTTGTTGTTTTTTTTTTTTTTTTTTTTTTTTTTTTTGAGACAAAGTCTCACTCCATTGCCCAGGCTGTAGTGAAGTGGCAGTGATGCAATCTTGGCTCACTGCAACCTCCACCTCCCGGGTTCAAGCAATTCTCCTGCCTCAGCCTCCCAAGTAGCTGGGATTACAGGCACGTACCACCATGCCTGGCTAATTTTTGTATTTTTAGTAGAGACGGGGTTTCACCATGTTGGCCAGGCTGGTTTGGAACTCCAGACCTCAGGTAATCTGCCTGCCTTGGCCTCCCAAAGTGCTGGGATTACAGGCGTGAGCCACCAAGCCTGGCCTGAGATATGTCTTTATTATAGCATTACAACCTTTTAGTGTTACAAAATCTATACATTTAGACACATTAAATGAAGCATTTATATTGTTCATGCTTAAGGAGTATTATATTTTTAAGTGATCTTACAGTTTTTAATATACTGACCTTTTGTTCTTTTGAATCTATTATTGTCTTAACAAGGGATTTAAGTGAAAAGTTTGATGTTCTACAACTAAATTATTTTCTTATACAGAGTCTTTTTAAGTCTCACATCACTTTCCAGAGAGAGATTTAAAAGGCAAAAGTTATCCCCAAAGTTTATTGCAAGGATTAACCCAGAGTCTTTTATAATTATGAAACACATGAATGAAATATGGTGTCCTTTGCACTTGAAGAAAGCTGAGACAGTAAATCCAGAAACAGGGAAGTGCAAAGACATGTTCACCTTCATTATTAAAAGTATCTTCACTTAAATTTTAGGTTGCCTAGTTAGCCTTCTTATTAAGTATATTTACAGCAGAAATAGTTGACAAATTTACCAATGTGAAAAAGAAATAAAAGGTAACTTAAGTAGCAAATGCCAAGACCCTTTAAAAAACCACTAAATATGTATGTGTGTGTATTTAATCATCTTTTGCATACACAGACATATTTAATTTTGAAAATAAATTATCTCTTAGGGGTTTTAATTTAAGGCAAAGGAAAACAAAATTATAGTCATTCAAAGGGACATAATGACAATAAATCATATTGATGATTTCTCAATACAAACAGGAAGTGAATAGAAACTGACTTTTAAGAAAGGGGAAAAAAAATTCTCAACCCAAAATTGCTCTATCCAAATTGCAGGGGCGGGGGCAAGCCCATGCATGTGCACACACACAGGCGCACACACACAGGCACACATACACCTGCACATCATAGTAAACCCTGTAGAGCTGGGTATTTGTCATGATGTTGACTTAAACAATAAATTAAGACTTTCCATCTCTCCAAACATGTGACCTAAATAATACTTGTTTTCCCCCCTCTTTTTTGAATCATCTAATCATCAAATATCAGGGCTCCAACAGTATTTAAAGACATAAACACAGAATTTCAGGATACAAGGAGACTTTCAATAGTGCATTGTACTCCACTCTCATTGTGCGGGTGAAGACAATAAGATCCAATATCAGGAATGGCTTAATCCAACAATACGGATTTTAAGAGTTATATAAACCATCTGACTCTTTCAAATTTCTCTTTTAGTTGATTGTCTTGGAACCTAATAATTAGGGAAACAAGTAAGAAAGAAGAAATGTCTAGAAATGTGAAAAGCCATAATTTTGCCGATATATCTGGAATCATTGAAAATGTACATTCCTTATCAAACAGAGCTACCATGAGTAGAAGCTACATGGGACAATATTTGGAATATGACGAATTCCAGAGATAGAGTTTTACCTTCTTTTTTTATGTCAAATAGGGAGAAGTTCTTAGTTCTCCCTAAAGAACTAAGAACACAAAAAGAAGGCACCTAATCAATGTTGGTTGAACTGAATTGCCCTTGGCAGGGATAAAGTAATGAGCTTCATTATTCATAGTATTGGAGCAGAGAGTGCCAAGAGATGTTCTAGTCCAGGGTTTCTCAATGCCAGCATTATTGCCATTTGAGGCTGGGTAATTCTTTGTTGTGTGGGAATGTACTGGGCATTGTAGGATTTTTGGCATTATCCCTGGCCGCCACCTACTAAATGCTAGTAGCATCCCACTTTCTCAGTTGTAAAATCATCTCTGGTTGAGAATCACTGATCTGGTGCCATCCCCTCATTTCACTGATGAGATTCAGGTTTCACAAATGCACAGAGTAGAGGTGATTAACCACAATGTCACAGCCAGAATACACACTTCAAAACTGTTTCTGTAAAACCAAGCTGCCCTAGATTTCCTTTGGTTCTATTACACATAAAAATGAATCAAGTCATCAGATCCTGCCTAAATGTAGTTTTTGACATGGGAAGGTTAAACTAGCTTGACTCTACCATGCCCTGCAATGGGCCAGTCTTCAACCGCATGCAATTCATGGAGACCTAAGCTTAAGAGAGAGAAAAACAACTCTATTTTTCTGAACTTAACCCAATGTAATAAACATCATATAAACTTGCTTTCCTTTTGCAGATAAAATATGCTAAACCTCCCAACCTTATTTTTATTGATTTTTATTTTTATTTTTCGGTACAGAGTCTCACTCTGTTGCCCAGGTTGGAGTGCAATGGTGTGATCTTGGCTCACAGTAACCTCAAGCGATTCTCCTGCCTCAGACTCCTGAGTAGCTGGGATTATAGGCACCCGCCACCACGCCCAGCTAATTTTTTGTATTTTTAGTAGAGATGGGGTTTCACCATGTTGGCCAGGCTGGTCTTGAACTCCTGACCTCAGGTAATCCACCCACCTCAGCCTCCCAAAGTGCTGGGATTACAGGCCTGAGCCACTGCACCCAGCCCTCCCAACTTTATTACATAAAAATAATTAGACAAGTCAGCTCCTGGTAAGCTGTTTATTTACTTAACAAAGGTAGTTTTTTATTTTCAAGAGAAAGTAAGGTTAAAAAAAATTAAAGATCTTAAGGCTCATAAGGAAAATTGATATTTGGATGCCTGAGCTACAATAAATTAAATTCCACTTAGGATGCCCTTATTTGAACATTAGAACATTTTTTTTTTTTTTTTCCCTCCGTTGGAGTCTTTATTGTAAATGCACACAGGGGCATCATAGTCAGGGCTAGAGTTTGAAGTCTGGGTGAAACAAATGTTTCTGCAGAGTTCAGAGTCTTGGCTGCCAATATATTTCTAACATGGTGCTGTTGAATTAACTATTTCAAAGTGACTCAAGGGGAAGCTGGTATTTCCCTCGAATCTGAGTTTTAATAGCATTAACAAACAAGGAAGAATTTTATAGGAGTCCTAAAATTATGGGCTCTTTCTAACATTTATTTGAGTCTTTTATCAAGTTCTTCTAATGAATTTTAGGATTATTTTGGCTTATTTCATCAAGGAAGTTTGGTGTAAGAACTTGTTACCTAATGAGTGCCCCTCCTTGTAAGTTCATATTTCAAGTTACATGGTTCATGCCATAAATAAACCACACTTGCTTTAACATCGTTCAGAATGGTACATTTAACAATTGGACATACAGCACTGTAAACAATTCAAAGTCCATTGAGCTTACCATGAAAGAACTGAAACGTATGTAGGAACTGTGTCCTGCTGCAGACAAGCAGCTGCTCTGGCTCTGGTGCGGTGCGGTGCGGTGCGGTGCGGTGAGGTGAGGTGGGCAGGTGTGGAAGGGAGAATTCCTGAGGCCAGTCACAATTATTGAAGCTAAATTAATTTCTTCCTGACACTTTAGCATTAATTCTAAGTAGTTCTAAGTTCTAAACCATTAACTGTATAGTTAATTTTTTTAAATCAAAGAAGAAAAAGGCTTTCACACAGATGAATGTATAGGAAAACACAAGTAATGACAATTTTCAAGAGCCTTATTGTAAAAAAAAAAAAAGAAAGAAAAAAGGACAATTATTTTTGGAGTTACTGTCTCTAATTCTTAAAAAGTAAGTACAGTGTCTGTATCTCTAAGTTTTAGTGCTATACAGCACTAAATGTACTTTATGAATTTGGGGTAGGTAAAGTTTGTATTTTATCTTAAACATGTTTTCTATGATGAAAAGGAACAAAATTGTAAAAAATGAGGATCTTCCCTCTAAAGGTTTCAAAGCGTTAGAGGACATGCTGCCCTTCCTACAAACTCAAGAGGCTCATTGTTCAAGGTGTAAGAACATTATTTTTAAAAACTCTAAAACCTACCGGTAATCCCATCCCTAAAGAAACACCAACTTTGAACTTACAAACTTAGTATAGGTCTCCCTTTCCATGAAGTCTTTGAAATAGACAAAAATACAATTCTTTTTTCAAAAAAATTGGGGTTTTCTTTCTATACATTTATTTTAAATGATTTGCATCACTAGCTTGATTCTGTTCTCCATAGGCTGAACTTCACAAGCTGTCCTTTGTTTTATTTTAGTGGAATTCAAAACACAGTTTGATTACCAGCTTTAGCTCTTTGCTTCTCTTATGCCTTCTCTTGGTTGCTCTTCTCATTAGGATTTATTGTTTTTCCTGCCTAAATTGCTTTTTTTAAGATATTTTATCTTGGGTCACAGAAAGGAAGAGAAGGTTCCCAATTATCTTCATGTAACTCATCTTCAAACTTGTACATCTTGTCATATTTTAGGTTTGTCCTCATTCAAAATCTGTCTATAACACACATTTTAAAATATATGCCAATATCGCCAAGGTTGAGAGATTGTAAAATGTTTTTAAACACATTAAACTTAGCATTCATATTCAAAGAATACCCCCAATTTTCATTATGTTCTCCTGTATGCATTCTACCTTGATCTCACGTCTCATGAGCCAAAACAAATGTACAGTACAGAAAAGAAAATCACAAGCCAATATCTTTGATTGCATTTCCTAAGCATACTTATTAACAGCTATCACACAAAACATTTTAAGGCAGTTGTAGAATTGAAACTGTGTAGGGAGGGAGGGAGGCAGTGTATTTGGAGAGGAGCACTAGTTTCATCAAAAATATCTTACGTATTATAAGACAATTTGGTACATAAACTGGCAAATAAAAATGCCTTTAAGATTCTCACCCACATGCCAAAGGTATGTGATTGTTACCATCTGTGGTTCTATACACAGGCTAATCTTGTCTCAAAATTTGAGGATAAGGTTTGAGATAGAGACTCTTGTGAAATAAAACATATGAATGCATCTTTTTTTCCTTACAAACAAAAAAATTTTTTTAAGAGATGGAGGTCTTGTTTTGTTGCTCAGGCTGAAGTGAAATGGCACAATTATAGATCACTGCCACCTCGAATTCTTGGGCTCAAGCTATCCTCCCGCCTCAGCCTCCTGAGTAGCTGAGACTACAAATGCATGCCACCACACCTGGCTGATTTTTAAATTTTTTGTAGAGATGTGGTCTCCCTATGTTTCTCAGGCTGGTCTCAGACTCCTGGGCTCAAGCAATCCTTCTACCTCAGCCTCCCAAAGAGCTGGGATTACAGGCGTGAGCCACTGCACGCAGCCAACAAACAAAATTTTTGAACTTTCTAATCTCAGAATAACATTTATTTTGGATATTATTTAAAATTATTTTTACATAGATATCCTCTCTCTCTTTTGAAATGTTGTTGTTTAATACCTTACAGATAAAACCAATAAAGAATTAAAACATTCTATTTTAACAAAGACCTATTTTTTTTGAGATGGAGTCTCGCTCTGTTGCCCAGCCTGGAGTGCAGTGGCACGATCTCAGCTCACTGCAAGCTCCTCCTACTGGGTTCACGCCATTCTCCCGCCTCAGCCTCCCGAGTAGCTGGGACCACAGGCACCCGCCACCACACCCTGCTGATTTTTTGTAATTTTTTTAGTAGAGACGGGGTTTCACCGTGTTAGCCAGGATGGTCTTCATCTCCTGACCTCGTGATCCGCCCACCTCGGCCTCCCAAAGTGCTGGGATTACAAAGACCTATTTTTAAACTGGAGTGTACTTTGTATGAGAGGTTCTAAATATGGCAGTGGCCAATCTCCCTTGAATAAATATACATACAAACATCATGTGTTAACAAAACATAGAACACATTTGCGTAAAACTTTCAAAAGGTCATTGTTTCCTAGTAAATTGGGATATTAACAGACACTACATATCCACCAACTATTTGTTAAGCAAATAATGCTTCAGACCATTATGATAGAGTGGCAAATAAGTCTTCTTTGGGTGTTTGCTGTTTTAAAAGCAAATAAAAATCTCTTTAAGATTTTTACTCCTACATAAGGCAGCTGAAGAGGGGCATGGAAAAGAAATTCCTGTTAACAACTGACAATTGCCAACAGAATAATCTAAAGCATAGGTTACAATTTTCCAAACTTGATGCACACATAAAATCAAGAGAAAAGAAATGTCAAAAAAGGGGGGGGGGGTGCAGAGGTGATGGAAATTCTGTGTATGAAGAAGTGAGCCTATCTAACTATATTTTGGAGGAAAAGGCAAATATTGTCTCAAAAAGACAATTTTTAAAAAAGATATATACTAAGAAACTAGTTTATCGTGCTGATGATAATTTGTCTATTATGTATAGAACATAACCTGTTTATGCTAAATTGTCTATTACATCTTTCATATAAAGGAAGGAAGCAAAGCAAAATAGAGAAAACTCATAAGGACTTCAGTCCTTAAATTAAAAAAAAAAAACATGGCAAAACTTAGAGAAGCCAAATCTCTGTTCGTAAACCTTCCCAAAGAAATGTAACACTACAAGAAATTGCAGCTTTCCTCTCGTTAAAACAATCTAGCAAACCACTAATTCATTTCTACACCTAAAAAGGTTCATTTAAACATTTACCCCAAAATATTTCTCAATAAAATGTTAGCAATTATAAAAGATGATTTTATGACAGAAGAATATGGGCCATCTTGATTGAGAAACAAATGTTGAAAAAGTGGTAGTTTGTGACAAAGCCAGAGTTTTTCAGAGAGAGTAAAAGGCAGTATTGTCAGTTTCACCTACGACAAAGGTATTTATCCTGTAATATTAACATGTGGGTGACATAAAGAAGGGAAGTTGAAGGTCACAGTTGAAATACAACTTGATGAATCATTAGATAGAAACCTGAAAGTCACTGACATAATCATCAAAGTTGAATGTCAAGCATAGTCATTTTGGTAGGGAAAAGAGGCAAGTCAGATGTCTAAAAAAAACTCAGAAGAAAAGCGGGAATGAAATACTATAACAAGGAAAAGTCTCTATAATTACCCTTTTATGTTCTCTGTGAGGTAGCACAGAGGAAATTCTCTAAATGGTCATCTTCATAGAAAATATGTTCTCTCTCCCATTTAAACAGAGTAGAAGAAAAATAAATTTTAAGAGGCATACATGCTGGAAAGTGTTATTTCTCACAAACGGAAAAAAAAAAGAAAAATATTTCTTGGAAAATCAGATGAAACAATATTCTCCCTTTAATTCTATCCAAAACCTTTTTTCACACATTTCCTTAGGGCTTTAAGAAAGTATCAATATATCTAATACTATGAGTTGCATTATTAATTTATAAAGAGAGGATTTTTACATAACACTTTATGTAAATGAGGTGAATTATTGCCCTTTTATATTAAACCAAAAATCTTCAATGAAATCCTCTTTATCTAATTACACATATTAAATGATCAGAAAACAAGCAATATATTTTGCAAATTCATAAATAGTCAGAATAAACTAAATACCATTCAGCTCTTTAGCATCTTCATTCTCATCAGCAAATTGCTTTTCTGAGCCTGTATGTCTTCTGGATGCCCATTAGTCCAATGAATTTTGCTAATTATTTTCCAGCTCTACTTTTAGTTATCAATAAAAATATGCTTTAAACACACCACCACAGTTTTTAAATCCATAGATTTATGGCAAAGTGTGAGGACATTTTGTAATAACTGAAAAGCACCACAAATTGGCACAATAATAAATTAACTGAATAACGAGTGAAGATTAATTATTAATTAATAATGAACGAAGACAATTTCAGAAAAGCATAATCTTCATTTTGAAGGTTTCGTTTTTTTAAAAAAAAATCTAATATACAATGATGCTTCCTGGCCTATGCCACTTTGATGTAAAAGTTGTTGGCTAGTAAATTTCGATGACTTGATTATGCATTTGGTTTCAAACTTGGCTGTTAGAACTCAGCAGCTGTTTCCAGGCAAATTTTCAGCTCATAATCAGGTCAAAAGGCTGCCCAGCTGCACCTTTTTGAACTACAGTAAATACATTTCTGTCAGGTCTCATTATCATCTTTAGTGTCTGACATTTTGTAACAGAATTTTGAAATCATATCTAATGGCAGTGAAGCTGCTAGGAAAAATTTATTGACTTAACAATCCCATCCAACATCTCCTGTCATGTGGAACTGTCCCCAGTACAAGGCAGATTAGTGACTGTGAGCTACTTCCATTTGGCCCAACTGTCTGGCTAAAGAATTTTCCATTACATGGGTGGATGAGATCAGCTGAGTTTGGAACCATTCAATTTATTCTGTGGCAGCAGTGTAAGAGAAGACAATAGTGACTAGAAATGAATTTGAGTACACTTTCTTCTATTGAGGTTCTGATGAAGTAGCAATGCTGAGATTATACATTTTATTATTCAAGTTATTTTTTAAGCAGACGTAAGCATCTACCCTTGAGAGCTGTTTTGGTATCTCTCCATTGTAGATTCTGGACACAATGAGATGATAGTTAAAGCTCAACATAAAAAGGCCAGTTGACAGTACATGCCGTTTCCCAGGTGTTCAGTGGTCCCAAGGTTCTATCTTATCTTTCCCTTTCATGCCAGGTCAATGAATAAGGCCAGGGGACCTTTGGAATTCACTTTTAAGTGGTATGCTAGGCTTCTTTCAATTCTGACAGTGCATTGTCTGCTATTACTTCTCATGTTCCACATTCAAATGGGGATACAAATGAGGATAAATTGGTTGAAAGAAAATATAGATAAGATTAGGTCTGTGGTAACTTAAGATTTGCAAAATAGGTCAAATTTTCAGCCAAGTATTTAGAAATAAATAGATTTATGTTGTAATGTAAAAAGAGCTTTAAACTTACTTTATAGTCAGAAAAAGCAACGAAAAGAAATGGCAATTATTTTTAATGACAAGAATTTTCTGCACTTGAAAATGGAATTTATCATTTCAGTAGACAGTACATGTCGTAAATTACAGGTAGATTAACTCAATACTCTACAAGGAGTCTTGCTTGAAGTAAAATGCATGAATTTAAAATTATACTCACACAGAAGAATAAAGTTATTATCTTCCAGCATTGGATCATATTTTGAACAATGTAGGTTCCATGGATAATATGTGAAATTTAACTGTTAGTGGTTTGATTTTCATATAACTGCTAAATTATTTTTATAAACATTTTATAATTATCCCATACTGTCTAAAACTTCATACTAAAAGCCACTAAAATATTAGTGTCATACAAGCAATAGATATTTCATAAGTGCTTTTGTTAATGATAAAAAAATGTTTTCCCCACAGGAGTTTCCATTTCTGTTATGTATGGAATTAGTGAAGGCAACCTTATATATCAACAAAATTTCCCTATTTAATTTAATTTGAGGTCTATAATTTTATTCCAGAAAATTAAAATAATTGCCTCTAATTATCATTTTTGATCATATCAATGCCTTCTAAAAAAATCAGACTTATAAATCATAGCCTTCTCAGAAAGTGTATATAAATCAATGGAAAATATTTTCATCTGAATTTTGTAAATAAAAACTAGAACTAATCATAAAAAGTATTTGTAATGAACTTTTTCAAGGTTACATAGGGATTTCAGACCCAGTTATGGTTAATCATAGATTTTAAGTAATGCAAATTTTAGTGTTTAAAGGATCCTTAAAAGGTACCTAATCTGAACACCTCATTTTGTGCATTAAGAAACTGAAGCCAGCCGGGCGCGGTGGCTCACGGCTGTAATCCCAGCACTTTGGGAGGCGGAGGCCGGCAGATCGCCTGAGGTCACGAGTTTGAGACCAGCCTGGCCGGCATGGTGAAACCCTGTCTCTACTAAAATTACAAAAATTAGCCGGGAGTGGTGGCAGGCGCCTGTAATCCCAGCTACTCAGGAAGCTGAGGCAGGAGAATCGCTTGAACCCAAGAGGCGGAGGTTGCAGTGAGCCGAGATGGCGCCATTGAGCTCCAGCCTAGACAACAGAGCGAAACTCCATCTCAAAAAAAAAAAGAAAGGAAGAAAGAAAGAAACTGAAGCCTAGAGAGATAACACCACTTGCCCATGGTCACAGAGCTAACACATCAGATAAGAGATTCTTTATGTTTTATAAATATAAATATAAATGTAATTATAATTTATATTTTCAAGAATATTGTTAGTTATTATTTTCAAACTAAAATTTTAAAAAGAGCATAACACCTTATATTCCTAAATCTATTTTATTATGGATTATAAAATATGATGATCTTACATGTCCTGACTGTATTCAGAAAGTTTTCTGAATATCTTACATTGCTTATTAATTTCATATTTCAATCTCTCAATAAAATATATAGCCCATACTCTTTGCTGCATTTTAATATGACAAAGATTTAAAATCTCTGCTATTCATTATGAAGTTTTATATTGCATAAATGTGTATTTTCATATTTTTCACAAATATAAAGCACCATTGACAATTCTCCATTATACCTCCTTCAACATATATAAGGAGAATCTAGTATAGACTTTTCAAACATAAACAAAATGAACAACAAATCCTAAATATGACTTGATCCCCGATTCTGTTACTATTACTTCCCAATCTGGGAGACTGCATCGTCTCTGTTAATATGAATCTAAACAGGACTTTTGTCAACTTCAGTATACCAAATCTAAAATATTCCATCTCTTCAAAAGGAGGCAAGATTTTATTTTATTTTTTGAGACAGGGTCTTGCTCTGTCACCCAGGCTGGAGTGCAGTGGCATGATTACTTGCTCACTGGAGCCTCAACCGCCTGGGCTTCAACAATTCTCCCACTTCAGCCTGCCAAGTAGCTGGGACCACAGGCACACGCCACCATACCCAGCTATATATTTTTTTTAATTTGTTGTAGAGATGGGGTTTTACCATGTTGCCCAGGCTTGTCTCAAACTCCTGGGGTCAAGCAATACTCCTGCCTTGGCTTCCCAAAGTGCTGGGATTATAGACATGAGCCACTGTATCCAGCTGGAAGCAGGATTTTAGAAATAAGAATGCAACACCTATATGACCCATCCAATCAGTGATTTTGTGATGTCTTTATAGAGAGCAACATCTTGGTCTCCAAAACAATACCAGCACTAGATAGACAAGTTTTAGAAAAAAAAAAAAACACATTAAAATGCTTCAAAATATTATTCTTGAATTATTTAGCAACTTCTATTTATTATGCAAGCATTTTTCATTACCAAATATATTCCAATCAAATGAACATGTTCTTACGCATACTATATTCATAGAGACATCTTTATTTTATATTTATCAAAATATATTTATATATTTATATATATTTTATATATATTTATATTTATCAAAATAGCAAACATTTTCTCTTGTATGTGCTCACCTGTTCAGAAAAGAGGTCGCTGTTATCTTCCAAGTATTTACTGAAAGGGTTGGGTTCATAGACTTCCTCCTCTTTTTTCAGTAATATTCTGGATTTTACAGGTACTGGGCGAATTACTCCAGGCTTAGTCTTCATGAATGTAAAATAAATATTTTAAAAACAGGAAAAAAACACTATTAAAATGAACAAATATGTTTATTGTTAAGTCATTCAATGCTGTTCTCACAGAAAATTATATTTTTTTAATTTTAAAATGATTTCAAAAATGCATAAAAACAGCCTGAAGTCAAATGATTTTAACTAATATAAGTTTAGTTAAAATTTAACTATAACAGCAATCAGTTCATAAAGCTCTACTATTGTAACATTCAAAATGCAAACATGTTCTACCCTTGCTGGTGCATTTGGTCAACACATATTTCATTTGCTAAGTATTTATTGAGAGTCTTCTCTGTGTCAGGCAGCATTCTGGGCATGATAGCATAGATGACTTTGGTATATCCACCAAGCCCATGACAACTTTCTTTTTCTGGAAACTGCTCACCCTCCATGCCCCAAAATCTACAAAGCTGGGCCCCCAGATGCCATGTTCATATTATGAACTGAGGTGGCTTTCTGACCTAAAAGAGTGGAGGGTGGGTGGCAAATAGATTGTCTCTCCCAATAACGTGGAACAGGGATTTAAACTGTTGTGCAGTAACTGTGGGAGACTGAAATTAAAGTATGTCATGTAGAAGCTACAGGAAAGCCTTAACATGACCTAAAAAGCAGATATGCTGAGATCAAGAAGGTTAGAGCAAAGTGCATGGAGGGGCAGCCCAGAAAGGAGAGACACCAGAGGGCTTTCCAGAATTGACTCCCCAAACATTCCAGGGGCCTACATGAATTTCCTTTCCTGACGTTCTTTCCTTTTCTTTTACACCAGATTCCCTCACACACACACCTTTTTATTTAACTCAACTTTACTTTTGTCACTTGCAATCCAAAGAATTTTAGCTAATACATCAGTCACTCGAGATTCTTAAGCTTGTACCCAGTGTCGATTTGACAAAGAGAGGCAGGAGAACTCTAGTTTGGGGTAATTTCAAAATGTGATGTTTCACAAACACCAAAATCTTGTTACCCCGTAAAATGTCACAGAAAGATTGACGTTTGCAAAAACATCCCAAACAATAATTTAATAAAAAGCTGTGATGCTCTTTCTGTTTAAGCACTTTTGCTGCAATCATTCTTCTCAACCCCATTTCCTTTTGGAAAATGGTAAATTAGCTCTTTTCAGTCAATGCTGATGCTCACAAGTTAAGCCTTAAGGGACTACATCTATCTCTCTGCTCTATAAAGCACCTGATATATTTTGAGTCTTGAATAAATGTCACTCTGCAATACTTTCTTCAACAGATATTTGGTCTTTCATGTATATGACAACTGGGAAAATACAGATTGAGACAAGTCTCTATCTTCCCCAAACTGAGAAATATCTCCCACTTAAGAAACTCTGATTTTTCTCAAGGGGAAAAATGAATAAGTAACATCCAATTGTGCATGAAGTCATGCCATAGAGTATACACATGAGAACAATATTCCTCCATTAAGTGCTGCCAAAAAAAAAAAAAAAAAAAAAAAAAACGTCCAGGCAGTTCCTGATTTCTATAGCCACCTGTAATTATGGAGATGCCTGATATCTGGGCCATGATCCTAAGTTGTCCACACCTCTGTCTCTTTTTTTCATTTGACTTCCTGCTTCATTTCTTCTTTCTTCTTCTCCTATTCCTGCACTTCCTGCACTTTCTCCTTCTCTTCTACTCCCTTGTGAGGCAGAAAATAAATGCAACTCCAGGACTCGGGCTACAAGGCTGTAAAACCAACATGGTACTTTAGGGGCTAAGCTTGGTGTCACTATGCAGAAAGATGAAAGCAGGGAGAAGAAATCTAATCAGGAGCACTTTGGATGGTAGGATAACCTCTGCCAGAGAAATATGACTGCCTGGGTCCCTTTATCGCAAGCAGGCAGATGTTTGGGGTTATTCTGGCCTAGGGCATTCCACTCAGATCATCTGTCTTGGGATCAGTCCTTTCCAGGGTGACATCAGAAGAGAGACTCTTCTGGTTGGTTGGATATCAGATACATTCAGTATCAGAGTCTGTTACTGATGCTTCATATTTGCTTCTCTACCAGTTTTCATGCTCTTTAGTTCTTATGAGTTTCCTGGATTTGATGGTTGTCTCTGACAATTAGACAATGATTTTTGCTCCATTTCCTCCACTCTACCAGATTTTCCACGTTCTTTTCTTGGACTTTGTGTTCCCAGGTTTGGGCTATATGAAGTCTCTGAGTCTTCCTCATTCTATTTACTTACTTGGTCTTCATATGGTTTCCCTGATTTTTACATTGTATATGTTCCCTTTTTCTTTAGTCCTGTTCTTTGCTCCAACAACCTTAATTTGTTGTTACCCAGTAGTCAATACTTCATAGATATGGAAGCCAACTCTAGGCAAAAGACGACTACACATAGTTTGCCTTTGACATTGTTCATACTTCTCATCCTATAATCTTTAACCATACCTTTCAAACCCAACCATCTCTCACTATTGGTCCAGTTAAAAATCTAACCCTAGTGTCCCAATTCTGAACCTCATGCACCCTCCACAAACCTTGGTATACTAACAAGTCATCTGCATGGTAGCCTCTGCACCTTCCTCATGCCTTTTCATGTGCTTCAAAACCGGCTTCAAAATCCTTGAGGACCCATTGCAGCTAATAACATTGTCATTGTCTCATAGACACAGATTCTATATTCTATCAATATAGAATCAAAAACTGAACTCAATATTTTAGATAGATCATCTCATCAATTTCTTGTAAATTCTTTGGGAGTTTTAAAGGTAATAAGTCACATGCCAAAGTCATGCAGTTAATATGTTAAGGTTTAAATCCATGTTTGGTGTGATCATCATGCCTGTGATTTTTATCACTTCTATGCCGATTCCAGGGAGGAAGAGAGACATCATAGAATAGATAGAAGTTTGAAATCTTTGTTAAATATCCACCTCTCTGTAACTTATCCTGTCTAATCAAAAACAAAGCTCCTGTAGTTTTTATATGTTTTATTCCTTTAAAATTTATTGTTTCTCTGTTTTATTTCCACTGTCAACTGTCTCATCCTTGATTTTGGCCATTGCTAACTCATTCTATGCCATTTTACTTTCTTTTCATTAGCCATCCTAAATATTCTCAGAACATTTAGGACCTAATGTTATCTAATGTTTTCAGTTCCTGGTGACTGTACACATCCACACATCCACTCTCTTCACACACACACAAACACACACACACATATACACACACACACACACAGACACACACACCTCTTCACCACCTCCTAAAATACTCCATAATTTGCATGGCCAAGACATCAAATTCCCACTGTGTCTCTGGATTTGGTTAAAAATTTACTCTCATGAAGTAGCATAATATTGTAGAAGGAGAGAAACATGGACATAGATTTTAGTTTTTGCAATGTTGTTAATAAACTGTATTACCTTGGAAAAGCCATTCAACCTGTGTAGACCTTCTGTTGAAGGGTTGTAATTCTAATACATGACTATGTCCTTTAATAATGGGTAATGACACACTTTATTACTTACCTTTCCGACCCCTCAGGAATTATACCACACAGAGTTACAGCAAAGGGCTTGTTTCTGCATATTCAAACCCATCACCCAAACAAGGGTCTCAAAGTGCCACTTAGAAAGTCTATAAAACAGCATATGTGAAGCAACTGGCACTGTTGCCATCACACATAAGTCTCTCTTGGAATATTAGTTAACTTCCCCTCAATTCTTCCTCATACCTTGTTTCACAATGTCAAATGGTGATGCAATCTACATTTGCAACAGAAAGTTAACTAATGTTCTATCCAATTAAGACATTGTCTGCTAGCACTTTGACCCTTAGAATGAAGGCTGTAGACCAGTATCAGCATCACCTGAGAACCTGTTATGAGTGCCAAAGCTCAGTGCCCGACCTAAGCCTACTGAATCCGAATCTGCATTTTTACAAATCCCTAAGCGATTCATGTACACATTAAAAGTTGAAAGACACTAGACTTGAACTCAATACATTAAAATGTGCTGCTCATGTAGAGATAGATCTTTCTAAGTCTATCATTCCAGAGACACCCATTTGGCCTTGTCTTCTGTCTCCAGACTGAAGGAGAGGCTTTAAAACAGACTATGCTTTATTAATTCCTCATCTACATTGCAACTTTGTGTGTAGTGATCTTTGCTGATACCTTTGGACTTCAAGTAAAGGTTCTCTTGAACAACTTCTCTAATTCTGAACAATTTAATTTGTTACATCTGTGTCCAAACAAACACAGAGGAAATTAGATCTATCAAGTTAGGGGAGTCTATAAAACTGAACTACTGTAAGATTGTCATTGTTCAGCAATATTACAACTAAACTAGCCTTAAGAGGCCCTTCTTTCATTTTTATCTACTATAGAATCCATAGAATAGTCAGACTCATGATTGATAGGTGCAAATGGCCGTCTAATGATGCCAGAAAAAGCAGTTTTGTAATTTTCTTTCCAGCCTATGTGGAAAAATAAAAAATGTAATGACTCTCATAGCCAGCACAAAGGGCACAAGAAAAAAAATGAGAAGATTCTCCAAATCGAAAATATCAATTCATGAATGTACTGAGAACTGATTTACACTGGGTATAGACATTTTTGAAGTGCCTGAAAGACAAATAGCTGTTTTGCAACTCTGAAACACACCTCTACCAGATGTTCACTGGAGACATTTTGCCAGTTAAGATCTAGTCTGTGTCAGGAACTATAGTGTCTATAGAGATAAAAAAAAGACATACCCCCTGTTTTCAGAGGGTTCACAATCCTGTTGAATAAATCATAAGATAACCACAGTATAAGTCGAGTCATGTCACTCATCTCCTAAATGATGTCCGTCAGTTCTACATCAAGTCATGTCAACTCTCCTCTGAAAGCTCTCTAATGCCTCACCTTTTTACTGAGAGTAAAGTTCAAAGCCCTGGTAGTGCCTACAAAGCAATGCCTACAAGGGTGCTGTATGACCTGATCTTTCATATCCCTAACCAGCCTCTCTTTTTCCAATCTTATTTCCTAGTACTCTCCCTTCCACCCCTTCACTGTTTCTACTCTAGCTTACACATTATATGATACTGCCTCCTCTAGGAGTTTGTATTTGCTCTTCCCTTGTCTGGAACTCCCTTATTCCTTCTTTTTCAGTTTTTCAAATGTCCGTTTAAACATCACCTTATCAGACAGATCTTTTTAATGAGCCATATAAAATAGCAATCTCCACCTCTCTTACCTGCTTTATTTTCTCCACAGCAGTTACCACTACCTGACATCTGTTTGTGTTTATTGTCTTTCTTTCTCAACTAGAATGTAAGTTCTGTGAAACCAGAGATCTTCGGTTTATTCACTCTTGTATCTCCAACATCTAGAATGGTGCCTGTACCTGGTTGGTGCTCAATAAATACTTGCAGAATGAATAAGTTAATTGACAGACAGAAGCTCAGTGTGCTGACTATAATTCAATATGGAGTCTATAAGAGGTACTGATTCAATGCAAAGACATGGAATCAACCCAAGTGCCCATCAATGATAGACCAGATAAAGAAAATGTGGTACATATACACCATGGAATACTATGAAGCCATAAAAAGGAATGAGATCATGTCATTTGCAGGGACATGAATGGAGCTGGAAGCCATTATCCTCATCAAACTAATGCAGGAACAGAAAACCCAACACTGCATGTTCTCACTATAAGTGGGGGCCGAACAAAGAGAACTCATGAACACATGTTAGGGAACAACACACAGAGGCCTGTTGTGGGCGAGGAGGGAAAGCATTAGGAAAATATGCTAATTCATGCTGGGCTTAATACAGAAGTGATGGTTTGATAGGTGCAGCAAATCACCATGGCACATTTTTACCTATGTAACAAACCTGCACGTCATGCACATGTACCCTGGAACTTAAAATAACTTCTTTTTTTTAAAAAAAGGTGCTGATTGACTCCTTGAGGTCTTCCATTATTTTTCTTGAATTGGCTTTTTGATCACAATATAATTCACAAAGAGGGAACTTTGAGGGATAGAAGAGCCATATGGCATTTTTCCAATAGAGGATGAGAAGAAGGAAAGTGGGTTGGTGAGTTTCACCCTCAGAAGAAAGAGTAGAAAGCCAAAGTTCTCATCTTCAGAAAGTCAAGGAAAGAGGCCACTTCTTTAGGGACTTTACACGATTTTAATCTTCTTCATTTAAAATAAATTGTTGTTTTTCTCCCTCTGTTCATGGTGATATGCAATAAAACTCTTAATACCAAAACACAATGATGTCATCTTTTTTAGAGAATTCAAGAGTGGAGAGTGGGGAGGAGAAGAGGATATTATATCTGATGCTAACATTAGTCTTGGGGACAGAAAAAAATCCAAGGGAGTGAATATATGGGCTCCCCGAAGCCCAGTGGCAGGTTTTAATGGGCTATAAGACACTCGTCTAAGCCTGCTATTGATTTGTGTTTATAATCTATCAGGTATACACTCATACTTGAACATTGTCACTTTGGGCACTATGTAAATAGATACTATTTCCATCCTTTGGAACTTATAATTCTATGACAGCAAGTTGGTACAGCCTCTGAGCTAGAGACCAAAGTTGGAGATTAACTACCAGCGCTGACCTAGAGAATCCATGACCAATATTTTTAAATAATGGGTTTTTACAGCAAAATCTTTCTTAAACTAGTAACTTCAACTAACACTAATGGACTGATGTTTTTTAATTGCCTTTGACTATAGTAATAAGCTCTCGGGTGGTGTGATAAAGCAAAAAAGAAATAAAGGACAGGGTGCCAGCTTTCAAGAGTTTATTTTAATCTTTCTGGAGAGATAAGATGTGTAACAAAACTGCAAGAAAGTGACAAAACAACATATAGCAAATTCTGTGAGTCTGGCTGGAAATTCTACTAATTTTATGGGCTCAAAGAGTTTGTGAAAGTGCCATGGTTGTTTTTGACCCATTTGCTGCAGTTTTGTCTTCATTCTCCAGTGCTTTTTTCTTTGCCTTTAGAATTTCCATGGCAAAAAAGTTTGTGCAAACTCAATATATTCTACCAGGCAAAATTGTGGGCAAAAGCAATATTCTCTAGATTATTTACCTGATTTACTCATTCAGATAATACAGATTTATAGACCCTAATTCTTGTTTTAAACAAACATTATTATATACTTGAAGCAAATACTCAAGCTATGTTTTCCCCTCAAACAAATATCTTAAATCTCAAAACACTATGGCATAGGGTAAAGCTCCCAATATTGGAAAAAACAAAAGAGATTTTTATACCACTTATTACCACGCAACTATTGACATGGCATTCTAGATATTTAAACTTCAGTTTTTTCATCAGAATAATGGAAATAACAATTCCTGCCATACTAACTCCAAGGTGATTCGAGAACCTAATGAGATAATATGCATGACAAAACTTGATAAAGAAAAAACAGCATAAAATAAATTTGAAAGTAAAACAGAATATATACTTTGCAATTATAAATATGGCATGTTGATTCTAAATGATCTAGACCATTCACAAAAGTACCTACTTGATGTGTTTTTCCAAAAAAAAGTTTTATAATGATTACAATAGTTGTATAAAAATAAAGGCACATAAGACCTCAATAATTATTGGCAGTATCTCATGGCTCAAGAACCATTTCATGAAATATACACAATACAGATTGGCCAGATTGAAATATTTCAATGGTTAAATAAAAGATGATAGCATGACTCAAACCTGAGGAGGCGTACCTGATAAATGCTGTGGCACTTAAGTACGTTATGTCAAGGAAAAACTGGTCAAGGAGAAACTGCCTTTGAGCTTGAAGGAGACATCGGTTCTACATAAAAGCTTTCAGGGCTGCATTTTCTGAACAACAGAGGCCTTAAAAGGGCCCTCAGAAAGATGAGTCATGCACCCACCGCTAAAGCTGGATGCATCAGCTGGCATTCAGAACTAGGAACAAAGTATTTGCAAGTTTAAGCACTCTTCTTAATAGTGTTCCAGTAAATAGCATCTTGCTTTTACCTGTATATAGCCATGTGACTTATTTTTAAAATCTATTGTTTTGTGCTCTTTAGATTAAGTATTCCATCCTGGACAACAGTGAACATTTTGTAACGGCATGAAATTTCAAAAGCAAAAGGCAAATGTCATCTAAACCAGGCTCCCCTACTGCCAAAGAAGACCAGGGTTTAGCTACCTTGGGGTGCCTAACTTGTGTGTTATCTTATGCAGGGAAAAAGACCCCGCTGGCCTTTGTTAATATCTTTGTGATGATTCAGCTCAACAGCTAGGAAAGCTTTGTGAAGGTTTAACGCAGACCCTAGATCTTTCCTTTCCTCTTGCTCCTTTTAATATGCTACAGGAAGCACTATTCACAGCTGTGAAAACTTCAGTACTCTAACTGACCCTACCCAGTCTCCTCTTAGGTAAGTACTCACATTTTCCAGGCAGTGCAAAAACACGAGGCAGAGTCAGACACAGGAGGTACCCAGTGAAAGTAATGCTTCCAGTGAGGCCCTGTTTCCAAACTCCTTAATTACTCTTTTCTTATTTTCCTTGAATTATCTAAAATCAATATTAATGATTCATTTTCCAAAACTACATAAAGCAAGGATGAACACTAATGCTGGTGATCCTAGATAATCTATTTAACTACATAAGCATTTCTTTCTTTTTCTGTAAAAATGGCTGCTCATAATATCTCTTCATCATTCACAGATTTTATGTGCAAAAATAACCTCTCCCTATCCATAGGAGTATACTGACAACTCCACATTTTATGATATGTGAGCCTCACAATAATCCCTTCAGGCTGACAGAGTCGTTATTCCAATCTCCAGTGAATAGGTGGGAATTTCCAATATTTTCATCTCTAATTTCCTTTCCAGTTCTGATCGACTGCAGTGCAGTTTAATAGTAGAAGAGAAGCTAAGATTGGTGAACTAGCTTCACATGAACCTCCAAAACAGTCTCCCAAGCTCCTCTAAATCATTTGGCTTCCAGAGTAAACAACGGAAATATTTTAAGAGTAAGGGTCATGGCTCTATTTCTTCTTTCCTTTTCAATTCTGAATTGGCACACTTGCAATAAAAGCAAGCAAACAGATCAGCCAAGTTAAAAATTTGAAAGCATGAAAAAATGATGTATCGTTAAAAAGTTAAATCTCAAAAGCAATTTGAGAATTGCATTAAGCTTGTGGTACCATAGCACTTTGTCATATATTTTCTGTTCAAAACATTTACTACATTTACCTCCTAAAATAGGAGTCAAATAATTTTAACTATTTAGTTTGTTTTACACAAAACAAATATTTGTTTATATAATTCAACTATAAAGTATCATACATTTCCAATAACTTTGTTTTTATGCGTTATACATCCATACATATTTACTCATATAAACAAAGATGTGTATATATAAACAATCAGAATTACCTCATATGTCATCTATATGTGTATGCATATTATAAACACATACATATATAAAAATATAAATATATATATCAAAGTTTTGTTTATCAAAGACATTCTTATTTACTCATATTATTCAGAACTTAAAGAGTTCGTGATGGCAAATATTGAAAATTCATTCATAAAAATGAAAAAATTATAACTTTATAAATAGTGTTACTTAAGTGTAAAAATATTCTAATTCCTTAGTGAAGTACATGTCCTATAATATGTCTTACATACAATCATTTTCCACTATTTATTTCACTCTCGGGTAGTATTAATATAAACACAGGGCTAACGACATGAAATAGAAACCAAAATTATTGAATAAAATAAACATATCAGTAGAAGAGATTTTTTTTTAATGTGATATGCTTACTTGATAATAATCCCTTCACAAACCTACCTGTATCTCAAGGGCATTTTGAGATTAAAACTTAATTTAAAACTTGGTTAAGAAATGCCTTGAACTCCTTAGAGAAAAGGACTTAAGTAAATGCAGAGAAATTATTATAAAAGTCATTCAAAGCAATGCTTTGTAGTTTTGCCACTAGAGAACACAAACAACAGGATTATTTTATTGGGCAAAAAGTAAGTTTTTTTTATTACATTCACAAAGAGTTGTTTTACTATATCTTATTTTATAAAATCATTATATATATATATACACATATATATATTTGCCACTTTGAAATAATTTCTTAAAGGATTAAACCAAGAACTTACATGTATGTAAAATACACACCTACACATGTATATATAGTCCAACACCTAAAATCTATATTTTATATACTATACTGAGTGAAACTATATATGAGAATGTTTAAAACATTCATTTCCATATATTACTCTAAATAAACAAATATATCATTTTAAATACTAAAATAATTGTAGTAATATTTCCATATCTAAAGTGGGAAGTCATTCAACCTCATTATGTTATTGCAGTGCTTGTTTCCATGGCAACTCCTTCAACTTCACTGTGTTAGTAACCATAGATTCACAGCCCTGGAAGGGCTTGGAAAGTACGCAATAGAATGCTCTCACTTTCAATTAAGAAATTGAAATCCAGACTCCCGGACTTTTGACTTACCCACTGTCAGACCACTAGTTAATGTCAGAGCAGGAAGTATAAGGTGGGTCTTCTGATACTCATCCCAGATTCTTTCAACTATACTATATTGCCCCCCCACACACACACTGTTCTAAACCAATTGACACTAATGCACACACATATTCAAACACATGCCATATACACACTATATGTATAAACACCAGTATACCCAAGTGGATTGATTGAATCAAGCTATTTTAAAAGTCAAACAACACTTTTTATGATTTCTCAGTATTACAAATAAATATATTGTAATTATTTTTATTGGGATAATAATGACAAGATGATTTGTTGGCTGTGGCTATAGGATACCAAAACAATTTCTTTAAAAGGGGATTATCAGTTAATGTTTCAAACTGTTTTACTAGAAATTTCCATCATTTTAGTGAAGATATCTATTATTCAGGAATTTACAATTTTAGACAATAAATAGCCAAAGATATTAAGAAAATCTTTGGCCGGGCGCGATGGCTCACACCTGTAATCCCAGCACTTTGGGAGGTCGAGGCGGGTGGATCACGAGGTCAGGAGATCGAGACCATCCTGGCTTAAATGGTGAAACCCCATCTCTACTAAAAATACAAAAAATTAGCCGGGCTCGGTGGCGGGCGCCTGTAGTCCCAGCTACTCGGGAGGCTGAGGCAGGAGAATGGCGTGAACCCGGGAGGCGGAGCTTGCAGTGAGCCGAGATCGCACCACTGCACTCTAGCCTCGCCGACAGAGCGAGACTCCGTCTCAAAAAAAAAAAAAAAAAGAAAATCTTTGACCAGTAATATCTCGGAAACTTATTTCATGACTTCAATTTGGTAACCACTGTAAGCATAAGAAATACAAAACTCTATAAGATAAAATAATTCTCTCATTTAATCAAATTTTATCTTCAAATAACAGATTTTAGAGTCTGGATCTGTGCTGCCCAATGTAGTCCCCACTGTTGAGCTCTTGTGACTAGGCAGAATTGAGATTTGCTGTAAATGTAAAATATGCAATAGTTCAAAGACTTTTCCCAAAAAAAGTAATGTAAAAATATCTCAATTTTTATACTGCTTATCCATTGAAATGATAATATTTATATAACATTAAATAAAATATTTTATGAAAATTAACATTACCTGTTCCATTTTACTTTTTTAATATGGGTACTAGAAGTTTTAAAATTACATATGTGGCTTACATTTGTCATTCACGTTGTGTTTGTATTGCTCAGCACTGATCTAGACCATTTGCATGCTAATTCTCCTGTGTGACATATCTATTTCTTATTTCCTCAAATCCAAAAACTATCCTACTCAATCATGACCTTCTCCTTAAACTCTTTTTAGATCTCTTCCTTTAAAGAGTGTGCTCTCTTCTCTAAATTCTAATGGCATCTTTCATCTGACCTCACAATCTCTTCTAATGCCTCTACTTGGATGTAAGTTACTAGCAAGTAAGGTCTATGTATAGTTTTACGTATGTTTGTCACCTGCAAAACAACCACCATGGAGCTTTTGGAAAATATCAGTAAAATGTTATTAGACAAGTAAGTGAATAAAAATATATATAGTAAATGTATTCTTTTTTTCACTTTTACTCAGGTAAAGCTCTCTTGAGAGATCAGAATTTGCAGTAGATCTGTGACTTAGAAGATACATACCAGCTGACTCTCAGATACTGTAGAAGATGGTGAGGAGAGATTTGCCTGCAAAACATAAACATGGCATTTATTAGTGAAACTCATAATTTATTAAAATATGTATGTGTTTAAGTATTTTGAAGTTTGTTTATTATTATATGTCCATGATAGGATTTTGAAAAGTATAAAGAAAAGGAAAAATATCCTTATGCCACCAAAGAAATGATTTTTAATATTTTTGGTACATAGCCATAAATATTTTTCCTATGTATTTTTATTCAGCCTACATAATAGTGAATATGATGTTTATATGCTGCTTTTCTTTCTCATTTTCTTAACATAAGCATTATATCATGACATCAAAACTTCTTCAAGGTTACCTAACATTTCATTCTTTGTATTCTTCACATTTTAATCAAACATACCAGCATCGTTGCTATTTCTATTTATTTAAAGCAAATTGAAACAAATAACAGATATTTCTTTAAAGTATTGTTATATAAAAAGAAAAGCATAACAAAGTTTTTATGATTTGAGAATAAAAATGACTTGGTTTTTAGAATTGTTTAAATTAAAGAGCAGATTAATATTGTTTGTCATTGGCTCCTATATTTCAACCCTTTCATCTGGATTTAGTTTCTTTCATTTTTAAAAATGTTATTGTCGTAAGAACATTTAACATGAAATCTGTAATTTGAACATGTTTGTAAGTGCATAATACAGTATTGTTGGCTATAGGTGCAATGTTGTATGGCAAATGTCTAGAATTTATTCATCTTGTTTAACTGAAACTTCATGTTGATTAGTAACTTCCCATTTCCCCCTGCTCCCTAGTTTCCTTCTTACTAAAGTAAAGGTTTTTGTGGTTTTTTCAGGCCTTACTGTCTTGGATGTTGTCTGAAAATGTTTTTATCATGTTCTCATTCTTGAGTGACAGTCCAACTGGACGCAGAATTCCAGGGTAGTAGCATTTCTGTCTTTTGCAGATGCTGTCCCACAGACTCTGGCTTTTGTTGTTGTTGGCATAAATGTTGTAACTTGGAGGATCTTCTGTCTTCAAATTTGATTAACATTTAAAGTTTACCTCCGTGATATTCTGTAATTTCACTATGATGTGCCTTGGTGTAGATTTCTTTTTCTTGTGTTTTGGGGGTCTTGGTATGTTCTTTTATTCTGAGTATGCATATCTTCTGAAAAATCCTACATGACTATCTCTTCAAATGCTGCCTTTCTCCCATTATATCTAAGCTCTAGTTATTGATCTTCTATTAAATATATAGTAATGTGCCACACAATGATGTTTCAGTTGATGATGGACCTCATGTATGACAGGGGTCCCATAAGACTATAGTGGAGCCAAAAATATTCCTGTCACCTAGTAACGTCTTAATTATCTTGACTCTGTGTAGGCCTAAGCTAATGTGTATGTTTGTGTCTTGGTGTTTAACAAAAAAAGCTTAAAGAGTATAATAAATAAAAAATAAAAATTTGAAATAGAAAAAACTTATAGAATAAGAGTGTAAAAAATATTTTTGGACAGCTGTAAAATGCATTTGTGTTTCAAGCTACATGTTCCTACAAAAGAGTCAAAAAGTTTTAAAAATTAAAAAGTTTATAAAATAAAAAACCTACAGTAAGCTAAGGTTAATTTATTGTTGAAGAAAGAAAAACATAAACTTAATGTAGCTAAAAGTCTACAGTAGTGTACAGTAATAACCTTAGTTCTTCACATTCACTCACCACTAACTCATTGATTCACCCAGAGAAACCTCCAGTCCTGCAGGCTCCATTCATGGCAAGTGCACTATACAGATGTACCACTTTTTATCTTTTACACTGTATTTTTACCATGCCTTTTCTATGTTTAGATACATAAATACTATTAGTGGGCTATACCAACTAGGTTAATGTATATACATTTTTTTAATTTGAGACGGAGTCTCCCTCTGTCACCAGGCTGGATTGCAGTGGTGCAATCTCGGCTCACTGCAACCTCTGCCTCCCAGTTTCAAGTGATTCCGCTGGCTCAGCCTCCGGAATACCTGAGAGTACAGGCGCGTGCTGCCACACCTGGCTAATTTTTTGTATTTTTTTAATTAGAGATGGGGTTTCACCATGTTGGCCAGGATGGTCTTGGTATATACACTTTGATGCTCACATAATGATGAAATCACCTAGTGATGTGTTTTTCAGACCATCTCCCTATAGTTAAGCAAAGCATGACTGTATTTTGGGCCTTCTGAAATCCTCTCCCATTTATCTCAAACTCGTTTTTATATTTTTGTCACTTTATACTGTATTCTGGATGGTTTTTGCATATAAGCCTGATAGTTAACTTATTTTTCTTTAACTGCATGTTAGTATGTTTAACATGGCAATTGAAGTTAACGTCTTAATAATTGACTTTTCACTTCTAGAAGTTTTACTTGGTTCTTTTTCAAAGCTTATCTTATAATATCTATAACACGTTATAATGTTTAATGTTTTAAATATATTTATATGGTATTTTTCCAGATTTGTTATAGTCCCCCCTCGTTAAATACCATGTTGCTTGTATTTGCTGATTCTCTGTCATGTCCCTCCCTCATGATGTTCTTTAGTTATTTTGTGTGCTTTTTATTTTCTATTTTGAGTAATTTTGGTAATTTGGATTTCTTTAGATATCCAAGAAGCCCTGGTTTAGAAACCATCCCTGCAGTACATTTGCCCTCATGGGGGCCTTAGGAGTTGCACAGGTTCTGGACCAGTTACCATTTTATTGCCTCATCCTGATTTTCCTAAATCTCTAGATGGCAGATCCCCACATTATCACATAATCCCCACACTGTCATAGGTTTGGAGTCCTGTTTTCTCATGGGTGACTTTTTCTTATCACCCAAGAATGTAGGGTAGGGATTATTTTTTAAATTATCTTTTTTCTTTTTCATGCTTCATGGTCAATATGGCCTTGTAGGTTATAGAATTATGCAATAGATTCCCATATAGGTCTTAAACTTGTTACACAGTGAAAGTTAGAACCTAAGCTCTCGGGTCCTGGCACCTAGGGTCTGATGCACACATGTTCTACAAGAACTTTAGGTTCTTTTTAGTATTCTAACCTTGATATGGTCAGGCTTTGTGTCCCCACCCAAATCGTATCTTGAATTATAATCCACATAATCCCCACATGTTGAGGGCAGGAACTGGTGGGAAGTGATTGGATCATGAGGGCAGTTCCCCCATGCTGATCTCATGATGGAGAGTGAGTTCTCACAAAAGCTGATGGTTTTTATAAGGGGTTGTTTGCTCTTGCCTACACTTCTCTCTCTCGCCACCATGTGAAGAAAGTCCTTGCTTCTCCTTCATTTTCTCCCATGATTATAAGTTTCCTGAGGCTTCCCAAGCCATGCAGAACTGCGACTCAATTAAACCTCTTTTCTTTATAAATTACCCAGTCTCAGACAGTTCTTTATAGCAGTATGAAAATGGGCTAATACAAACTTGGAAGTCCCACTTCATTTATGGCATCCAGGGATTACTTATGTTTTATCGAGCATTTCTGCATTTACATGGGAGGCTAAACTTTCACACCAGCTTAGCCTTCCATTTTGACAGGAACTGGTCAGCATACAGATGAATAATTATAAATATGCTTGGCTAAAATACAATAAGTTATGTTCCTAAAATATTTCTATTTTTGAAATTGCAAATATTTCAGAGCTTATTTTGATGTATCATTATTGTTTTAATCTCTGAGAGATCAACAATAACTGAAAACTGAAAGCCTCATGGTTCCATGTTATCACCAAGTATATAGGAGTATGAATCACCAAACAATGATGAGGCTTTGTGTACAAATGATGAAGTCCTTTGTACACAGTGTCTAACAATGTTTGTTTTCTGGGTTTTGACTCATGTCATTCTTTACAGGTACCACTGCTTGCTGCCATTCCTGGTTGCTTGATGGCAGTAGGGTGTCTTGGCTAAGTGCTCCGCTTCTCTAATTGCTGTGGGCCAGGTTAGTGTGCACTGAGGTTTAGGAAAATTACCCTTCAGAATATCCATCATGGTGTTTTTGTCAGTTCACCTAAGTTTTCATTATTAACCTCATAATGGAATATAGGTAATAATAATGATTTCTTCTAAAATCTTAGGTTTTATACCATTTAACAATTTTTTCTTATTGCAATAATGAAAGCATTCTCTATTGATCCCCTAAGTTAAATGAATAGCTTCTGTGAAATATGCTGAATTAAATGCATCATAACTGAAAAAAAAGGCTAAATTTCTACCTCAATAATTATAGGAAAGAAGTTACATATTAACAATAAAGTTTCACTTTACAATTTGTATTACTAATATTTTTTAGTATATTGTACTAAATAATTCCAAATTATTATCATGGGGAAAAGAGAGAAAAGGCTCAAACATATTAATTAAATTAGGAAAAAATCTAAATATCTTTTTATCCAATCTCTATAAATCCCCCAAATTCCTTCATTGGGAATCATGACATAATAATAAGATGCTTTAGACACCCCCAGACATTTTTATTTCATCCAGTATTATGAACTCCGTATCACTGCTATCAGAAACTTCCCAGAGAAAGTGCAAAATTAAATGTAAACCACAATGTGGAGTGGATATGCATAATACTATTACAGATTTGTCCTTAGCAAAGAGGAAGAATAGTGACTTATATGTTTTATCACTAAAGTAACCAGGTTTTTTCAATGAATCCAATTACATCCAATCCTTTGAGAAGCCACCCTGTGCATGTCTAATACAGGTTAATGCTGTTTATTAGAAGTTATAGCTATAATTATGTCATCAATATTGTAGCAATTATTTTCCAAAATGTGAGGAGATACTGTGTGGTGAACTAAGCAGATGATGGGAAAAGGTTGCTACATTTGAACACCTGCATCACCTGAATAAAGGTGGAGAAGAAACTTGAAGTACCTAAAAATAAATTTGAAATTGGATTTGAACAACATTAAAATTTTGATCATTCATATCGCTCCAGTTTTACACCAACTGGGAAGAGTAACATTTGAGATGAGTATAAGAATGGCTCTTGTGTGAAATAAAAATTCGTAATCCATATTCTACAGCCTTTGACATTGTTTTAATCATATAAGAAAAAATAATGAGAGAAAGAGAGAGATGGGCTTTAGCCATTACTGCATCCTTCAAAAAAAGAAACTTAAAAAACTAATAGAGCAGTCAAAAAATTATGAAGGTAAAAAAAATTTATTTCAAAAAAATAAATTAAATAATTAAGTTATATAGAAACTAAAAGAGTTAAAGACCAAGTAAAGGTAAGGATTTGAAATCCATTGAAAGACAAATTCCTACACAAGGCACCACTTGCCCAAAGCCAGCTTTGGAGAAACCTTTTCATCTCCCAAAGACTTGATGCCAAAGGCAAACAAAGAACAGCCAAGCTCCTTATCCATCATCTAGGTTTTCCATTCCTTGCAATCTGCAGCATTTCACATTCATGACAGGTATCCCTTTGGTCGGCATCACTCTAACAGACACCATCTTGGGGGCCTGGGGCAAAAATCAAGTTGCATTAGATAAAAAGTGTTAAACAGTTGCCTTTTCTTTCTGTACTCTGGTACTCTACTTTTAGCATGCTTTTTTTGCCTTTCAGTAGTCATGTCCCTTCCACCTGAATATAATGTCAGGTTTGATACCGTTAAGATGCTTCTTTTCCCTTTTTCTCTGTTGACTCTAACTGTCCTGAATCTTCCTTTCTCAAAGTTCAAGAGCTCTAATCCATGATAATGTGCTAATTGAATTATGTTATTTCTCCCCCTCAAGACTGATGTACAGCTAAGCAGAAAGACAACACTCAAAATAAGAATTGGGCACTTAGTTATTACTGAGTGCTAAGCTTGGCATTGAGGACATATAAAATTATAAAATGATAAAGACTCTGTCTTACTCTTAACCTGGAGAGTGTTCTTATTGTTTGTACATAAGGCACTGGTCAAAACAATGAATCCATGTTGAAAATGTTAGACGCCAAGGCCATGAGATAAATTATGACACATCATGCCTTCCTTACTTTGAACTGCTTATTCTTACTATCGATGGAACTTACACTGTCTAAGAGTCGGAGGTTGCAGTGAGTCACGATCGCGCCACTGCACTCCAGCCTGGTAACAGAGAGAGACTCTGTCTCAAAAAAAAAAAAAAAAAAAACTTACCCTGTCTAAATATCTCACTAAAGACCATTTCTAAGTTAGTAATACGCCCCTCATAATATCTAATATAAAGAGTAGATATAGAAATTTTTTTAAGTTTGATTCTTTAAGATAGGGAATGATGATTCTAACTTGTCATGAACATAGTTGGTAGACGGAACAAGTGGGCATAGGTGATCAGTAAAAGTCATAGTTTATATGTACAAATAGGGAAATAAAAGATCAGATCAAGCAGAAGTTTGTCTGAAATAAGGCACCTTCCCATTTGATGAAATCTAAAATGGCAAGGAAAAGGATACAAAGCAGAAGGTTTGTCTCATTCAATCTCTTCTCTGCCTCCTCATCTAGCAGAATGCAGAAATATTTCTGAACAAATATAAAATGAAATAAGTAATGATCAGTCTAGTGGAATTTCTTGCTTAAATTGTTGCCAGTTCTTCCTAAAACTCATCAAATCTCTGGCATCATCCTACCTTGAAGCAGATCTGGACCTGATTTGGAGTAATTCACCTCTCGTCCTAAGATCTATGACTGCATTATTGCACATCACCTCTGAAACACTCCAGCATAGCAACGTTTCCAAGCATAACAACAAGAAGAGTGTGTGAGCTGGCGAAATTGGGATGACCTTTATTTGAATATCTGTATATATAGTGGAAAATATTATTAATAAAGTTTGACACATTTTTCAATATACTCTGATATTTTGGAAGGAATATGCTTCCATTGTAATGACATTTTTCTGTCTCTCAAGCTCACTAAAATGAGATCTTACCTGTATGCTATCTAATATTTAATAATTCCATCTCAGATATTTCCTCTGCACTTAAAAGTAATTTATAAAATGTAGAGGATTTATAAAATAAGTTGTTATCAATAGAATGTGATTCCAACTAAGAGTTTTTTGATGCATTAGTAATAGGACCAAATACTACCCTATTTTCAGAGGTTATTCTTTATTAAGAAAGCATACTATGGTTTTGAATTATATAAATGTGATGAATTTATACTGGTAGTTAGTAAAAAATGATAAACATTTAGAAGGGCACATATAATGCAAAGACAAAAAATTCCCTCTACAAAGTTCATAGAATGAAAATAGAATGAAATAGAATGTTAATAGATAATTCATCCCTGAGGGGTGGAGCAAGATGGTAGAATAAAAACTTACAGTGTTCGTACCTCCCGCAGGAACACCACATTTTAGCAACTATCTACACATAGAAAACCACCCTCTCAAGAAGCAAATTAGGTGAGCAATCATAGTACCTAGTTTTAACTTCATATTGCTGAAAGAGGCATTGAAGGGGGTTGGAGAGACAGTCTTGAATTGTTAATGTCACCCTTCCCCCTACTCCCCAGTAGTGACCATGCAGCACAGAGAGTCTGTGCACTTGGGAAAGGAAGAGCACAGCAACTGGGGGACATTACATTGAACTCAGTGCTGCCTTGTAACAGCAGAAAGCAAAACTATGTTGGGCTCAGCCAGTGCCCACAGATGGAGAGAGCATTTGGAGTAGGCCTATACAGAGGGGAACTGCCCATCCCAGCAGCTGGAAGTTGACTCTCTTGGAAAGGCTCACCACCATAGGCAAAAGTGCTCTGGGATTCTAGGCAAACGGAGGAAAGTCTAGGACATAAGGACTGCAATTCCTAGGCAACTCCTAGTACTGCACTGAGCTCAGAGCCAGTAGACTAGGGTGGTACATGACCTAGGGAGACATCAGCTGGCATGGCAAAGGGAGTACTTGTGCTATTTCTTCCCCAACTCCAGACAGTGCTGCTCGCAGCAACAAAAGTGACTCCTTGCTTCTGCTTAAGGAGAGGAGAATGAAGAGTAAAGAGGACTTTGTCTTACATCCTGGAGATCAGCTCATCCACAATTGGATAGAGCACTAGGCAGAGCTATGATGCCCCCATTACAGGCCCTGGCTCATGATGTTTCTAGGCATATCCTGGGCAAAAAGAGAACCCGCTGCCTTGAAGGGAAAGACCAGTCCTGGCAGGACTCATCACTTGCTGACTAAAGAGCCGTTGGGTAGTGAATAACCAGCAATGATACCCACGTAGTACACCATGGGCCTTAGGCTCTGAGATGGGCTGACTTCAGGTATGACCCATCACGTTCTCAGCTGTGGTGGCTATAGTGACAGACTCCTTCTGTCTGAGAAAAGCATAGGGAAAAGTAAAGGGAACTTTGTCTTGCACCTTAGGTACCAGCTTGATCACAGGGAGGTAGAGCAACAAACAGGCTTTTGAGGTCCCTGAATCCAGGCATAGGCTCTTAGACATCATTTCTGGACCAGCCCTGGGCCAGAAGGGAGCCCATTGCCTGAAGGGTGAGTCCCTGGCCTGGAAGTATTTCCCACACGCTGACTAAAGAGCCCTTGGGCTTTTAGTGAACATCAGTGGTGGCCCAGCAGACCACCGCCCCAGCCCATGTGCTGGTGGTGTTGGTGGCCACAGGGAGAGGCTCTTTTGCCTGTGGAAAGGGGAGGGAAGAGCAGAAAGAACTTTGTATTGTGGCTTGAGTGCTAGCTTAGCTTCAGAGAAATAGAACATCAGTTAAATTTCTAAGGTTTTTGACTCTAAACCCTGTCTCCCAGACAACATTTGTGGAACCGCGGAGGGCCTGGGGGAACTTGCCACAGGGGTGCATGCATCTCACCCCCAGTTCCAGGCAGCTCAGTACAGAGAGAGAGACTTCATTTCTCTGAGAGAAAGTAAGGGAAGAAACCAAAAGTCTCTGCCTGATAATTCAAAGACAGGCATAAGCAAGCCCAGACTGTCTAGACTACAAAAAATACCTAACTCTTCAATGTTGAGACACTGACAAACATCCACAAGCATCAAGATCATCCAGAAAAACATAACCGCATAAAACAAACTAAATAAGGCACCAGAAACCAATCATGGAAGAACAGGGATATGTGACCTCTCAGACAGAGAATTCAAAATAGCTGTGTTGAGACTACTCAAAGAAATTCAAGATAACACAGAGAAGGAATTTAGAATTCCATTAGATAAATTTAACAAAGAGATTGAAATAATTAAAACAAAATCAAGCAGAAATACTGGAGCTGCAAAATGCAATTGGCATACTGCAGAATGCATCAGAGTCCTTTAATAGCAAAACTGACCAAGAAGAAGAAAGAATTAATAAGCTCAAAGGCAGGTAATTTGAAAATGTGCAAAGTCAGAGGAGACAAAAAAGAATAAAAAACAATGAAGCACACCTTCCATATTTAGAAAATAGCCTCAAAAGGGCAAATCAAAGAGTTATTGGCCTTGAAGATGAGGTAGAGAAAGAAACAAAGGTAGGAGATAGGAGTAGAAAGTTTGTTCAAAGGTACAATAACAGAAATTTCCCAAACCTAGAGAAAGATATCAATATTCAAGTACAGGAAGGCTATAGAACACCAGGAAGATTTAACCCAAGGAAGATGACCTCAAGGCATTTAATAATCAAGTTCCCAAAAGTAAAGGATAAAGAAAGGATCATAAAAGTAGAAAGAGAAAAGAAACAAATAACACACAATGGAGCTCCAATATGTCTGGCAGCAGACTTTTCAGTGGAAACATTACAGGCCAGGAGATAGTCACATGGCATATTTAAAGTGCTGAAGGAAAAACAAACAAACAACAACAACAAAAAAGTTTACCCAAGAATAGTATATCTGGTGAAAATATCCTCCAAGCATGAAAGAGAAATAAAGACCTTCCCAGAAAACAAAAGCTGAAGGATTTCATTAACATCAGACCTGTCTACAAGAAATGCTAAAGAGGGCTCTTCAATTTGAAAGAAAAGACTGTTAATGAGCAGGAAGAAATCATCAGAAGATACAAAACTCACTGGTAATAGTAGGCACACAGAAAAACACAGAATATTATAACACTGTAATTGTGGTATGTAAACTGCTTTTAAGTAGAAAGACTAAATGATGAACCAGTCAAAAATAATAATTACAACTTTCTAAGACATAGTATAATAAGACATAAAAAAACAACAAAAAGTTAAAAAGCAGGGACATGAAGTTAAAGTGTAGGGTTTTTATTAGTTTTCGTTTTGCATGTTTGTTTATGCAATTAGTGTCAAGTGTTGTCATCAGTTTAAAATAATGAATAAGATAGTATTTACAAGCCTCATGGTAACCTCAAATTAAAAACCATACAACAGATACACAAAAAATAAAAAAGCAAAAAATTAAAGCATACAACCAGAGAAAATCACATTCACGAAAAGAAAGACAGGAAAAAGGAAAAGAAAAAAGAGGATACCACAAAACAACCAGAAAACTAATAACAAAAGGGCAGGGGTAAGTCCCTACTTATCAATAATATCATTCAATGTGTGAGAACTAAGCTGTCCAATCAAAAGTCATAGAGTGGCTGAATGGATGAAAAACAACCCAATCACCTGTTGCCTACAGGAAACACACTTAGCCTATAAACATACTCACAGAGTGAAAATAAAGGGATGGAAAAAAGATATATTCCATGCCTATGAAAACCAAAATAGAGCACAAGTAGCTATACTTAGATCAGACACAATAGATACCAACACAAAAACTGTAAGAAGAGACAAAGAATGTCATTATATAATGATAAAAGGGTCAGTTCAGCAAAAGGCTATAATGATTGCAAACTTACATGCAGCCAACACTGGAGCACCCAGATATATAAAGCAAATACTATTAGAGCTAAAGAGAGACATAGACCTCAATGCAATAATAGCTGGAGACTTCAACACCCCAATTTTAGTATTGGACAGATCTCCCAGACAGAAAATCAACAGAGAAACATCAGACTTAATCTGCACTATAGACCAAATAGACCTAATAGATATTTACAGAACATTTTATCCAACAGCTATACATGCTTCAACACATGCTTCTCCTTAGCACATGGATCATTCTCAAGGATAGACCGTATGTTAGGTCACAAAACAAGTCTTAAAACATTCAAAAAATTAAAATAATATCAAGCATCTTCTCTGACCACCAGGAGATTAAGCTAGAAATCAATAACAACATGAAATTTGGTAACTATACAAACACATGGAAATTAAACAATATGCTCCTGAATGACCAGTGGGTCAATGAAGAAATTAAGAAAGAAATTGAAAGATTTCTTTAAACGAATGATAATGGAAATGCGAAATACCAAAACCTACAGGATATAGCAAAGCAGTAAAATTTATAGCTGTAAGTGCCTACATAAAAAACAAACTTTGAATAACCTAATAAAACACCTTAAACAACTAGAAAGTCAAGAGCAAACCAAACCCAAAATTAGTAGAAGAAAAATAATAAATATCAGAGCAGAAATAAATAAATTTGAAACAAAGAAAGCAATTCAAAAGATCAATGAAACAAAAAGGTGGTTTTTGAAAAGAAAGAAAATTGACAAATCTTTAGGCAGACTAATAAAGAAAAAAAGGGAAGAAACACGAATAAAATCAGAGATGAAAATGAAAACATTACAACTGAAACTACAGAATTTTTTTCCTTATGTACTTTTTTATTATTTTATTTTATTTTAAGTTTCAAGATACATGTGCAGGACATGCAGATTAGTTCCCCATGTAAATGTGTGCTTTGGTGGTTTCTACACCTATCAACCCATCACTTAGGCATTAAGCCCCACATGCATTAGCTGTTTATCCTGACGCTCTCCCTCTCCCTACCCTCCCGAGAGGCCCCAATGTGTGTTGTTCCCCTCCACCCTGCCCGTGTCTATGTGTTCTTATTGTTCAGGTCCCACTTATATGTGAGAATATGTGGTGTTTGGTTTTCTGTTCCTGTATTAGTTTGTTGAGGCTAATGGCTTCCAGCTCCATCCATGTTCCCGCAAAAGACATGATCTTTTTCCTTTATATGGCTACATAGTATTCCATGGTGTATATGTACCACATTTTCTTCATCCAGTCTCTCACTGATGGGCATTTGGGTTGATTCTATCTTTTTGCTATTGTGAATAGTGCTGCAATTAACATACACTTGCATATGTCTTTATAACAGAATGACTTATATTCCTTTGGGTATATACCCAGTAATGGGATTGCTGGGTGAAATGGTATTTCTGGTTCTAGGTCTCTAAGGAATCACCACACTGTCTTCCACAATGGTTGAAGTAATTTACATTCCCACCAACAGTGTAAAAGCATTTCTATTTCTCCACAGCCTCACCAGCATCTGTTGTTTCTTGACTTTTTTAATAATTCCCATTCTGACTGGTGTGAGATGGTATCTCATTGCGGTTTTGATTTGTGTTTCTCTAATGATCTGTGATGTTAAGCTTTTTTTCATGTTTCTTGGCTGCCTAAATGTCTTCTTTTGACAATTGTCTGTTTGTGTCCTTTGTCCACCTTTTAGTGGGGTTGTTTGTTTTTTTCTTTTAAATTTGTTTAAGTTCCTTGTAGATTCTGGATATTAGACCTTTGTCAGATGGATAGATTGTAAAAATTTCTCCCATTCTCTAGGTTGTCTGTTCACTCTGATGATAATTTATTTTGCTGTGCAAAAGCTCGTTAATTAGATCCCATTTGTCAATTTTTGCTTTTGATGAAATTACTTCTGATGTTTTTGTCATGAAATCTTTGCCTGTGCCAGTCCTGAATGGTATTGCCTAGATTTTCTTCTAGGGTTTTTATAGTTAGAGGCTTTACATTTAAGTCTTTAATTCATCTTGAGTTAATTTTTGTATAAGGTGTGAGGAAGGGGTCCAGTTTCAATTTTCTGCTTACGGCTAGCCAATTTTCCCAGCACCTTTTATTAAATAGGGAATATTTTCCCCATTGCTTGTTTTTGTCAGGTTTGTTGAAGATCAGATAGTTGTAGATGTGTGGTCTTATTTCTGAGATCTCTGTTCTGTTCCATTGGTCTATGTGTCTGTTTTTGTACTAGTACCATGCTGTTTTGGTTCCTGTAGCCTTGTAGTATAGTTTGAAGTAGGGTAGCATGATGCCTTCAGCTTTGTTCTTTTTGCTTAGGATTGTCTTGTCTATACAGGCTCTTTTTTGGTTTCATATGAACTTTTACGTTTTTTTTTCTAATTCTGTGAAGAATGTCAATGGTAGTTTAATGGGAATAGCATTGAATCTATAAATTACTTTGGGCAGTATGGCCATTTTCCCAATATTGATTCTTCCTATGCAGGAGCATGGAATAAAACCAAAGAAATTTAAAGGATTATTAGTAGGTACTATGAGCAACTATATGCCAATATGTTGGAAAATCTAGAGGAAATTGATAAATTCCTAGATACATACAACCTATCAAGACTGAACCATGAAGAAATCCAATGCCTGAACAGATCAATAACAACTAATGAAATCAAAGTTGTAATAAAAAGTCTCCCAGTAAAGCAAAGCCCGGGACCCAGTGGCTTCACTGCTGAATTTTATGAAACATTTAAAGAAGAATTAATACCAATTCTACTTAAGCTATTCAAAAAAACAAACAAACAAAGGAGAAGGGAATACTACAAATCTCATTCTATAATGAGACCAGTATTACCCTGATACCAAAGCCAGAAAGATACGTCAAACTAAGAAAACCACAGGCCAATATCTCTGATGAATATTGATGCAAAAATCCTCAACAAAATGCTAGCAAAACAAATTCAACAGTGCATTAAAAAGATCCTTCATCATGATCAAGTAGGATTTATCCCAGGGATGCAATGATGGTTTAACATATGCAAATCAATCAATGTGATATGTCATATTAACAAAATAAATGACAAAAACCATATCATCATTGATGCTGAAAAAGCATTTGATAAAATTCAACATCCCTTCATGATTAAAAAACTCTCAAAAAACTGGGCACAGAAGGAATATATCTAAACATAATAAAAGCCATATATGACAGAGCCACAGCTAGAATCATACAGAATGAGGAAAACCTGAAAGCTTTTCTTTTAAGATCTGGAAGACGACAAGGATGTCCACTGTCACCACTGTTATTCAATACATAACTGGAAGTCAGACAAGAGAAAAAATAAAGGGCACCTAAATTGGAAAGAAAGAAGTCAAATTATCCTTGTTTGCAGATGACATTATCTTATATTTGGAAAAACCTAACTACTCCACCAAAAAACTATTAGAACTGAACAATGAATTCAGTAAAGGTGCAGGATACAAAATCAACATACAAAAATCAGTAGCATTTCTACATACCAATAGTGAACAATCTAAAAAAGAAGTCAAAAGAGTACTATCATGTACATTAATAGCCACAAGTAAAAGCAATAACCTAGGAATTCACTTAACCGAAGAAGTGAAAAATCTCTACAATGAAAACTATAAAATGCTGATGAAAGAAATTGAAGAGGACACACAAAAAATGAAATACATCCCATGTTCTTGGATTTAAAGAATCAATATTGTTATAATGTCCATACTACCCAAAGTACTACAGATTCAAAGCAATTCCTATCAAAATACCAATGACATTCTTCACAAAAATAGAATAAACAATCCTAAAATTTATAGGGAACTACAAAAGACCCAGAATCACCAAAGCTATCCCGAGAAAAAGGAACAAAACTGGAGGAGTCATTATCTGACTCCAAATTCTGCTACAGAGCTATAGTAACCAAAACAACATGGTACTGGCATAAAAACAGACACATAGACCAATGGAACAGAATACAGAACCCAGAAACAAATTTGCTCACTTACAGTGAACTCATTTTTGACAAAGGTGGCAAGAACACACATAAGGAAAAGATAGTCTTTTCAATAAATGATGCTGGGGAAGCTGGGTGTCCATATGCAAAAGAATAAAACTAGACCCCCTATATCTTGCCATATGTAAAAATCAAATCAGAATGAATTAAATACTTAAACCTAAGACCTCAAACTATGAGACTGCTACAAGAGAACATCAGAAAAACTTTCCAGGACATTCTTCTGGGCAAAAATTTCTCCAGTAATACCCCACAAGCACCGGCAATCAAAGCAAAAATGGACAAATGGGATCACATCATGTTAAAAAGCTTCTACCCAGCAAAGGAAACAATCAATAAAGTGAAGGGATAATCCACAGAATGGGAAAAAATATTTGCAAACTACCCATCTGAGAAGGGATTAATAACCAGAATATATAAGGAGCTCAAACAGCTCTATCATAAAGTATTATAATTGTAGTTTAAAATCGGCAAAAGATTTCAATAGATATTTCTCAAAAGGAAACATCCAAATGGCAAACAAGCATATGAAAAGATGCTCAACATCATTGATCATCAGATAAATGCTAATCAAAACTACAATGAGATATTATCTCACCCCAGTTAAAATGGGTTTAATCCAAAAGACAGGCAATAAGAAAGCTTATGAGCATGTGGAGAAAAGGGAACCCTCATATACTGTTGGTGGGACTGTACACCACCAATTAGTACGACCACTATAAAGAACAACTTGGAAGTTCCTCAGAAAATGAAAAAGAAAGAGCTACCATGTATGATCCAACAATTTCACTGCTGGTCATATACCCAAAAGAAAGAAAATCAGTATATTAAAGAGGTATCTGCACTCACATGTTTGCCACAGCACTGTTCACAATATCTAAGATTTAGAAGCAACCTAAGTGTCCTTCAATAGATGAATGAATAAAGAAAACATGGTACTTATACACAATGGAGTACTATTCAGCCTTTATAAAGAATGAGATCCTGTCATTTGCTACAACATGTATGGAACTGGAGGTCATTATGTTAAATGAAATAAGCCAGGCACAGAAGGACAAACAACACATGTTCTCACTTATTTGTGGGATCCAAAAATCAAAACAATTGAACTCATGGAGATAGAGAGCAGAAGAATGGTTACCAGAGGCTGGGAATGGTGGGGGTTGCTTTGGGGTGGGGAGGTGGGGATGGTTATCGAGTACAAAAAAAATAGAAAGAATTAACAAGATCTGGTATTTGATAGCACAATCAATAATAATTGACTATAGTCAATAATAATTTAATTGTACATTTTAAAATAACTAAAAGAGTATAATCAGATTATTTGTAACATAAAGGATAAAAGCTTGAGGGGACAGATACCCCATTTTCCATGATGTAATTATTATGCATTGCATTCCTATATCAAAATATCTCATGTACCCCATACATACCTACTATGTACCCACAAAATAAAAATATGAAAATTTGCTTAGAAAGGAAATTTATTTACACGAAGGAAATAAAGTTTAAAAATGAGTGTCATAAGAAATAACTCTTATACCTTATCTGATATGAGTTAATGTACATTTAAGCACATGATTTAAAACCCTGGAAACAGCAAATCACTATCATTTTAGATGTTAATATGACCAAATATGAAATTATTCCTTCTAAGTTTAGGCTGAAGGTTATTGGGCATGAAGAAATAATTTGGACCCAGGCTATAAATATGAATGGATAAAATATTTAAAGAATGCAAACTATTTCCAGTATGTACTTATACTTCTACAAGTATGTAGAAGTATCAAATGGCAGAAACTTTGACATGAAGAAAATCTGGGTTGGGTTTTGCCTGCTCTGTGATTTCTGAGGCTTGTTTTCCCACTCTGTATAATGGAGATTTTAAAATAAGAATACCCACCTCATAGCTTTGATATATGGTTTAAATGAGATAGCCAAGCTTTATTTTCAAGGTAAGAGCTCAAAATATTAGTTATTATTATTGTTGAATTCAGCATCTTTTTAAAAGAATCAAATGAAATATTAATGATAAATTAACCAACCCTGCTAGTGACCTAAGGCTCACTCCCTATTCAACATATTGTTAGCCTAGTTTCAATTCTATTACACTTAAAAGAATCTCAATTAAATTATTGTAAAATAGCCTGCATTTTAAGAAGACCACGGACTGGAGAAAACCTTTACTTTAATTAGTCTGAATTAGTGTTGCTTTTACTGCACCTGGCTCATCCTAAAAAACAGACTGTATGAAATGTCACAATACGTGCAATAAAGACCCAAAGAAAGAAACATTATTTTGAGTTGATTTTCTTTGTTTATTTTTTTCTTTTTTTTTTTCCAGAGAAGTCAGTCTTTCAACAAAGGCCTATAAAGTGGAATTAGCCATACACTTTCTTGTTATTTTATTAAACCATTATAATTATCCCAGGAAAACTGGAAAACCTATGAATACACAGAAAACTAGCAAATTTGTAAGTTGGTTTTAACATCAATGGGTTCTCTGGCTACCTCCTCTCTATTTCTACAATAAAGTGTCTTTCTCATTTACTATTTTAACTGTTTACTATCTGTCTTATCATTGGAATACATGCTTCAGAAATTGGCATACTGTCATTGTGTTCACTCTTCGCACCCCAGTGACTCCTCAGTGAATGGTACTCTGTAGACACTCAATAAATATTTGTCGAATCAATGAATAGAGGTGGAAAACTGAATAACAGAGCTAGAAATAGTGACTAGTATAGTCTTGATCCATAGATTATATACTATACCTTTTAAATTTTATTTTTTAATTGGCAAGTAATAATTGTACATATCCATGGGATGCATAGTGGTGTTTTGAGACATACAACGTGTAGTAATCAGATACATTATACTTTTAAAGAACTCTCAGAAATAGGAATTTTCAGTAGTCAGTACTAACTTGTTCAGGATATCCTCAAGTGTAACAAAACTTTTTTTTCTTGGCTCTAATTTATGTCTTCCCTTTATTCAACCTTCTCTGTAGTATAGGAGTTGGTAACCTGCACGATCCCTGCTTTTGAGTTTAATCTAAGAATATCTACAAAGTCAATGACGCACTGAATCCCAGCAGTTATATACTCTGAAGATGACAACTTTCTCCAAAGTTTGAAGACAGATGATGAAATATTGAAATGTTTCAGAAATAGACTTCTCAGAGTTGCTTTTTAGTTTTCATGGGAGAAGAGAGAAATATATAGTGATAAATTAATTAATTAAATCATAGCTAGTAAACTCATACTTAAAGTGAGACATCCCATAGCTCAGTCAATATGAATATTAGAATTTTTAGAAGAAAATATTACAGTATCATTCTTTTAAAAAAACAGAACATATTGTATTTAAGACATACAAGATAAGCTCTTGTTCATTTAAGACCAAAGCTTATAGCTAAAGTGAACTTCTGCTCTAAAATTTAATCTTTTCTCCTCAAACTAAATGTATCAGACATCACTTAGTAAATTGTAATAACTACAGCCAAATATGTACAAATATGACTAACCCGAGAGTTGGCGCCAAACTAGTTTTGACCTTTCATTGTAAAATGATCCTTTATGGTCTTCCAAAAGACGTGGACGTGTTTTAGTGGCCACAAACAACAATTCAAATGTCATGTTGTAAAATAAAGTGAAAACAAAGCTTCTTACATAGGAAACGAATTTTAATTAAGGTCAAGAATCTTATCTGCATTAGAGTTTATATTTGTTCTAGCCTATACTGAACCTGTTTGATGGTTCATTCTTAGCTTTGAATGACTTAAAGGCTCTCACAACATTAAGGGCATGAAAGTTAACCTACTTTAATTAAATCTGATAGTTGATTGAAAGTAAATAATACTTTGAAATAATTTCTAACTATGGAGATTGAAGAAGCCGCTCCAGAATCATTTCAATTGCTACCAAATTAACCCCTCCCAGAGAGGAATGGATAATGACATCAACCCTTTGAACCTATTGAAAACTAATCTAATTAGAGACATTTTGCTGAAAGGCAAGAGTAGATAAAAGAAGAAGGAGAGAGAGCAAAAATTGCAGCAACTTTTTTGGGGGGTCTGGCTCTTGTAAAATGTATTAGTCACAAAAAGTATAGAAACACCTTTAGGAAACTTTCTTTTCTTGTACCCACTAACGACTCAAGGAACTCAATTAAATCAAGATATTTCTAGTCTTCCAAAGATAGATAAGAGGAAGAGAAGAAAGGAGATATGAATAAAGGAAAAAGGGAAAGGAAAGGAAAAGCTTTTAGTTATTGAGCAATTCCTTTGTATCAGAATTCCATTAAGGGCTTTTCATAGATTAGCTAATACAAATCTTACATAAGAAAATTATTAGTATCCCCATTTCATAGATGAAGAAACAAAGGCACAGAAAGGTAAAATGGTGAGTAATTTTCCCAGAATCAGACAGTTATCTAAAAGCAACACTGTGATTTTAAACTCGGGTCTAGTCTACTAATGCCTTCATTCTTTTTAAGTATTACTCCAAATGGCTTCCAATAATAATGAAAAATAACAGCAAAACTTCCAGGAAATGCTCTAAGCAGTGTTCCTACCCACATCCTCTAAACATAATTTTCTGGATGTGATAAAATTTAGTAATTTCACCCAGTTTATTACTTGCCTTGGGGAGATTCAAATGAAGGCAGAACTGTAAAAATTACAATGATGATATGACACAAAATACACATTTAATAACTATTTACTCTTCATAATTATGATAAAAACTACAAATGTGTAACTTAAATGGAATAGTTTACTAATTTGTTTTAGACTTAACACTAAACACTTACTAAGGAGATAATCTTGTTTCTACTAGAATACGTTTGGTCAGAAGCAGAAGTTGACCACATGATGGAAAATACAATTATTAGGTGAGTGAACACTGGCCTTGGGATGAGGCTATGCAGGTTTATGTCTAACACACTCAGAGCCAGCTACTCATAATTATTTGAATTGAATGTGAGTCTATATCTATCCACTATATCTATCCACTTTTGCTCATAAGTGGAAATTGGTTTATTTGTTAATAATTTAAATGAAGGAAAGCAACAAAAGAGTCAAAGTTGATTAAACTGGCAATCCCATTAGAAATGGACAAATCTTAATGTTTCAAGTATATGAGTTGACTATTCTATAAGCATAATAAACCATTACAAAAATGAAAATGTCATCTAAGTGTTGATAACTAGAAAATCAGGAAGCAGGTGTGGCAGTTCTATTTAGCTAAACTAATCCAACTAGACCTCACTTAAGGACAAATTTATTTGATAAGCTTACCTGATGTTTTATCTCTGACATAACCTGATTTTCTGTATCTGCAATCATATCATCCTACCCTTCAACTTATAAAAAAACAATTAATTCTATTTAAATTACTGTATAATAGTGTTCTCTCTAAAGCATACACAGGCACCCATTTGAAAAGCAGTGTGTATAATTATAAAGGTACTTACATATTTGGTTTCTCGACCAGCTGCTCTTGGAAGAGTTGTAGGAGTCTGTATGAAAATAAAAACAATTATACATCTGAAATAATAAAGTAAATAATAATAGACTCAACTTCTGGAATGTGTTCACCTTCTTCTCAATTGAGACTTTCTAAACATTGCTCTCTCTATACAATATCATTTTTTAGAAAATTATTTTATAAAATGATATCACTTGATTATTCTTCTCACTGACTTTATCAGCTTTCTGGTAATTTCTCCTTATTTATTGATGATGTCAACTCATGGATCATAATAGTTCTTTCCTCATGTTTCTTCCATAATTTTTGCCTATTTCAAAATTCATGTAGAAATCTCTGTCTTTTCCATTTTTTGAGCTCCTCAATTACAAAGATGTTCTCATCTACTCCAATTCAATCATTCACTCCCAGAAAGCTCCTTAACTTTACCTTCACCAGTAAAACAGAAACTGTCAGAAATTTCAATTACAAATGTCCCACACTCAGAACTCTACCTCCTATCCACCATCTTCATTTCTCTAGTGCTACTAGTGCAACATCCACATCATTGGGACTTCCAAATCACTGACCTTCATCAGCTTTATTCTGGCTTTACCTCTTATCTCATATTATTTAATATTATAAGCCATTTTAATACTTTCACTTTTTTTAATCTTCCTCTCTTCCTGTGACCAGTTCACTTACAAAAAAAAAAAAAAAAAAAAAGACCTCAACCCTAAATTGACCTTACCATCCATTTTTCTCCATACTTGTATCTGAGAAGCAAAACATTGTTGGAGAAACTCTTTCAAACAAACTAATTAATTTTATTTTAAATTAACAATTATCAATTTCAAATGTGCATTCAGTACTGCCCGAAATTTTTCTTTTGTAGGCCCACTTTCTGAGATGAAATAGCTATTTGATTCATTCATCCATTCATCCACTCAATACATATTTGTGTATCTACTGTGTGTGCCAGTCACTGTTCTACACCCCTGGGACTTATTGGTGAACAGAAGAGACAAAGATGTCCTGCCATTGAGGAGTTCACATTCTGGAAGAAAAGAAATAAGCAATGAAATCATAAATACGTGAATTATATGTTAGAAAGGAATAAATGCAATGAAAAAGAGTAGAAATAATTTGAAGCCCAGGGTAATATACGCTTCCAGATAAAAATTTATTTGCTTCTACAAAATACCTTGTATTTTTCTGGAACACCTAGATGTTAAGGAGGTCAAGAGTGCTGGGAGTCTACAATTTTAAATTAGATGATCAATGTTGAGAAGGTGACATTTGAAGGAGACTTCAAAGACTTGAAGGAGTAAGGGAGTTGAGTAGGTAGTATTCTAGATAAAGAGCATTCCAACAAGAGGGAACAAGTGCAAAGTTTCTAAGGTGGATTTTCTCCTCTGAGAATGTTGGATAGAAAACTGGAAGTAATCTTTCCATAAAGGACAATAAAAAATCTGACCAATATATTGAAAAATATTTAATCAAAAACATCAATGAACTAAAAAGAAAGTGAATAGTTACTGGGCAAAATCAAAAGAGGATGGGAACCTGAAGAGAGAAGCCCAGCATTTCAGAACTGCTTTTGCCCTGGGGATGTTTGCAAATAATGATGAGTTGCTTGAGAAGCTAACCCAAACTTTTGATATCTCACAGGTATAGAGAGAGAAAGTCAACCAGGACTTGCCAAAAACAGATTGAGCCCCTAGGAGTAAGAGTGACCCAGAAGACACATGGTCTTCAGCCTGATATCAAATCATCTGAAGATGACTGTCTAGAAAAAATAATCTCAGAAACTTAAATTAAATTCAGGTAGTTTTTTCTGGCTAGTGCTCCCAATGTCTGACAGAAACAAAGAAAAGACTTTCTATAAAAGGTAATATCATCTGAAGTCTCCATTTCTATTAAGAAATTTTCAAATAGGATATCTAGCATACAATCAGATTCAGATACACAAAAAGGCAAGACAATGTGAATGAGGATGAGCAGAAATAATAAACAACCAAAAAAGACCCACAGAGATTAAGAAATGTGTCTTTTCAGAACCAGACTGAAAACAACCATACTTAACCATGATTTTGGAGATAAAGGTTAAGCTGAAAATTTTTCACAGTATGCTAGAAACTATAAAATGATCACTGATATAACTGATTTGAAAAGAAACTAAATGTGCTAAGACAGGGGCATGCTTGACATATCCAAGGCACAACAAGGAGGCTACCAGGGATGGAGTGAGTAAAGGAGAGAGTTGGAAGAAAGCCAGTCACAGAAGTATTGGGGCACCAGACCATACAGGACCTTGTGAGGACTTTGCTTATATTCTGAGGTTTGAAATGCGTAAGCACTTCTGGTTTTAAATAGAGGAGGGTCATGATCTGACCTAAGCTTTAAAAGGTTTTCTGCGTTTGATGTGTTAAGAATAAACTATTGTGAGTCAGGGGTATAGGGACAAAACTCTTGTACTATCCAACAAAACACAGTGGCTCAGTAGTGCAGAAGCCATGGCATAATCATAGTCGACATATTCTGAAGCTATAGAAATAGGATTTCTAGCAGAAGAGATGTGAAATGTGAGAGAAAGAGAAGAATAAAACATGACACCAAAGTTTTCGGCCTTGAGCAAATGAAAGAGCGAAATTCTACCAACAGAGATGAGAAGGCAACATATGGAATCATTTTGTGGGAGAAAATCTAGATTTTATTTGTATGCATATTGAGGATAAGACATTTGTTAGAAGTATAAATGGAAATGAAGATAGGTATTTGGAAGTCTGCAGTTTGAGAAAGAATCCTGGACTAGAAATAGAGTTGTCGGCATATATGTAGTTAGTTTTTATAACATAAAACAGGGTGAGATCACCAAAGGAATGAATATAGAGAGGAATGAGAAGTTTGAGGACTCATGACTAGAGCATCCCAACATTAACAGTTTGGGAAGAAGAAGATGAACCAGCAAAGGAGACTAAGAAATGATAATAAAAAAGGGAGATAGAGGAAAAACAGAGAGACTACGGAGTTCTAAAATACTCTAGAGGAAAATATATCAAAGAGGAGGGTGTGAGCAACTATCTCAAGTTCTGTTGCTGTCATCTCAACTCAGGACTGGGTTTATTGCAATGCAGAGGACTTCAGGAACCTTGGAAAAAGGGGTTTTGGTGACATAAAAAAAGGGGATCTAAGAGGAAACTGGAGAAAAGGAATTGAAAGTAGAATATATAAACTTTTTTTAACTTTTTCAAATTCATCCCCATCACAACTTCTCCCCTTAATCTTGGTTAATGATCTTACATTTTACTTCATTGAAAGGTATTAGTTATGAAATAACTAAAGATATTGGTTATAAAATTATTTCTCTTCCACCAAACTACAAACATTCTTGCATCTGTAGCTGTCATGTCCTTTATTTTCCATCCTGTTACAATGGAGGACATTTCCAGCTTCTTAGCAAATGGTCTTAGCACATTTGGGCCGCTATAACAAAATATTATTGACTGGGTGGCTTATAAACAACAGAAATTTATTTTCCACAGTTCTGGAGGCTGGGAGGTCTAAAATCCAGGCACTAGCAGATTTGGTGTCTGGTGAGGGACCACTTCTGGTTCATAGATGGTGCCATCTTGCATGTCTTTACATGGTGGAAAGGGTAAGAGGTTTCTCTCTGGACTGTTTTGTAAGGGAACTTATCCCATTCATAAGGTCCCCATCCTCACAACCCAATCATTTTCTAATGGCCCCACCTCCTAATACCTTCATATATTTCAACATATGAATTCTGAGTGGGTGGGTGGGGCACAAATATTCAGACCTTTATTTCCCTTTCTTCTCTAGAATTAGTACTTCTTTCTCTACTAAGACCAATGCCACAGTATGCAAATTTGATCTTGTCATTTTCAGCTTCACAAAACAAAAAGTTCTTTCTTGACCTCACTACCAACCTAATTTCCTTTTCCTTTTAACGGCCAAACATTTCAAAATAGTTGTTTTGTTTTGTTCTGTTTTTACGTATTCTACACCTGCTTTCTCATGCCACAACACATTTAAACAACAGAGATAAGGAGATCAATGGGGTGAACTGAGGGGCTAAAATCTGAGGGTTGTAAAGAGGTAACGATGAAGACAATATCAAAGTGGTCCTTCAGCCTTTGGGGAGAAAATAGTTAACTATAGGTTTCAACAACTGGCTAGCTTCTGATGAATCTTTCCCTTGATCCCTTCTCAGCAATGACGACTGGGACAGCTATTGGAAGAGAAGAATATACCATAAGCAGAGGTGCAGGGAGGCAGAAATAGAGTCAGGGTCACCAGGGTGGAGAGGAAGTGGCAAGTGGGAACTGGTTGATACTATGGCGCTTCTCCCTTCTGAAGCACATGCTCCTCCTGCTCTTAAAGAATAAATAAATAAACCTCACCAGAACTGGCAAGTGCTAGGACTTGGGCTTCAGGACCTGCCACCCCAGGCACCAGGCATATATACACCCAACTTAGCTGACATGCTCAGGGAAATTTGAGTTTCCATGGAAACATAATAAGACATCTGAAAAACTTAAAAACTATAAAAGAAAACAATGTTTCCTCTATTCCACTCCTAAGTATTTACCCAAGATAAGTGAAATCATATATCCATACAAAGTCTTGTTTACAAATGTTCTTGGCAGCTTTATTAGTAATAGCTCCGAATTAGAAATAACCCAGCCATCTATTAACTGGTGAACAGATAAATAAAGGATGGAACATCCACACAGTGGACTACTAATCAGCAATTAAAAAAAAAAGAGCTACTGATCCATGCAATAATATGGATGAATTTCAAATGCCTTCTACTAAGTAGAGGCTAAAGTGACTACAGACTATATAATTACATTTATATGATATTCTTGAAAAGGCAAAAGCATAAGAACACATGAAAAGATAAGTGGTTTCTCAGGACTTGGATTGGAGGAAAGTATATACTAAAAAGGAGCACAAGGAACTTTTTCAGTTGATGGAAATGTTTTGTTTGGAATGTGGTAGTAATTATATGATTGGATTCTTTTGTCAAAACTCAGAGCTGTAAACTAAAAGGATGGAGTTTACAGTGATTAAATATTACCTCAATAAATCTGATTTAGAAGAAAAAGCTATGTTAGCTTCAACAAAGAATGTAATACAGGAATTGAAGGAAAGAATAGATACTGACCAAAATCTTGAACTGGAATATTAGATCAAGGATTCCTCTTGAAGGAATCAGAAAATAATAAATAGAAAAATATGAAGAGTAAGAGACATGAAATACAGAATCAAAAGTGACAAAATCAGTATTGTGAGAGTCCCATGTGGGAATAAATATTTGTAAAAATAATGATCAAAAGTTACCGAAAATGTAAGGGGAAGAAAAGATTGAACACTTCATGTGAAAGGTCATAGAAGGTAACAATCAAAATATGTAAGAAAAAAATGCATACCTAAATACACCATAAAAAATATCTGTAAGATCATACATAAAGTTTTAAAAACTATAGAGCAATTCTGTAAATGATCACTCTATAGCAGAGGACCAAGTATCATGCTGACAAAATACTTCGTAAGTATGTTGTTGAAGACAAAGAAGCCTGGGGGAAAATGTTGAAGAAAGAGTACCTACAATTTTATTCGCAGCAAAACTATAATTTAAATGAAAAGACAAAATAAAGATGTTATCATGAACAGAGTTCACAAAATCTACACAAAAAGATCTTGCTTTATACAACTTGAAGCAAGATTCCAACAGGAAAAACAATAAATCCAGGAAAAAGCTTTGAATGTGTGCAAAATAAGGATCTAAATCAGAAATAAGTATCCAAACAAAGGAAAGATAAAGAAGTGTTCAGACATAAAGTTCAAAACAATACTAATAAATTGTATATGTATGTGCTTGTGTTTGTATATACAGGTTGATTAAAAACAAGTAGAAAGTGAAAAGTGCTATAGTACTTACAAAATTGTGGGAAAAGGCATTTACATGTTTTAAAATTGATACAAAATTAAGCATAATAATTGTCTTTAATAATGTATATGTAACTACCAGAAGTAACAAGGTATAAAGTAAAATTTTCAAAATGTTCAAACTAGTAAATATCAAAATTGCCTAAGGAAAGCAGAAAAAAACAAGAGAAATAAAAACATTTTAAATAGAAAACATGAAATAAGATAGCAAAAATTCACCCTAACATAACAAGAATTGCAATAATTATAAATGGCTTAAAGTCCCTGGTAAATAGAATCTAATTGAATGTAAAAATTATATGCAGAAATATGCTGCTCTGAGAAAATTAGACAAAAGGGTATGAAAAAAAGGAAAGTAGCAGTAAAAGATACATCTAGGAAAACAAGAATTAGAAATTATAAATATAAAGTCACTATTTTAATACTCAAGAGAAAAACCTTAAGTTAAGAAATGATTATATATGCTGATAAAGCTTCTAAAAACTCAAAAACGAGAATGAATGCCAACACATAAGCACCAGCAATATGGTTTCAAAATATACAAGTCAAATCTAATAAACACTTCTTTAGACTTATCTTTCTCTGACCCTTGGCCGCAATCAACACAATTATATTCGCAAACACTCTCTTCTTATAGCTTCCATGATATCACATTGCTCTGATTTTCCTCACCATAAAAGCCTTTTCATTCTCATTTGCTCATCTCCACCTCCTTTGTCAGACCTGTGATGTTATGTTCCTTGGAACTCTGTACAGGACGCTCACGGTGTCTATGTGCCAATGACCCTCAAATATCTCTGATCAGCTTCAAACACACAGGTTTAAGCTTTCTTGATAAGCACTTCAAACTCATCCTTGTCTAAAATTGACATAACCCTCTGCCTGCCACTATACAGCTCTTCCTTCACTGTTGTCTATCCTCAAAACAGAGACCTGCAGTATTCTCTCTCCTTCACTACCCGCACCCAAACTCTTGGCAAGCCTCAAACCGTCATGCTTCTCTAGCTCTTCTGAACCCACCCTATCCAGACCACCATCACTGACTGTTTCCCTGACTGCAGCAGCCTCCTCACAGCAGCCATATTTTTCATCTTCTACGGTTTCATATTATTCCCACCATGGTTCTATGTCTCCCCATTTTCTTTGGAATCCAAGCTTCATGCCATGGCAAATAAGGGTTTAAATCACAGTGCTTAACCCAGTTTCTCAACATCATTTGCACTGTTCATCCCTAGCTCAGTGGACAGTAAGCTCATTGGCTAACTTCTTTATTTTCATACACACTAAGCTCTTTCATGCTTCAGGAAATTTACACATGCCTGTTTCTCTACCTGAAAGCTATTATTCCTGATCAAAATTTCTGTGGCTGGTTCTTTTCCATCTTTGGGTCTCAGCTTGAATTCTACCCCTTGATCACTACATTCAAAGCTTATACCTTAGGTTACTCAGCCTTGCTTATGTTCCTAGTGCCTTGCTGCACCAGACTTATGGTAGGTGCTTAATAAATACCTGTTGAATGAAAAATTGCCTTAAATGTAGTGGCCTAAAATACTGGGTTTTTTAACACCGTAAGCCTTAAGTATTTGTTAAAGAAACCAGTAATATAGATTACTATTCATATACAACTTCTTAAATCCTATTCTCATTATATTTAATATAATACAGGTCTTTTACATGTTCAATGAATGAAATATGAAAAAATATATTTTAAAATTGATATAATATATTTGACAAATCAAAGTTTTAGATTAAAAGGCTTAAAGCATATACAACAAAATAGACTTCAAATACAGAAATTACAATTATCCACCTGTGAGTCCTCTGCTAAAATATAATTAATATGACAATAATTGATTACTGGGTTTTATATGTCATTACTAATGGATATTTATTGATAATATTCCAATTGAAAATTAGGATTGCTCTTCTAGTTATGTGTAGTTCTGTACATTTGAAAATTACTTTAGACACACAGTGTCCCATATTTTAAGAAAGGACAGGAAAAAAGTATACTAATTCCAAGGAAATAAATAAATAAGGCTGACCAAAAAAATCAGTAGCTAATAACTAACAATTATCAATAAAGGAAAAATCATACGCATTTTGAAATTTGGATGAGTAGAGCTTAAGTGTTTGAAAAAAATAATTTGGAGAAATGTATTATTTTATCCTAACAAATGAAAATAACTATTTTATAAGAAGGAAATACATACTCAATTACAACAATTAATAGTTTAGTAGTACTCTAACAATCTAAAATATCCAGTTTTATTTCCCTTTGAGTCAAAGAATAATGAAATAGATTCAATCAGCAAAAAGAAAAAGAAACTCTAGAAATAATACTTCCGTTAAAGCTCTTAATACTAATTTTACTTTAGTCTACTTCATTTTTTACTTCTCTATTTTTAAGTGGCTATAAATTCCATAAATAATATTGAATCTATAATTTGAGTGAGAATGAGCCACACATTATACATTCTAAACATCAATGTAAAAAAAAAACATAGCCTAATATGTTGGCTTTCAAACTGTTTTGAACTGGACCCACAGAAATAGATTTTACTTTGCAACCCTGTATACACTTACCTTGCATTATATGTGCACATGTAAACAAATGTCAACAAAACCTATACATTACTTGAAATCAAGTCTAATATTTACTATCTTTAAAATTCTACAAAAAAGACTGATTGCTATTCACTAAATTTATTTCTCAATTCACTATTGGACCTTGACTTGCAGTTTGGAAATCATTGATCTAATAAATCTTATGGTTCCATAAATTATATTAAATACATACATACTTTGACTGTGTCAGAACCCAACAATGTCTTTGGGGACCTTGAAGGAGAATCAGAAGAATGCTGAAAAAAAAAGAAAGGAAGGAAAGAAGAAGAGAAAAGGAAAGAAAAGGACAAGCCTGTGAGGCATCATACTAAAGTAGAGGAAAATGAAGAGAAGCAAAGCAAATGTTTGAATTGCACATTCTAGTCTAAAGCATTACCATAGACAAGGAATCCTGTAAGACCTTATCAATGGTAGCACAGAGCTCTTCAGTTTGCTGCCTGAGCTGTGCAGGAAAATAGAGCTGGAAGAATTGAAACCAGGTACTGGGTTAGCAATAAGTTTTGGAATTGCATACCAAAAGCAGGGGTAATCTGAAGTTATTACCTCCACTGGTGGTTCTAATGTGTTGTCCTTGGAGACACTTTCAGTCTTGGCTGGTTCATCTAGTGCCTAGTGACAAATGAAATAGTTCTTATATGAGGCTTCTAGTCATACAACTGGAGTAGAAAAGTATCTTCAAAGAAAGCCTTGTATGTATTAATATTCCAAGAAAAAAATATTTACAGTATTTGATGAGCTATTCTTTAACATGAAGACATTTTTCTTTTAGGTCTTAAGTTTAAGTGTTTAATCCATCTTGAGTAAATTTTTGTATAAGGTGTAAGGAAGGGGTCCAGTTTCAGTTTTCTGCATATGGTTAGCCAGTTTTCTCAACATCATTTATTAAATAGGGAACTCTTTCCCCATTGCTTGTTTTTGTCAGGTTTGTCGAAGATCAGATGGTTGCAGATGTGTGGCATTATTTCTGAGGCCTCTGTTCTGTTCCATTGGTCTATATATCTCTTTTGGTACCAGTATCATGCTGCTTTGTTTACTGTGGCCTTGTAGTATAGTTTGAAGTCAGGGAGTGTGATGCCTCCAGCTTTGTTCTTTTTGCTTATGCAGTCAATTTGGCTTCAGACTCTCTGTCTCTCTAATGATGGGAACTAGCCAAAATCTCTATTCCATTGTTTTCTCCTCAGCTGGGCCTAATGGGCACATTCAATAGTTATCCAGAGATTTGGGCAGAGTTTATCTACAACATTTAGGGATCCTTTTGGCACTCTCTTTTCCAGATTCTCCCCTACTTTCTGGTTTCTGTATGACCTTACACTCTTCTCTGTTTCCTCATCTAATACGTCTGCTGGGTTGTTGCTGAATTTTCACTACTTCATTGTGACCAGATAAGGGACTACCCGTAAGGTGAAAAACTATAAAATCTAGAAACCAACCTAGTGCCATATTTTTCTTGCAAGCGTTGACTCTACTGCAGTTTCTACCTGCCTTGGTCATGCTTCAGTACCTTCAGATAGTTTTTTATATTCTTATCCAGAGTTTATCATTGTTATCTGTAAAACAGTTGGTCCAATACAAGCTACTTCTCTATTTGCAGAAGCAGAATAAGGCAAGCTAATTTTAAATTAATTCAAATTTCGATTTTCAGCACATATTTTCTTTATCACAGAGATTGTATAAATTCAGTCTCAAACCTGTCTCAGGGTAGGCTCGTGACTAAAGGTTATTTTTTCCTACCCTAAGCCTAGATTGATATAAGAAAATCTTATGGCCATTCACAGTGGCTTACACCTGTAATCCTAGCACTTTGGGAGGCTGAGGCAGAAGGATCACTTGAGCCCAGGAGTTCAAGACCAGCCTGGACAACACAGTGAGATCCCATCTCTATAAAAAATTTTAAAAATTAGCTGAATGTGTTGGCATACACCTGTAGTTTCAGAAACTTGAAAGACTGAGGCAGGAAGCTGGATGAGCCCAGGAGTTCAAGACTGCAGTGAGCCCTGATCACACCACTGCACTCTAGCCTGGGCAACAGAGTAAGACACTGTCTCTAAAACAATAAAAATTAAAAAGCGGGGTTGTCATTTCCCTTTGAAAATTTTTTTTTTTTATCATACTTCTTGCAACTGAGAGTGTAACAATTCAAAAATCTTGATTCTTAACGGAGATGCAACTCCAGTTCTCTCTTACCAGAGCATCAGCACCATGATAAACGTTCTGAATTTCAGCCTGCTTTTAGTATTTGACCCTTGGGGATTTCCCCCACTTTTTTTTATGAGCTCAGCTTTATACTGGGTTGAACACACACAAAATTGTCAGTATTCAACTGAAAAATACTTGCCAAGATGGCAATTTCATGTGGCTTGACTTGTTTTTTAATCCATTTTTAAATTGATCATCGATTATAGGTATTTTACAACAGGAAGTTTTTCAAGCAATCTAGTTTCAATATGCTTTCAAAGTTTGAAAATCTATAGCTAGAAAGGTTACACAAAAAATATATGCCATGGGTTCTGAAGACAGTTACAAAAGAGGTTACCAAAAATGCAATAAGCAATTGTAGGCACAAGACAGTTATTTTCAAGAGAAATATCGTCGCTTGAATATATATGTTCTGGTAGATTTGTAAACAGAAAAAATCAAAGATTCAGTTCTCTATTGTCATGTATTATATAACTTTTTAGAATTACAGGTTCCCTTCTCCTCTTATTTAGATTTGCCACCTATTTCTCATTTCTTTATTCCCATTCTGAGGTAGACATATCCTGACAGAAGGTGTTATGCCACCTGTGAAACCATGGAATCCATTGCTCATCAAAATCTCTTTTCCTCCTTCTAACAACCAGGGATCTCCATCCAGAACTATTAGCCTTGACCAAGAGGTACCAGGTCCAGATGCTAGAACTGCCATTTTGGCATGGGATATAACCCTAAGAATTCAGAAAAGTGACTTTAAAAGATAAAATTTTACCATCCCATGTTTTAATAGCTCATAAGGGTAAATATTGTCTGGAAATTTTGTTTTCAAAATCCACTTCTCTGTATTAAATAACAAAATTTGGAAGGTTGGTTATGATAATCTAATAAAAACATTCAATATTGCTTCTTTCTTACCATAACAAAAATCTATTTTGTGCTTTCTTTCATCATTCTTTAAAATTATGATTAATCATGAGAAATGATTGGCAGGAACTGAAAATTTCATAAAAATAACTCTTCACTGGTGTTCAGATGGTTTAATATTTTCCTGGCATGGTGTTTCAATCACCTCCTGTTCACCTTGTTAAAGGGGGAGAGGTTCCTTTCCTTGTGTTACAGGGATAGAAGGTTACATAACTGTTGACACTGTACAGATAAAATCCACAACAGTTTGTTAGTCACATATACTCACAGTCCAGGGAAGGGGGATGCCACAAAACATGCAGGGCCACATGGAGGTCACAATAAGGAACAACCAGGGGTTGTGGGTATCCAGAGAGTAATGCACCCCTGGTTCCACCAAAGGATATGATTGGCTTGTTTGAACTGGAACCTATTACTAAGGCATACTCAGGAATTCCACCTGGTCAGTTGGATAAGGAGGGTTGTTTGGCTAGAGGACCTTATCTGCAGGAGCAGAGTGAAGAGGGGAACTTGCAATTAGGCCATTTGAGGCTCTCTCAATTCTAGCAGATGTCAAGGTAGCACACAATATTGGGCCTTACTTTTAGGCCTTACACCACATGCGACCTCTACTATAGAGAAAATTATGGAAACAAAAAATGTCAGAAATTAAAGACCAGGATTAAGAGCCAGCTCCTCAGGACAGGATTTTGTTCTGGCCCTTGCTCACCATTCCAACAGTGCCTTTCATATGCTCCTCACTCAAAGGCTGCTCTTTAACCACAAAGAACTGCTTCAGTTCTTTGAACTTTTGGTGATCTTTTGAACTACATGTGATTAACTCTCCCTAGATCCACTCTCAGTTCACTTACAGAATTCCTATTCATCCTGAAGATCCAAATCAAACTCCTTTATAACATCTTTCTTGGCCTCACACCAGGCAAAGTCAGCCATTCCCTGTTTGGGGCACCATATCACTTTGCACATATCTTAAGCATATTGCATCATAATTACTTTTTAAACTATATCTTTACCCTACTGGACTATTTGTCCTATTAGACTACAGAAAATATGATATTTATCTTTGTAGGCCCAGGATAGAGAATATGATAGGTGCTTAGTGAAGGTCTTTATGATGAATCACTGGGTAAACCAATGAATAAATGAAGTTAAGTTAAATTAATAAATGAATCATAGAAGTAATATGATTTAAATACTCCCTGGTAAAATGCTCTAGAGAAGTGATTTAAACTCTTTGAGTAATTTAATTGACAAATAAACTATATCTTTCTCTATATTACAGTTAAATTTGTTTACCATCAAAGATTTGAGCATATAATCAATGCTAGTGCAATGCGATTATTTCCTTTTTCAAACCAAACCAAATAAGACTAATATTTTAATTAGTCTGTGGAAACTTACTCTGGCAAACATAACTTTTATTAGGTTACTTGTGATATTGAAATTCACTCAGAGAATGACAGAACTATCTACTCAGGTCCCTTGGAAAACTATGGAAGATAACAGGTGTTAGGTCAGTAATGCTGAAATTCTGAAATGGCACAAAATACTCAGGCTGTATTTTTAAAAATTGGATGGGGGGCTTATTTTGAACTTAAATAGTCTTGAAATTTACTAGAATTGATTTTTTTAATTGACTGTGCGTTACTTGTCAGATGTATCATTGTGATATACACCACTTCTAGCAACCATAAAAAGTAGCTTCTTTTTCTATCGTCCAAAATTTTCTCTTAAAAGCATACTTTAAATCTCCATTAGTAAGAATTCTGACCAGAGATTGCTTTTTGGCAAGCTAGCCAGCAGGAAGATATTGTTTCTCTAGATTTATTCATTTCGGGTAAAAGTCTCTTAAAATATTATCTAATAAATTATTGTTATTAAAAATATACATTTTCTACCAAATTGGACTACAGAAATTGAGGCATAAATGGAATATTCTTTGAGCTCATTCATCTTAAAGAATTCTTAACTAATACAAATAATCAGAAATACTCTCATTACAAGTGTTGGTAGTTTGTTCAGAAGTGCCAACTTTGGGGCCCAGCTTTTGAAAAGATACCAAATAAATCTCATAGCAGAAAAGAATTTCTGAACTTAGCACTACATTAAAATTAGGAGCCAAGAACTATGAAAAAGCATTGCAAATCAAAGTCCTTGTGTAAAAGTATGCCAATAAACTGTAATGGGTATTCCCAGTTATGAGTGTCCCTGATGAAACTGCAAACACTTTTTAGTCAAATATATGGAGTTAGTCTAATTTGCTCCCTTAAAATATAGGATGAAGTTCTAAAAGTAGGGAGTTGGAAAGTAAACTGCCTCCAAAGGAAGAATGATCTAACAGAATCTGTAAACTTTTTGTTATACTTAGACTATCTATTTGATTGAATTTCAAAAATTTCATTCCTGAGTTATTAGATTTTAGTAACGATCAAATCAATCCCCCAAAATTATGTATAGCCTAAATTCTCCTATACTTTGTTAATATGACCTGCTATTTGGTAGAATAAATCCCCTAAGGACTACAAAATACTTACCGGACTAATATAAAACCATGTGTAGGATAGTAGATATTGTTAGAAAAATAAATCTCACTTTGATTGTCTAGTTGGGGATTCAGGTCTGAATAACATACACCACTGAAGAAAAGGAAAAAAAGTACACTGCAAACCAAAGGAGCTTGCAGGTATATAAAGTAGGGTTTCTTTAAAGATCTGGGAATATTTGCCAGTAAAATATTTTTACATGATTGGTTTAAAAATATCAAGAACTGAAGAACTCTAGTTGGTGATTTTACTCCCAAGAGCTTTGGAAAGTTAAATGTTTGTTCCTCCCACAGAGAAGGGAGTTTTTGCAAACCATTCCAACCAGTTTCAAACCCATTCCAGCAAAGCTCAATGGTAGGGGAATCTATACTTTTTTGCATTCAATTAAGGATGTCAGAAGGGTGTTCTTTATTTCCAGAAGCACCTCCTTCACTGTAATTTGCCTCATCTCTTTCAGTAGCTCAAGGAATTGAGCTGGTTTGTAATCCATCACTCTCTCAAGTCATCTCAGAGCCACATTATTTCCCATTTTCTTTTAATTTTTCCACATAAAAACAAAATACTCTTCTTGCTCTCATTTAATGAAGATATAAATATATTTTAGCAAGTAATGAAAACAAGTGTTGTAGGCAGGGATCCCATATGAGCATCCCTTACTCAATAATTCACTGTAGCTAGCTGATGTCACTGTACAGTACGGAACAGGGAAGGCTGAGAGCCAATCAGAGCTCCTCTGAGGTCCAATTTAGCAACTTAGTAACCTTGATGCTTTAGGGAATTTACTTGGCTTCTTTGAGCATCAAATTCTTCACAGAGTTGTGAAGATGAAAGCGCACTTAGCTCAATGTCTGATACACTAGAGTATTCAATACGGCAGCCTTTGTGATTGTATTGTCTAATCTTCAAAAGTGCCAGCTTACTTCCCCTCCAGCAGAAGGCTGTTCTATAAGCTTTTCCATGGAAGTAGAATTGATGAGGCTTATTCTGTCCTAAAGAAAGATCCTTTGCTATTTTTGTTTTGATTGGCATACAGTAGTCTACTTTATTTTTTTTATGCTTATGAGCAAAAATTTGCCTTAAGAGCCTGTGGAATAAAATTGGAAATTTTAGAGACCTATCTGGCCCCAAACTAAACTTATTTATTTAATGAACATTTAGTAAAGAATATAGTATATCTGCCTCTTCAAGAAGTTCAAGATAGAGAAAGAAAGCAATAAATATGCATAATTAAATACAATTTGATAATTTTTTTAAATTATGCACATAGTAGACAACTACCCGAGAACCATTTACCATAGATTTGAGTCCTGGACTCTTCTCCATTATTAAAGAAATTGGGAACACATTTGCCTCTTGCACTAGAATCTAAATTAAGCAATGTTTCTCTAATATAGGTCATGTGCTAAATTAGCAATAAGGTTTTGTTAAATTTTTAAGACATAAAGATTTTTTTTTTTTTTTTTTGAGACTGAGTCTCACTCTGTCACCCAGGCTGGAGTGCAGTGGCGCGATCTCGGCTCACTGCAACCTCCACCTCTCAGGTTCAAGTGATTCTCCTTCCTCAGCCCCTGGAGTCGCTGGGATTACAGGCATCTGCCACCATACCCAGTTAAATTTTTTTTGTATTATCAGTAGAAACAGGGTTTCACCATGTTGGCCAGGCTGGTCTCGAATTTCTGACCTCAGGTGATCCACCCTCCTCGGCCTCCTAAAGTGCTGGGATTACAGGCATGAGCCATCACGCCCTGCCAAGACATAAAGAGATTTTAAAATATTCTCACCTAAGGAAATATCTTTAATAAGATTGGAGTTTAGCAACTCATGCTTTAAAAAATTAAATAGGCAACTTAGCTGGGTGTGGTGTTGTGTACCTGTAGTCCCAGCTACTCAAGACGCTGAGGCAAGAGGTTTGCTTGAGACTAGAATTTCAAATCTAGCCTGGGCAACATAGCAAGACTCCATCTCAAAAAATGAAACAAAAAAATCAAAGAGGCAACTTAGAATAAATAGACTTGACAGTTGACAGGATATATCAAAATTTTGCCTTTTTCTTTTTATGCCGTCGTTTTTATTAGTTGTTAAAATAACTAATTTTATATTCCTTGCACCAAAAAAAAATGTTTTTCCTATAACTTTCCATTTAAAGAATTAAACCTGTAATTATTTTTTGCTACTTATAAAACTGAGCTGCTCCAGAATTCTTCTCTTAAGTACACACTTCTTATGAATCAAATGTATCGTGAAAATGGCAAAGAGTAATGCCATTTATTAGGAACATTGTACCTAGCCCCAGCCCTAATTTTATCCTCAGAAATACTTATGAGGAAGTAAACAGAGAGTTTAAATTACTTTCAAGGAAAAAATTTATATTTTCATGGAAAAATATTAATCATTGGTAAGACAATAAAGATGCATATTCTTTGATTTTATGGAAATATTTCTTCATTCTCTCCTCCTTTAACAACTACATGATAAAAATAATAATCTATTTACTTGGAATATTAATATGTGTCAAACAGTTTAACTTTTTACCTATTGCTATCAGACTCAGATGATAAGAAGAAAAACTAGTCAATGAAAGCGAGACCTTTAACTTTCTCTAAAAAAGACAGTACACATCAAGATATATCACAAGACTGATATGGTTTGGCTGTGACCCCTCCCAAATCTCAATTTGAATTGTATCTCCCAGAATTCCCATGTGTTGTGGGAGGGACCCAGAGGGAGGTAACTGAATCATGGGTGCCAGTCTTTCCCATGCCATTCTCATGATAATGAGTAAGTCTCAGGAAATCTGATGGGTTTATCAGGGGTTTCTGCTTTTGCTTCTTCCTCATTTTCTCTTACCACCACCATGTAAGAAGTGCCTTTGATTCTGAGGCCTCCTCAGCCATGTGGAACTGTAAGTCCAATTAAACCTCTTTTTCTTCCGGTCTCAGTTATATCTTTATCAGCAGAGTGAAAACAGATTAATACAAAGACTAAAAATAAAGTCCATATCAACTTATTTTATCTACAGACCTTAGTATATTGTTGAACATATTGTAATAAAGTCTATGGACAGTCACAATGTAATCTGATTACTTTATAATCATTTGCATTTCATCCTCATGTCATTCTTGGAGAAGATGATTATTGGCAGGAGGTTAAGCCAAGGACCCTGATGAAGCCAACACAATAAAAATCATACCTTACATTTATCTCTCCCTAGAAATCCTTATTTAAGACTTAAGCTATAAATGCTTCCTTCTTAAAGGTTCACAGGGGAAAAATGATAGAATATGGAATAAGATATAAATTTAAATTTTGATGCAGACAATAAATTACAGAACAGAAGTACCAGAAACCTCATGTTCCCTGCCAACAAAGTGTACTCTTTTAAAAATGATGGGCTTCATCCAGGGTTGATTAAAACTGAAACCAATCCAGTAATTCAACGAGAGCTTAACATCTCATTGCAAGGGATGCCGGTATTTCAATTAGGAAAAAATCTTGCTTTTAAAAATAGCATTATTTTTTAAAAAGTAAATCTGGTTTCTCATTAATTATACTATATGCTGTAGAAAAGAATGTGGCATAAGATACCCATCATGGGTTTAATCCAATTGGAGAGATAATTGTTGAAATAGCTAAGACATGAATTATTTTTGTTAGCTCCAGCTTCAAGGCATTCCACAGCATGGACCCTACCCAAGTATTATAATGAGTCTACAACCTTACCTACCCCTGAATTGTGGTGTTCTGTGTGATATCAAAGGGATCTCAGAAAACCTTCTGTGATTTAAAATATTGCAAGATTTTTATTCTTCCATAAATAGAAGAGTTCCTCAAGATTATAGTCCTAATTTTCCCACTCAATTCAGAAATAAATCCCTTTTATTTCAGTGGCATTAAGATAAAGTCTATTGTATAAACAGATGAGTATAAATGATTAAATTGTCAGATTTATTTTTTAAAACTATAACACTGAAAGGAACAATACAATATCATTCAAAAAATACTATTGAAAATGGAGGTAACTCATAAAACCTTTAGATAAGGCTTTGATATTTTAAAATTCTTACAAAGTAAAATTTCTTATTGAGGAACACATAACATGGGAAAGCCAGCAGAAAGTATGTGGAATAATTTAAAGGACCTAAAGAAAAAAAAATTCACTTAACATCTGAGACCTTTGAATAAGTTAAATATTTATGGTCCAAAAATTATACTAGCCAAGAGACAACAACCTACACTAGCCCTTATACAATAATGCAGCACCCTCTAGAATAACACTATTTTAAATTTAGATATCATGTTTATATTTTTTGTATGAACAATAGACATAATAATTTTCCTACAGAATGTTTTATTTAAAATTAAAAACACAAAACCTTTTGCACATGAACTTGTATAATAGGCTAAATACACATCAATATCACCATACACATTTATGAAATGGGTTTGTAATAAAATTGGAAATTAAACTAATGACTCTTCATTTTCACTGACTAATGAATAAATTATAAGCTCAATAATTTAGTTAATTGGAAGAGAATTCTGGAAACAATCCTAACAGACAGAGATTCTGGAAACAGTACTGACATCTAGTCTTATCTCACAAAAGACTTTCAGAAAGAATTAACTTTCATTTTTCTAAATAGGAAATTTACATAGTAGCAGAACATAGTTCCAGAAGAATGTGCCTAGATGAGGCGAGACAAGTATGAGGGAAAGACGAGCATGAAACAGGCTCCTCATCTCCTCTTTGCCTCACTGCTGATGGAGAGTGATTCTCCCACATCTGTGAAAGCACACACTTGTGACCAGGTTCCAGAAATCGCCATCCAAAATAAGCAGAGAGTCTGTGGTGTGGGAACTCTGCCACCATCTCCCACCATTATGGCCCCAGAGTGTGGAATAAGGGGCAATGGAAAAGTGTCCCTTTCCACAACCTCCAGAAGTCTCCTGAAATCCGTATTTTAGTCCCATCTCATCTTTTAACAGACAATAAGGGGTAGAAATTCAGGAGAGATGCTAGGGAAAAAGCTGCAGATTTTCCTGCAGCCTAGTGAACCTCCAGTTCAAAGCACTTACATATACAGAACATGGATTGGACACTACCTGTGTATAATGTGGAATTAATGTCCACCTATACACTACTTGTTCCACTAACAATTCCTACTTATTAGATAAGAGATCATACAAAGGTTTTACTCTTCAGATCATGCTAAAAGAATAAGAATGTAGATTTATAAACCAGTGATCATAATACCACCTGGTTGGCAAACAACGTTTTGATAAATGATAGTCTTTGAAACACCATAATTACACAGAAAAAAATGGACTTAGTGCATTGAGAAATAAATTGACTAAATACATAATCATAAAAATAATATATGAAATGAATAATTTCATAGACTTGGTAACTCATTTCACTTTGATTCTGATATCAATCCTCTACTTGGCTTTCATTTAAACATGCGTAACATATTTATTAAACAAGAGGCTTCAATTTAATTTACCTACTTATGTAACAGCCTATAATTTTATTATTAATGACCCTTAATAGCAAAGCAAAAATCTCTTGGAGTCATGTGAAAGCAGTTGGGTCACTGAGAGTCATCTCAGTCTTCCCTTCTGTTCATGAAAGTAGGACCACTGGCTGGCAAGAATGGGTGGGTGAAGAGGTTTAGTCCACAATGGAATCTATGAGGCTAAGTTGAATACTCAGCTATAATATCTGAGTATCAGTATAGTACAATGGTGGAAGCCACTGTTAGTCACCAAGTCTTTACCAGTCAACAACCCAAGGTGGCCAACTGTTCACAAACAATCCCATTTCACCTCAATTCTTTTGATCAATATGGACAGATATGAAAGTTCTTGATATGGAAGTTTTTGAATATAATAATTATTTAAAATTCCAAAGAACGGAGATCTATCCAAATCTGAATCAAGTTTCCCAAAGTAGCTTGACAGTGGACTAAACATCCCTAGGCTCATATTCAGTCTCTAGCAATAAACCAATAATATCTCCAATTATATTCACCAAAATGTTTTCACCACATCATCCTAAACTAAGAATGGAATGTTATTTTAGTAAAGGCAGAACTTTAAAACAGAAATCTTCCCAACAGAAATTTTAGAAAACATTTTAAAAATCACATTAAAAATGTAAAATTCACTGTTTTTGAGCCAACACTGACCTTCTGTTCCAAAAGCAATGTGTTTGTAGGGATTGCTGCAAAAGCCTTGTAGCTTGACTTGGTCTTGTATTGCTAGAATGGGCAACCAGAAAGCAAGAGTAGAGATGAAAATGGGAAAGAATATGACATAATTTTCAGACAGTTCTACCAAGTTAAATGATACGTTATCAAATGAAGAAAAGGGTTATTATGCTGAACAACTTGTTTCTGACAGAAACAATTAGCTTACCATGTTAATATTTTATTAGAATGAGAAGCGAAGAAATGCCACAGTAAAATATCAGCCTAGAGATTACAGGCAACTATATGCCACTCCATTTCAGAGCTTAAAAACTTCCTTTACACAAAGTTATATATAAATTTTTCATTGGCAGCATTCCCTAATGGGAGTACTATTCTATACATGAGGACAGGAGATGGCTCTGCTTGATCCTCAAAGGAATGTTTCTTTTCTACAGTGTCACAATTAACAAATATTATGCCAATAAGTGTAATTGAGCTCTTGATCATTTTCTTGCATCATCCGTAAAAACAGAGATCAAAATACATAAAAATTAGCAGCCATTTTTTATACAAGCAGCAAAGTAGTCAATAATTTGAACATAAATAATATCAGCAATGTAACTCCATAAAGAAAAACAAAAAGTACACACTCTTGATCTTAAACTCATTTTTTAAACCTCATCACCCCCTGCACCTTCTAACAGTTATGTTAATGAAGCAAATGTTAAAATTTCCTAAGTGTTAAGTACAACTCAGAATAATACAGTTCAGTGTTGTAGAATATCTGAGGGAGATGGGTGAGCATGAGGAAGCTGTAGAAATCAGGATAAATATGCATAATCAAAAACTCAGTTTTGATACTGCTCTGGGTCTCCAGCTGATGAACTGAGTTCAAGGCTCCTGTCACTTCAGATGCCCTTGTCTCAGGCAGCTTCCCCAGTGGCCAGTACCAGTGAGGAAATTGGCACAGAGCTCCAGGCTATCTTAGTGTCTTCAAAAGCAAAACAAAGTGTCTGCAGAAGACAGTGTCATCAAATAAAATTAAACCTTGGGTTTTATAGATGTAATTGAAGGAAGCTTCATTAAAGTGGGGTGGTGAAGGTAAGAGGCTAGCACATTTATTTTCCTTAGGAAAAAGTTGAAGTCATGAGGAATCAAAGTGCCAGACCCAGAAGAAGAAAGTCAGCATCCAGCTAACAGCAGAATGCATTCTCTTTTTCACTGTTTTCTTTCTTTTCTTGGTATACTGAGTTAGATAATGAAAAGGAATTAGCAACCCAAGGCCTGCATGCCAGCAAGTGTCATAGAAAGTCACACTAGCAAGATAATCAGTCACCCACAAATACATGCTCACTTACACACTCTGATTCATACACATGAATATATACATATATACATATGTACTCACATACAGACACACACACAATCATTCAGAAACACGCACTCAGCAAAACGTGCACAAGAGCTCCGAAGCTGCACACTTTTTCCCAAAAAAGTACTCTGAATGTTTACTTATCTTCCACTTTCTCTCCTCCATATAGCTCTTCTCCCTCATAGGAAGAAGCTACGTCGCTTTCTGCAAGTCTCTTAACTCTTAAGGAACCTACACTCCCATCTCCTACATGAGCGGCAATTGCTAGAAGATGTCTCAGGTCACTTCAAGCCCTAAGTTGCTACATTAACCCTGCACTGCTGTGGTCTCTAGACAACAAGATATTTGAAAAAGGACGGAAATTGAAATACTATCTTTCCATGGGAGCTGACATTTATTACTACGTTGACATTTATTACTATTACTCATTTAATTTTACAGAAGTCCTATAACTAGACAGTTATTAAGAAAAGCAGAGGTCAAATGACTTGTCCAAGACCACGCAGCCCATAAAGAGCCTGCCTGTGTCCAATATACGTGCTTTCTCTATAATATTTTCTTCCAAAGAATACCTAAGCCTACATGTAATGCAGAATAAAATATACCATCTCACTCTATGATGGTTTTATGAATAGTTAATTGTAGTTATAGTTGCAATCATAATAACAATATCTAACAATCACTATGAGCCAGGTACCATTCTAAAAGCTTGAGTGAATTAACTCACTCAATTGTCACAACAAAGCTATTAGGTAGATACTATACTATCCCCATTTTATATATGGAAACTGAGGTACAGAAATGTTAAATAACTAATCGAAGGTCACCAGATAGTGCATGTCAGTCCTGGCTGGAATTTGGACACAGGCACTTTATCCCAACAACTATGCACATATCTACAAATGCCCTTGCTTCTCATTTCAGGATGTGTAATCATTTACAGTGCTTGTTCTCCTATCCTCAACTTCCCTAAAGAATATAGCTGGGAAAGCCTGTACAGAGACATATCTTGTTATTGCACACAAAATGTCAAAGAATCTTACCATAAGAAGTGATATAGAAGGTCATTTGGTTCAACTCCCTCATCTGACACATGAATCTCTGTTCTGTTTAGTAGCCAAATGAACACTTGCTTGCCTCCCAAGGCAGAACATTCAGGTCTAAGTGTTAGAATTAGTACAAAATTCTCCCCTACATTGAGCCAAAATATGCTTCCTGCTAACTTATCTCATTGGTCCTATTTCCCCCCTCTTGAAATCATGGCTCATGCCAAGAGCTCTCTTCTGCATAATTATATTGCTTCCTTCACCAACTCCCTGATACTCAAGTGAAGAATTCCACTACCCTCATTGCTCTCCTCTGATAATATTCCTTAAAATTATAAAAAGCGTTTAATAGATGTGTTTTTAGCACATAGTAAAATATAATCATCAAATCATCACCTCCATGATATTGATGATAAACTCAATTAATGTAATGAAGATAATAATTGGGATCATCTCCTTAGTTTTTGTGGAGAGTTTAAAAATATGCAAGAAAGGAGGTTGGAATTACTTCATACTGTTGGATCACACTGAGTAGGCTATCACCTAAATTCCTAATCCTTTCATCTTTTTTCAAAACATTTACTAATAATTCCATCCTATATTTATGCTTATTTATACCTTTTTATACCCAAAAACAGGGCTTTAGGCATTATCTTTATCAAGTTTTATCTGATTAGATTGGGTTTGTCATTGTAAGCAATGAAGACAAGAAATTTTAGATTATTTCATGAAACATTTTGTTAGGTGTGTCATTTTTATCTTCACTCAAATCATATACTAAGGACTAGGAACTCCTGCCACTGGGGTCTCCCAACTTGGTGGACATTAACTGATCCTGTAAATCTATTTATGGTTGTTCAACTAACGTATTTATTCAAGAAATTTTTTCTCTTTCTTTTTCTTTTTTTTTTTGTGGGGGAGGGGGTGGTGGGGGACAGAGTCTTTCTCTGTTGCCTAGGCTGGAGAGCCATGGTGCGATCACAACTCACTACAGCCTCTAACTCCTGAGCTCAAGCAATTCTTCCACCTCAGCCTCCAGAGCATCTGGTAATACAGGCATGTGGCAGCATACCCAGCTAATTTTTTTTTATTTTTTTTGTAGAGATGGGTTCTTACCATGGTGTCCAGGCTTGTCTTGAATTCTTAGGTTTAAGGCCTCCTCCTGCCTTAGCCTCCCAAAGTGCTGGGATTACAGGCGTGAGCCACCATGCCTGGCCAAGAAATATTTATTGAGTACCTACTACATGACATGCACTACTCCTCTAAGACATACATACCCTTTCCTTTTCAGTATAAAAATCCTATTTATTGCCCAAAAAAAGACACATTTTGAGTCCACTGTTTTTCCTCTGGGTTCTCTTAACAATATGTACTCGATCTAAATATGAATTTTTTATTCTAATTTGAAACACACCTCCTCTTAAGCATTTCAAGGCTTCCAGGTGCTAAACCAAATTCATTTATTTTCCTCTTTGGCTTAAAATTACTAATCATTCTAATGTGGAATTACAGGGTTAGAGTAAACATTAGCTAATCATAGGAGGTAAAAATGATTGGCCTAAACCTGAATCTGGCAAACAAGGCAATAATACCTATTGGTTCTCTCCAATTTGTAATCTATGCTTTCAGTAAACATTTAAAAAATATTTCTTAAATATCCTCTGCATGGTGCAGGTCAAAGTTTAGGTTTGGAAAACAAAATGGCATTTTATTACTTATGTTTACCAGAGCTAATCCTGTTTATGGGCAATGCTAGTTGCCAGCTGCAATATAAATTCTGGGTTTGAAGGTAAGGATAGCAAGAACACATTCTGCCCCTTCAGAAAATATTTTCCACTAAAGTCATATATCCTGTTGCTGATGTCTAAAATTTCACCACAGGCTCTAGTAATAAAGATCCATGAGGTCACAAAGTGAACTATGTTAGTTGCTTTGAGGATCAGGGGTTTGGACTCACAGTTACACTTTAAGTGTGGTAAATCAGGGGCCCCTAACCCCCAGACCATAAACTGGTACCTGTTAGGAATTGGGCCAAACAGCAAGAAGTGAACAGCAGGTGAGCGTGTATGACTGCCTAAGCTCTGCCTCCTACCAGATCAGCAGCAGCATTAGATTCTCATAGGAGTGCAAACCCTATTGTGACTGCACAGGCAAAGGATCTAGGTTGTGTGTCCCTTATAAGAATCTAATGCTTGATGATCTGAGGTGGAACAGTTTCATCCCAAAACCATCCCCAAACCCTCAATCCATGGAAAAACTGTCTTCCATAAAACTGGTCCCTGGTGCCAAAAAGGTTGGGGACCGGTGCAGTAAATGCAAGAAACTTGGGTTATATAAACAATAGGATGAGGAAACCATGGTGAAGGGCCTCACTACCACCATGTCCAACTTCTTCCAGAAGCATTCCTGGGCAGAGATGAGAGCATCACTCTACATGTACACTTTCTGCTCCTCGGTGATCACGTCTGTCTTACCTGAGTCAGAATCTCCCTGACATCAGTCCTGAGATGAAAGCTCAACCAAGCCCTGATCCCGTTCATAGGGATTGCCCAGACACTTCCTTATATCTGGATTACTGGCAGAGCACAATCTATAATGATCCTGATAATGGAAAAGCTAGAGGTGGAGGATACAACTGTCAAAAACTGCCTGGCAAAGCAGATGGGCGAGGTAGCAACTGAGAAAACCTCCCAGGACAGGTCCCTTCCCAGGACCCCACTGCATCCCTCATTTATCTTTTCATTCCTCTAACACCTTAAATGCATAATTTTGTTTCATTTTATTATAATATTTTGCCATCCCTATCTGCCTGCTAGATCTTTTAGAGGAGAGATTTTATATTATTTGTTCATTTATTTTCAACACCTAATACAAACCTGGCAGAGAAAAGATGTTCAGCAAATATTTGTTGACTTGAAATATCTAATTGAAAATTACAATAAGATTCAAGGACATGAAAAAACACAAATTTTTAGTTCTTCGTCTATGGTTCAAGTCCTAGACAAGCCTGGCTAATTAAAGACCTCCTTCCACCACTCCAAGCATGCCCTGAGAACATTTCTAATACAGATTTTTGAAGTCATTTTTCTTCATGACGTAAACCTGTAACATTTGCTGCATTATCTTGATCCCTGTTTTTTCCTTTGACAATTCTCTTGTTTGAGTTAAACTGCACACTCCCCTCAATTAAAATGCAAATCCTGGCCAGTGTGGTGGTTCATGCCTATAATTCTAACAGTTTGGGGGGCCAAGGCAGGCGGATCACCTGAGGTCAGGAGTTCAAGACCAGCCTGGCCAATGTGGTGAAACCCCGTCTCTACTAAAAATACAAAACTTAGCTGGGTGTGGTGGCAGGTGACTGTAATCCCAGCTGAGGCAGGAGAATCAATTGAACCTGGGAGGCAGAGGTTGCAGTGAGCCGAGATTGCGCCATTGCACTCCAGCCTGGACGCCAAGAGCGAAACTACACCTCAAAAAAAAAAAAAAAAAGCAAATCCCCCCAGGGAGTGCGGGGTTAGAGAGGAAGACAAGCTTTTGTCAATCATTGAACACCTGAGTGCGAACCGTTACTAGGATCAATTCAGAGAGGCTAGCTGGAGAGAAGCACAGGAGTGGTACACAGAACTGGTCAGTATAGAGGCCGAGTGACAGATAGCATAGCTGAAAGAAGCCTGGAAAGTCAAGGATTCTCAAGAACTTTGTGAAGGGAGTGGAGTAAATGACAGTGAGATAAAAAGAGAAAAACAAAATAAGAAAGCACATAAGGCTAGTTTCAGCGTTTTTTTTTTGTTGTTGTTGTTTTTTTCATTTCACGTAGTGGCTCTGATGTTTGGTGAATGTTTGTTACTCTGCCTACAAAACATAATGGAAATCTTATCTTCACCTTCACTGCTATAACTTGACCATAGCCACCATCATCACTCACCTAGATGGTAGCAATAGACTTCTAAGTTCTCCCAGCTTAAACTTTCACCCTCTCATGGTCTATTCTTATTTAGCAGTGAGATAGTTAAGATGGTCACTTATCTATTTGAAACCCTCCAAAGACTTCCTGTCTTACTTAAAGTAAAAATCAAAGACTAAAGAGTGGCCCACAAGACCCTCCTACAGGATCCGGCTCCCAGCTACATCTCCCTCTGACAACCTCAACATCCTGTTCCTCACTGCTAGCCCAGAATGTGTTCTTTGTACCTGTCAAGCACTCTCTGGCCTCAGAGCATCTTCCTCACTATACTCTCTTAAGGAGTATCACCTCCTTGGATGTTACATTCTCAAAGAAACCTATCCCAATACCCCAACATAACTTGTGACACCATCCCTTCTCTATTTCCCTTGAGAATCAGGGATATACTTTTCTCTATGACACATATGACCTTCTGACACACACAATAATTTACTTATTTGGAGGGGTTATTATTGATTGTTTCTCTTCCACCAAAGAATATAAACTGTCTTTGAACAGGCATCATTGCATATTTTATTTATTGCAATATCCTCACAGCTTTGAAAAGCACACCTATTAGGTAATCAATACATATTTATTGAATGACTGATTTGCTTGAACCCAGATTAACTATTTTATCTCAGGCAGACACATTCCATATTGCTCATTTTCCAAATTACATGTGGTTCTGCAGAAATGAAGAAAGTCACAGATAGACTGCTGCCACTAAGTTTTCAGTGTGATGTATTTGGGAATGTTTTGATGTCTTAAAGGAAGGAGACTTTTGTGAATAAAACACCAGTTATAAAGTTTTATGAAATATAAAATAGCTCTCAACTTGTTCCCTAAATAAGCTATGTGTCCAAATAGCTTTAAGCCCAGGGCAGGCCCATGAATGGAGAGTCTTTATAATTGGAACTAATCTTCAGACTGTCTTCGGTAAGTGGCAGACTCTACGAGGCTTTGATGAAATGCTTACCCTAATTTCCATATGGACCACCATACTAATTCACTAGGATAAAAATTTAAATTCTTTTATAAATGAAGGCAGAACAGATTGGGGACCCAGACACAACTCCATGGGTGAATTTTGTAATATCCAGTCTTTTGCATGGGAAAAAAAAGTCTCAGACAATATAGATGTTGATCAAAAAGTAGGCCAGGCATGGTGGCTCACGCCTGTAATCCCAGCACTTTGGGATGCCGAGGCAGGCGGATCACTTGTGGTCAAAAGTTCAAGACCAGCCTGGCCAACATGGTGAAACCCCGTCTCTACTAAAAATACAAAAATTAGCCGGATGTTATGGTGCACACCTGTAATCCCAGCTACTTGGGAGGCTGAGGCAGGAGAATCATTTGAACCCAGGAGGCAGAGGTTGCAGTGAGCCAAGATCACACCACTACACTGCAGCCTGGGCGACACAGTGGGACGTGTCTCAAAAAAAAAAAAAGGCAGGCTGAGCAGCATTCAGATGCCCATCCTATCTAAAGCAATGATTATAATGTGAAATAGTATTTTAAACTACATCTGAATTTAACATATCATAGCAATTATATCACACAAATGCAAGCAGATTCAGAACCTTAAGATTTTATGTATGAAAAAGGAACATCAAACACACTTTATATCTGAATTTAGCTCAGCATACTATGGTTGATCCATTTTATTTTAATATCAAAGGACAGTAGAGCCCAGACTTTAAACTAATATCCTCCAAGCACTCATGTTTTAATTAGATGCCATCTGTATTCTATGATCCCTGTTATTTCAGAATCTCAGAGTGAGTAAAGCTGACCTAAATCTAAAGCTCTTTGATTTCAAAAAGAGTCCTGTGCTCAGCTTAGCATCACACTGGAAGGAGCAAGACAAGAAACAACCCATGAAAGCATATAAATTCTTCAATATCACACAGCATTTGTCTATTTCTTCCTATCATTCTGTAAAATAATGTTACCAATTTAAACACTAGCCAAACATCAAAAGAGCTTGGGATAAGATTTATCTATTCCACATCCATTTTAATAAGTTTTTTATACTCAAGATACGATTTCTGAAAATAATAGATTGTAATAAAAAAAAGTAGGCTGACTTTCTGATTTTTACCTAAAGAGATAATATAGCAAGATGCAAGGAGAAAATAAACATGAAAAAGAATAGCATTGTCTCATAGTCCATACTATTCTATTTTTGCAGAAGCTATTATAAATTTTACCCATGATAAGAAGCTTTTTTTTCTGTTCAAAGAAATCTATTGATATTTTTACTGGTAGTTAAATTATAATCATTCTTATTTTCCTGTTCATCAAATTTACTTTGCATTTCTTTGAATTTTCTTTACTTGGAAATTCTTTAAAAAGTAAAAAGCAAATGCTGAAAATTTTTCAATGTTGGGTGCAGGAAGAGAGCCCCAAAACAATAGGTCTTCAATAAATATGCCTTTAATGTATCAAAAGCCCTTTGGGGCTCACCCTCTTCCAACTCTCTGACTATATCCAAAACAGGAGAAAACATAAAGTGTGGTGAAACACACATAGAAATGCTTTGAAAAAGCTTCTAGAGTGAAATCACTTTTCACAAAAAAAGAATAAGTATATGGCATCATGGTTCAAAAAATGATAGTTAATGCACTCAGGAAACAGTAATGATTAGATTGTGAGTTCGTTTTAAATACTCTACAAATAAATTTTATAATCACATATATGTATTTAAAATATAATAAACAGGTCAATTTACCTCAAATAAGTAGGATTGTCAATTGAGAATCACAGAAAAAGTTAAATTTTATCCATCTCATTTTCTTTGAATGTTTAAAATACAAGGACTTAATCTCCAATACATTTTTTAAATGACCCCAAAATTATATAAATTGGGAATTCTGGTTATAATTCCTTAATAATGATTTTCTTCATGAGAATTGTAAAGTCAGGCTAAATTGCTAACATGAGTTATTTCTTTGTAGCAATAAATGATAGTAATAAAGAACATGGCTTCAAGAATCAACAGACTTAACATTACATAAATGTCAGCTCCGAAACAGACCCATTACCTGGACAATTATTCACTGAACTTCAGTTTTTTGGTGTACAAAATAGGGAAAATAGTATTATCAACTTCATATAGTTACAAAACTTAACTGATGTAATCCATTTTAATTAATTTTTCAACTATTTTGTATACTAGCATAGTTCCTGACTCACAGAAAGCATTTGATATTGCTGCTATTATTACCGTCAGATTATAAGGCTAATCGTCTTATGTCTCCACACACAGACTTCTGAGATCATCTTCTGTATATTTGGTCAGATTGTTTTCCATTTCTGAAATGCCAACTTCTTTCCTCTTCATTAAGTTAAATCCTAAATATTTCCGACAGGCCTGACATTTTTTATAACTTCCCTTACTAACCATGTTCCATCACATTACTCCTGTTATATTGAACTCAGTTGATGATTATTTATAATCTGACTTACACAATTAATTTTGCCTTATATTGGTTTTCTAGCTGTACTGTAGATTTAATAACTGTATATAGCCTCTCCAAATTGTGTATATTTTTTTCTACTGATTAAAATTGAATTATTCTAAGACAAAAAAAATCTCTTACTTCCCTTTAAAAGAAACCACACACACTCTAAAGAAAGCTAGTATAGTGGTACACATATAGCAGGTATTTAATGCATGTTTTTGACTTGAATTGTTTTGTGACATCATTTACAAGATAATGAGGGTCACTTTATCCCTTCAACGTGACATTCATCATCTGAAAAGTGACAGTGAAACATACTCTCCATGGTATTTCAAAGCTCTAAAACTACATTATTTCAATGTGCTGAGCTGAAAATCACCACCCCTTCTTATGCAGGCACTTTAACTGTTTTGTTTTATTGATATAACAGCTATCAAATTCTGGGTATGGGTGATCCACAATCTGAATTACTTGAGAATAGTTGGGAAGCCAGCATGCCTTAGTGTAGAGTTGCTTTCTGCTACGAGAACGTGCTTGGCTATGTCACAGGCCTAGATCTAAGATAATATTCCATTTTATATTAATCCTGTCTACTATTCCATCAGTACAGGATATTTGGATGGATGCTAGGGTCCCTGTTAATAAACAATCAGAAACATATCATAGTCCTGAATCTCTACTACTTGCTTTTAATTCTGTCATTAGGGCCAATGATATAACTCATATTATGTCTGAGGAAAAATAATACCCTTGGAGTCATAGATATAAGAAGTTAGGAAGAGAAAGAGGATTTTCAAAATCAAAGGATTTGACTGAAACACATAATTCTATACAGATTATAATTCATTTACACATTCAAATATACCAAGTCCTGGTACCGTCTTGCACTTTTTCTTCCTCCTTGTAGGAGTACAATTAATACTATAATTATTGATTTCTGCCTTGGGGAAAAAAAAAAGATTCTTCCCTGTTTCAAAATAAGCATGCACCATGCAACATGCAAAAAATACCTTTGATTTCTTATTTTCTGGGCCTGTTGACATGGACAATGCACAAGGTGAAATCAGCTCCTCTGTCCTTGTTAGAGATATGGGAAGTGATGGGGTTGAAACAGGTGACCTGTGGTTGGGGGTGGTGCTTTCAGATTTCCCAAGTCTTGAAGGCAAGGTACCACTGCCGCAATGTGGGTGCAGAGCTGAGGGACTGAGCTGGGGCACCAGGGTGGGCAGATTGGCATGAGGGAGAGAGGAGGACCTCAAGTTGGGAAGAGAGGCAAAGTCAGCACTGGAGACAGGGAGTGAAGGAAGAGCTGAAGGATTCAGCTCCTGGCCAGATAGTTGGGATGATGCTCTTTTAGATCTGTTTATCAGGCTTGAAAGAGCTGGGGAAGGATGGAAACATTTCTCTGAAGAAGAGAACGTAGCTCTTTGATTAATAGGAGGAGATAGAGAAGATAATGCAGAGGAGGCTAATGTAGAAGGGTACGTGTGAATGTTTCTGGGGTTTTCTGGACCCCTGAGGTCACCATCCTGTTTACTCTTCAAAGAGGAAAGAGAAGAGCTTGGTGGAACAGGAGGAAGACCCACAGAACTGGATGTACTGGTTTGTAGCAGGGAGAGCATGGTATTGCTCTTCAAAGTAGGTGATGGTGTTCTCTCTACATTCATGGAAGCAAGGCTGCTACTAGCCTGTTTTGTAGGAGAGAGGGAGGGCGCCTGAGAAAGCGGAGTAGACTTGGTGAAAACAGGCAGGTGAAAAGATTGCTGGGTCAATTCAGAAACCTGGAGTTCCCCTTGATCTGGTGACCCGGCTCTCAGGGAACAACTTGAGAGAGATTTTTTAGGCGTGGGTGGGGTCTGCTTTTCTTTTTGGTCAAGTGTGAGCGTGGAAGAGGCCGGGGAGTTGAGAGAGAAGGTGGGACAGGATGCAGGGGAAAAGGGTCTTTGGTGGGAAGGGTTTGACTTGAGAATGGCAGTGAGAAGGGCAAGCCGGGAAGGCACCGGGGATTTTACCCCTGACTTTGAAAGATTTCCACTAGATGACATTTGGCTGCAGATGGTGGAAGAAGAGCCGTGGAAAGAGGAGGTAAATGGTTTGGGGCTCGGAGAGAGTGAATGCGTGACAATGCGGACTGGTATGTACGAGGCCGAATTCGACTTCAGAGAAGCACTGGAGGACGGTGGAGAAGAAGAGGTTCTCGGACTTTCTCCGTGACTAAGGACATGCGAGGTTAAAGTTGTCTTCTTGAGAACTTCAGAGGTCAGTCCAGGCTTTGGATCTGCTGCAGTTGAACTGGGTAAATTAGAACCTGATAGTTGAGTGGAATGGGGAAACAGTAACGTCGAGGAGGTGCCCTTCGATGCAGAAAAGGGTGTAGAGTGAGCGGTAGTTTGAAAATACGTAGCTGATTCTTCCACCACGGCCCCACCGACATCCAGCCTCCTAGTGTGGAACTCCTCTAGGACAGAGGCTCCCTCGAGGTTAACTGGGTCGGGTGGTGTGTTCGGATTAGTTGGAGAAACAAAGGAGAAAGCAGGTGGTTTACAGGCAAGCTGCTCAGAGGTAGTGGGAGAAGAAGTTAACTAGAGGAAAGAGAAATAGACAGATTGAAATAGGACATTATTTGTGAAACGATCAAAATATTCTTGTCACTTGTGCGATTATACAAACAATTTACACAAAAGGAGGCATCTTAAACCTCCACAAAAATGAAGGAAATTCTATTTTGCTAATGAGGCCTTGCTCTGAATTCGAAATAAGATACAAATAAGCTGTGAAGCATTACATCCTATACCTCATTTATCCCACAGAATGAAATCAATGTAAAATTGTATTGCATAGTTGGAAGATAATTCGTTGACAGCATCTAAAATAGTTATCTTAATTTTGAATTGTGTGATTTGGAAAGATTTAAATCACCATCAGTATAAATTGCAAATTTCACTTTGGAAAATTATTTTCTTCTATTGTAAGAATATAAAGGATGATATTATAATAACGACTACAAGTCTTAAAAAAACTTTAACACACTTCAAGTGTTTAAAATTCTGAGAGTTTCTACTACTTAACTCCTACATGCTGTGAACTTGGAAAAGTGCCTGGAATTCAAATGATGAAACACCCAATGTCAACACAGAATGATAAATTGAGAGAGTGAAAGCAAAGTCCAAATTAAACAGGAAGTTTTAGCTTATTTTTCCTAATTATTTGCCAGAATGAACATTTAACATGAACATATAATGAACATTTAACAAATGATTTGGGTCATGCTGGAAGAAATAGGCTCTCTTTTGTGTCAAAAGAAGCCCGAACACTTTACAAATACAATCCACCTGAAACAAGGAAACCCACCAATCCAAATAAAGAGGAAATAAAGAAACCAAATAAAGAGGAAATAAAGAACAATTCATCATTTTACAAGAGAAGCTAGGGAGAGCCTGTGAAACAACTGGATGTAGGTAGTCTTGTGCCATTTTAAAAATCATCTAGTACTTTAAGATAAGCACTGAAGTTATAAATACTTTGAACACCTTTTAAACAGAACTTTCCCTTAAAAGTCATTGATTTGATTATGTCAATATATAAAAGAAATAATAAACATGCATGTCTAATAAAGAATTTAGGGAATATCAATCATTCAAAATATCAATAAATATTAAGATTTACATATAGATATTCATTAAGCACATAGCAGGAAAATGTATATAAACATAACAATCAAACTTAGCAAAACTTTACAAATAAAGTAAAAGATATTTCTTGATTTTGCTTATAACATTTTAAGATTTCCATCAGACCTAATGCAGAGGTTTTCATGTCATATAGTTTTAATCTCTAAAAATATTTAAAACTGGCAAATTCAAACACTCATCCCAAACTTCCAAGTTTCTAAGTAAACATACCCAAAATATTCTTTTCTTTTATATGTGAATTTGTATCTTTGCAACACGGAAGAATTCTTGCTACATAAATAACACCTGAATATATTGGCGTAACCCAGAATATGGGAAAATCAGAGATAATTAAAAGTCAAGCAGAATTGAATCAAATGGAAGAAGAAAGCTTAGCAATTCACTCGTATAAGTTTTATTTAGAAACAACTCTGCTTAGCCAATGTTTATGTAACTGATGCATTTGGTTAGAGATATATTTAAATCCAAACACTACTAGCTGGGCAGCTGAATGTTTCTGTCACTACAAGCATGACAATGTCTTATTTGGAGTTATGCAATCATTTTAGTTAAATACATAATTAATGTTTAAGAAATTGTTCTTTTAGGGTAAATAGTGTATCCAGGGAATTTTTTTTTTTACCACAAAGAAAAGTCTTCTCTAATTGTTTCCTATGATTGATCTCTCCTAATGAAAAGAATATAGAAACATTTCTAGACTGTGTAGTGTGTCTTTGCATGTTGTACTATGCCTGGAATAGCTGTTTGGTAAAGAATTCTGTAAATTAATAACAGCAGTCACAAAACTCTCATTACCTTTTCAGTTCTGCTGTTTCCAAATAACTTTAATGTATATGACAAACTCAGTTATTTACCCTGATTGATTATTCACCAAATTATCACTATGCTAAGACCATAGAGCTGTAACTGTTAGGGTCTCATTCAGAGGAAAAGACTAACCTCTCCAATTTCCTCAAAACTATGGCTTCTAATGACCAAACATTCTACTACATTAATTAATATTTTACCTAATATAAATATCTCAGAATTTTATTATACTTTTTAATATATTTAAAACATTGATTTTTAAGGAACTTCTAAGAGAAAGGCTCTGAAAAGTCTAAAGATGTTTACCATGTTTATATTAATCTGCACATAATTTTTATTATATTTTCTTAATATATTAATAAGTATATGCAACATATTCCTTTCTAACTTGCAAATATGCCACGATGTATCCTAATTTGTACCAATATAAAAATGTGACACCATATTTTATAAAATTCTCAGGGGTGAAGGATTCTTTTTTTATAAAAAGATTGATTTTCCTGAGTTTCTCTAATTAATAAATTTTTAAAAAGAGGAAGTAAAGGCATGAAAATATGTATGCAGAAAGAATACATGGGCACCTGTCAAATTCTCAGTCAGTAGCTCAGAATCAGTCCTTCATTTTACCTCTTCCTGTAAATCCCTTATTAGTGATCCCAAACTTCCCTATTGGCATCTATTTAACACAAATTATTTCCATCTCTTCTTCCTCTACCATTCATAACCCTCTATGTTGTTCTCAAGGTTTGTTACTGATGCTCTAACTCCTTCTCCCTCAAGGCTGTTCTAGGTTTTCTTTACCATTTATTTCTTACCTCATCTTTATTGATTCCTTTGCTTCAAACACCTCTCTAGAGCTACCAATGACCATGTTTTCCAATACCCAGAACTATGCTGGTTCCCTGAGCCCCCCTTGCCATACACTCTCTCTAAAGTCATTTTCAAAACTCTCTTCTCCTAGAAAGGCTATCTGGAACTCTGGAAAACATTCACAATAATCTCAGTAACAGAAGATGAAATGTGCTCCTATCATTAGGTAAGTAGATGATCCTAATCATAAATTCACCCTCAGATCCTATGTAATAGAGACCATCAATTATTTTAACAACCAATCTCTATTGTAGAACTGCCTTGTATTTTTACTGCCTGTAAATCTAAAATAAACTGCTCCTGTATATATATTCAATTTTCCCTGATGTTTCTATGAGATTTCAAAGCATTTGAATAAAAACTGAAGTGACTGATCTGCTACCTAGTATCTTGAATACTTTCTGAGATTCTGACAGCACCAGATGTGGATCGTATATAGTTGTGCTCTTCCTCCTGAATCTGTACAGCTACATGAGGCAGAAACCCCAGATTCTCCCTTGTCGTCACATACCAATCATTGCATAATGGCAGCTCGGCCTCCTAAACTTAGCTATTATTGATTTGTCCTCTTCTCTCTGATGAATGCTTGTAATGCTACAGGGAAGATTCTCAGCCTTTCTTACCTGAACACATTAAATAATCTTTTCTGGTGTTCTTACTTGTAGTTGCAGCCTATTTAACCTATCACCAGATTGAACTTTTAAAATCTGATCACCTATGCTCAAGACCTCATCACTGGTTTCTTTGTGTCTACCATGAACTACAGATACTTCCTTCATGACGAAGCCCCTCTCTTGCTATCCAGTCTCACACCCCTCATCCCCTATTTTTTAAGTTTCAGTAATACTTTGTTCAATCTCAACCTTCTTGCCAGCATTGCCAACATTCTAGCTATTGTGGTTTCTTGCCAATCCTCTCTTGCCAATCAACTTAGCAAACCTTCATTCTTAAACCAATCCCAGCAACTGCCATTATGTTTCTAGACCTAGTCTACCAAAAGTTGCTATAAGAAAAAGAAAATTGATACCACTTTTTAATAGGACCACAGCACCTATTTTGCAAACCATCCTGTACAAGGGCGCAAGCTGAGTGGGGCTGGTTTCCCCTGCACTGAATTCCCCTGCAGAAGGGGAGGTTTTCTCAATTCACATATGGGCTGGCTGAGTCACTGTAGACTGGTGAAAGCACAAGTTCAATGTCTATAGTCTCAGCTGGGTCCTGCACCTCTCGATTTTTTGGTTGGTTGATTTGTGTTTTCTTTTTTGTTGTTGTTGTTTGGACCTTGGCTTCCTCTACTGTTCTGATGAACAGCTTTTCCAAAAACTTTACATTCTCCACAAACCCTTAACCTACTATTTCTCCCATTATGCTCAACAGATGGCCTAGATTTCTTTACTCCAAGGAAAATTGAGATTACCAGGAAAGTGAATTTTGGTAGTATCATCTTCATTCCCTTTCCCTCATTCTAAGGAAAGATGAATGAAAAAAACTTTCGCTTTGTAAAAGGTGAATTCTCCTTGTGTACTCTGAATCACAGCAGCTCTTGCCCTCTTAGAAATCTCATTTCATCAGTTATTCCCCATAACCTATGTACTTATCCTTTTTAATTTTTTCCTAGCTCCCTGATCCTAACATAGATATAAAACAGAAATTCTCTCAATCTTTTAAAAACATGATAATAAATATCATTGTGGTGAATAGTGAAAGTACCCACAATTCTCTGTTCTTTCCCATTCATTCCATCATAAACGCAGTCTTTTGTTCCACCTTTTAATCTGGATAGCCAAATGACTTGTTTTGGCCCATACAACATTATCAGATGCAATACAAGAAGCAGTATCTTGAAAAACATTTGTGCATTGAGGCTTACTGGCTTGTTACGTGCAGAACATTGCCATAATATGAATGAGCTCAGGCTAGTTTACTGGAAGATACAAGACCACGTCTCAGCACACAACTACTCAGCCACCAGACAGCTAACCAGCCACCAGCTAACCCAACAGCCAATCACTGACATGGGTAGGTCACAGTAAAGATTAACTGAATCCAGCCCATATCTGCAGAACCACCTAGCTGAAAACAGCCCAAATTATTGACCAAAAAATTTTTGAGCTAAATAAAATATTGTGTTTTAAAACACTAAATGCTGGCATGGTTTGTTAAGCAACAAAAGCTAACTGACAAAAACGAATATATACATACATATCCCAAGCTCTTTCTTGATCCTATATTTCCCATAATTACAGGCCTATGTTGTTTTCTTCTCAGTCAAGTCTGTACAATATAATCACTGCACTGAGTTTCTTATTTCTTGTAGTCTGCACACCCTAAAATGACTACCCAAAGAGTCCCAGCCTTATAGAATTCCTTCCTTTTAAGTGTGGGTGGAAACGGTTACTTGCTTCTAACTGATAGAATATGACAGAGGTGAAGGAATTTTTCAAATGTAACAAAGGTCCCTAATCAGGTTACTTTAAGTTAATTAAAAGGGAGGTTTATCCTGCGTGGGTGTGACCTAATCAAGTGAGCTCTTTAAAAAAAATAAAAATTAAAAAAAGGTCTTTGGAATTAGAGACTCAAAGCAGCAGAGATACTTTTTCTCTGTTGCTGGCTTTAAGAGGCAAGCTGCCATGAATTCCACAGCCTCAAGGAAATAAATTCTGCCAACCTGACTGACACCTTGATTTCAACCTGGTGAGAGACCCTGAGCAAAGAACATGGCTCAGACATATCCAGACATCTGATCTACAGAAACCAGGAGAAATAGGTAAATTTGTGAAGCCACTACATTTGTGGTAAGCTATTGTACAACGGAAAACTAATTCACTTCCCACTAACTTCTTAACAGATTTCTTCTCCACCCTTACATGGAAAACTGTTATCACTAACATCTACAATGGTTTATTTTTCCTAAACCCAACAGGCACTTGAATCGCTTACCTTTTCTGATTTCTTTTCAGAGTTTGACTCTTCTAATCTCTCACTCCTTTTCAAAACTTTTATTTATGGCCTCTATTTCATTACTCTTTCCTAGTGTATTTCCTATCTTTTGATGAGTCCTTTTCATATTTCTTCTCATCTTCCACCCTGTTCTTATGTGCTGATACTTCCTTCCCTATTACCTTTCTGGAATGCCAAAAATGTATTCATCCTTCAAATTTCAGCAACACTGCCTCTGTGAACCCTTTCTGATGCTCCAGGCTGACTTAGGCATCCTCCCCGTAGGCTTCCCACTTTTCTGAACATGCAACCTAATACACTTTTTTTTCTGAGCATGCACATACACTTTTTAAATTCCTTAAAGGCAGATCATATGTCTATGTACCCCTAGTGTCTAGTGCCTAGCCTACTACCTTCATACAGGAATAAAAAATAAATAAATAAAATGTCTAGCAGATGAAGGAACAGAAGGATGCAGAAGCGGAAACATAGTTTCTCCTTGAAGAGGGTCTAACCCCTCCCTCAGCAATTGCCCCCTCTTATTCTGCTCTAGACTCTGGGCAGTGAGGATGGGCAGGTGGTAGGAAGAACATTGCCTCTGACCTCTGATTCAGTCGTTACCTCCCCAGCCAAGTTCTGACATCAACAAGTTCTTAAGTTCTGACATCAACAAGTCAGGAGACTCTCTTCTTAAAAGCCTACATCATCTTTCTGCTGGAATTGTCACAGCGACTTGATTTTCCAGATATGTTCTTCCTTTGTACCTGGTTAATGGTACAAATTAACCCACCCAGAGGAAATAACAAGCTACCATTCAGGGACTATAGGGATTCTGCCAGCATCAGAGCAGAGCCTGGAGCTTCTCACTGATTCATAAAAATTCTCCTAAGTGCATCTAGTCTCATTCACTATGAAAGGTAACAAGATAAAAAGAGGGAATCATGTACTCACCCTAAGCACGAAACGAAATGGAGAGGTAGCAGTGGGAAGATCACTGGAGAAAAGTTATTTAAAAAAAAATCACTTGGTCAGGGATTTGTCCATTGCCTAAAAGAATGTAGGGCCTCTAAATTTTTAATCCTACCCAACTGCCCAAAACAATTATATGACCAAGAAGGCCCATGTAGAATCTGAATTACTACTTAGTCACCTCTCACCTATTCTTGCACAGTCAGGCCCCAGGTGGCTCTGTTCTGCATTCAAAGAGCCATCCAGCTGATGGCCATGAACACTTCACCTCCCAGCTTCTTAATATAAATGTGCCAATTTTCAGCAAGTACTTTGGCATTCCAAGCTAGTCCTCCAGCAGTTAGCTGAATCCAACATGAACGTTTAACCTCCCAGCTTCTTTCAAGGTTTTCAACCTCTAAATCTCTCGGGTCAGAAGCTATAGATTATTTGCTTAAGTAAGAGCAACAGCACTAACTCTAAGGCAGGAGTCCTAGGTGCTCTTCCATACTCTATTATCATTTTCTTTCAGCTTTGAATGCTCACTAAGAGGGTTTAGGTAATGTCTATTCTCTATTTATATCAGAAGATCATGTGAAAAGGAGGATCATTCATTCATTTATTCATTCATTCATCAGACACTTTTTAAGCACCCACAGTATTCCAGGCATTGTATTAGGTGATGGGAAGCAGAAGTGAGAAAAATATTTTTTGTCAAGTTCAAGGGGTTCAGGAATCTAGTGGGGTAAGACAGACACATGAAGGCTATTGTAATAAGTATGCTGGTATGAATAGGGTATTTCATTATAAAGTTGAGGCCTGGGGGTATATGGAGGGTTTCTATGTCTAATGCCCCATCCAAATAACTTACTGTAATCCCTTTTCTATGAATCCATGAAATCTAGTTATTTAATAAACATATATGCTAGTGTCCAAATTCCTCAGAATTTCATGTCAGGACCTGCATTATTTAGCCCCAGTCAGTTCTTTTGGTCTTATTTTCATGTTCCACATTCCTCTCCCCAGTTCTTACTTCTGAGCTACATTTGAAAAAGGTGTGAAACTCTCCTTCTCCACATGTTCCTGACTTTGTGCCCCCCCTCCAAAAAAAAACAATGCTGCCATCTCAGACTTCTTAGATACAGTAAATCATTTATTGAGAGCCTACCACTGGCCAGGCACTATTCTAGGCACTTTACATGTATTATCTCATTTAATCTTCACAAGGAAGGTTGATATATTATCAACTCATTTTACAAATGAGAAAACTGAGGTTTATGATTTCAAGTAACTCACCCAGAGGAACATAGCCAGTCAATTGCCCATCTCATTTTGGTTTTCCCACATCACCCCTCCAATGCATGACCTCCTTTTCCTTACCTCCATCCATTTCTCAAACTGATTTCTGTCCCCATAATCTCGCTCACACTGTTCCCACCAAGGTCACCAAATGACCTCCTTATTTCAAGATTTAATGGACTCAGGGGTCCTACTTTATTTTACCTTGTTTTATATTCTACTATAGACTCCTCTTTTTGGAAAGTCTCATTAGTTTCCACTGCATAAAACCACTCTCTCAGACATCTTTGATTCACCTCTTAGATAGAAAAAGACACCTAGGTTTCTCATTGGCTCTCTTTTTTCATAGGTGCTTTTATACTTTTCTGTTTCCTGGCTTGAATCCTGTCTTCCTACTTTTACCTTCTCTCCCTGAGTAAATTCCCATCACTTTAATTTATATGACGAATATCTCCAGTCTCCCTTCTCTCTCCTATGTCCAGGATTCATACTTCCAACTTCTTTCTAGATATCATCATATAGTGCCACCAAGGCATCTCAAACTCAACATCAGATGTCTAATCTCTTCCCATCCCCACCCAAGACCTGTTATTCATTCTTCAATTAATGATGCCAACATTCATCCAATGAGGTAATAAACTTCATTCATGCTTAATTTTTCCCATATATTGTCAATGAACAAGTTCAGCTAATTCTACCTCATCAGGCTCTCTGTCTATTCCCACAGTCACTATCTTAGCTCCAAACTTTATCATAGGTCTTTCAGACGAATCACTGTGTTGTATGTGTATTCACCTCTCCCGTAACTCTAATACTACCCCTAGAAAATTCTTAGACTTTTACATGAACATTCAAGTCTCTTTTTTCTGAATTTTATTTAAGAGGATTTTGATTCAACAGCTTATTTTACATAACATGTTTACTTTTGACATGCTTTGAAATTATTGAGTGATTTTTTTAACGTAAGATACTTTTACTTAAACATGCCACTTCAGGAAGCACTTGGGGAGTTTATCATTCAACCCAATATTTATATTGACTATGTCCCTGATAATATGCTAACCACTGTAGGGGACAAAAAGTTTAATAAAACTGAATTTAACATGGGCTTTACCTGTAAAAACTTTACAATCTCTTAGGGGAGATAAGACATGTATCTAAATAGCTATAGTACTGCCTATGATAATTATAAAATAGGTACAGAAAAAAAGCTATCAGAATAATGTTGGGAGAGAGATTGCTTTCACTGAGAGAACAAAACAGCTTCATGAAGGTGTCAATATCTGAGCAAGGACTTCACAGTTGAAAAGATATGCAATCTTTTGAATATTTCATTTTTTTCACTCACCTTATTGAACCCCCTTTATATGTAAGGCACTGCATTAAGTGCTAGGGATACAGAAATTAACAAGGGACCAGAACTTGATTTAATGTAGTTTTCAGCCAGTGAGGAAAAAAGATAAAAGTAAATTATTACAACAGAATGAAAAGGAATTATAATGGAGAATTTTTTCCCCCACTAAAAGCTATAAAATAATAAAGAAAATCACAAACATGAACAAGAACTAACTCCTTTCCAAAGGGAACATCTTTAAGAGGAGATGCTACTTGAACTGAGCTTAAATTATCAAGTAGCCTAGGTCAAAATGGAGAAGAGCTAGGGAAAGAAGGAAGCATTTGACCAGAGGAATCAAGGGCTCAGAGATGGGAAGGTATGAAGTATGTACTTTGGTGATTGTTCAGGAGAGCTGAAGAAGAGAGGTAAAAGATGTAGATAGAAAAAGACACCTAGGCTAGGTCATGGAAAGGTTAAAGGCCAGACTAAGAAGTGAAGACATTTCTTAGGAATAGCTTATCAATGACTAACCAATAGAGGTAATTTACAGACAATTCTATATATGGATTCATTTTCACCAGGTAGACTAGAAATTTACTTACTTGACTGTATTTCTGATTAAAAATTTGATATTGTTGGCATCAAGCAGCCCAATCGTGTAATTTTTTTTTAGACTTTGTACATTACAGTTCACTATATTAAACTTCCAGACTGCTTTCTTTGGTGCTCTGGTCATTTCTCCTTAGTTTACACTTGTGGCAATGGTCATCTTATTTTTATTTCATGATGACCTACAGTTCACTCAAGTGGATTATTATAGGAAATGGAAACAAGAGCAATGGTAATTGTTCAAATAATTGGTAATTGGTCAAACACTTTAGGATCTAGTATTCCACCACTACTGGTAATCATAATCTTCAGCCACAATTAATATATGAGGTTGAGCTCTGCTTTTTTATTTAGAGCTCTAATAACATGAACTATAACCTGCTCCTAAATAACCTTTTTTGGAAAAAATATTTTAAAGGACATATTCAGTCTCTAGATTCACTTCTGTATATTTGAACACACAAAAATAAAAATAAATGGCCAATTCAGGGGAAAAAACTATCAGTTGGAGAAAGAGTAAATCAAAGACCCAACAATTGCTTTGTTAATTTTTTATTAATACATTTTCTTCTCAGAGAAGTCACCTAAAGCTGTCCTCCCCTAACAATGGAAATTTCCACATTTCTACATCTCCAACTATTTCATTATCTTTTCTGAGGCAAGAAAGAAATATTTAAACCTATCACAGCATATTGGGAATACATTTAATTATATGATTATAATATTTTGTTCCAATACCTAGCTAAGAACGAACTTCAAGAAGAAATAAATGTTTTAGCCCAGTAAAAATGTGAGTACCGCAGTGTGTGTCTTTTACTACCAGAAGACAATACAAGATACTAGATGCTTGAAGATAATAAAAATGCAGCATCAGAAACTCAGTGAAGCCTACAGAAATAAAGATGGTGTGGCACCAAAACTCCAATGCTCATTCTACCATTTTGCATTGGTCCTGTCCTAGTAATGCAAAAAGACCAACACGCCAGTAAAAATGTCCTTTAAACTACTTTGGGTTGATTGCAAATGCCTGGTCTATTAGATCCTAAATGGGACATCTGGGTAACAATTCGTGGTCATTGTCAAGAAGTTAGAGCTCTGCATCCACTACCTACCTACTCTCAAAGCCAGCGTCTGCATTCCTAACATTCTAACTACACTTCGTCAGTCACCTTACATTTTCATTATAGCAAATAGCCAGTCAATGGCAAATTATTCTATTTTTCAACTTCAAAATGCCTCCTTGTCCGCATCCTTTCTTTCCTGCCATCACAGATGTGGGTCTTCTCCTATTGTACCAGACTCTCTCTACCTTAAAAGAACCATTCAATCTTGCCACTAAGTTTTGGGGTGGTATATTTTCCCCCTCTCACTGAGGTCAACCCCAGCCTTGTGGCTTCCAGGACCACAAAAGATGTTTTCCTTAGGATACACAGGGGAAAATTATTTTTCTTACTCTTATTTCCTAGTTTATCCTTTTACTAGTCTTTTACTAATTTAAAATCAATGGGTCTACCTCTAATGTCCAATTACCGTCTTTTCACTAGATCTTTCTTACGTCTGAAATATGCTTCTTGATGGACCCAGCTCACCAAGCACACTCTTCTTGACTAAAGAAACTCCTCATATCAACCTTCTCCAAGAATTATTTAAAGGAAAGAGGTAGTATTCTCCCAAATTTACTCCAGCTAAATGTTTTACATTTTCTCTTCAGCCAATTCACAGCATAATTGCTTAATCCTTTTTATCTTATATATTTATTATCTGTGTTTACACTATGATGATTTATTACCCTGAGATAATGGTTTTTTAAATATATTTTTCTTTGAAAGTTTTGTCTGCCTTAAACAGGATGGCCTTTGCAGACCGCCCAAGACAAAGGGTGCATAAACGCTTTTTTTTTCCTTATGGACAGCAGGAACACAAAACCTACCTGCCCATGCTTTTGCTGAGGGGCCATCCCATGAAGCATTTCAGGATGTGATGAGGTCTTGAGATCAGTCCCCTGTGTTTTGGGACGCACTACATCAGAGACCAGACTGGACGAGATAGCTAGAGACTTGGGCCGGACAGCTGCGGTGCCAATCCCCCCTGGGGGGCCTTGTTCAACTTTTCTGCTTGCAGCCTCATCTTCCCCTTCGGAGTCCACAATAAGGACATATTCAGCTTTGAAGAGGTCACTTTGCTGCATCCCTTGAAGTTTGTTTGCTTCGAATTCCCTTTCTTGTAAAATCGTTCCACTGACCTCTGAAGGACAAGTCAATTTCGCTTGGTCTCTCTCTTGTTGGCTCCCAGCATTCAAGGTCAAGTAGTCATTGGATTTAGACTGTAATAGATGTAGAGAGATAAAAGCATTGACATTAGTTTAATAAATGCTTCTTTTTTGGCATGTACACTGAAAAGCTTAACCTCCTTATATTTTCAAAAATATATTAAATTAGGTTGACATAAGAAAGAGATTGGGTTGAAGTTAGCAGTTTATTTTTACTAGCCCACTAGCCCACCTGTTTTTCCTGGTCTAAGCCCAAACAATTTTGGGATAGTAATCAACATCAACAGGCAAACCTAACTGTTTTCAAGTAAGTCATGATACGACATTTTAAAGAGAGAGAGGGAGAGAGCAATGTTTTCCGTGAAGACATTTGTGAAACAAATGGGGATTGGGCAAGGGTTTAGTTAATGGTGAAGCAAACTGTATATCCTTTAAAAGCCAAGGGAGGAAGGAAATCCCCATTGAAAGTTTCTAAAATAATACAAAATCTCTCTAAAAATCTGAAAGGAAAAATAAAATTGGGCAAAATGCATAGTCAGACAAAACAATCTAAGTTAATTAGGGAGAACTCATAAATAGAACACCAAAAAAGATGCAGATATTTTTAGTACAAAGCATCTTTCACTGTTTTATTTTGGATTTGTAATTCTCAGTCTTTTCCCATCCAATTTTCTGTGAATACATAGTTTACAAGACCAGGATCAAGATAGCTTTATCAAGCTACCAAACTTCTTTTTCTAAAACTATGACAGCCATGTATACTGAGATTGTGTTTAAAAGACCCAATGTTAATTTTCTTATTTTTATTATTACACTATGGTTACTATTATTCTTTTCTCTGCAGCTTTTCTGTAAGGCTAAAATTATTTCAAAATAGAGAGTTATGCCACTAAATGAAAATATGCTAATAATTTCAACTCTGGTGGTCAATTTAATGTGTACTGTGTGTGCATGTATTGTATGTATGAAGACAGAAGTCAAATCACTGATTAAATATAACTAAAAAGTTGATTTTATACACCCACATTATTCAGCTGATAATGAGGATATAGTCAGGATAAAACACAAATTGCCTCTGATTAAAATTTCTCTGCCCATCTTTCCCTATTTACTCTGATATTGTTTTCATTGTATTTATCACTATATGGATTTTATTACATACTTTTTTCATTTTTTTCATTGCCTGCCTTCCCGATAACAAGTAAGCTATATGAATTGTCTTTATTCAGTTGGAATCCAATCATCAAGAGAATAACATATGTTCAGTAAACAGTTGCTAAGAATATAAATGAAGCCGGGCGCGGTGGCTCAAGCCTGTAATCCCAGCACTTTGGGAGGCCGAGGAGGGCGGATCACGAGGTCAGGAGATCGAGATCATCCTGGCTAACAAGGTTAAACCCCGTCTCTACTAAAAATACAAAAAAAATTAGCCGGGCGCGGTGGCAGAGGCGCCTATAGTCCCAGCTATTCGGGAGGCTGAGGCAGGAGAATGGAGTGAACCCGGGAGGCGGAGCTTGCAGTGAGCCGAGATCGCGCCACTGCACTCTAGCCTGGGCGACAGAGCGAGACTCCGTCTCAAAAAAAAAAAAAAGAATATAAATGAATGAGGAATTACACTATTTTAATGTTGAACTGTCTAAGAGATAGGGTGAAAAATCTTTTAAAGATGTGGTTGTATATATATCATTGCAATCAGCAGATAAATATTATCATCTTAGGAAGCTCTGGAGGCTTGCAACCAAGGTTGGTTTATGTAGCTACAGTCTCACACCACTCATAAGGCCTAATTACAAAGGATCTCATTAATATTATGTAAATGAGTGCTGTAGGAAAGAAACTATCTAGAAGTGCCATATATAGTATTCATGGCCCCATTAGTCTTTGAAAGAAGATAGCAGCATTGAAAACCCCAGGATCATGGAAATATTACTATTTTCTAGATAAGATGTTTTCTTGTAGACAAGGTGAATCTGATTATTTTACTCCTTTCTAATTGTGTCAAGAATAACACAAAGTTGCCCCAATCTCATTTTATTTATAAGTAAGCAATGTTAAAACACATTTTAAAGAGAAAAACATTTTTACTCAAAATTTTGTTATTCTAACACAAGTTATTTTCAAGATTTTTAAATTTGTGTAATTTCACTTCCCATCTTGGTCTCATTTTAGATAGGTACAATCAAGATATGAACACAGTATTATATCACCTAATATTGTAAGGTTAACATTTTCCATGGAATTATCTAATTACCATCAGTATAACTTTGCCAAAGTGAGGTACTATTATATTCTTAACTTTTCTGATTGTTAGATATTAGGCATTTTTTATTTTTCCCTAATTATTTACCTACATAACATTTTTCTTCTTTTGTAATATTTCCTTGGGATACTTTTCAAAGAGTTAGATTATTGAAAGGTTATAAACAGTTTTATAACTATAGATAAAGTATTTCCACCAAAATTGTATAAATTTACAAAACCAGCAGCAAAGTGTAAGCATGCCAATATTTCCACAACTTTCCCAACATCAGGTATTACATTTTTTAATGTTGCTAATTCATTACCTGTAAATAATAATATCTCACTGTTTTGTCTTATATTTTCTTTTGAGATAAATTTAAACATTTTTAAATTTTGTTTTTATTTTCTTAAGAAACATTTGAGAGAATGTGCCAGGAGGCAGAATTTGTCATGTCAATAGCAAACAATAGGATGTCAAACTGAAAAAAATTGAAGATAATGCATTAGAGAGAACATGCAATTTGATAACATTTATGCTTCTGTTGCATTATTATATTTTTAGTCAAACTTAGAGTCACAGTCACCTTAATTTAAGCACAGGAAATATACACAAATTTCCAAGTCATCATTATCAAAATTTAATATAATTGTTTGAAATTAAAAAAGAATAAAAATAATCCTACCCTATTTACAGTTTCTGGACTCTTATCACTTGATTCTTCTGGAATTTTAACAAGGAATTTAGAGGTGTCAGCCAACTGAGTATGGGTTGGTAGTCTTCTGACAGTGGGGACAAATGTGAAGATCAGAGGTTTGGCTTCAGAACCACCAGCAGAGACCTATGAGACATGTAGTTAATTAGACTTTCAGCCTTGTCAAAGGTTTATCTTGCCTTTATTCTCCATATGACATGATATTTATCTCATTTATTTTGATGAATTGCCTATTGTCCTGTGATCATGTATATGGCTGCCAAAGTAAACACCTATAAAAATGGTTATAAAGAATCAGAACCTTTTTTATGATATTATTTACCAGAGAAAACAATACCACCCAGGGAAGATCCTGTTGTAGGGGATGGCATAAAACAGCAGGTTGGCAAGCTGATCAGCTGGAATCTCACAGAGCATTTCTGCCTCAGTGGGGTCATCACAAACTCATCATCTGTTCTGTTTCAAAACTGGCTTTCATCCATCTAACCCTGGGTTAGCCGGTTCAATTTATTAACTCATAATCAATAAGCATGCAAGAAAATCCCCACATTTATCGTTAGCAAGAATGCCAAAATACAAATTTAAAGTTGAAAGTATGCCTATCAGAATACCAATGCTACTCTTAAAGATATACCTTCTCCTTCATTTATTCTTCACTTTTTCAAAAATAATTGTATGAAGTATTTGCTGTGTGACAGGTACTCAGGAGGTAGGGAAACAACGGTGAACAGGAAACAGTCAGTAGACTACTCACAAGCAGAAAAAAGATAAGACTACTAAGGGAACAGTGATGAAGGGTGCCTACCCAACCCATGAAGCTTCATAATAGGTAGTACCTGAAATTTAAGTCCAGTTGAAAAGGAGGATAGGGAGATCCCAAGCTGAGAAAAGGAGATGAGTGAAAGCATGGAAAGTAGCAGCAGTGGAGAGTGTATCAAGCTTGGACTTTGTTCTGTTAACATTGTTGATTGAAAAATGACATAGTCATATTAGAATTGTAGATAGATAAAATCTAGTTTTAAAAGTCACAAACCAGCCGGGAGCGGTGGCTCCTGCCTGTAATCCCAGCACTTTGGGAGGCCAAGGCGGGCGGATCACCTGAGATCAGGGGTTTGAAACCAGCCTGGCTAACATGGTGAAACCCCATCTCTATTAAAAATACAAAAAAAAATGAGCCGGGCGTGGTGGCAGGCGCCTGTAGTCTCAGCTACTCAGGAGGCTGAAGCAGGAGAATGGCGTGAACCCAGGAGGCGGAGCTTGCAGTGAGCCGAGATCGTGCCACTGCACTCCAGCCTTGGCGACAGAGCGAGACTCCGTCTCAAAAAAAAAAAATAAAAAAAAGAAGTCGCAAGCCTAGACACAAGAATAAAAAGCCAAAAGCATAAGTTGAGGACTAAATGGAAAGGGAGAAAGAGAAGACAGTACTGTAGATTTCTCTTTTAAGAAGTTTGCATGAGAAGTACAAAGAGAGGTTGAGAGTAATTAGAGAGCAAATTAGAGTCAACAGGGTGCTTTTGTTTGTTTTATAATGAACTGAACATATCTATATACTAGGGGATGGGTGAGAGTAGAGAAGGAAAGGGGAGCAAAACCCTGAAGGAAGCAGGTGAAATAAGTTACAGCAACAACAAAAGGAACATGCTCTCCTTTGAGACTGGAGAAAATAGACTAAGATGTAGAAGAGCTCACAAACGTGGTAAAGTGGTGGAAATGGAAAGAGTGGGAAGATGATGAGAACCACTTTTGTTGTAGATAAAACTGTATGTATTTATCATGTACAACATGATGTTGTGAAATATATATACTCTTGGAATAGTTAAATCTAGTTAATTAACAAATACAGTTCCTCACGTAATTATCATTTTTTTGGTGAGAACACTTAACATCTATTATCTTTGCATTTTTCAAGAATACAATATATTGTCATTAACTATAGTCACCATGCTGTACAATAGATCTTGTGAACTTATTTCTTCTATCTAACTGTAATTATATATATTTTGACCAACATCTCCTCAAGTCCCCTCCCTCCTACCAACCACAGCCTCTGGTAACCACTATTTTACTCGTTACTTCTATTAGATCAACTTTTTAAAAATTCTACATATGAGTGAGATCATGCAGTATTTGTCTTTCTATAACTGGCTTATTCCACTTAACATAACATCCATGTTCATCTGTGCTGTTGCAAATGACAGAATTCCATTCTTTTCATAGCTGAATAGTATTCCACTGTGTATATGTACTACATTTTCTCTATCCATTCATCCATTGATAGAAACCTAGTTTAATTCTATATCTTAGTTACTGTGGATACTGCTGTAATAACATAAGAGTGCAGTTATCTCTTCCATATACTTATTTCATTTCGTTTGGCTATATGCCCAGTAATGGGATTGCTAGATCATATGGTAGTTGTATTTTTAATATTTTGAGGAACCTCCATACCGTTTCCACAATGAATGTACCAATGAACACTCTCACCAATGTGTGTAAGTGTTCCCTTTTCTTACATTCTCACCAACACTTATGCTTTGTTTTTCTGATAATAGCCATTCTAACAGGAGGGAGGTAATATCTCACTGTTTTCATTGGCATTTTCCTGATGATTAGCAACAATGAGCATCTTTTTCATTATGAGCATCATTTTCATTCATACCTATTGGCCATATACCTGTTGGCCATTTGTGTGTCTTTTGAGAGATGTCTATTCAGATGTATTGCCTGTTTTTTAATTGGATTGTTGTCTTGCTATTGAGTTGTTTGAGGTTTTTTTAATATTTTTTGGTTACTAACCCTTTATCAGATGTATAATTTACAAATATTTTCTCCCATTCTGTAGGTTGTCTCCTCACTCTGTTGATTGTTTCCCTTGCTGTACAGAAGCTTTTTAGTTTGCTAAAATCCTATTTATCAATTTTTGCTTTTTTTGCTTATACTTTTGAAGTCATATCCAAAAAATTATTGCACAGACCAATGTCATAGAACTTTCCCGCTATGTTTTCTTCTAGCAGTTTCATAGTTTCTGGTCTTACATTTAAGTGTTTAAAATGTTTTGTATATGGTTAAAGACAGAGGTCCAGTTTCATTCTTCTGCATGTGGAAACCCATTTTCCCAATACCACTTATTGAAGAGACTGACTTTTCCCCATTGTGTGTTCTTGGCACCTTTATCAAACATCAGTTGGCTGTAAGTGTGTGGATTTATTTCTGGACTCTCAGCTGGAACTCTCAGTTCCATTGGTCCATGTGTTGGTTTTTACGCCAGCATCATGCTATTTTGGTTACTATAGCTTTGTAGTAGTATACTGTGAATTCAGGCAGTGTGATCCCTCCAGCTTTGTTCTTGTTGCTCAAATTGCTTTGGTTATTCAGGCTCTTGTGTAGTTCCATAAGAATTTTATTATGTTTTAATTCTGTGAAGAATGTCATTGGTATTTTGATAGGAGTTGCGTTGAATCTGTAGATCACTTGGGGTGTTAGAGGCATTTTAACAACACTTATTCTTCCAATTCATGAACACAGTATATCTTTCCATTTATTTGTGCCTTTCTCATTTTCTTTCATCAATGATTTTTGTTGTTGTTGTTGTTGTTGTTGTTGCTGTTGTTGTTGTTGTTGTTGTTTTGAGACAGAGTCTCATTCTGTCACCCAGGTTAGAGTGCAGTGGCACGATCTCGGCTCACTGCAAGCTCCACTCCCGGGTTCATGCCATTCTCCTGCTTCAGCCTTCCGAGTAGCTGGGACTACAGGCGCCCGCCAACACGCCCAGCTAACTTTTTGTATTTTTAGTAGAGACGGGGTTTCACCATGTTAGCCAGGATGGTGTCGATCTCCTGATCTCGTGATCCGCCCATCTCGGCCTCCCAAAGTGCTGGGATTACAGGTGTTAGCCACCACACCCGGCCCTAAAATTTTTTATATATAAGATCCTGTCATCTGCAAACAAGGTCAATTTAACTGCTTCCTTTCCAAATTGGATGCCTTTTATCTCTTTCTTTTGCCTAATTGCTGTGGCTAGGACTTCCAGTCCTGTGAGGAATAGAAATAGTGAGAGTGGGCCGGGCACGGTGGCTCACGCCTGTAATCCCAGCACTTTGGGAGGCTGAGGTGGGTGGCTCACAAGGTCAGGAGATCGAGACCATCCTGGCTAACACAGTGAAACCCCTTCTCTACTAAAAATACAAAAAATTAGCCAGGCGTCGTGGCGGGTGCCTGTAGTCCCAGCTACTTGGGAGGCTGAGGCAGGAGAACAGCATGAACCTGGGAGGCAGAGGTTGCAGTGAGCCTAGACCGGCCACTGTGCTCCAGCCTGGGCAACACAGCTGGACTCCATCTCAAAAAAAAAAAAAAAAAAAAAAGACAGAAATAGAGTGGCATCCTTGTCTTTTTTCCAAATCTTAGAGTAAAACCTTTCAGCTTTTCCCCATTCAATATGTTAGCTATGGATTTGCCATATAGGGCCTTTATCATGTTGAGGTACATTCTGTCTATACCTAATTTGTTGAGAGCTTTTATCATGAAGGAATGTTAAATTTTGTCAAATGCTTTTCTGCGTCTATTGAAGTAATCATACATTTTATGTCTTTAATTCAGTTAATGTGATGTATCAGATTTATGGATTTGCATATTTTGTTGAACCATCCTTGCCTCCCTGAGATAAATCCCACTTGATCTTGGTAAATAATCTTTTTAATGTGCTCTTGAATTCAGTTTACTAGCACTTTGTTGAAATTTTTGCATATATGTTCATCACGAATATTGGCCTGTAGCTTTCTTTTCTTGTTGTGTTGTTGTCTGGTTTTGGCATCAGGGTAATGCAAGTCTCATAGAATGAGGTTGGAAGTATTCCTTCCTCCTTAATATTTTTGAAATAGTTAGAGGAGAAATGTTCTTAGTTCTTCTTTAAATGTTTGGTAGGATTCAGCAGTGAAGCCATCAGGTCTGGGCCTTTCTTCAATGGAGATATTTTATTGCTGATTCAACTTTCTTATTCATGACTGTTCTGTTCAGATTTTCTGTTCTTCATAATTCATTCTCAATAGGTTGTATGTGTCCAAGAGTTTATCAATTTCTGGAAGCTTATCCAATTTTTTGGTATATAATTGTTTACAGTAGTGTTCTATGATACTTTGTATTTCTGTGGTATAAATTATAATGTCTCCGTTTTATTCTCTGATTCTATTTATTTGTCTAAAGATTTGTCAAATTTATCTTTCCAAAAACCAATTCTTTGTTTTATTGAGCAATCACTCTTGATATAATTAATTTTCATGATAAAATCAGTCCCTTCTTGTCAGAGTAACACTGCCCTGCCACCTCCATTCCCCTGTCAGAAGAAATATGACATGCCCTGGCAAGTCTCTCACTCCCTCTCCCTTCAATCCCTGCCACCCTTTTATGCCTTGAACTGCTCAGACCTTATGACCTTATGAGCACGCCTTTTAACCCAGTTCATGTCAGTGCCCATGAGAAACCCTAGGCTCTGTATCATCCCTCCATTCCTGTATGCTATGCACATTCCTAGTTCTGTTCCCATCTTGCACCCTGCTCCAACTCTCAAAACCTTTTCACTGTATACCTTCTGGAATTCAGTGAGCAATTAAAAAAATCTTACATATCTGTATCTTATTTTCAAAATACTCCCTTCACTTTCTAGTTATAACTAAAACATGGTTCTCTCTGAAGGACTCTATTTCAATGATAAATGTTTTCTCTCACACTCCTGCACCAATGGGCCTGGAAGTAAAATAGGTGTCCTCCTTGCTTATCTTTACTGCTTCCAGACTATTCTTCTCTCTTGTCTAAAAACTTCCAGCTTTGAATCTCATGTCATCAGTCTATACCCTTCACAATCTCTCTTAGCTGCAGTCATCTTTCCACACCCGTATTAAATGCTTCTTTCCTTAAAGATTCAGTTTCTGGTTCAATGCCACGCTTCTTAACCCAATGCTTTGTATAATACCCAGTATTATATCTCAATGGGTATTTTTTATAATATTGTATTTCCTTGACCTCTATTCTTCCTTGCCCCTCACATCCCTAGCCTTGCCCAATAGCTGCAAACCTTCCGTAATTTGTTTCTTCATTCTCTGACCATCACTTTTTATCGCTCCATACTATCCCCCTAGTAGTCCAACTCTAACATTTTTTAACTTCACCATGATTTAAATCTACTGATTCTTCCACAATTATTTTCCTACATTTGTCTTCTTAACCAGCTTCAAAAACCAAGTTGACCACAGTTACTCTTTTGGATACCCCTCAAATCCCTTGTCCTCCTTTATATCATCATCCTGTTTGAGTACATTACAGCCCTCACTAAGTCTAATCCCCTACCTACTCTATTTCTGAACCAGGAAGGTAAACATGCCTGGGGGAAACCACACAACCACACCTACTGATCTCACTTCATATTTACCACTCTGAGCCTCAAGAAGGCTTTTCAATGCTGCCCAACAATCGTACTATACTTCCATAGCCCATTCACTCTTCCACTGGCCTAGAAAACTCTTTCACACTTTTTCCCCTTTCTTCAAACCTCTAACATCTCTCCCACATTCTCACTTGGAGCTGATGACTTTGTTTCCTATTTCGTTAAGGTAACGGAAGCAATCAGAAAAGAATTTTCAAGGCCCCCAACACCACATTTATTCACACATCTGCATCTCTGCCCTTTTTTATGGCCTTCAGTCCTACTACTATGCTCCTAGTAAAACCAACCCTCACTGTAATACTTTGCCTTCTACTTACTTTCATTTATTCAATGAGGTATTATTAAATGCCTACTAAATGCTAGGCACTATTCTAGGGGTTGGTGCCATAACAGTGAACAAAAATCCCTACCCTCATGGAGTTTATATTCTAGTGGAGGGAAACAGACAGTAGACAAATAAATAAACAACATATGTAGTACTATTTTCATAAATGCTATGAAGACTTGCTATAAGTCTATTGCAATAACCCATAGGAGAAAAACTGGTGAGTTGAATGTAGTTTGCTGCAGTAATAGTGGTAAGAACTGTTAAGATTCTGGCTACATTTTAAAGACAAAACTTAAAATTTGTTGAAAAATTGGAAGTGGAATATGAGAGATACACAAAAATCAAGATGGGTAGACAAATTTTGAACTGAATAACTGCAAGAAATGAGATATTATTCACTGAAATGGGGAAGACAATAGTTGAAGCTGGTTTGAGAATAACGATCAAATTTTGTGTGCCCAATATACAACCAAGTGGAAATGTGAGTATGAGTCAAGTTTACAGGAAATTCTGTGCTGGGGATAAAATTACTAGGGTTGTTAACCCATAGATGATATTTAAAACCAGGAGACTAGATGAGATCAATAAAGATGTAAACACAAATAGAAAAATAAGAGGCTTAAGGCCAAACCCTACAGACTCTAACATTGAGTGATCCACCAGCTGAGGAAGAACTAGCCAAGGTGGCCTGGGCGTTTTAAGGAAGATTTTAAAAGGCTGAAACATCACTGACAGTAGTCAGAAAGAGGGCTGACCAGAAACAAAATTTCTCACAGTCTACACTGAGGAACCAGTCCAAATATAAATCCAGGAACAGTGAGGCAATTTGCTTGGCTGTTCGATAGTCTCTCAAGGAATGCTTTGCTGGTTTTGGCAGGATGTGGCAAGTATAAGGAAATTAAGGGTACTGGTGAGAGTAGAGCAAATGATTGACCATGGAGTTCAGTTTGTATAGGTAAGGAGGAAGAACCCTCAAGTTGAAGGAACTAGAGGTCTCTGTGCTCAGGAAACAGAGTTGATACTATGATGACTGTTTGAGAGAATGGATGGGGTCATAATATGATATGAGAGTTTATTAATTTAATAATTAGAAGTATGATAATTCCAGATGATTCTAAATTCCAGGCTTTGGCATTAAGACTGAGTATATGAAAGGAAGGGCACTGAGCTTGTGAAGATCAAGGAACTGTGAGACAAGAATATTGACAGGGTTTTAAAAACTTTTAATTTTCAATATTCTTTTCGCCTTTAAAGATATGTGTCATTATTTCCTCATTGTATCCATGTCAAAATACCTTATCATCAAAAAGTAATAAATCAGTGCTTTATATTGTAGGAAGGATCCCTTGTGAGATTTAAGGAGCCCACTTATCTATCAACAATACGTAATACAACAGGCCTTCTAGATGTATTATCTTCTAGGGCTGTTTCATCACATAACTAATCTCATCAATATCATGATAGAAAGGAGAGTGGTTTTGGCAAGGAAATTACTGAAGTAGTTCAAATAATCCATCCCATAATTTCATTTGAGTAAGAAATAAAGATAATCCTTTAGGAGTAAAGAGGTGAAATTGCAACTTTGTCCCCAGGTTCTGTAACTAGGCCTTCCCTTATCTTTCCATGTCATGACTATAGGTCTATCTTATGTTCCATCCAAATAAAATTTAAAAAATAATATATGAAAGTCTTCATTATAAGCACCCCATGGTTACAAAATACATATAACCATTATAAGCAGTAAGTAGCTTTACCTTCTAAAGCATATATAATGATGAAAATTTATTTCTTCAAACACCTTGCACAATTTGTATAATTCAATGCTACTTAAGTATCTAAGATACAAATACAGCTCCACAACTGGTATGTCACATGCTATGAACTTTTTAAAAGTTGACAGCTATAACTTTCAGTGAATAAAGTAGAAACAAAGTATGAATGAAAACTGATGCTTCAATGAATAAGGTATGCTTTTACAACGGTACTGCCTAAAAAATTTCTAAACATAACCACATCCTGACAATAAAGGCAACTGAAAAGAAGAAAACCTATTTCTTTCTAATTTATTGTTATATTTTCCTAAAGAAACATCCATATCCTACATAAAATTTTCTCACCAGTGTAAGGAAACAATTTTTTTTTATTTTAGTTGAACCAGTACATGATGTGATTCCAGAAAACACAGAAACAGGAAATCTAATAAAACTAAAGACTTATTCATCTTCCTGAGTTACTGTTGGAGAATAACAAGATCAGACATAAATTCCTGTCCACATACATATCTTCAGAAGAATAATCACAAAAAGGGCAATCATTTGGTATTCGCTTTTAAGCTAACAGTACAATATTAGCTCTTTTCACCACCTTTACCTAGCATCCTTAACTTACCAAGGATCTAATACTCATTCACAAGGAATTTCAGTTGGAAAAGAATTTGAAATTACACCAACTATGCAATGCAACATTCAGATAAAGAGCCACATATTAGCCAGTAGACTATTTAATCCCTTGTTTAGGAGAGAACAAAAAAATATTTGCTGTTTACTGCATACTGTGGCTAAGTTCCAATGTAGCCTAAGAATGAATTGCTATGGTGATGAAAAACCATTTTCCACACAAAGCAGCAACAGATGCATGTTAACAGCATTGCACTTGTTAATTGCCAATTAACACTTTCAGTTGTCAATGTTATTTAAATATCTTAGTTTCTATCCTTGGGAAACTAATTTAGTCATAGAAATATGAGATAAAAGGATTAAAATCTTTTTCTAAATACACTTTGAAATGCTCAAAATCTCTAAGAACGTCATCTTCTCACCGGATAGCCTAATAATTTGAGAAACTGTTTTCCCGCATGCCACGCAGGCTAACAGCTCCTTTGCTCAGTTTTGGGCTGTAATGCCTTCCTTTCTTATATTTCCCTAAAAGTTCTCTTCCTTCAGATGTTGACACCCACACTCGCAGATGGCCTCTAGCCTCCTGTTAAGGCATTACAGGGTATCTTACATTATCACTGTGCCAAGGGCAATCCTGAGCATTTTCTTTGCCCAATGAGCAGTTTTGTCTTTATCAGCTCACCCTTTTCTCTAAGTGAAGATAGCATTTCATTTCAATATACATACAAATTTATCTTCACTGGGCAGCTCTCCCTCACATCCTTGCAGCAAATACCACCAGCACCGTACACTGCTTTTAAAAGTTACTGAAAGCATTAAGCAAAGACTTCCTTTTACCTGGGGTGTGGTCTGAATGCTCCCTGATAAGATGCACGAGGTCATTTGGAAGTAATTGTTCCCGCAGTCACTCAGAAGCCCCTGTTCTGAAAGCATTGATTCATCACATAAGGGAGCGAGCAAACCAATGACTGAGGTGGGAAGGGAGCCTCATACTAAAACAACACACACACACTCACGCAGAAAGAAGAAATTCTAAAAAGAGGTAAAGCAGAGTCATTCCAAAATTGAGGAATTGTGTCAGCTCCGAAGAGTAGATTTCTGTTTTGACAATTTTTAGATTTGGAACATTATGAGAGGTCATACTAACTGCTGAAATGGAATCAGTAGAAGTGAAAAAAAGAAAAAGAAAAAGAAAAAAAGCCACTGATATGTGTTTTCCCTCTTTTCTTTTCATGCATGTATTCCAATTATATATTCTGTGAAAAGAAGAGAAAAGCCAGATTGTGCAGCAATGAGAAGCTGATTGAAGGGCGCTAGCACCTGCCAATCTCAATAATCAGTTGGTCATGCTCATAGAGAACATTTAGAGGTATAAATACATGCAAACACTGTGTCCAAATAAAGAACTAGAAAACACACAGTTATTTCAAAATATCAGTAACTTTATCCTTAGTATATAAATTGTAAGCAACAATACAGGAGCATCTGTAGTGACTGAAGTTATGTTATTAACAAAATCACCTCTAAAATAAAGCTTGGAATCAAATCCTTGTCAAAACAGAATTTCATTCCAAGGTTCCTGGAAGACAGTGAGAATCCTGACTGCAGACAAACCTTAAAACTTCATATGTGAAATTGATTGGAGTCTTCAGCTTTCAGTACTTCTATTTTCTAAGTATTGATTTTTCTCCAAATCTGTAATATCTACATTTGTGCTTTGGCAGTGAAAAGTGTTGTATCCAAAGGACTAGATATAGATCAAAGGCTATGGGAAGGAATTACTATTTTAGAAACCTAGATTATGCCTCTTCACATTTTCGATGTTATCAAAAGCCTGAGATTATGGAAACATAATGAGTAAAATAATTGCTATAAGTGATTCTATTAGCACAGTGGGAGGAACTATTCCAAACAACACAGACCTAGAATATGATCTAAATTTCTGAATATAAGTGCCGTGTTATAAAAAAAACTATGAGCCTTCTTCTATTTTACACATATTTATGGATACTCAAAAGAGAATATAAGTGCCTCTTGCCCTCAAAAAGCTAATGGTTTGAGAATATAAAACAGGTAAACAAATAACAAAGATACAAAGTGAAAAAAGAAAACAAGAAAAAGCCCTATACTGGCCAGGCGCCGTGGCTCATGCCTGTAATCCCAGCACTTTGGGAGGCCGAGGCGGGCGGACCACAAGGTCAGGAGATCGAGACCATTCTGGCTTATATGGTGAAACCCTGTCTCTACTAAAAAATACAAAAAATTAGCCGGGCGTTGTGGCGGGCAGCTGTAGTCCCAGCTAATCGGGAGGCTGAGGCAGGAGAATGGCATGAATCCGGGAGGCGGAGCTTGCAGTGAGCCAATATCGCGCCACTGCACTACAGCCTGGGCGACACAGCGAGACTCCGTCAAAAAAAAAAAGAAAAAGAAAAAACGAAAGGAAGGAAGGAAGGAAGGAAGGAAGGAAGGAAGGAAGGAAGGAAGGAAGAAAGAAAGAAAGAAAAAGAAAGAAAGAAAAGAAAGCCCTATACTGCAGTTCTTCTTAAACTACTGCACACATAAATCCCCTGGGGAGCTTGTTAAAATGCACTTTCTAAGTGTGGAGATCTGAGATGTGGCCTCAGATTCTGCATTTCCAAGAAGCTCCTAGTAGATGCCCTGGGAGCCACACCCCAGATCTGCTGCTGGTGTGTTACACTTTGAGTAGCAAAGACAGAGGAATTTCAGAGAACGATGTTACAGCCACCTGGAGGGCAGTAATTCAAGATGGTGGCATTTGGGCTGCACTTAGAAGAACGGGGAAAGGGAAACTATGAAGGTGGGATGGAATAGCAAGTATTTCAAGCAAAGAGAGAGGGCTGGATTGAAGGCACCTATCGGGACAGCAAGAGCAGTAAGTCATAAAGCACAGGACCCTGGAGCCACATCATCCACTGGCTGTGGGCCCTCAGACAAGTTACTGAACTTTTTAAAGGCTCAGTCCTCTCACCTGTGAAATGTGGATGAGAATAGCTCTCATTTCACAGAGTTCTTGTGAGGATTACAATTAAATTCAGCATGTAAGATTTCCACAGATTCTTAGCTCTGTGCCAGGCAGATTCTTAATACACGTTACTCCTGTGGGTATTGTTGTTTTCTAGTTTTATAAATAACATAAATGAGAATAAAGGCAAGTAAGACAAAAAAAAGTAGGTTAAATGTAGGTCATCAAAGATCTTGAATTAAGATGTTTTAGCTTTATTCAGTGAAGAACAGAAATGGAAATATTCATATATATATGAATATATATGTATGTAAATATATATGTATTTATTGATACTACCCTTTGGTGTTTTGATTTATATATATAAAGACATATATATATATGAAGACATAAAATTATATATATAAATCAAAACACCAAAGGGTAGTATCAATACATCTTAGAGATCACTCTTATCGCAAAGTTCTAGTGTGGTTCTCCAAGAAGAAGTGACAGTCCAGATTTTTGTCAGTGGTCAATCAGTTTATTCCAGGTGGATTCAAACGCTATGAAACTCTTCTTCTATGTCTCATTCTGTCCTTTCCTCTCTGATCTTTTCTTTCTCTCATTCTCTCCCACAAACAGAAAGCAATATTTATGCAAGTTGGCATAATCAAATTTAGAAGAGAAAATACTTCAGCCCCTACTCTTCCCTGCTCAGATTCTTTCTTGAGTCATTTTACAACATGAAAACCAATTTATTATTTTGACATTTTTCTCTGTGTCTTATTGGTAACTTTCCTCTAACCATTTTCTTTCCCTTGTTTTATTAACTAATAATTGCTGTTATAGACTATTTCTTATAATACTAGAAGTCATAATTTTCACTTAAAAACACATAAATGGTCATGCATTATAACAGCATGCTTCAGCCATCTGGATAGTAACTACATATAGCTTCAAAGAGCACATGTATTTTGGATAATTTCTATAGAAACCATTCTGTATTTAAATAGAAAGTGATGGCACCTGGTCAAAAAATGGGTCCTAGTCTTGGATGACAAAAGAGCATATAAATTACCTGAGTGGAGAGGAGAAGAGAATCTATCCTCTAATTACAACAACTTTTCTATAGACAAAAAGTCATCTATGGTCTGCCCAAGACCCTTAAGCATTTTATAATCACAAACTTTTAATGATCTCTCTCCCACTAACAAACACAAACTGCTCTGTTGAATAATCTTTTTTTTGTTTTCACAGGAAAACAAAGTTTGTCAAAGCTTGCAATAGATGAATACAATCCAAAATTCTCTTTAAAATCTGGCATTATTGATGATAGCTGAAGCAGGCATCCGTCACCCTTATTACTAAACGGATATTACTGCAATACCTTTCAGCTGAAAGACTCTTAAGATATTGCTTTTAAAAAAATAATACAGAACAAATAATCCTCTTCCTGACATGGGAAACAAATTTGAGAAAAAAGAAATAGATTAGTCCACAAGTTTGCCAAGAAACATGTAAGTGATTAAACAGATCCAGCTGCCAAGGCTATTCAGACATCCATTTGTCTGTTTTTATGCCTCAGGCTTGATAACAGAAGGTACCAGAAGTCCCATTTATTTATCTTAATAAACATCTATTGAGTGCCAGTCACGATTCTAAGCTCTGAAGACATAAAATAATAAAGGCTTGGAACCTGTTCTCAGCATGGCTTATAGTCTCATTAAAGAGACACCTTCACTCGTGACGGGAGCAGTGAATGAAGTCAGAGGAGGATGACAAGTCACGTGCTGAACACAGACTGCATGGGCAATGCATGTCAGGTTGTTTTCGGGGAGATTTCACTCTTAGCTCCTGCACTCCTAGGTCCTATTTCTGGCAAACACTGGGACACTTCTGCTCAGCCCTTTTTCCTCTAAAAATGGGAATCATTAGGTGTTCGTATCCGTGTCTCTCAGGTAATGGGTGATTCCAGAGATCCTAATCAGGACTAACCCGATTCACAGGCTCAGAATTGAGTGTGCAATATTTAAAGTGAATCCTGACATCTCATCAACAATATGTGAAATTCCATTACAGTCTAAATTTGGCCTCATCTGTATTGGACACAGACTTCTACTTCTGTTATTACTGCTTATAGTAGTATACCGCTATAACTTATAAGTAATATACTGCTATAGGTATATAGTTATACTGCTTACTCTTCTCCTTGGAGTATGTCCTCCTAGTTTAAAAAGATATCAGTAGTCCTTAATTAAAGTAAACCAAAAGCTTCAAAGTACTGTTTGACCTAACAAGATATTCAGAAAAAATGAATAAGCCCTATACAGGGTAGAATTTGAAAGAGGCACAGAGACAATGATAAGAAACATTTATCCATTAGGAATAAGTGTATGTGGTTCACTCTCTCCTTGTTGAATTACTTTCTTAGCTTGGTTTCAGGCAATCCATTTCCTTTCAGTCCTCTTCCTATCCCCTGGACACTCCTCTGTCTGCTTTGTGCCATCTGACCCCTCAGCTTTGAAGTAGCCCAGGAGTCATTCCTTGGTGATCACATCCAGTTACTTAGCTGTAAATAACATTTATAAGCCAATGAATTCCAATTTATTTCCCCAGACTGGATGGCTTCTCTGGATGACTTCACTCACACAATTAACATCATTATTGGAACATCTCATAGATATCTGAACATCAGCACATCTGAATCTGAATTAATTGCATTTCTTTTGAAGTTGTTCCCCACCTCCCAAAATTTTCCTCACTTCTTCAGACAGTTTCTACCTATTTCTAGTTGCTTAGGCTAAAAATAATGAGTTCATATTATTCTTCTTGGTTTTTCAGAATCGCTCATCAATGTATTAGTAAATCCTATTGGCTGTCCCTTCAAAATAAATCCAAAAAATGAATCTATCTCACTACTTCTACTTCTAACATCCCAGTAGCGGAACCTGCCATCGTCTTCTTTCCGAATCATTGCCTCCTAATTGGTCTTTCTGCTTCCACTTTGACTCCTGAGTGGATGCTCTGATGAGCACCATATGGATGGTCTGATGAACCATCCGTATCCCTGTCAGGCTGAAGGACGTATTCCCCAGCTGCTGGGAGTGCTGTAACTGTGGTCAGCTGTCAGTCTTCTTCAAGAAAAAAAAAACTTCTTGCCCAAAGTCACTCTGCCTTCTTAGGGACATCGGATGGCTAGTTGATGCATCCATATAAAATCCTGGCCCCCTCACTCCAGCTTGAAACAACTCTAGAGAGGAATCCATTCCAGAGCTCCTCATGAGGTCAGCTAGGCTTTGAGACCACTCTGTAGCCCAGTCTCTCCCTCTGCCTCCTTCCCATCTACAGGTATTGCTCCTGGGAGCACTCCCTAATAAACTTTGCATGCTAATCTCCATCTCAGAGCCTGCTTCCTGGGAACCCAATCTGCATATCTTCCATATAGCAGCAAGAGTAAACCTTTTAAAACAGAAGTCAGGCCATGTTACTTCTCTAGGCAAAACTCTCCACTAGATTCCTGTGTTACCAAGAGTATCAGTTCTCATAACAACCTATAGCCCAATGATCTTACACCTACCACTCTCCCCTTTTCTCCTTCAACTCCAGACACAATGACCTTCATGTATTTCTAGAACATGCTAATCCTACTCTCCACAATGTTCTTCCCAAGATGGTTACCATGCCTTCATTTCCTCATGTCTCTGCCCAAATATCACATTAACAGTGAAAGATCCCTTACCACCTTATATAAAATTGCAATCCCACACCTGCCCCCCTGCCAGCACTCTCTACCCGTCTTAGCCCATGTTATTTTTCTTCAAAGGACTTACCAACCTCTGATGCTTGTTTCTTCCCTGATTTCCTTCATTGGATTTTAATCACCATGAGGGCAAGGATTTTGTTTTGGTTACTGCTATTTCTGTAGCAACTAGAGTAGTATGTGGCATGTAAAGGCATTCAATAAATACTTGTCCAATGAACTTTTTGACTGAAAGTGAACTCTTTATCATATAAACTTATTTTTTTCTAATGAAAAAGACAATTTTGGTAAACTTTGAATTGACTGTTCAGAAGAAAATGGAATCAACCTAATGTCAACTTTCCTAGTTCCACTGGAATAGGAAATCACTGGCGTTCACAGCCCTTACAAAGAGTCAAACGTATACGGGCTAAAGAAAGGAGCAGGACGCAAGTAACAGCAGTCAGATTCCATCTTGTAAGTCATATCCACAAATGCATGCAGGAAGAGACAGCAGGATTCTCAGGGCTGTGAAATGTCCAGTTGCTTAGGTCAGAAGCAGCAAAAATAGGTTCTGGTCTCCTGATTTTCCACCAAATAGCTGTGAGGTCTTGGGTGAGTCACTTATTTTCTCAGGGGCAATTTGTTTATAAAATGAGGTTCTAGATCAGCGTTATCCAACGTGCCCTTCTTAGAATATCAGCCTTGCAAGACAAACGGTGAGCAAGGGTTTTTGTGGTCAAATAAATTTAGGAATTGGTATATTCCATATCCTATATTTGGAGGTGTCTCACAGTCAAAAGGCCTTTTAAGCTGTGTTTAGCCCGTGGTTTCCCGTATTTATTTGGCCACAGAACCCTTTCCTTTCATAATGCACACTGTCATCCCACTCACAGTGTGACAGAAGTGCTGAACTGCACAGTCCACAGAGCCTTCTTTTAGCCATAATATTTGATGAATGTAAGAAAAGAAGACAGTTTGGGGGAAAAAAAAGGGAGTTTCCACAAAATTACTAAATAAAATTCTATTTGTGGTCTTGGCTGGGAAGAGAGCAGAATGAGCTAGATGAAGATCAGGAGACGTTCTCTGAGTTAGAAAGCAAGGAAGGAAGGTGGTATATATTTCCGGTCTACTAAGTATAAATCCACTTGTGCTAACAGCAGTTGCACAAGCAACATATTCAGTGGCACAGGAATATGAATTGAATAAATGAATGATAGATTGACTGAAAGACCTGAAAATATATTCAAAGAGGTACTAATAAGGTATGTAGCAAACAGTTGGGAATACTATTTAATAAAACATGTTCAGAGATTCCATAGTGAACCATTTTTACATATATCATAAAGGAAACAAATTCTAACACATGACATACTTCATAAAATCTTGTTTTTAAGCAGACAGAGTGATGCCAGCATCTTTTGAGGTAACAGTATATTCCATAAAGGAACAAAATAATGTAATATTTACTTATAATATGATTTTGGCATAATCTGATTTTTTGTTTAAAATAAAAGGGGAAGCAATAGCATCCTATTCCATGCTTTTGATATATTTACATATGAAGAATGCTTTCAAAAGCTTTTATCATATTCGGCTGAAAAAAAAATTTACCTGTATTACTCAGTTTTGACCAAGATAAAAACTGTGTTAGAAAGTGTTATTAAGATGCCTTAAATATAAGAGGGTTTAATTGATTATTTTAAGAAGTGCTAAACTTCTTACACTCAGGCTCAGCTCACCAGGGCAAGTCACGAACCTCCCTAGCCCACAAGGTATCATATAATAGAAAAGAACAATGATAGCCAATGTTTTGTCATTAGAGTCACATATTGAGTTTCAGAAGCAACTGCATTTTAAATTAGTTTCCACATACTTGGGCAACATAAAGAATAGGCTAAATGTAAGTATAAAGATAAGCATACCAAGAAAAGAACTACTACTTACGATACATGTTTCATATTTAATCTTAGTGCTTCATTTCTTTTCATTTGTACTTTATAGAAATACATGACTCAGCAGAATTAGTGAAGGCAGATGTCAGAAAGCCAATTTTTGTCAGTTTAGTCTTGGGCTACCTAACCGTGATTGGAAGAATTACATAGAGAGGAACACAGGAGTAGAGCCAACAAATTGTGTGTGCAATACACAGTTGAGAGCATGGGCTTTAGATCAGAGAGCACCGATGTGGTATCACATCACCCTCTGCACTTACTAGCTGTGTAACCCAAGGCAAATTAATAATCCCTCTGAGCTTCATTTATTTATGACCATAGAATTTATCGCACAAACTGAAACGCTTTCAAGAGTGAAAAGGGGAGCATTATAAATTATTGCCCTGGGATAGAACCATATTGAGCAAACCAAGACATAATCAGACTACTTATTTGCAATATTTAGATAATATCTCACCCCATTAGGGTTAAAATGGCATGACATATGTTATTTTAGAAGTCTGACACATACATATGTTCAGTAACAGTTATTTCCCTTCTTCTCATACTTAGAAATTTTAGAGGTTGGGACAAGATGAGGGGCTTATTGTGTTATCTTTTTAAAATGGAGTAAGATTAAGTAAGGCATGCTTCTCCCTCTGCTTTGAATGCTCTCCCACAGCTCTCTCCCTAGTTAATTCCTCTTTGCCCTGCTGAGCTCTAAGAAACTCAGAGATTCCATGGTGAATATTTTAATTTACATCATGAGGTTAACATAATTTCTGACACACAACACACTTTATAAAATCATTACCTAAAGAGGGCTTCCCTGGCTCCATGGGTTAGATACAACCTCCTGTTGTACCCTCTCTTAGCACTTGTACTTCTACATCGTATTTACTGCTTTCAAATTATATGACTATACAGTGAATTATTTAGTGTCTGGCTCCCCAGTTGGAACATAAATGCCACTGTGATGGGAAATGTATTTGTTTTGTTTCCTGCTGTATCCCCAGCACCTAATGCAGTGCCTGTCACATAGTAGGAGGTCAATACACATTTCTTAAGTAAATGGTTGCATGCTTTATGCTAGATGTATGGAAGATTCAGAGAGGACAGGAGGGATTTCTGTTTCAAGGATTTCAGGATCTGTCACAAAATAAGAGTGATTTAAACACTTATTAATTTTGTCACTTTAAAGTGTCACTTTGAAGATATACCACATATAAAAATAACAACCGAATCTGAATGCCAGAGCTTTGGATGTTTTAGGAATCTATGAAGGAAGCCAGCATCAGAGGGTTGTGTGAGAGGCCAGGGTACATAAAGAAAGATGAGAAAAGCATCTCTGGTCTAGATCACTCCTCCCACTGTTGGCAACCATAGTCTGTCACCATGGCTACCTCAAACACTTAACCCACTCAAACCAAGAGCAAATTTCATCCTACACATACATACCATTTAATGAGTTTTATGTGATACTGCTCTTGATATTTAATATATTATCTTTTCTATTTCTCACAAGCCAGCAAGAGAATTACGATGTCCACTAGACAAGTAAGAAAAATGAAACTCAGGGAGATTAAATAACTTGCTCAACCAGCACATGAGACAATGGGATTTGAACTCAGGTCCACCTGGCTAGAACCCAGGTTCATGTTGCACCTCATTTGCTCCCTGCTTCTGCCAGCCTTACTTTAGAGATATACATTTATAGGAAGGTGATAAGAAGGGCAGAAATACAGAGTATATAACAACGCAGTAGCCAGCCAGGATCTTCTTTCTAATATGGTTCCTACCCAGGAGAACTACACTCGGAGGAATACTTTTCTCAAGCTTCCAGTATCCATTCTCAAAATATGGCTGTATAGGCTGAGTTTCCCACTGTTCAAAGCTGTTATTCTCTTACTATAAAAGCAATGCATGGTTATTTTGGAATATAACTTTAAAATAGAAATGAGATGAAGAATATCAAAGAATACAATTATATTGTCACTAGCATGAGTGCTAAAGCTACATACTTTTCAATATGGATAGTACAACATGAGCACAGGAAATTATTGTTGAATGGCTACATATGATTACCATAAGTAGTTAGCAAACAATATTCATCTTCCAAAATATCCAAGGTAATATGTGAGCTCCAAGATGATGTTTTATAGCATCTACTTATTAATTCTGCTAATGGAAACAATGGAATTTAGAGTCAGAATTGGGTTCAAAAACATAAATCTACTTATTATTCATGGATAATCCTATATAACTTACTCAAATTCCATGAAATTTAGTTCTATTTTTATAAAAGGGGCATAATAAAAGCATCTGAACCTCATAAGATGGATGTAAAAATTAAATTAAGTGACATATAAGAGCCCTAGTGTATGGCCTGGCACATAGTAGGTACCCAATAAATATTCATTTCTCTCTTTCTTTTTAGGGTAGAGTAAATGTATGAGACTGAACAAAAATTTCTAATTGATAAGAGTATCAGAATATTACCATGTTTACTTACACTATTTCCTCCTTTTTCCCCCCTTAATATTTTTACTCCAAAATAAAATAGAAAGGCACCTTCTAAGAATCTTGACCCTTGTCTACTATCATCCAAAAGATTTTTACAAACCCTGTGACTCTTGTCCACAATAGCTAAAAATCTTACTCATCAGAAGTTACATGACAATCAGTGGCAAGTTAATTGATCTAAATATTTGCTCCATATCCTCTGGAACCAATCACCATTTAGACCAAAGTGTTGTTTTGAATGAAGATACATATATATTTGTAAAAGATTAATTAAGTGGGTGAAGATTTGTAGGTGGAGCAAATTACACTGGGATGGTCTTTTCTCTTGATTTTATTATTTGACACTCAGTAATTTTCATCCTGGGCAAAACAAACCAGCTGATGTCTACAGTTTGCCAATGTGTTTTCACAGTCTGGGAGGTGTGCTGGGGCCCAACACATGCAATCATCCATGAAGGCAAGAATTAATGATGCCTGTTTGGATCACCAGTGCATCCCCAGTGCTTAACATTTAGTAGATGCTCAATATATATTTGTTGAATGAATGAATGGTTGTGTGCCTACCACAGAGAAAATAAGACAGTGCTACGTGTCAAGTATAAAGGAATAGTAGATAAAGGACAAAGCATTTTTTAGTTTGTGGTAAGTCAGTAGCTGCAAATATAATATAATCCCCTCAGTAGCACTTCTCTGACTAACCACATTAGTTAATAGAAAGCTTTCTAGGACAGAAATGACTAGTATTTCAAAGGTGAGATATTAAGAAGCAACATAGAAAATATGAGGAAAACATTTTTAAAAATTTTCTTCTCATGGCATGTAACAAAGCAGTAACATAGGATGGAAGAAGGAAAAATTTCAAGTTACTAAAATAATACATTATATAAAGGTATTTTGTATATCATGAAAGAGAAACTGAAAGAGCAATCATCTTACCAGAAAAAAAGCACTTTATGTACTTATCAAGCTTGTCCACAAATTAAAATAAAGACACTACCAAACACAACAAAGAATGGCTCCATCACTTCCATAAAGAAAACAGGTTATCTAACACTTACAGCTTTTGTAAGAATTAAATAAAATTATACATGGGACGTCTCCAACATGATGAGCACCATGTGATAAGCTTTCAAAAGAGATTAGTTATTATTGTTGTAGCAGCATATTATAATCCTGAGTTTCCAAGGTAACTAGAAATCTAACATTAAGTGTGTACGTAGAACCAATGCATGCCAGTGACATCATCATCATTTAAAAATTTCATAAAAACGATTACTGAATGTACTCCAAAGCACTTTTCTTTTAAATCAGCATTTTGATTTCCTTTTTTCTCTGATCAACTTTTATCATTTTTTCTTGCCTTTACATTTATACCCTTATATCTCTTCATAAAATGAAGCTGTATTCTCAGTTATGATTTTGTTAATTGATAAGTCTACATGGAAAGCAAGCCTATCCCCTTCAAATCTGCCTGTTCTAATTACCAATTCTAAAAACATAAATACTTTTTGAGAAGTCTTTGTTTTTGAACGTCACAGTACTATTTTATTTAAAAACCTCTCTGTGATATCCCTGGTGAAAACATTTTAAGAATCACTTCTCAGTCTTTTGAAAGCACACATTGGCATTAATAAATTTGGTTACCTGAAAAGGGTTAGAGACGCTGAGCAGGCTGGCAATCTATAAGCCTTAGATTCCAATATGCTGCCCATACTCTATGATGCACAGCTATATATTTTTTTTTTCCAAATCAACATGTGACTGTGTAGGAGATGGGCGAGCCTTCAAACTATGTGAAAATAGCTTTGAGATATTCTAATGACATTCAATTGAGTAGCCTGTAGGCATAAAGGAATTTGATACACAAAAAAAATCATTGTTTCAGTGCATAGTTATTAAAATGTTTTGCTATGAAGACAGAAAGCCTTCTTTCTTTTTGGAGACATTTACTAAGGTCCATAATGTATCATTTCAGTTTTCTCAGTAAGGTTACCGGTAAAAATGCAGTAAATTTTTCTTCAAGACTTCAAATTGAATTTAAATTATTTTTTAAATAATAATATTTCCTGTCAAAGCTGACATGGGAAATATACAACAAACTAATTCCTTCTCAAAACAACTTTTTTTGGTAAAGAAGAATAGATGATCATTAAGTACACTTGACAGTTTCTATGAAAATGTATCTGAGATTTTATATCAGAAGAATAAATGTGGATTTTTGCAAAGTCATTACTTTTTAAAGAAATCTTTGGATATTCTAGACTCTTAAGCATGAGCTCAGCAGCCAAACTGCTTGGGCTTCAATCCCAGCTTTCCCACTTAATAGCAGTGAAACCTTGGACAGATTTCTTACTCTCTCACTGCCTCGATTTTCTCATCTGTAAAATAGGGATAATAAGAGTAGCTACCGCATAAGGTTGTGGTTACATGAGTTACATACGCCTTTGGAACAGTATTTGGCACATAGTAGGCACAGAATAAATATTAACTCCTATTATCAGTTATTATTTGCAATAGGATTGCCATTACAAGTTTTAAACAGCTCGTTCACTATTTTCCACCTTCCTCTACCTATTCCCACATCCTCTTTCAACACTCTAAAGATAAGCAATGCATGGCCTCTTGCTACTCAAATAGTTGACTTTTTTTCCCCTGAACTTCGGTGTTGTAAATATTGTTTGTCCCTTTCATCTTCAAGAAAGTCTTTCTCCTCCCTGACACCATCCTGCCCTGGTTCTTTTCCAGTGACCTCCCTGCTTCCCCTCCTCCTTCAAGAGAAAGACCCAGCCGAGCACAGTGGCTCACTCCTGTAATCCCAGCACTTTGGGAAGCTGAGTCAGGAGGATCACTTGAGGCCAGGAGTTTGAGACCAGCCTGGGCAACAGAGTGAAACCCTGTCTCTACAAAAAAAAAAAAAAAAAGAAATTAAAAAATTAGCCTGGCATGATATGCACATGTAGTCCTAGCTATTTGGGAGGTGGAGGTGGAGGAGCTCTTGAGCCCAGAAGTCCAAGGCTGCAGTGAGCTATGATCGTGCCACTTCACTCCAGCCTGGGTAAAATTTTGAGATCCCGTCTCTAACAAAAAAAAAAAAAAAAAAAAAGAAAGAAAAATCCCCAAGACTTAACATTCGGCATCCTCCTCTTTCCATTGCCTGAGGTCTCTCCTCCATGACTCTCTTCTCTCATGTTCTCTACTCTCATGGTTTCAGTGCTCATTAGAACTGGCTAATTTCAACGTGCATTTCCAGGTCTGTGCTCTCTCCTGAGCTCCCGCTTCTCCTCTTTGATGTTTCTCTTGCTGACTCTAATATTGAGCAACCATGGTGCAAGTCATCGGATTGGGGAATTTGACAAACATGAGTGTGAGGCTGGGTTCTGCCATTTACAGTTTGTGTGACCTTGGTCAATTGTCTTCCTTCCTGAAAATCTCCACTTCCTTATATATAATAGGCCATTTATAAAAACCTACCTGTTAGGCTCCATTAAATTATGCAATAGATATAAAGCATTTGAAATAATGCCTGTTACATAGAAAACCCTCAACATACGTTAGATGATTATTAATATTAACCTCCAACTAAATATGCCCCAAATCTTTTGACATTTCACACACATATATAAAATAACTCTTCTCTGTAATTTCTAGGAATGTTTTACTGCCACCATCATTTTCAAGACACTAGATTTTAGCTTTTTTATTATTTTGTCTCACTTGTTTCCACCATCTGAGTGGTCATATATTTCAACTGTAATTTTAAAATAACAATAATTTTAAGCTGTGTATGTTGTTGCCTAGTCGAAGGGATACTCTTCAGCCTCCTTTACTAGTACGTATGGCTATGTAACTAAGTTGTAACCAATGAGAAGTAATTAAAAGTAAGTTTCTTTAAAATGATGTGACATGCCCTTCTTTATCTCATCCTCCATTCTGCTGTCTGGAATTTGGATGTGATGGCTGGATCTCTAGCAGCCATCTTAGATCCTGATGATAAGGGCTTCCCTCTAAAGAAGACAGAATCATGAATAAATTGGCAAGAAGAGATCTCAAACAAGAACAAAACTAAATTTCTGAACTTTTTCTTAATGTAAGAAAAAAGCAAACATCTATTTTGGGGTTTTCTCTCTTTTGCACAGCCTGATCTAATCTTAAGTAAATTAACAACAATTCAATTTCTAACTCTTCCCTAACATGTAGCCTTCTTGGTAGCCAGGCCAACTTCCTCACAGCCGCACTACTTGCTTCGGCTCAGTTGCTCCATTTCCTGTCCTTCCTGTCTTCTCACCCTCCACTATCTTAGGTCAGGAGTTCAGATCTACCAGGAGTCTTCTCTAATGTTTGAAGTGCTCAGCTCTCTCCGTCTCATCTAAAAACATTGTAGCACTTACATTCTGTGCCACAGCATCAATGACCCACATAGAATAGTCCTGTCTCTTGAATTGTTTGCAAAATCATTAATAACTGGATGTTGCAGGTTGGATTATCTGGAGATAGATGCAGAGACAAAATTCAGGGTGCCAGATATTTATGAGAGAGCAGCTGGTGGGAAGTAAGAAGAAGAGGCAGGATTGGCAGAGGGAGAAGTTGGGTGATGAAGCAGACCCAATGGAGCCTGGGCTAATTGGGTAAGGAGCTTAGGAGCTCCCTAACACTTGGTATTAGGAAGTGCTGCCCATAAGCGCTTCCCATATCCAGCCAAAGTAGCCAAGGCTTCACCAGCTGTGGGCTTCCCCGAGAAGGTACACTCAGTGGAGAGCCTCTCTGCAGATGAGGTTGACCCTGAAGGAGGTGACAGTTGGATGCTACCTGCCAACCACACCTTCCACAGCTCAACAGCAAGACCTTTCTCAAAACGGGATCTGGGCACCACATTTCTGTGTCTACCATACTATGTCAGCATTTTATGCTTCTCTTTCCAAAGTACCAATTTTAATAATAAACCTATAGTAAGTATTTGATAAATACTTACAGAACTCTTCAATTGAATGTATTCCAAGCTTGGTATAAGAAATATAATCTGTACAAAGTTCAGAAGACAAATTTTCCTGTGCCCCCAAAAAAGGTCTTAAAAAGTTCCAAGTATCTTGGACTGCAGGCATGCACCACACATCTGACCAAAAAATTTAAAAAGTTCCTTTGTAAGAACAAATCTTTTCAAAACATTTCCCTTCTGCTTCCTGGAATTGGTATTTACTTTGCATAAGATATAAGTTTTTTGTTGTGCAGAACATGCCTTTTTTACTTTACTTCATACATCGCCTACCTGCTAGATGCTGCTAGAGCCTCAGTCACACTCCATCTGAAGTACCAGCAAGTGGGAGGGACCTGCCCATTTGACTTGCTTATTATGAGGAACACCGTGCTCTCGGGGAAAATCTTCCAAGGAAGAAAACTTGCAATTCATCTTGAGACCATGAAAGCAAATTCATGAACAAACAAATTCATGAATTCAAACTGAGAACAGAGATTCTGACTCTGCAAACTCTGACTAAGCTTCCGCTGTTGTTTTTACTCTTCTCTCATAAGCTCTTTCACTCGAAGCTCATTTGGGGGTCTCTACAGATCTCATAAATAATTTCTCTCTTCCCCTTGTTGAGGGGTCAATAGAAAATGTCATTAGAAAGCAGACAGTTGTCCTGTTTCCTGTACCCTTCTTTTTTACCCCAATCACTCTATCCATCCCCAACTGCATTCCAGTTACAGCAGGAGTCAGAAAGGGATTGGAAGGGAAAGGAAAACCCAGAATTGAATGAGGTCCTAACTCTGGTCATCAGTAAATAGGACAGCAACAGTGGGGAAAAAAAGCACGAAAGACAAATAACAGTTATTATTATTTTTAAAATAATGAAAATAAATGAAAAGTCAGTCTAAGGTGGGTTAGCTGAGACCCACCTTCCTCTCACTTTGTCCTGACTCCTTCTGAGTAGAGGGAGCAAAAGTCTGTCTTCCCCACGATGTACCTGAATTGTGACCAATATGTTTACTTTAGCCTCAAGATAAGCAAGATGAACTAATCACAAGGTGAGTTCGCTTTGTGTGGCTGCCTGCTGCAAGTCTTCCTATATCTCTGTCTACCCACCGCTTCCCAAAATACATCTTTATGGTAATTTAGCCCCTTTAAGAATCACTCCCATCTGTTCTCTGCTATGACGATAGCTACTTCAAGAGATGGCTATCTTTGCTGGCTGGCTGTGGAGCGTGGTGGTGATGGTGGTTGACACACAATCTACAGAAAAATCACCCAAATGTAATTCATTTGTAAATCATCACTTGAGTGTTTTCGAAATGTTTGTGTTTGGAGGTTGTTTTCTTCATTTCCCTGAGCCAGAAGGCCTTGTCAGAAAGTCAAACTTCAAAAGTGACAAACTGCTCTGATCATATAAGGTTGGTTTAGTTGCTAGGGAAACCACTTTAAAAGGAGAAACATCCTATTTGTGAATTTATAACTGAGAAGAGAAACAGATGCTAAGTTTCTGAGTGAGTCTAATTTACTTTAAGACACATTTGGGGTCGGTGGGTGGCAGCAATGAGGGTTATATTTTTTAGGCCATAGACAGCAAATTCTCCAAAATTTAGGAAACCTTAGTGTAGCACAGAAATTATGGGTACAAAACAAGAATGTCTTTCTTCTTCTTAGCTTTGTAAATTAAAAAAAAAAAAAGTCAGAAAGAAGACAAATATATTTTCCCAGGACACCTGTGGGATATGGGAAAACTGCCAGGACTCACCATCAAGCCCCACACAAGTAAGAGCTTTTGACAGTGCTGATGGTGTGATCTTAGGAAGAAACAGAAATCCCTTGTGAATACTCTGCAAATATTTGCAAAGCAGTTGTCCAGAATAAAATAAAAATATGCAGACTGAGGCTGCTTTATGCAACAATGGACAAGAAGACCTGAGTTTTCTCTCAAAATACTTCTCCATACCTGCCAATTAAGCCTCAATATGTAGAGCTTCATTTTTTTTTTTTATCTTACAGCAAGTTTCAGATTCTTCCTTGAAAATGAATTTTGATACCAGGGAAAAGGAAAAACTTAGGCAATATCAGGAGTGGCTTCTACAATAAGATAAAAGAATTCAAAGCTGGTAGCTAAATAAAATATTATTATTATTGCTGTTATTAATATTATTGCCATCATCATTATCATTACTATTGACACCATCAAAATTTATTATTTCTATCATTACCAACATAATAATTGTAATTCTTATCCTCTTAATCACCATTACCACTTTAAAATTAAAAACAGCTACTGTTCTTTGGATATTTATCCTGTGTCAGAAATTGTAAGTGCTTTACATTCATTATCAGACAATTCCCAGAAGTTGGCAAACTCTTTCTGTAAGGGGCCAGAAAGTAAACATTTTAGGCTTTGTGGGCCATACCGTCTTTGTCACAGCTCTTCAGCTCTGCCACTGGATGACAAAAGCAGTCAAAGAAAATATGCAAAGAAATAGGTGTGCCTATGTTCCAATACAGCCTTTAGCCTGGTGGGTCACAGGGCCAGTAGCAGAGGGAATAAGTGTGCCTGTGCGGATGCACAGGAGTAATGGGTCACAGTTGTCTCCTGATTTCCAATAGAGCAATCCGAAAGTGCTTTCTGGACTAGCCATAAATCATTTTGTAAGCACCAAATGCTAAATGACTTGAATTTGAAATTCCACTTGTGTTTTAAAAAGCCCCCTCGTTTTAGCAGCTAATGAGCTTTTTGACCTTAGACAACACTTGTGTTGCCAGACTCTGGATTTCCCATCTGTAAAACACAGCTGCTAGCCTAGATCCGTGTTTTTCCAACCACAAGTCATGACTATCAGTGAGTCCTGTTTGGCATTTTAAAAAACGAATTAGATAAAAGAAGAATAGAATAGAATAGAATAGAATAGAATAGAATAGAATAGAATAGAATAGAATAGAATAGAATTTAATCGAAAATATATTAATAAGCACTATTTCAGAGACTCTGTTTCAGATATATATGAACACACACACACACTGTATTTGTGGTTCACAAATTTGAAAGCCACTGGACCAGATGATCTGAGAGCTCTGTGCAGCTTTAAGATTCAATAACTCGGGCTGGGCATGGTGGCTTATACCTAGAATCCCAGCACTTTGGGACGCTGAGGCAGGCAGATCACCTAAGGTTCAGAGTTCAAGACCAGCATGGCCAACATGGTGAAACCCCATCTCTGCTAAAAATACAAAAATTAGCTGGGCATGGTGGTGCATGCCTGTAATCCCAGCTACTCAGGAGGCCCAGGCAGGAGAATTGCTTGAACCCAGGAGGCAGAGGTTGCAGTAAGCCAAGATCATGCCACTGCACCACTCCAGCCTGGGCTACAAGAGTGAAGACTCTCTCTCAAAAGAAAAAAAAAATAGATTCAATAACTCTGCAGCCCATCTTCCCTGCAATAAAACCACTCAAATCACACACTGAAGTGATGGAAAGTCAATGGGACTATAATTCTTATCAATCCTCTCAGAAACTTCGTCTTGCAATTGTTGAGAAGATTTAAAACCATTTTAATTTAAATAAACCATTTTAATATTAAAACCATTTAAATATTATTACATTATGAATTAAATTATAATGCTATTTATATCATTATAATAATATAGTTATACCACTATTTATATATTAATTAACAGTAGTGATACTTTTGCTATATTGTGGGTATAATTATACCTATATTTAAATATATTTTGTTGGGAAAATATGATCAATAAAGAAGTATGTTCTGCAAAACTCGCCTGACTTTTACGGTACTACTTGCCTATCTATGAATAAAACAATAATATTAAATAAGATGTTAATAGCCTGTCAAACATAGGACTACTGTGAAATGATTTGAACTTGTACCAAGATATATAAAAGGGGCAAAACTTTCTAGTTCTTGTTTTCATTTGAGGGATACAGTATATGCTATTGCTAGGCCAATAATTATGATTTGCATTGAAATTGCAATTCACAAGCATGTAGAATGATCCAGCCAAAAGAACTCAGCCCTTTTGGTTCCATTTAAATCTGGAAGCCCTAGAGGAAACACTACTCATTTGCAGAAACTGTAGTGCCAGTGCGTGTGATAAATTGAATGAAAAGGACAGGAAAGACACTTCAAGCATTCACTTTCTGATATTGAAACCCATCCTATTTTTAATCCTCTCTCTTGGATATTTAATTCCAGATCCTAGTCAAGTCATGCTGTAAAAACTACCCAGGTTGACAAATTATCAGTGCTTCACTTAGCTGCAATTTCCCTTCTGAAAACCACCTTCATGAAGTGGTATTCAGAAACACACGCTTAGTTTAGAGACAATCTTGTTGAATAGAGAAATGACTCTGAAAACCAAAGAATTAATAGCAGAAATCATAAAATTAGTTAATTACAAAAAAGTGAGACAGTAAATAAGAATGTTTAAATGGGCTGAAAGTTTACAAGTTCTGAAACAACAAGTGTTGGTATAATTAAAAGAGATCTATAACTGGAGGCCTAGGGTTTAGAAGGATCATGACAATAGATCCTAGGAACTGTGGCTGAGCTCAGGGAGCTGTTCTCAGACACTTAGGATCAAGTCATTGCTTGCTTTTCACTGCAATTGGGGAATGGCTAGATTTACCTGGCAGTAATAATGATCATTTTAGGAACTCAGTGATTTTTCTCCCACGTGATCTTGAAAACCCACCTTTCCTTCTATCCTATAGGCAAGACTAAGTCAGTCTCCCAGCTAGATTCCTTGAATATAATTTTCTCACTTACCATTTCATCCCATCTTCAATTGCTAAATAATTTCTCTCAGACAGTATTAAGTGAAATGCCTATATTGGATATGCTGATAACTCAATAGGAAAAGATAGTCTCCCTTAAAAGGAATATAGATTTCATAATTTTCCATAATTTTCCATATTTAATTAAGTGGCTGTAGAAATTTTAAATCAATTTTGTAATTTTATGAATGGAAGGTGCTCTCAGAAACAAAATCTCAATGTATAACAACACACTATAGGAAATACGGGTACAATTTATGATGGCTCAGCTTTCACTCATCAACCAGGGGTTTACTCTACAGAAGCAGTTCTCAATTCTGGGTGATTTTTTCCCCCCAGGGTACCTTTGGCAATGTCTGGAGACATTTTGGTTGTCATAAAAAGTGGGAGAGGTGTGCTCCTGGCCTCTAGTGAGTAGAGGCAAGGGACGTTTCTAAATATCCTACAACTCACAGCACGGTTCCTGGCAACGAAGATATATTTGGCCCAAATGTCGATATTATTAAGGTTGAGAAACACTGCTTTACAGTATAGCCCCCATAAAAACATGAAAAATGATTAGAACAATGATACATTTTGGTCTGTACAGTTGACTTATTCATTAACAAAGTCACTTTGTCCCCTACATTAATCTCAAATAAGTGGGATTCAAATTCATGCTAAGCAAAATTACAAATCACTACATGAGTCCATGGCTTGGAACTTTAGGATTGCTTATGAATGTTAAAATTATGCATGCCAAAATCCACTGTGCTGTGTGTGTGTGTGTGTCCCTCTCTCTCTCTCTCTTTCTCTGTCTCACACACACACACACACACACACATACACACACACACAGATACAATACTTAACATAGATAGAATGCCGTGCACACAACCGATGCTTATGACAATATGAAGGCTGGTTCTCACACTAATGTTTGCTGAAATAGAGCGAGTCAAAATGACTGTCTTGAAGTCAGTAGGATTAATTTCTGAATAACAAAGGGAAGTTGTTCTAGACAGAATGTGAAAATAAGTTAAAATAGGAAGCCTAGAATGTCTATCAAACTTGCTAACTAGTTATGGAGGTAGGATTATCTTCCTGGGAAAAACTAAGTAATTTCTAAGTTTAGTAGAGTCTAACAAAGTAAGTATCTTCCACTTAACTATTGTGCATAACTTTTATATCTCAAGACATCCTAATAAGATAGCTGATGGACTCCATACAGCTGTCTGGGCATTTTCTGCTGGAAGAGTCATGGTGGGGACATTATCACCCATGGAAAAGTTGAGAAGAAAGCCTAAATCTCACAGCATCAAATTCCCTCTGATGCTTGAGAGGCAGTTTACGAACTGCTGCTTATGTTTCTTCTGTTAATATCCAAAAGCATAAGAAAGAAAAAAATGAGAAAATGAACAAAACTGATCAACAAAAACTGATCAATCCTGCAACTCATTTTAGTTTCACTAAGAATGACACTTCCAAATTAGAAACAAGGCTATTTAAAAGGGGGAGAGGTATTGTCAGAAAAGATTAATAAACAAATTGGTAGTGGTGTATGCAGACGATGAGGACCCTACTGCTATAAGAAAGCTCAATTCAGAGACTTAAGACAGAGGTGCTAAATCAAGTCCAATTTCATTCAGAGAATATATTGATGGCCTAATTTTGTTATAGTACCATAGTTTTGAAAATGTTGAAGATCGGCAGCAGTTCAGGCTGTACTTTAGAAACATTCTGAAGTAAGTTCAATACAAATTTGAGTTTAAAAAATAAACTCAATATTTGGGCTCAACTCAGGTTTTAGCAAATTCTTCACGTATATTTGGCATTATGGGATTTTGTTTTCTTTTGTTTTGTTTTTGAGATGGATTCTGATTCTTGTCGCTGAAAGGCTCAAAGGGTCAGGTATAAGCATTCTGTAAGAGGGACAGTCTCAGAGTTAGAGCTATGTCATATAAGCCATCCATCAGATATAGAACTGTCCTGAAACCCAAGTCTTTCAGCTAACCTGTCATTGCTCAAAATCGAAATGTATATTGAGCGACATTCTGTACTCCTTGAAAAGAAAAAGTACAGCTTTGAATCCTGGGAGTAAAATTATCCTGTGGCCTTGGGATATAAAACTAATCAGTTAGCATAAAATACCAGGTGGCCCAATATTCAAACTTAGCTTAAGGTAATTCCCGGTGGAATTTATATCCTGAAAATAGGTATTTTAGCCTTGTTGAAATGTTATTATTGTAAAGGGGCTTTTCTATTTTAATGATTAATGCTATGTAACCCAGCATGGCTACATATGTAGAGAATGTCTACAAATTTGTATATGTCTTTTAAATCCTGAATCAATTTATCAATTCAACTGAAACTCACACCAAAAATAAAACAGGTTTCTTTGAAAAGAAAGAGGCTAATGTTGTATGTCGTTATAGGAACAAAGTATTTTAAAATCCACCAGAATTGTAAGTCTAAATATTTTAGTCTCCACTTTTTTTTCCAGGTTCCACTAAAAACAGTAAAAATTCTTTGCTATAGACCTCAAAAAATGTTGAACTTGAGGGAAAAAAAGGTGGCCCCCAAGGTTTCTGGAGTATGGACTTATCAATAAAATAATTTGAGCACATACTTCTACTATAAGAATATCTATTAATTTATTTATTCATTATCATGCATATGTGCTGGTGGACAAATGTATAATGTGACACATGCACCTAAATAGAAATTTAAAAGGTGAAAATAAAAACACAGATTACTAATTTTTCTCCATACCCTAATGGATCACCTGGCACAACCGCGAGATTTGCTTACCAATTATGAGACCACTGTAACAGGTATAATAAGCTATTCAAGCATTGTGGCTTTTTATATGACAAGCTTTTTGAGCTTCATAGAAACTGATAAACAACGGTCACCAAAGTTGAGAAGCCAGTCTGCTCTAACACCTGAGAGACAGATGTGCTTTGGAATGTTCTTTGACCCCTCTGTAATTAAAAGTATGGGCTAGAGAGATATGGGGATGAGGGACATTTATCTTCTAAGGTTAAATAATGACACAGTCTTTGTGGCCGGCCACACTCTTTGACCTCGTTTAACTCTGGCATCAAGATTGTCTCACCTACTACAGAACCTCAGGGAAAGCAAAGAAGGGTAAAATAAGTCAATAATTTCATAAGTTACTATATTTGTATGCCTTGATTTATCCATTGGTGCTCCCACTTAGGCCAGACCCTCACTTCTTCCTACCCTGAACCTCCAGCATCTGACTTTTGACATATTCAGGAAGTTTGAGGCCTCAGAGACCTAAGCATAAGTTTCTCTCTTTTCCTTGGCTTGTTCTTCAGAAAAGACAAACTATTTTACTTCAATTCTGAAACCACCTTGCATAAACTAAATGTGTCAAGTTTGGAAAACACATAAGCATAAGAATATGCAAATTTCCTTTTGGGAACAAGAGCTAACTTGAAAATGATACCATGGCCGTTTCTGAAGACTCCAAAAGGAAGCTGTTTAGCTCAGTAACTTGCACTAAATCATGAGTAGGTTCAGCCTGCCCAGGTGTTCTCCCTCTGGACACATTCCCCAGGTAGAGCTTTAGGCTCTTCAGAAAGCCTGATCGCTGCCTGGCAGATGGATCTTCTGGCAAAGAGCAAGAATCTCAAACAGTGGAGGAGTTAAAAAAAAAAAAAGAGTATCTTTCCCATAAGCATCTTAAAGTATTTTGTTTTTTAAAATTTTTCTTAAACAGTTCAGTAAATGGCAGCATCACCCAAGCAAAATCTACTTTATTTTATTTAGACAAAGTAATGTTCTCACAACCCATGCAGGTCCACAGCTTGGATCCTCTTCCTTCTCATGGCCCCTCACACATGTGAGGGCAGTGGCCCCCAGAGGAAGGAGAAGGCATGCAAGTAAGGAGTCACCAAGCTTTCAAAGATAGCCTGACTTACTGGAAATGTGTTGGCCCCTCTATTAGATTCATTCCTCTTTGCCACTATTTTTTATCCCTGATTTCTGTGGGTTTTTTTATGTTTCTTTTTTGCATCAAATAACATTTCTTTTTCTTGAAACACTTTCCCTCTACGAAACCACCCACTTCAATTTAGTCATTGAGTCATCAGAATGGACTCATTAATAGATAAAGACAAACAATCTGAATCCAAGGCTATTTGCTATAAATGTGAAACTTCCACCTCTTCAGCAGTTTACATACCTAAGGCAGATATTGTAACACCTCCTTGCCCTCTACGCTCATAGTCACAGAAGAGGCACAGCTATAGGTTGTTGTTTTGGCTTTGATGCCATATTAGAATAGACTTCCAGAAACCATTCCCTACTTCCATATATCATAATATTCATTTACTCATCGTTTGTTCAAAAAATCTTGACTGAGCACTGGCTAGGTGCCAGGTGTTATCCTAGATCCTGGGGATACAACAGTGAGCTGAACACAAAAAAATCCCTGCCCTCATGTAACCTCTATTTTAGAAGAGAGAGATAGATGATAAATAAAATAAGTTACATAATATCTTAGAATATTGTGGTCGTGCTGAGAAGGAACTAAGCATGGAAGATATGTACAGGGAGTAGCAGAAGATGGAGGTGAGAGCACAATAGATTTCAATAGGTTGGACAGAGAAGGCTTCCTTGGAGGTGACTTTTAAGAAGAAGATTTAAGGAAGTGAAGAAATAAATTATGCAGATATCTAGGTGAAAATACTCCAAGAAGAGAGAACAGCAAAAGCCAAGAACCAAAGGTAGGAGGCTATCTGACATCCCTGAAGAACAGAGGCTGGTGTGGCTGGAGAAAATGACCCTGGGGAAGAGCCAGAAGGGATGTGGCAAGATTCTTAAGAAGGGGCCAGATTGCTAGGGCCTTGTCAGCCACTATAACGGACTTTGGCTTTTATTCTGAGTGAGATGAGAAACTATTGAAATATTCACAGCAAAGTGGTGACATGATCTCACTCTCCAGTAGCAATGAGCATATTAAGCACCCAAATCTTGGTTTCTTTATGCTATATTCCCCTAAAATGAAGGAGGTTTCCTTGCAGAAATGGCTGATTCCAAATTTCAGTCAAGAAAAGCACAAAGTAATACTAAAAATTAAACATACACACATAAATAGGTGGGGTAAGAAGAGAAAGAACCACTGTTCAATTGTGGACACCTTAGGTGGGAGGGGTCTTTTAGACATTCAAGTAAATATGCTGAGTATGGAGTTAGATATATGAGCCTAGAATTTAAACATAGAGTCACATCTGGAGATGTAAATGTGGAAGTTATAAAGATATAGAGAGCATGTACAACCTTGAGATTGAATCGTATTACCTAGCCAAGGAGTAAATGTAGATAAAGAACCAATGAACACACATGCAGAGGTGGTAAATGTGAGGAGGATGAAGACTGAAAAATATGGAGTATTTATAGAAAATAACCAATAGTTCAGTTATTCCAGGACATACGACACATAAATCTGAGCAGTGGAAATTCAGGCTGTCATGGCAGGTCTGGGAGAGAATACAAAGGGCCTGGAATGCAGCCTAAGAAATTTCTTCTTCAGAATTCAGAAGAAGTGAGAGCAGCAGATGTAGACTCAGCAGTCATCAACATAAAGCAAGCTGGAACTTCATAGCCTGATGAGACTGCTCTGGGAAAATAAATAAATGAAGGCCTTGAGATGAGGCTAGAACTCTGGTAACCCTGGAACTATTCATGTAGGAAAATGAGCGTGAATAGATGCTTGTGTGAGTCAGCCACTGGTAGGCAGCTCTTCACACAGTGACCTTTTCAAAGGAATGGATCTGTGCTTGGCAAGTTGAAGGCTTCTAACAGGACACTGCAGCTGGGTTTGTAAAACTGTTCAGGCTCACTCTGCTGGGCTTCCACCCTTTAATCTCACTGATTCGTTTTGTTTACTTGTAGCCTAGCTACAAATGAGAAATATGATCTCTTCAAATATCCCCCCAAGAATTCTGACATGACCAGAGATGATGAAGACAATCATGATATCATGATAAACACAAAGTTTACTGTGTGCCAGACATTTATTAAGTACTTTCTCATGGAATCCTCACAAAAACTTTTGAAATAGGTACGACTATAATCCCTATTAATAAGTGGGAATTCTGATGCTTAAAAATGGTTCACTAACCTCCCCCAAGGTCATACAGCAAGCAATAGCTGTAGCACTCAGGCACAGGTCTTTCTGACTCCATAGCACTGCAGTCTTAACTATTGTCACACAATGTTTCTCAATGCCTCTCAGAGGTGCCACTTGGAACCACAGCCAGTTAGAAATGGTGGGGCTGGTGTCAGGAGAGAGGAGAAGGATGAAGTTGTAACTGTCACTTAGCCTGGCCTTGTGCCTCAGTTATCCATTTAAGGAACTCTCAGTTGAAGCCCATGACTTGCTAAAGATGAAAAGCCTGTCGTGGATGCAATTCCTAGTGAAAAACTACCTGCAGGGTGAACACAGTAGATTTCAAATCTGGTCTATCTATGCTTCAAGAAATGTCTTCAAGAAGTGGAGGTTTGCTACAAAATTGGAACACATTCCTAGAGTAACACCTGGAATCATCTCAAAAGGCCTTCAAGTCTCGACATATACAACTTTTAGACAGAAAGTAAATGAAGCGAAGAAGATTTTGCAGAAATTCACAATGGCCAAATTTTTGAAGCTTTTATCCACCATCCATTTGCTCCCGTGACTCTTAGATTAAAATGCCTTTACAATAACAGGGATATATTGGGAACAGTTAAAGCTGTGCTACCCTGGGGCAACAAGCTTAAAAAATGCAATGAAAATATACTAATCTTCCCTATTTGAGGAATTCAAAAAGAAAAAAATAATTCCTGAATTTGCAAAGAGTACTTTTTTCTCCTTGTTAACCCAAATTAAAAAGGTTCCCAGCTATTGTATATGTACACATATCCACCTGCTTGAGGTATAGAAAAGCAATTAAGTCACTCTGGAATGCATTCATGGTGGATTAAATAAATACCCTCTCCCTGTCTTATTTCACTGACATCTAGGTAATGTGACCCTGATTGCAAGAGCAATGCCTTGCAAATAAAAGTTGCAGGAACGTTCAGTACCCATTTATTATTCCATCATCGTAGGCTTGACACACCCAGCAGTAAATGTGATCATGTTCAGCACCATAAACAAAATTGTTATCTTCAATTACTACTGTGGATAATTCATAGTTTCCAGGGACACTACTGGAAAAAAAATAAGTAATGAACCTTCACATGTGGAATCCTAAGCTTCAACTAAAGAGTGTACAAATACTGGGATGCCAGGTTAGGAAAGAGAGAAGGGAGGGGTGATAGGGGGAGCAAAAAAGTTCAAGGAAGGACAAAGAGGAAAAAGTAGAACTGTGGCTTCTGTAATTCATAGTCACAAAGCATAACTGAGACTATGTTAAGAAATTAGAATTACATGTTGAAACCTATTTCAAGATCAAATCATTAAAATCATGATACATTTTTACATTCCCAAGTTTGTTCTACTTAAAATTATTTTTAAATTAAAAAATATATAATCTCAAATTTAGTCCTAAAAAGTAGCAGCTTAAATGCAAAGCAATTTTTCAGATTCATGATACTCATTCCTACCAACAATTTACCTAAATTATTTCCCATTATATAAAGTTATAGTAAAATCAACTTTTCCTGGAGCAATTCTAAAGTTGAGCATGCTAATTAGTCCACAGCTAATTTAACATCTGTTGTCTGATACCATTATAAACAGCCATGCCACCTAAAACATAACTACTGCAATACGAAATAAGAAATACAAAGACAGTACACAGCTATCATTGATGTTAAATGTATAACAGGGTGACAGTATCAAGGAATTGTACTAATAATGTCATAGAACTCACAGAACATTCAAATCCAAGGTACCAGCTGCACATGGAATCCGGTGCCACGTGTCAAACTAGCAGATGTCAAGAAAGCAGTGGTTGTAACGGCAAGGTCAGTGTCAGCCAATAGAACTCATTGACAAACACTTGCCTGTGTCAGCTGCTGATATTGATGAGCTGCAAAGATGACAAAGCACTGTACAAATTATGCCCTCCTTCCTCCCTGCTTCCCCAACAACTCTGGACTGGAAATAGCAATGCATCTGTTATTTCAATCCCATCTGAATATATTAACCTATCTTGACCTTAGCAGTGTTCTAAGAGAAACTCTTTGCCTGGAAATTGAGGGAAGCTCTATTTTAAAAGTTAAAAAAGGACCTAATCTGACTTGGCTACAAAAACTATGTCACATTTAATATGTATATTAGTATATATTAATATATGTATATATTACATGACTTAGGGTTGACAGAAATGCCTTCAAATAGAAAGCCTTAAGTAAGAAACTCAACCTTACAATAGCTTCTACATTAAATTAACTGGTACTCTCAAATTAATTCAGACAGTTTTGGTGGATATGCCAGGAACTGAAGAAATAAAAATGAAAAATTCTATTTCTGTTCTCACTTATAATCTTATGAGAAAAACAGATAGACAAATACAAAACATTACACATGAGTTAACTGCTTCTAGAGAGTTATGAAAAATACTACAGTATTCTATAGCTGGGGAGAATATATTTGCAGTAATAAAATCAAGAAAGGATTTGCAAGTCAAAGTATATTAAGTGCTCTATAATTCAGTTTTTTTAAATAAAATAATTTGCAAATTATATGAGGAGGAAATTCACAGAAATACAAATGACCAAAAAAAAAATGAAAGATATTCAATCTTACTAGTAATCAGGAAAATGCAAATCAAAATCATAATGAAATATGATTTTCTACCCACCAAATTGGCAATACCAAATGCTAGTGAGAATGTGGAGCAACAGGTCCCATATTGCTAAAGGGAGAATAAATTGGTAAATCTACTTTGGAGAGAAACTTGTCAATATTCCAAAAAAGGTGAATATGGATACATCGTCTGATTTGGTTTTACTGTGTCCCCACCCAAATCTCATCTCTGAATTGTAATCCGAATTGTAATCCCCAAGTGTTAGGGGAGGGACCTGGTGGGAGGTGATTGGATCATGGGAGTGGTTTCACCCATGCTGTTCTTACAATAGTGAGTGAGTTCTCACAAGATCTGATGGTTTTATACATGTTCGGCAGTTCCTCCAAACTGGCCAAACTCCTGCACCTAGCCCAAGAAATCGTGTACATGAATATTTTATTGATGTTTTTCATGAGAAGAAATAGGAAAATAAGAAAATTATCTAAATGCCCATCAACAGAGGAATAGATAAATAAATATAATATATTCATTCCATGAAATAGTACAAAGAAATAAATTACCTAGAATTATATGTATTAACATACCTGCATCTCAGAAACATTCTAAAAATAATCAAATTACAAAAGAATAACTACCATGTTATCATATGAGTAATGTTTCAAGAAATGCAGAAGCAACTATATATAAATTTATATATAGTTATAATGAGAATTAGAAACACTAAATCTAGCATAGTAAACACTAGGCAAAGTTGGGGAGAATGAGACAGGGAGAGCTACACAAGAAGTTTCAATTAATATTGAAAATTCATTATTTGTCTTGGTCATATGTCTGAAATATTTTTAAAAACAAATAAGCTGAAAAATGTGACAGAAGCACAGGTAAAAGAACAAACAGTCCTACTTAAAGATAAAGAACAATGAAAGTAAAATTAATAAAATGAAGGTGAGTAATCATGGGTATCCAAAAGTCTGCTGGGGCGAGGTCAGTGTCTTAACATTTTCTCATAAAAACATATGGACCCTGGCCGGGCGCGGTGCCTCACGTCTGTAATCCCAGCACTTTGGGAGGCCGGGGCGGGTGGATCACCTGAGGTCAGGAGTTTAAGACCAGCCCGGCCAACATGGTGAAACCGTATCTCAACTAAAAATACAAAAAAAATTTAGCTGGGCATGGTGGCGGGCGCCTGTAATCCCAGCTACTTCGGGAGGCTGAGGCAGGAGAATCGCTTGAACCTGGGAGGCGGAGGTTGCAGTGAGCGGAGATCGCGCCATTGCACTCCAGCCTGGGCGACATAAACGAAACTCTGTCTCAAATAACAAAAACAAACAAACAAAAAAAAAATATGTGGACCCCAACATTGATTGATAGGTTCCACTGCTTTTCTCCTCATTTTCTTGCACTGAAACTCCTAACTGAACCCAGTTGCTAGTACCAAATATTCTATGTAATTTGCACAAGAATTGAAGGCCCCCTCTTCACCGCCACCATGGAGACCTGCGGGTATTTTAGGGTTGTGAAGGTAACACCTCCCCAAGGATGGTGCGAGGAAGTTCCCAGAGAGACTAGTGAATAAACAAGAGGGGTGCAGAATGAGGCATCAGTGTCAGAGGGTACTGGGGAGATGAGAAGGTGAGAAAGCTGATCTGAAAAATACAACAATAAAATAAAACAGCCCTTGGCTTGAGTCTTGAAGGGCACTTAGGCAGAATCATAAAATCATGAATCTTAGAGCTGAAATACAGTTCATGAAAAAAATTCTGTGAGGTCAGGGTGAGGATGGTGAGGGGAAGGGGACATGAAAGAGGAGAATAAATCTTTCACCCACAGAGATGAGGGGTGATGAAGATATTCTTGCCCAAGAATTTGTCTGGCTCAAGTTAAAAAAAAAACTATACTTTAAAAGTTTCCTCTAGCCCTTTGGGTACTTGGCTTTTATATATATGTATATACATATGTAGACACAGATATATAATATTTATATAGTGTATTTTATAGATTAAATATTAAATATATATATTATATAAATTACTTATATTAAATTTATGTATTTTATAGAAAGAAATTTGCATATGTAACAATTTATATATAAAAATATGTTTTCTCAGACAAAAAATGTGTATGTCTTTTTATCACATGGGTATAGTTATATGCAAATGCAAAACTATCGCTGTATAATATTGAATATGATCATTTACAATTATTTTTTGAAGCTTAGTCCATTGATATTAAATAGAAAGTGAAATGATTGTAAAAATAAGGACATGCACATTCAAAAAGCTTTTTACAGTATAAAATTAATGAGGTCTGATCAGTTGTCAACCTCATTTTCTGTGATGGGAGAGGTTTAGGGGTTCCTAAAACTGGGGTGGGGGGTGAAGATGGAGTCTATATGTTTATATAAACATATAATTTTTTTGTTTGAGAAAGTCTGAGACTCCTGGGAAAGTCCAGCATGGCAGAGGGGGTTAAACAAGGTGTCTACAGCTCTGAATAATACAGTAAGGTACATTTGCAGGTTTCGAGTCCAGAGGAGGTAAGGGAAGCAAAGGCGACCATGAAAGAGTTTGTCAGGACTGTTGAATGAAGAGAGGAGGGACCCAGTGGAAAAGTTCTGGGGAAGGAGTATTAGGTTTGGTAAATTACAGCATGGAAAGTGGCCAGAGCTCAGGTGAAAAAGCCCCACTGCTGGTGATGCCAGAGGAACTTCTAAGAACAGGATGCCTGGCATTCTATACTCAGTTCCTTCCCATCCCGTGCTATGCTGCAGTCCACCTCCACTAACTTTCTAACCTCCAGTAAACGTCAACTCTGTAGGACAGTTTTGTGGAGCGGTAGTTGGAGGAAGGCAGTAAGAGGGACAACTGATACTATGAGATTAGATAACATAAAAGAGGAGGCAGGACAAATACAGGGATGATGGAGGATCCAATAAAGGAGGAATGGGGAGCAAGAGGTGAAACCAAGCTGAGGATACTATTGCTTTTGGTGAATCTTTTTAAATATTCTAGGAGCCATGGACTCCCACAATATGGTGGGGGGAAAGGAATCAAGCTCATTTATCTGGAAATTAAAGGTAAAGATGACATTTCAGAGGTAAAGTGATTTAGAATATTCAAGACATCTGATGTGCCCTACTTATATATGTGAAAGACTGGACCAATAAACAGCAGAATGTTTACAGTGGTTTGCTCTGGATAATGAAAGTATGAGTAAGTATTAGCATCTTTGTTTCTTTTATAATTTCCAAATAACACACTATAAAACCCAGAATGACACAATAAAAGCAAATTCATTATTAAAATAGAGAATGAGCTCAAGTCATCATTTTAAATGTTTCCCACCCATCATAAATTAAGAAAACATACCCCTACAGCAACAGTATCCTTCCCATGCTTGCATTAGAGGTGCTTTACCTGCTTAAGCCAAATCTCACCCAGCTAGTAACATGGCATAGGAGTAGATACTCTACCTAAACAGATTCACCCATGAGGATTGTCTAACTAGAGGCACTTGCATTTTTAAATTTTAGTCATACCTGATAGAAAATATAGTATCTAGTGAAAACTCCATTTCCTAGATCCTGCTTCAGTATATTAGGATGCCTCATTCAAGTTTAATTTCAGAAAAACACCAAATAAGTTTTTAGTGTAATTATGTCCCTTCAAATATTTAGGATATTTATTTAGTATAGATATGTCCCAAATATTTTGTGCAACATTCTTAACACTAGAAAATTATTTCTTGGGCCGGGCGCGGTGGTTCATGCCTGTAATCCCAGCACTTTGGGAGGCCAAGGCCGGCAGATCACCTGAGGTCAGGAGTTTGAGACCAGCCTGGCCAACGTGGTGAAACCCCATCTCTACTAAAATGCAAAAATTAGCTGCATGTGGTGGCAGGCGCCTATAATCCCATCTATTTGGGAGGCTGAGGTAGGAGAATTGCTTGAACCCAGGAGACAGAGGTTGCAGTGAGCTGAGATCATGCCACTGCACTCCAGCCTGGGTGACAAGAGCCGAGACTCCATCTCAAAAAAAAAAAAAAAAGAAAGAAAGAAAAAGAAAATTATTTGTTGTATATCTGAAATTCAGATTTAGTCCATTGTGCCTCCTATATTTTTATTAGCTAAATCTGGCAATGATTTTTTCTTTTTAGAGACAGGGTCTCTCTCTGTTGCCCAGGCTGGAATGCAGTGGCACAATCATGGCTCACAGGCTCACAGCAGCCTCAGGCTGAAGCAGTCTGCTCACCTCAACCTCTCGAGTAGCTGGGACCGCAGTTGTGCACAACCATGCCTGGCTAATTTTTTGTAGAGACAGGGTTTCACTACATTGCCCAGGCTGGTCTTGAGCTCTTGGGCTCAAGCGATCTTGCCTGCCTCAGCCTCCCAAAGTGCGGGGATTACAAGCATGAGCCACCATGCCTAGCTGCTGACATTACTCTATGCCTATGTTTCTAAACTCTTAACGAGTGCTAGAGAACTGCTTAAGTTATTACTGCCTGTGTGATATTTTATAAATGTAAAATTTTAGGTAGAAATTAAAGAAAACAAACTGATTACAAATCCATTTTCAAACACTGTTAACCTAATCGATGACAGTAAGAAGCAGTAGGTGAACCTCCTGCCCGTCAGGGGAGGTAAATTGGGCCAGTTGAAACATTTCCACCAAAATGACAGTAAGTCTTGTGGGCATACAACCTATCCAGGTCATCATTTCATTTTTCTGTCAAATTGCTGAGTGAAAATGAGAACAACCTGAACCATAGCAAAGTAGTATCTAGATATAGAAACTTGATTTTGACCGGCATGTAAAGCTATTTTCTCATCCACGAAAAAATGCTCCATAATCCTCAATAATAGTTTAAATAATTCAACTATATGTCTGGCAAGAAAACACATATCTTGAGCCATGTGTTTTGAAGATAAGTGCTCTTGACTGAGCTTTATCATCTGCTTCTTAAAGAATTTGCTTGCTTGCAAACTTTATAAGTGGTATGCCAAGACCAATCAATGCTTTAAGTTTATGCAGCTATCAGTCCCAGTACACACTGACACATGGCATCTGCCTCTTTTTTATGTTAATAAGATACAGAGTTTACAAATTCTACAGAGGGTTCAGTTAAAGCCCCTTGCTCTATTTAATTTTTTAAAGAAAACAGTGAGTTTGGTATGTTTTTCAAGCAAATTATCTTGAAACACGTATTAGATGTAATTATTAATAATAATTATGTGTAATTGTTTTGAATATTAAAGCTTTGAATGTAGTCTGTTTTTCATAGATTTGCAAGTAATGGTCTAAATTAGAAGTCTGCAACTAAGATTCACAGACCAATGCTGGTCTGCCACCTATTTTTTTTTTTAATGAAGTTTTATTGGAAAACAGCCTTATCCTTCCATTTACCTGTTGTCTTTTGCTACAAAAGCAGGGTTGGGTAGTTGCAGCCAAGAAAACCTAAAATATTGACTATCTGACCCTTTACACAAAAGATTTGTCAACTTTGCTTTAAATAGACATTTACCAACAGTCAAGGGGACTGATTACTCCCCTGAGCTGGTTTGCATATTTTTAAGATAGTATGGCAGCCTTGATTATTTAGGTTTTGTATAGCAGAGAGATATAAAGTCTAAAACACTGCAAAACTAAAAATATCTGGCAAAGCAACAGGCAAAGTAAATTTGATGAAGCTGAGGTTCTCTCAGTATTTGTTCTAACACAAGACGTTCTCAGTGGATCATTCACCCTAGTCCTTTGCTCCTGGACTAGAGCAAGGAAATAGTTATCCAGTTGCTGTAAGAATCAGGTTAACGATCCAAATCCATTTTTATTTCTGTCTCTTTTTTTTTCTTTTTAAAACCAAAAATCCTTTAAAGTTCTGGCCTCTGGCAAATCTTACCCTCACCCCTAGAAAACATTGACCTAAATCAAGCCTAGAAACAATACCAACCCGTCCCCATGATCCGCTGATGTATGTTCACTGTGGGAATACAGGAGATGAATATTTTTGCTGTTTGGATAAAATTGTATTCAGGCTTTGATTTTGATGATGCCTCCAAAATGCTATGCAAAATTTATTCTTTGAAGCCTGGAAAAAGCCACCCAGAGGCAATTAGGCTACTCTCCCTGTCCAACAGGAAATCCTGCAAACAGTGGCTACAGACATGCCTCATTTTAGAAAATATGAGAATTATGTTGCATTTCCACTAATTAAACCCCACTTGCAATGCCCTACATGCACTTTCCTTCAGAAACAGGTCCAGTAGTCTTTCCAAATTATAGGTCCAGAGTCTTTTGCAATACAGTTGTGGAAGGAAGAGCAGTGAAGATACCAAATGAGACTCTGTGTAGACAGAGCCCAGAGACATCAGTCTGGTTTGAATTGGGTCTACATGTTGTCTACACATTGCCAATGTTTGCACAATCAGCATGACCTTTAGTTAGATGTATGCTTCTTTGGAGTGGCTTTGGGAAGGTTAATAGAGATTATGATAAAGGGCCTTAGGTTTCCTCATCCTGACCCACTCCTTGGCACATCTATTGATTTCGGCTCATGGGGAAGGAGAGGATTGGAAGTTGCAGAGACAGACAATTGTTTTTCCAGAGATTATTTGATCATTTCAGAGAAACATACCATACTGATGCTTACCAGAGCAATAGGCTTTAATAGGTTAAAAGCCAATGAAATAATTCACCCTAATATTGAACAACAGTGTTAATCCAATTTAACTCCTTCATGCTTTTTGTACCATTTGTCAAACATAAAAAGAAAATAAAATGGTTCCGTAATGATGAAACATACATATTCAATGCCCTCTATTAAGTGTAGCAAAACTTGAGTCACAACTGGAAGTCTTAGATTGGTTTTGAACTGACCTCTGAGGGTGTCACCTGGCAGATCAGAGAAGTTTTTTGGAGGCAGCAACTTTGGTGCTGGGAACCTAATCACCAGGAAAACTACCTTGGTGACCTGAGAGACCAGGAGCCCATATGGAATAAAAGAGGAAACTGCTCTTTGTGAGATATCTCTGAGCTGATATCTGGACTTGCATCCTGACTATAGACCCATAGAAATGTTAGTTAGAAAAAATAGCACTTTGACTTTTTTTTAAACATTTCCAGTCTGGAAGCATATATGACAGAATCTCCAAATAATGCAGTTACTAACAATAAGCACTAATATCTATGGAGTAAATGCCATGTGCTAGGCAACGTTGGTAAGGATTTTCAATATTTAACAGACTCATATATTAGCAACCTATTTATAACTACTGCATAATTAAAAGTTGCCTTGAAGAATTTGATCAAATTGGTAAAAGTTCTGATGAGGTTATTAAAATTCAACTAACCAATCACAAATCCACCTAGATACAGCAGAGAAAAGCAAGGACAAATAATCATAAATTACCTTGAATAAAAATTCAGTAAGAAGCACATAGGCATTTCCCTGATTATTATTCAGGGTTTTAGGATTTTTTTTTTTTTTTTTTTTTTGAGACGGAGTTTGGCTCTTGTTGCCTAGGCTGGAGTGCAATGGCCTGATCTTGGCTCACCACAATCTCTGCCTCCCCGGTTCAAGCGATTCTCCTGCCTCATCCTCCCGAGTAGCTGGGATTACAGGAATGTGCCACCACGCCATGCTAATTTTGTATTTTTAGTAGAGCTGGGGTTTCTCCATGTTGGTCAGGCTGGTCTTGAACTCCCGACCTCAAGTGATCCGCCCACCTCGGCCTCCCAAAGTGCTGGGATTACAGTGTGAACCACCGCGCCTGGCCAGGAATTTTTTTTCTCAAGCAAATGCAGCAGCTGTTCTTTTGCAAATGAAGAAGTTAGGAAATTAGCCAATTTAAGAATTTCTGTCCCTATCACTTCCTTTTATTGACTGCTTTCAGTGTACCAGGTGTTTCGCATCTAGTGTTTCTAATCCCTCACAGACATGCAGGCTCCATATTTTCCCCCATTTTAAAGGCAGCAAAACTGAATATTTGCCCAAGTTAGCATAACTAACAGATGACACAGTTGGGCTTCGAACTCAAGACTGGTGTCCCCGTGGTTGGCCTCATTTTTTGGATGCCACTGAGCTTCAGCAGCTGTGTGAATACTTTATAGCATGCAGTAGTTTCCAGTGTTAAACACCGGCACAAGAGGATACACCTATTAATTTGCATAAATTAAGCCACACCTCAGCTATTTTCACTTATTTGCTGACCTTCTTACCGCAAAATATCAAAGTTATTGATCTTTCAGGAAGGCAATGGAACTAAGATACTTGCACTGTAATCAAAAGGTCTTCGTTTTTTAAAAGGAGAATATGACAGCCAACAGAAAAAAAAATCATCGCGTTAATTTTATTTTTTCTCAAGAAAAGAAAAGCAGTCCCATGCTTACTCACCTCCCACACCAAGTCTGGAGGATTGTAGTGATTAGCAGCAGAATTTCCCCATTCCAATTCAATTCACACATCTGCAAGGTGTAGGCAGGTTCCAGGGCTGAGCACTCAGAAGTGCTATAAAATCAATTACATATTTCTACCTATCACAACAGGAACATACTGGGAGCCATTTATCAATAGTGCTTCAAAAAAAACACATCATTTTCAAACTAAAAAGATAATGAACGTGGTAGATATTTAGCGTTTAAAACTGTTGAAAAACATTACCCAACAAAATGCGGCTGGAAAGCAAAAGAAATCACTGTAAGATAAATCAATCTCAAAAAAGTAAAACTTACATTGGTTTAGCACAGATTAAAAATGTTAATTCATGAATACTAGCCCATTGCTGCTTGCAAGAATTTTTTATTATAAATTGTGGAGTTAATATCTGATCTGATAAGCCTTGAAAATAAGTAATTAAATATAATAAGTGAACTGAATGTGGATATACCTTCATTTAGTTGTGCCTTTGCAAGAGGAGTTTAAATTTCACATTCTCTTGAAAATTTGAGATTTCAGTTATGTTAAGAATTGCAAAGATTCATAGTAGTTTCAGATTTGTGAGCTGTCCTCTAAGCTAGTGGTCCTCAAAGTCTGTTTCAGGATCAGCAGCATGGCGTCACCTGAGAATGTGTTAGAAATGCAAATTCTCAGGCCTCACCTCAGACTTACTAAATAAGAAACTCTGGAGATGGGGCTCAGGAGACTATGTTTTAACAAGCTTTTGGGAAATTTTAAAATCTGACAATCACTGTTCTAAAATCCATAAACTTGGGTGATCTAGTTTACAAAAATTGATGAAAGTACATGCGTTTAGGACTAACCGAAAAAAAGTAAATTACAGCAATTCTCTACTTGCAGAAACTAAAAGTTCATTTGCAAAATACTTTGTTGTTGTTTTTCCATAATAGACTAAATGAATGTACTAAAATTCTCAGTCTAATTCACAAAGCCAATTCAATGTGTAAACTTAGCGCTATCATACTGAAAACACTATTTAATAGGTAACCTAATGGAATGTCCTTTCAGAAAAGTTAACTACGAAAACCTGAAAGCTGATACAAAAAGGTGGTTGAGGTATAGGAAGGATCAGCTTGCAACTGCAAAAAGGAACTCCAAGTTCCACCCCCCAGCTCTCCTACTCCCACTTTCAGGCCAACCCCACTGGCAGGGAAGGACAGAGTTTGAAAGTTGGGCAAGACTTCAGGGGAGGAGTTGCAGGGAATGGGTCCCATCAGACAGAAAAGGGTGAGTGAGGACTGCTGCCATGGGACTTCTGATCATGTGGAGCAATGTTGAGGGAAGGGGGTGGCAAAAGTCTACAGAAATTTCAAATCTACTGCTTCCCACAAGAAGCTGACAAAGTCAACAACAGTCCCTGAGGCAGAAGAAGAAAAAAGGAATGCTTGAAAAGTATCTCTTTGCATCTGTAGGCCATTTGTTCCTCTGGCATTTGTAAGCAGGGAAGAATGAAATTTGAAGAGCTTTAGTTCATCAATCAGTCAATACATTTACACAAAATATTCACAGACGGAAGGATAGCAGGATTATTTCTGATGACAGACTCAGACAACACTTGATGTTTCTAATCTGCTTAAGGATATCACAGTGGCAACTCATTGTAAATCACAGTAAGCTTCAAGCAGCAGAATCTTGGGAAACTCCAGAATACTATTACTAATATTAATGAGCATTACCATAAGCAGTGCCTCATTTCACTCAGAATATGGCAGACTCTACAGGAGCCAGAACTATAATAGTGTCATTCTGAAACAGAGAAGACAGATGCCTGAATCATAGGATTTCCAAGTTCAGTGGGAGGATTCCTCTATCTCCAAATTGTTATAGGACCAACAGGTTTGTATGCCCACTGCCCAGTAACAGACCCATTACCCTAAGACAGCAGAAATGCAGCAGGGAAAGAGTTAATGATTGCAAACCATCAAGTGAGGAGATGGAAGGAGATCCTCAAATCTATCTCCTCTGGGGATAGAGAAGTTCTAGGGTGGGTTTTTAAAAGGTTTCTTGAGCATGAGGGGCTGGAAAATTGGGGTCATTGATTGGTCAGGGAAAGGGTGATGAAATCATCAGGATGTGAAAACTGCATTTTTTTGGTGAGTCAGTTCCTCATGGGGTCCTTCAGACCAGCTGAGTCAGTGGGGTCTTTTAAATCAGCTGGTATCAGTGGGGGGTCACTGGAATCAGCTGGCGTTAGTAGTTTCATCAGTATGCAAGACCTTTTCGCCACTAAAGCCTATTGCTCTGGTAAACATCAGGATGATCCGTTTCTCTGAAATGATCAAAGGGAAAACTTAATGTTTTATAATGTTCAAGCTGTTATCTGTGGAACAGTTAAGGGGAACTGTAATTCTGTAATAGGGTCTACATGATTGTGAGGCAATAGGCACCAAAGAACTACGAAGAAGCAGGTCAGAGAGCAAGCTGACTTCATGGCTAATGTTTCATGTGCAGTAGGCTTGGTTTATTTTCATTTCTCTCTCTTTTTTCCTGATAGATTTTATGAATTTTATAGGAGCAGTTCCAAAATTACAAGACATAGCTCATGAAGTAAGATTTTTTAAAAACAAACATATTCATATGAATATTACCGCCAAAGATGTTACCAGGGACAATCTATATGTTTACTTAATGTTTCTGCTATCCCTCAAAATATTTTTGAAACTTCTTTGAATTAACTTTAAAAGTCATTTATATTTTTAAGAAAATTGGTTCCATTGCCTTAAATTTATACCTTTAAAAAAAATCCTAAACAGGTTAACTCATTATTACTTTTAGCTCTTTCTAAAACTAAAATCCACTATTGAAAAACAATGATTTATCATATGTCTCAAGAGACTTAAAAGATTAGGACTCCAGCTATAAAAAAATAGAGAAATAATTATTCTTTAGGAAGTTTTTGAAATTAGCAATACTATGCAATATGAATATAGCCTATGAAGATAACTTTGTTTTTTTTTCTTTTTGAAGATAACTTTGATAGAAACAGCATTCATGCATATTAAAGTTTGTCATGTTCATTAAAATATATACCATTGTTACAGCAAAGCAGATGCATGCAAAGCAGATGCATCCTCATAATAGAAGACCATACAGTAGTTGATATTTTATTATTATAAATTTATTATTTTTATGTAAACCATTTCTCTCCTCCTGAAGATCTTTTTAAAAATGCAAATACCTATGAGAGAATCAATACATTAAGTCACCTACATTATATAGACGTGGGTCTTAACTCTATCTAAAGTATTCATCTTAGTTCTGTCTAAGGGGTCTATGAATAGCATTCAATGGGTCCATGATGGGAAATATATTATGTTTTGTTTTTATTAATCTCTAACTGGAATTTAACATTTCCTTCAATTATGAATATAATCAATCAACCAGTGTAGAATTAGGCACTATCTGTGACATTGATACCTATAAAAATCATAGATATTTTACATTACAAGTGTTGCATATATAGCAAAATATCACTTGTTCTCATTACTACTTTGAAATTATAATAGTTCTTAGAACTATTTCTGAATCTTGTACTATGCACATAAAAAAACAATATGCTAAAAAGAAGACCATAGGCCCCTCAAACTGCAAAAAGAGTGCATGACTCAAAAAAGATAAAGAATCCTTGCCTTATATAATGAGTTAACTTATAATGTTTATTTTCTCTTTGACCTGGGCAACCAAAAAAAATCCCAGGATACCAATTTACCTGTGAAAAAGTTTCCACAAGGTTGGAAGGCAAATTTTGCATGTAATAAATTTGACATGCCTTGCCTTTTCCAGAAACAAAAGCAGAGACGTGGTTCTAGAGGCACATTACATTAGCTATCAGCTTGGAAATCATTGACTGCATATACTAGCATGTTTTTGTGGCTAAAATGTAAGCAGAGAATCCATGCTTAAAGCACTGGATTCTTACCAATCCATTATCTGGGACATTAAACATGGGGGGGAGGTGGGGAAATAAAAATACAAAAAAATCTAACATCATATCAAACTGTGCTAGATCATCCCGATTCTAAGGCTCTTTGAAAATTGAAGGAGAATAACAAAAATGATGAGTGAGGCAGACAGGCTTACGGGGTAAGCTGGACAGCTGTCACAGTGAACAGTAAAGCAGTCGTGCATGGGTATCAGCAATGGCCCACATTTAACACTTAACACAACAGAGAGCAAACAATTATTTGTTGTGCTTTACCCCTAAAAGTAACAGAGAAGGGGAAAAATGGAAGAAAGTGAGAAACTATACAGCAGACACACTGTGACAAAAATTTTAAAACCCTTAGCAAAAAAGATTGTTAAGTGAGCCAAAAGGAATCACTTTTGAACTTAACCACTCCATATTTTTCCAGGTTGTTTTCACTGTAACTTTACAAAGAATTAGGTTGACAAAACTTTATAGTATCAAAGAGAAATAGGAAATAGTTTAAGCTTGTCTTGTGGTTCAGTCTATTATGCTCAAATTAAAAATACAGTTGATTTGAGTCTTTTTTAAAGAAAAAATTTTTTCTTAAATTTTTGTGTGAAGTTGGCCCTCCATATAGACGAGTTCTGCATCCCTGGATTCAACAAACTACAGATCAAAAATATTCAGAAAAAAAAAATTGTCTATATTGCCTTTTTTTATTGCTATTATTTCCTAAACAATACAGTATAACAACTCTTTATATAACACTTACATTGTATTAGGTATTATAAGTAATCTAGAGATGATTTAATGTACCTGGGAGGATGTGCATAGGTTATATGCAAATACTACACCATTTTATATCAGGGACTTGAACATCCTCAGATTTTGTTACCTGCAAGAGGGACTGAAACCAATCCCCCTTGAATGTCAAAGGAAGACTGTACTTAAATTTTGAAATAAGAAGCATTATTTCCATCAAGCAATTGCAAAGTTCTTCAGCAGAACATGTATATGTTAATGTATTTGTTTTATTTGTTACCTGTACACATTCTAATGAGAAAGATTAATCCATTTTATTGGGAGGAAAAGCATACCATTCTCTGAATAATCTCAAAATTATCTCAAGAAACAAATACATCTCCTAGATCTAACAAATAAATGAATAAACTAGTATAAAAATCAAATAAACCTTAAGTGAAGTTGCAACCCTGGATTGCAGACACGGAGACACAGCACAGATTCTTAAAACACATGGAGCACCACTGAACATGAACGAAGTGACCTGCGGATGCATCCCCATACCAGTCAGGACAATCAGCACTAGCTGTGGGTGATAGTATGAATGTAGAGCACATCTGTAAAACTGTCCTCTTTTCTAGAATGTTTCCCCATCTGACTTCTCAGAGTTGACATTTCATAGCTACACCACCTGACAATGAATTAGAGCACACATGGCCCAGACAAGGTTAATCACAGACATAGACAGTGGAGGGTAGCAGAGCTCTGGAAAAAGCCAGATCCAGAATCAAATCCTGGATCAAAATCCTGGCTCTGAAATTGACTAGCTAGCTGGTGAAGGGGCAAGTTACCTAACTCTTTAAGTCTCAAATATATCATCTATCAAATGAAAATTATATAAATCCCATCTCATAAGTTGTCATGGGAAACGAGGTTAAAAATACATTCAAAGTGCTTAAGACTGTTGTTTAAAGTGTCTGACAGAAAGTACTTCATTATTTTCTTAGTCCATATTAAAGTATTAACTTCTGACCTAAGCTAGACTAACAAGAAATTTTTTCTGGGTTTCTTAAATTGGGGAATGGATTGTTAAAATCCATCCTCCTTTGATGGCAGGGTGTTAGAACATAAAATCCAGGAGCCACTAGTGGTCTGTTGTCAGCCACGTGGCAACCACATTTTTCAGTCAGAAAGAAAGAAGCTGGGTGGGGTGCAGTGGCTCGCCTGTTATGACAGAACTTTGGGAGGCTGAGGTGGGTGGATCACTTGAGGTCAGGAGTTCGAGACCAGCCTGGCCGACATGGTGAAACCCCGTCTCTACTAAAAATACAAAAATTAGCTGGGCATGATGGTCGGTTCCTGTAATCCCAGCTACTCAGGAGGCTGAGGCAGGAGAATTGCTTAAACTCAGGAGGCGGAGGTTGCAATAAGCCGAGATTATGCCACTGTATTCCAGCCTGGGTGATGGAAGGAGACTCAGTCAAAAAGAAAGGAGAGGAGGGGAGGGGAGGGGAGGGAAAGGGAGAGGAGGGAGGGAGGGAGAGAGAAAAAGAAGGAAGGAAGGAAGGAAGGAAGGAAGGAAGGAAGGAAGGAAGGAAAGAAAAAAGGAAGGAAGGAAGGAAGGAGCTGACATGAAGAAAGGACTTGAGATGGGTACCCAAAGGAGAACCTGGCCAGTATAAACCCCAGCTTCAGATGTTCTTGAGGGCTTGTGCATCCCTAGCTTGGCTGAGACTTGGATTTTCAATCGTGTCTTGATGTGTAGGTCGGTGAATATTGCTTTAGCCTTAAGTATATAAAGTTTGACTCCCATCACTTGCACTCTAAACTGATTACTACAGTGAGTTTTGTGGCATCCTGGATTTCCTCAGTCTCCACTTACAAGTGTTCAATGTATACACAGAAGAAAGCTTTTAACTTTCCTGCCTTTGTGCTGTGAATATTAAAATACAGAATTCACTTCAGGCTATGAGCGCTTCAACCTAAGAGAATCTCAAAATGCTGATTGCCTGTTTAGAAGAGAGCAGTAAAATTTAGCCTTAACTTGGAGAAAGTGACCAAATTTAAAGTGTGAATTAGAATAAGGTGATAATTCTAAAGAAGTGAAACTTTTATTTCTATTTCTAAGTAATCTGATACATTAAGGATTCTACAGAAGCTGTGGAAGGTTAATTAGGAACAGTTATAAAAGAAAGAATTAAATAAAGTGCCACTTTTGGATTTTCCCCTTTGTTTTATTTCTGCCTAACTGTGTATTTTGTTGAACTTGTTGGGCATTTAATTAATGGCAACTATCAAACAGCATGTCAAAGTCAATTTCTGTCTTCTTTTTATCAATTTCAGTATATTTGATTAATTCATTTGCAAATACATACAATATACTGAATTAATCTTAGTGTCATGCTAAAGATCAAATACCAACTCATGAATTTTAAAATTCGTGATAGTTCTCCCATTAATCCCCCAAAAGAGACTATGCCTTGATAAATAAATGCCTTCAGTAAATTACAGTGTATTTGTTTTCCACACAGATGTTGGAATTTCATAAGGTTTCTCGAATATTTTCATGTGTCAATGCAACTGATAAAGGCAGAAAAGCTTACATAATTTAGTTTGGAAATAACTCTTATGGCCTCAAAATGGGAATGAAAGTAGATTTTTTTTCCTCTGGATATCACTCATGTTGAATATTTTGGTTTAAATTAAATCCTCACTTCATCAAAGTAATCTCTTTTTTTAATTGACTCCCATTTTTTTTGGATAAAACATCACTTCCTAGTTAGTATTTCATTGATTTGTGGTCATGTGTTATCTTCTTTATTTGACTGGAATGGCATAGAGGGCTGTGAGTGTGGCTTATATATCCCTGTAGCTTCCCACAGCACCTGACTCAGTATCTTGTACGTAATGTTTGCAGAAGTAACAAATCACCTGCAAAACCAATCTATTTCTCATTATAATATAATGCTGAGAGTAACGTCTATTGCCTTCCCTCAGTCAGTATCTACCTACACTCTGCTTAAACTGGCCTCCCTAAGTAAGCAAATTTGGCATTGTGCTATACAGAGCAATCTAAATACCAGAAGTTCACTTGCCCCAAATATTCAGATGGTTGTGCATACACATGCAAACACACACACCGACACACAGACACACACACATACTGCTTAGAATTTCTTTCCCAAATGAGGAAGGAAAAGTCCATCTGCTATTTACACATCAATTTGAGTTACTTTAGTCAAATTTTTTGTTTCCTAAAGCCTCAGGAATTAGGATAATGAGGGTTTTATGAGCCAAATATATAATACATATTTAATGCTCATAGAAATAAAAATGTGTTTATTATTTTGAGAAGGACACCTGGCTGTGTGTGTGTGCACATGCAGGCTCATATGTATCCTGATACATAGAAATGTTTAAGTCTTTGACCTAATAATTCAAATTTTGGAATTCATTCTAAGTAAATAATTTGAGATTTTTTTAATGAACAGACATTTATAACAGCAGTTTAAAGGAAAATACAAAAACAGTTCAAATTGTCAATAGAAAAATCATTAAACAAGATTTAAGCAGAAATTTGATTGTGATTCTACACCTAAGATAAATGTAGAAGGGATATGTAAAATAATATTGAGTGGGCAAAATAAAATATGAAATTATATATATATTTTGATGTATTTGATGTATATACATATAATTTATTATGTATGAAAACTGGAAGAGTTTATCAAAAAAAAGACTACATACAGTTAACAGAGTCAGAAATCCATTTTCTGCTACTGAAAAGATTATTTAAATAAGTAAAAACTATCAAATCTACAGAAAGTTTGATGTAAGGACAAGGAGAAGTGAATGAAAATTTGTATTGACTAGGAAAGTCAGAGGTGGCCTAGGGTGATGCTCCAGAGAGGAACTGGGTAACCCATGGGAAAAATAGCTGGAAACACAAGAGAGTGGAGGGAACCAAAATCCACCCAACCGCTTCAGATGCTGTCTAAGATTGACCTGCCTGAAGCATCCCAGAGAGGCAAGGGTCTTCCTTAGAGGAGATTCCGTAACCTCATTTAGAATTATTCATAAATCTCACTGGTATATTTTTCCTTGTATTTTCTCGAATGCCCTTCTGCTGTTGTTTAAGACTTTTGTAATTGCTTTTCCTTGGAAAGAAATAATGATGTAGTTAACATTTATCCTTGGTGCAAATCCCTTTATACATTTAGTAATATCTTTGAATATGCCTCTAAATCCTTTTTGAAAGAATGAGAGCTCTGTCCTTCCTTGATTCTGTTTAATTAGAGGTGGCTTCAATGTAGTCAGAAATGATAATTCTTTATAATTTAGTCCTAATAACAATAGGAAACACATATAAGAATTTATCAGGTACCGTTCTGGACGTTTAGCATGAATCAATTGATTTTAGCCACACATAGCCTACCTATGATGAAGGTACAGCTCTTTCTCCATTCAGATAAGAAAACCAAGGGACAAAGAAGTTTATTGTCCAAAAATGTACAACTTTGTTCTAACAGAACTAGGATTTAGACCAAAAATCTAAATGAAGAGCCAAGGAATCACATTCAACATTGTCTCCATTAAAAATCATGAGTCTTATACTGAAAACTGGGAGAACTGTAAAATTCTGCCTTCAGATCAGTTTGTGTTTTCTGTGGTTGTTGTTGTATGTTGGTAGGTTACTCTTAAACCAGAGCATTAAAAAGAGAATTCTAATACTTAAGTAAACTACTAAAATTTGTAAAAAGTCATTAGTCTTAGGAACAATGAATATATATATCTAAAGGAAGATGAATATATAACTTATATATTCATATATATTGTGAATACATATATTATATATAGGGAGACCCCCTGATAGGCAGCTGCTTGCTAACTCTAGAGTCCCCCAAACCTAAACTCAGAAGTAACAATCTGGTGTATCTATACAGTTTAACTCCCTAATGCTTCAAAAGTTATCAGCTGCAGAAGATAAGTTACTTGGCTTAGTGTAATTGTAAATTAACTTCTTTGTGTTAGGTGTTCCTGACTCTTATTTTTCCTCATAAATTTCCTTTAAGAATACCAGGGCTGCAAGCTGACCTTGATTCCCACGGCAGGGGTGCGGTGGTGGTGGGTGTTTAGGGGGTGGAAGAGATATGTTTATTCTTGTAGTTACCAAAGTTTGAAGGGCTTTTGAAAGAGACTTTGAGTCTTGAGATTCTTGTATCACATAGTCTTCTTTACTGTGCCAATAAATTAAATAAGCATATCGTAGGCATTGATTGTGCAGGGCAGCAAGCCGAAGGGTGACAAACCTTTAACCATCAACAGCTAGTGGTCTAATACTGTGAAGATCTTCACACTCCTAATGCTCCTTTCCCAAAATCAAATAAATCTAATCACATGCCCTAGGTGACAAATAAACGTGTACCTGTTGTTAACTCTTGACACTGGGGATTGAATGAAGGTAAACACACAAAATAAACATATGAATGAAAATTAAAAGGAGTCTATCATTTCTCAGTCTCTTAATTTTAAGTCAAAATTATTCCCATACATCTGAATTATTTCCAAACTAAAACCAATAATTTTTAGTAGTTAGAAAATAAGGATCATCAATACTATAACCTCAAGCAACAAAAATCCAAACAAGAATAATTTCTCAAGCAGGTTTAACTTGTTTCCAATTAAACACTAATTGGAAGTTTTTGATAAAACAAATTATTTAATTTGAAGCCGTAAGTGTACTTTCTAACTCTTAGATTGTGCCAATTAACTTCAACATGGAATTCTAAAAGCACACAATGAATTCTCTAAGGACAAATATGTGCCTTGAGCAATAAAATTTAGAACGAGATTTTTATTACTATACGTACTAAGAAAGGCACCACACACACACACACACACACACACACACACACACGCCACTGACCTAGTTCTGCCTACCCCATCCCACTCCATCTAATCATGTCCATTTTTTAAAAGCTTAGACTTTTTAGAATGAATCTACCTTGGACAAATTTACTTACCTTAACAATATTTGACCTGATGAAGCCAAATGTTTTAAATTGTTTAATGCCTATTTGTTGTACATTTACACCTAAAGGATAAGCAAGAAAATTAAACATATGTACAGAATTAGCACACCATTGTTAAATATGCCAAATTCATAATACCTTTATCACATCCAAAATGTTTCCTGCAAATATTACAAAACAAATAAGTTTAAAATGGAATTTTTTCAGCAATTAATTTTTCAAGTACACATATACTCCCCATCGCTACCAACACACACACACTGGTGCGGAGAGTATTAGGAGTACTCAGATTAAAAGAGAAACAAGGTGATAGAGGAAAAGAGGGATCTGAGAAATATGGGTAAGTAGAAAAAGACCTTACAATTTGACCTCCCCCGCAACTTTTTCTTTTTTTTTTTTTTTCTGAGACAGAGTTTTGTTCTTGTTGTCCAGGCTGGAAAGCAATGACACCACCTTGGCTCATGCAACCACCTTCCAGGTTCAAGCAGTTCTCCTGCCTTAGCCTCCCAAGTAGCTGGGATTACAGGCGTACGCCACCACGACCGGATAATTTTTTTTTGTATTTTTAGTAGAGACGGGGATTCACCATGTTGATCAGGCTTGTCTCGAACTGCGACCTCAAGTAATCCACCCGCCTCGGCCTCCCAAAGTGCTGGGATTACAGGCATGAGCCATTGCATGCAGCCCAATTTGACCCATATTAATTCTAGCCCTGCACATTAATTGATTTATTTGACAAACATTAACTAAGCACCCACTTTGTGATAGGCACTCGACTTGATCTCTGTCCAAAATATATATGAAAAGGCTGTCTTAAACTTTACTTTTTCCTTATGTTTTGTTTTCCAATAATCGTGGATAATTTCCTTTATTTTAAAAAATTAAAAAATAGATATTAAAATTAAGCCAGCATCAGCAGAGGCTTAGAGCAGAATTCTGTTGAGGGATGAGTAAGTGCCACCTCAGTATTCCCTGTTCCTCACCTCTCTTCTTTCCCTTTCATTCTCCCACACTTCTGGGAACAGAAAATGACAGGGCCCCACTTTATGGAAGGCGAGTAAATCAGATTATAGCAAAGAGTTCAGATGTTGAGTTTTTAAATAAGGAAATAGCCCAATTTATTTTAAAGGTGCTTTGATGGCTATTGACTTGGCTATATTATGTATAGTCTGTGGAGAGGATACTTGGCAAAAGGCCCTTAAAACATCCCAAAACATTAGTTAAACAGAGTAGATGAATTCAAACAACATATTACAGAAAGCTTTGTCAGAACTTGAAAACAGGGAAAAGTGAAAATTGAGGGTGGGCTAATAAGGACATCATGAACGGAAAATGTGTTAGGAAGAACAACTCATTTAGGAATAATGAAATAGACATTGTTTGGATTGGAAGTAAGAAACACTACAAAGAAAAAAAAACATACTGTTAATATAGAAAACAAATGATTCTCTAGTCTGATCCCTCTTCGCACTGTCACTCAGATGGTGAAGGAATAGAATGTATGTTTCCATATGCTATTACCTTTTTTATCACAAAGGTGTCTAATGTAAAATCAGGTCAGCAGGAAATGATTTCAGAAATATCCTAAAATGAAATTTTTAAAACGTGTAGAGGGAAAATAAGTACATTTCAAAGCAAAGACTTTTAAAGGGCAATGGTTTAAAAAATATACAACCAACTTGAGAAAGTAATGGGATTGGCACAAATCCCTAGGCAATCCTGGAGCTATAACCAAAATAGGACTTCTAAACTAACCCTTGCTTTATCTTCCCACCCATGCTGAGATTTTCCTAATAAACCCTGTAATACTCAGATCTCTTCTTTAGTCTTTTACATCTTCATTGTTAGTATTTTTACAAGTTGCATTCATGGTTTACACTAATTCTTCAGTGTAAACTCCCTGAGAGCATGGGTAATATATTCACTTCTGAATCCCAACACTAGCGCAGTGTTTAATACACAAATGGTCTCATTTATTCGATACCACTTAAATTCAATTTGTATGTCCTACTTCTGCAATTATATAAATTCTTCAAAGATCAGAGCCTGCTGCCTGGTATGAAGCTTTGAGCACAATGAAATAATAATAACAGTGGTTATTTGCTTATTTTATCCACTTTACAATTAGGGAAGGGCATATACTACTGCATTTAATCTTCAAACCAATCCAGTAAGCCATGGTTTTATTTGCATTTATTGATAAGGAAACAAGCTCACATTTTGAGGAACCAGCTCAAAACAACTCAGCTGGTTAGTGCAGCCTAGCACTCAGCTTTCTCTTGATACAGTTTTGTCTACTGCTGATCTGGTCCTCGTCCTCAAGAAAAGTCACTCAGTTAACTTGGCCATCTCTATTTCCTTGCCTCCATCTCCTTCCTGAGCGAATTGTGTTTCTACTAATATGATGAGATACTTGCACAGCAAAAGCAAGTAAGGAAAATGGCTCAGATGGGTGAAATTAACAAATTGTTGGTTACTGTTTCTAGAGTTCCAGACACTTCTCCTAGATATCTCAACCCCTTTGGAGTTTTTGTAAGCTTTTTACCATTGTCCACATCAACTATGACTAGATATGTGAAACACAAACAGATTTAAAGTTATTTAGCAAAAAAAAAAAAAAAGAAACAGTAAAACTTGAAACCTCTGTCATGTCTCTAATTAAGATCCCAAGATCTCTCTTTCCTATTTGCCTCCATCTGATTTCTCCCTAGGGCATTGTTGGGGGCTGTGCATTGAACTCTGTGTATCTTCTTTCTTTATCAAATGTATGTATGTAATTTTTTCTCTATTTGTCTGTTTCCCATCTTCATACTGTGATGAATCCTCCTTCTATCTTTTCTAACTCCCTTTCTGCTAAATTATTGTCCTATTTAAATACCTTTTTTCTCTATATAGTTCCAAAAATAAGAAATTAGAACAATTATTTATGTAACCCTTGACTTAAAATGTTTCCTACTCCCATTCCATAGATTTTCATCTAAAGATATCGAAATGTAACTGATATGTATATGAGCTGAATGACAGTAAATGAGATAGTGTGGTTCACGTCAGAATGCACAGTGGGAGTCACATCTTACAACTCTGACCTCAACACATAATCACTTAGCATGTAGCCAAGGAACATTCTCACCCAACTGTGATTTCCTTCCTGTTTTCTCTGACTCTAGCCCCTTGAAGACATTTAGGAATGCTGGTTGTAACAGTGAAAGGCCAAATTACAACATAGGTGAATAACTTCTCTACTAAGATTTCTTATATCTCATTTGAACTTGTTATGAAGAAAGTGTTGCTAAAATAACTAGGATTCAGGAATGTCATTTAAGCATGAAGCACTTGAGAATTTTGGCAAGAATGCCATATATTTAACATCATATAATATTGTCATCTTTAAAATGTAGAGTAGATAACTATAGCTTTCAGCAGCTCTGAAGGTATCTAGACTTTCCAGGGAGAGTACTTGAAGCTACCTAAGATTTCTCCAGACACATAGTAATTTGTCATTTCCACTTTTCCACTCTCTCTATATTTATAAAGTGAGTTTAAAGGTATTATACAGGAGCATTAAATTTACTATTTTAAAAATCGTTAATCAAAAGTCTACTTTTGTGGATAAAACTTTAGGAGAAATCACTACATGCCTATGCTGAATGAAAAGGATCTCATTTTCAGTCAATCAAGGCTCAAAATATTTTGAGAACTAGAAAGGAAATAACCATTGTAAAAGTGAAACTAAGTTTAGCCAGTATAATAGAGTGATTATTCCATTCATAAACCAAAGTAATAGATAACACACAAAGTTAGACATTTTCCATTGCTCTCTTTTTCTCTTTACATATCCATTAGCTAAATAACCAAACGCTATTTAAAAAAAATTCTAACCTTTAGATATACCAATAATACTAATCTTGTTATTTATTATGGCCAGCAGGGAATTAAGAACAACATACATTCGTGAATCCAGGGTTGTTCACTCATTAATTGTGTGACTTTGCACCTTCATTTCTATATTATTTTGATAAAGTGACAAATCTGGAGATGATTATTTCTTTTCTCATCCCCATATTCCAAAATTGTATGAATTGTCATCAAATTTTAATTCACATCCTATTTATTGAATATTTCCCCTCCTCATATATTAATTTCTCAATTTAGAGAATAAAGAGGAAGTATCAACAAGAATTAGCAGCAGTATTGTAATATTATTATGGCATGGCACACAGGAATGCCTGAGTTTTGCCAGTCACCTAAATTCCAAGGAGTTCTGAGGGATCTACATACACAAAGACAAATCAAAGCAACATTTTGAGTGCCAGATTCTCCAGTGAAAGACTGAGTAAAAGCCTGAGTTAATCTGAGCCCTAAGTGTAGTCTTTTACTTTATCCAGAAAACTAGAAGCAGCACATTTGGGTTGAAAGGAATATGGGGAAGAAAGGGAAGGAAGGAAAGCATGCAAGCTAGGTAGGCCCTTAGACAAGTCTCTGAATACACTGATTCAAATCTCTCCCTCTATCTCTTTGCCTTGAAAATGTACGCCCAACCAATATATCAGTTTCTAAATGATAGTACAGCATATCTGCCTTATAGACTTGTAGAATTTACTTTTTTGTTGTTGATACTGTTGTTAAAACCATTCAGGTTCAACTACGGAGCTTTAAGCTTGAATTTACTACAGTGGAAGTAGAAGGTAAGTCAATTTCCACATATCTTTCTCTTACCTTCTTTTCCTCCTTCTATCTCTCTCTATCTTCCTCTAGATATTTGGTTTCTACCCCCAACTAATTGTGAATTACAACAATTGTCTTTGAGCCAATATCTGATATCTGATATTTGTTTGAGGGTCCAATGTCACTAACAATTTTTTGTATGATGTATGGAAAAGAGAGCTGTTTCTTCTCATCTAGAACAACATGGCTTCAATTCCTAGTCAAATTATTTGGTGCTTATATGAAATGTTACTTTCTCAAGGAGGATTTTATTAGCCTTTTGACTTGAATTAAATGGTCTGTGTTTACCTCCCTTTTATAACACTAATCACATAGCTACTTGTTTAAAGACTGCCTTTCCTGTTAGAATGTAAGCTTCATAAAGTAGGCAGATGGCCATAAGGCCATAGAGCACATCAGTGCTGGTTAGATAAAGGCTACCCTTTCTCCAGACAGATGCAACCCTGTGCCATAGTGCACAGCTTATCAAGTGGAATGCTGCCTGCATTTCAGTTCCCACTCAAGTCCTTGGCAGTAAACATGCACAACCACATGCAATGTCCAAAATGCAGAGATCACCTCTTTATTTTTACCACTGTAACCCCAGTATCTAACACAAAGTCTGACACCTGGAAGATGATTAATAATTATTTATCAAACTGAATTTTGATACTTGAAAGGGAAGTAAAGACCCAATTATAAACACAGCATTTCCATTCATTTGCCCAATTAGTTATCCTACATGTTTTTTTTCTATTCCCCCTAAAATATACACATACACACACATATAATGTCTCTACACAAAATACAGAGTATATTTTTCTAAGCCTGTGATCCAAAATTATTTGCCTAATTTGACCTCTAGAAAGTCCGACTACTATAACTTAGCTTTCTGTTTAAAGTTTCAGGGGTAAAGTGGAAGAAAATATGCAAGTCAACATGGTGTATTATTACAGGTCAGATTTTCTTCTCCTGTTAAATACTATCAATACATTTGTTGAACCTTTAGTCTCTATTTTTGCCTCTCTGTCTCAAACAGTTTGTAAAGGTCTCTTGCATTTCTTCAGTAAAACAGGAGCTCTATTTAATGGCAGAAATGTCATACTGCATCTTGGAATTCTTAAAGCAAAACATTTTACTACATTCAGAAAAAAAATTAATCCAATGTTTAAAAAGAAAAAGAAAATTAATTCCCAACAATCAGTTATCTCAAATGGAAAAAACTGCCTTAAAAAAATTAGTGGACTTGCCATGACTGGACGTGATCTAGCAGAAATCGATTAGTATTTGTCATGGATGTTGCAAAGAGATTTCTGCAGAAGGAGAAAAGTTTGAGAAGGTCTATATTCTCAGCATTTCTAAGAATGCAGGTTCTGCTACAACAAAAAGCAACTACTATTCCCCCTGAATGCAAATATGCAAGCATTTTATAAGTTTATTAACCCTTACAGACAAAAGAATGTAACAAAATTTCTAGCAAGATAGTTTGTTGTGAATTTACTGTAATAGTTAAGAATATTCTGAGACAAGTTTGGTTTATTTTTGTATCCTGGGGCAGTAGTCGTATGCAGTTGTAACTACTGAACTTAGAAACCTTCCAAAGTTCACATTGCATAATTATAGTCCCAACCTCCCATCTACCCAGTGTAGCAGCCATATGGAATTGTTATGTGTTGTGTGCTAGAACCAGAGTTTTGTGGATAAATGCCATCTCTGGTGCCAACTAGCTGTGCATGTCTTTGGGCAAGTCATTTAATTTCTCAGTGCTTTGTCTCTTGATCTGAAAAACTGGGATAGAAGTAATACCAAAGTCACCTGGGCTATTGTGAGGAGTAAATGAGTGAATACATATAAAATGCTTAGAACATGTCTGACAAAGGTAAGCATTCAATAAATGTTAACCCTATGCCTTTAAGCAATTTTCTTTTCTTTTCTGTGACTTACTTTTCTCATTTATAAAGCAAAAATAACCCTACTACCTTAGAACATTGTACAAATCATGGTAGAGATGTAAAAAATGCTTTGGAATATTTTAACTTCTATGCAAATACCAAAAGTGAATTAAACTAATATTATGAACTACTAAGAAAATTCTTTTCTTTCTTCCTTCAATTGAAAATACTTTTTAAACCTTCTTCTTCACTCCATAAGAGAAATGTTTCACTAAAAAGAGCTAGGAATTGTACATCGATGTGGATAATAGCTGTGGAAATAAAGGCATTCTTGCTGGCAAGCTTCTAGAGATGGGTTTTAGCATTTTTCTGCATATAGAAGATTGGGGATTTTTCAGTATCACAGAGAAAACTAAAAACACACGACACGAAAATATAAAAGTATTCTCTCAGAAGTAGAAGAGGTCTCTCACTCCTGGGTCTCCTACTGTTTACTTCTGCAAGTATTCCCTAGTGCATCAATTCATAGAGCAATCTATCACAGGTACAGGGAGCAGAATGACCTCCAACAAAGGGAGAAAGCAACATCTTCCCAAAAATGAGGAAGGGAAGCTAAAACAGATTAGCAAAAGCCTTTATGAATTGCTCCCAAAGGTCTGCTTGACCTTTCACGTTCAAGCCTCTGTACAGCGTGTCCTATTTCAGCTTTTCATGAAATCTTTCAATTCCTCAAACTTGGTCAACTTAGAGCCAAAACTGAAAGATGAAAAGGCAAAGTCATGCACTTAGGTCAAGAAAAGGACTACCTAGGTGCATGATGGATGAGTTTTAGTTCAAATAATTCACGTAAACAAAGCTGATGGGTAGGATGCTTGTAGACATGACATGTCCACAGTATGATGACTCTAACAAAATAATTTAACCAAATATTTTTAAAATTAAGATGTCATTTTAAAATTTAAAAGTGGCATATGGTTGTCGTAGAGAAGTTTTAAAATATTAAAAAAATATATAAATATGTAAAGTGCAACAACCATTTACCTGGTAATAACTCACAGATAACCCACATCAAATTAGACCTTAGATTCTAAGCTTCATGAAAGCAGGAATTGCCACATAAGGGTAAGCAAAAGAGACATGATCTCTGCCCTCAAGGAGTTTAGCAGGCACTCCTCCTTCAGGTCTTTACTGAAATGTCACCTTCTCGGCAGTCCCTGATCACCTTATTATAAATGTCCTTCCAATATTCCCCATTTAATTTTTCTCCATGCTACTGATCACCTTTGAATATAGAATATATATTTTAATAATCATATTTATTATGTGTTCCATGTTTGTTATATTTTTGTTTATTTTATTGTCTCTTTCCCCTCACTCAAATGTTGATTTGCCATGATATTCCCAGAGTTTAAACAGTGCCTGAAAAATATAAGGCAACTAATATTTGTTGACTAAATTAATGAATGAACAGGGACTGAATGAAAACACACTTCAATGTAGTTTTTTCTGAATAATTAACTATGTGCCCAATAAGAGAGGACTAGGTAAATAGTTTATGATACTTCCATAAAATAAGATATTTTGAAAATATAGATTTCTACATTTACTAGCATGTAAAATTTCTACCATAAGTCTGTTAGATTTTTGAAAACCACATTATGAAAACATATATGATATAACCTCATTTTCAATATATATACACATATTTGTATGCTTATATTGATAAATAATCCCTGCTGTGTGCCCGGGATCATGTTACACATTGGGGACACATAGAAGGAAAAAGTGTACTCAGGAAACAGACATATAAAAAAGATAGTGATGAGGCCGGGTGCGGTGGCTCACGCCAGTAGTCCCAACACTTTGGGAGGCCGAGACAGGCGGATCACGAGGTCAGGAGATCAAGACCATCCTGCTAACACAGTGAAACCCCGTCTCTACTAAAAATACAAAAAAATAGCTGGGCGTGGTGGCGGGCGCCTGTAGTCCCAGCTACTCGGGAGGCTGAGGCAGGAGAATGGCGTGAACCCAGGAGGCGGAGCTTGTAGTGAGCCGAGATCAAGCCAGTGCACTCCAGCCTGGGCGACAGAGCGAGACTCCGTCTCAAAAAAAAAAAAAAGATAGTGATGAAACAATGTGATAAGCACTGTAACTAATATACTTATGTGAATTACTTCTGCGTTAGGAGAGGTCTGGCTCCTTGAGAAAATGGGTAGGAAAGGGTGGGAACAATTACCTCGTTAGAGAAAAGATGCTTTATACAAGCACACTGACTTTAACGGGAAGCTGCCAGAGAAAATGTTATCTTGCACATGATAATGCAACGTTCTACTTACCATTCAAAAGCAAAGCATGATTTCTATATTATTCATGATCACAATGAGATCTTGCAAGTGAAATATTGACTATTATTGCTTTGATATCTTTAATCTAGCCCTGAATATGGATAGGAACAGAGTGAAAATTCAGTGAATTGCAAAAATGTATGTTTCTGCTTTCAGTTCACATTCCATTACAGGATGCTATATCCGATACAGTACTGAATCTCAAGGAGACCCGTCATTTTTTTTTTTTTTTTTTGCCTTTTTTTCCCCACTGTCCTTAATACACGAAAGAAAGTAGAGACTTCGAAACTCAATCTGACACAATCCACCCTGTTTGTCATCGGTACAATGTGTCATTTGCAAGTTCATACAGTGTCTTCCATCTATTACAGGGTGTGGAGCAGCTAAGAATAGCTGCAGAACTTGACTCTAAGCTGCTTGCCGGGAAGCACTAAACTTACTGCATGACTCAGTGTGGGATGTAAATTCTTGTGAGAGCGCTGATAAGAAAAGGAGTCTTTCAGCAAGAGAGCCTTTTTAATGGGTTGCTAAGAACTTTCACCACTTTGGTGTTTTTGTGAAAAAAAAGCAAACTTGTACATATGCCACATTCCTGAGCACCAGTGAGTGGCACATAGGTACATTTCTCCCTTGTGGCTCAGATGGCAAATTTGGATGGTTTCCATTAAAGAAAATCTAAACTCTGAATTATGCTTTGCTCATAAACAGCACCACAGGCTTAGATAGTAGAGCCAAGGTTTAAACAGCCTGAGAGTACTTGTCCATGCTTCATTTAAAGTCATTCCTGCATTATTTATTATATTAGCCACTAGTGCACTTGTATCAGTCAGACATCTCAGAATCTCCCACCTGGATTCAATTCTCAAATAGACACTTAAAAATCTGGAAATAAAATAAAAATTGTAACAAGGAAATTTTATTCAGCTAGGCACTGTGCTAAGCTCTTTACATGCATTTTCTAATTTAATTTGCACAACAACTCTACAAGGTATATTAGATTAATATGACTAAATTAAGTTCAGTTACTTGCCCACAGTCACAAAGCTAGTAATCATGATAGCATTCTGCAATTTGGCATTACTTTCTTTCATTTTAATTTCACAACCACCTGCTATGGTAAATCAAGAAATTAATATCATGTCACTTGAACTTTATAATGAGATTTTGCACAAGTCCCTGCCTATGTAAGTAAGACTATTAATTTAAACTTTATATTGCATTTTCCCAGAATGAGAAGTAGGAGAAAAAAGATAATTTCTCTAAACCATGAAAGAAAAGACATCATAAATGCTATTCATTTTCATATGAAGTTTAAAGGTAGAAAAATATAAATATCATCTCTTTAACATCCCAAAATTATGGTTCTGAGCATATTCTTTTACCTTGTGAAATAGCTGACATTTTGACTGTTTTGAACTACAAAATGGGAATTCCACATGGTTCAACCCAGTACAAAACATAGTGGTGCTTAAGGTATGGGTATCAGAGCCAGGAATACCTAGGATCAAGTCCTGCTATTGCCATTTTCTAGTTCTGTGTTCCCAGCACACTATCACTGCTCTTAGTCTTAGGTCCTTTCATTATAAAATGGGGCTAATATAAGTGCTCACTTTTGTGAGAAGATGATGCACAAAGCACTTAGCAGTCAACAATGCTCTGAAATGACCACCATATTTTTTATTCATTTACTTTCAGACTGAGCCAACAATTTCCCCAATCCACATATCTCCCTCTTACAATACCTCAAAGTAGACCAGCATATTAATATGAGACCTCATTCACCACTATTCCTTTATCCTCTGAAATAAACCTCAGATTCACTTTAGAAACCAATAGAGATTCAGCTCTGCACTCCAATTTATTCCCTCATTCTAGAATTTTATATTTATAATTTGTCACAATGTTTTCTCATATTTCTATCTTGGACTATCACTCTCCCCTTTTCAATAAGTAGTATAATTTTTTCCTTATAATTTATCTCCAAAAAAACAGTGAAAGAAGAGCATTCTTGAATGTGTGCTAAAACTAATTATTATAACTCAGGGATTGTTAGGACACTATATAAACAATTGTGACAATGTGTGTCCATTTTTATGTGGATAATTATGAACCATTTCAGTTATTTTGTGTAAAAGAAAAATAGATCTCTACCTGTGTCTTTTCAAACTTTAGCTAAAAACAAAAATGCTAATTCTCTAAAATCAGTGTTATTAAACATAATCTAAACCTTTCCTTTCCTTACCAGAATTGCAGAAACAATTCAGGCTTTCTCAGTAGATGGTTGAACAACAGGTAGACGAACTTAAAAGTTTCCTTCTGCTCTAGGAGTGCCATGATTTTCATAGGAGTTTAATGTGCTTTCCTGATGCCATTGGTCCTGGTCCAATTTATCATAGTTGTCCTATAGCCATCCAGGTAGATGTTCATCTGAGCCTAAGAGGATCATATATTTCTTCTCTGGGACCCAGTAATTGAGCAAAGGGCTACACCTGTGATCTAAACTAGGCAAGTCAGCGTTCTCACCCATAATTTTCTAGCTTAACGCTGTTACCATTATCTTTTCTATCATAATCCATGAGCCTGACTAAGAGTGAGGCCAACACAGAGAAGTCAGAAGAGAGAAAGCAGAGCAGCAGTAAGATGGAGAAAATCAGACACTGATTACATCATTTTAGCTTCTGAATTCAGCACTGCCTGAAGTCCATATACCCTTGGTCTTCCAGTTATACCAAGCAATAAATTCCCATTTTTAAAAGGCAATTTGAATTGTATTTGTTACCAGCAAACAACAAAAGGAAACATGTAAAATGCTTGCCATAATGCCAGTCCGTACTAAGTGTTCTAAACTTTATTTATATAGCCCAAAAACTGTGTCTTCAAAAATTATAAACTTTATGGTTAGATAAGACCATCAAGATCTTCCATTCCTGTTCCCTCATTTTCTAGAGAAACTGAGACCCAGAGAGGATAAAGTGTTCCTCACAATCAAATTGCTCTTTATTTGCACATCTGGGATCAGAATCCCAGATTTTCTTTTTCCTATGTGTCATAGTCCCCTAAAATTGTCTACAATATAGAGACTATCAGGATTAATTAAGGTCTGGGAGGGACACTGAAAGTCTCAAACACAGGTAAAGAGGAAAAAGCAGTCTCCTTTAGGCTGAGTTTGGGAGTTTTGTACGTTTGGGTTTTGGTACATTTTTCAGACAACATTAAAGTAATAATCAGTAAATTTGAGTTTTCCACTGATGTTACAACTACCCATTCCCTGCCTTTGTATTGAAAGGAAAAATAAAAGAAAAAATTAATATTTGAAGTGGCATATTTAAATTAAATTAAACAATTTAATTCAAAGAATGCATTGATTCTAAGCACTCAAAAAGCACTCTACAATGTATTATAAACAAAACAAAGATGACTAAAACATACTTGCTGCAGGATAGTTCTTCAAATATTATATTTATACTAATACTTATATATTTATAATATACAAATATTTATACTAGTAGACTGCTCGAGGTCCAACAAGGAGGTTGAGAGTGGGGAGAAGGGAAAGTGGAGCAAGAAACACAAAAGAGATGGAAACAAATACCTCCTGAAGGACTTGGGGAGACCTTCTTGAAAAAGTGCCTTGAGCTAGTTTTATTGTTGGGTTGGATTTCAAAAGCCTGCATTGGAAACGTCTGTAGGACAAAGACATTCCAGATGCAGTAAACAGCATGAGGACAGAAAGTTCAGAGTATGTTTTGTAAACACAGATGGACCTGTGAGTTCATGTGAAAGATAAGCGTATAAAAATAGTTAGTGTTAGGTGAAGAATATCAGGAGAAGAACTTCCCATCTTTAATAGCCTTTCAGAATTCTCAAAACCTCAGAGTGTAGGGGAATAATACCATGATGCCCATACAGCTTGCCAGAATACAAAAACTGCACTCATTTCTCTATTTTAACCAGCTGGGGCAAAACAACATTCTCTTCCACGATTTTATGTTTCATCATTAAAAACGTTGAATTTAGCTATAAAGATATGCAATCAAACAATGATTATATTAGGAAAAATGGAAATCAAAAACAAAAAAACTCAAATTATAAACAATCTAAATGTCTAGCAGCAGACTGTCAAATAAGGATAATATCCAAACCATAAAATACTATCCAGACAAATTAACATTGTGAAGAATATTTAATGAGAACAATAATGTTCAAATGTGCTGTGACCCAAAAAAGAGTACTAAACACTATATGCAGAATGAATTCATGGTGTGCAAATGTGTATATCTGTACATGTACATGTATGTGTTTGTATAAAGCAAGAAGATAATATACTAAGGCATTAGTCATGGTTATTGGCAGATGGTAAGGTAAAAAATACTATATGTGTTTTCATTTTCTTTCCATTGATTATTTGTGCTTTAAGCCTTTATTACAGAAATATGTATTACTTTTATAAAGTAAAAATAATATGTATGTGTATATACTTAGGTATATACAAGGCTTAATCCTTTACATGAGGGGAAGTGAATTTAAATAGACACTAGAGCTTCAGATGTTTACTTTAAAAGAAAATGAATAAATCAATGAATGGATGTTCTTTTTTTCTGTAACAAGAGCTCCCATGTGAAAAACCCTCTCTACCCACTTTGCAATGTATCAAATCATGTAATCAAACTTAAATTTGTTGTTTAATTCTGAGACAATTATTAAACTGTCACCAACATTTCAACCAGAGTACGTACAATGTTGCACTTTAGTATAATAAAGTTTTACACAATATATTTTTAGATAACCCAAAGAAAGGGATTAAACTCTTTAATTTCCTTTGGATATTACTTCACAGTGACATTCCAAAACTATTTAATGATTACTTCATTGAAAACACAATTTACATTAGATTATTAATTATATGCAAGATGTAAATTATGGAAGAGCTCAATTTATATATTGTGAATAATGCTTTAAAGATAAGACTTAGAATTGGAGATTGGGGGTAAGTAGTGGTGTTTAGCTGAGCATACAGAGCCCATCTTGTAGGGTAAGAAAGCATCTCTACATAATAAAGCTGTATCTTAATTATGCCTGACCCTCTCACTACAAGTAAATAGGGTGTTTCCCAATTTGCTTCCTTTCACCTAACATTTATCTTTGTGGGTGATGAAGGAGTACTATTGATTGTAAAACAAGTACCATCAGCATCAATCTAGCATTTGTGTCAGTATTTCTGCAGCTTCATAACGAACCAGCAATAAGTGACACCAAGACTTACTCATGACACTAGAGCACTGACCCAGCAGAAGTGTGAGCAAGCAAGTAGGTTCACATTTACAAAAAGATTATGCAGCTATGCTTCTTCTTTTCTGTTCTTTATATAAAGCAGATGCTTTCAGCCATTACTGTATGTTGGAAGGCCTGAGGAGTATTGTTTAAATATTGATAACAGGGCCCCACCCACAGAGATTAGCTTTACACTGATCTTTTGTGGGCTTTAGGTATTTGCTGAAAATCCTCAGAGGATTCTAGTTCATTAGCCAAGGTCAAGAGCCCTGGTTCAGTGTTAGGTTTATGTATATCCACATTTAAGACATTAATGTCTTATTCTTTCTTTAAAACAAATCTTGTTTGTAACATTACTACATAGACTTTCAAGGAAAGTCTAAAAGTAGCCAGATGACCCAGGACATCAGCATTTTTATCTCAAGTGTGCCACCAACTCTCTCTATCTCTGACTTCTTCTCAAGACCAGCCTTGAGTACTGAGTCCTAATTTTGAGGAGTAGGTTGCAAACACCAAAAATTCAACTCTTACTTAGAAATTTCAGCAAGGGGGATATTATCTAAAACTCAGCCAATACAAGACTCCTCCCCATTCTACACTTTCCATCACTAAAACCTGTCACCAGTCCATTCCCAGCCTCCTACCCACAGATACTTCAAACATAATAATGTCACCAGAGGCTCAGGCCAGAGCCTTCATCTGTGCCCTATGGAACCACTCTGCTCTTCAGGGGAAACATATATTTAACCTATGCCTTGAACATTCGTTTTAGCTCCTCCCCAATAACTGATGGCTGCCCCTTCCCTCAATGGCTTTGTTTCCCATAAACATCTTTCGAATAGAGTAGATCGAAGCCAGTTGCAGTTATGCTCCTTCATGACCACATGCCCACTGTAAACTGGGTGCATGCCCAAACACCCCTCAACCCCCAATACCCTTTGCAATCACTGTTCTCTGCCATCTCTGAATAACCTCTGCTCTCTCAAAATGCACATTCTCCCCAAGCACTGAATCTTCCCAGCCCTGTATCTGTCATTGCCTGGCTACAGGACCATCACCCATTTTCCATAATGATTTCAGCATCTTACTCCTCATGAGACTCATTCCTTTCTCTATCCCTTTACTATGAATGCTGATAACCTTTCCAGAACCCTAGCCTCAAAGTAGAACCTGATCTTTTCAGCAAAAATGGCTTTTATTTCCATTGTACTTCAGCCACCTACTGACAGACATCACCATCCCATTGGGAACAGCTCTTCTCTCAATGCCTAAATCTAGAAATACCTCTCCTACAGTACCACCTCCCTTCTCAGGACACTCTCATGGTCTTCTTTACTACAGGGCTAAGCTTCCTCAAAGAGGGGTCCTATGCACTGCTCCCCCTCTCTCATCAACCACTTACTATATAATTCCTTGGAACATGTATAGCTAATTAAACCAGCAGAGAAGTTAAGAGCACAGTCCTGAGTTTGTGCCCTACATATAGTACATTGTATGATCTTGGAAAAAATATTTCATCTCTGTAGACTATTGAAAAGGGGGACAATGAAAATCTCTGCCTCATGGCCATTGCTGTAAGGATTAAATGATTTAATGCAATCTATGTGCATAGCACAGTAACTGTCACAGAGTAAACTCTTAACACATTCTAGCCTCTTCTTGTTGATATTAGTTTTCATTATTATCTGGCTTCTACACCCACAGTCATGCGGAACTGCTTAGTTGAAGTTCAACAGTGACATCACGTCGATAGGTCAGCAGGTCTCAATCCTCTTCTGTCCCCAAAGTTCCATTCTTCCTGGGTTCCGCTTGACTCTGCATTCTCCTACTTCCCTGCCTGCTTACTCTCTGCCATCATAGTTTTTTGCTTCAACCTTCAAATGTAGCCATTCTTTTTCTAAAGCGGTACTTATTCTCTTTATTAGTTAAAATTATTAATTTTATGCACTTACTGTTCTAGCTCCAATTTTGCATTTCCAGTTCCCTGCTGGGAATAAATTAAATTGGCAGAAGCTCAGTCTAAGTGCCTGCAACAGAATTTGTCCCATATCCATACAACTTGCTCCTCCACAACAAATGGGAGAATCATCCTCTTACCTCCAGGTTTGTATCACTCATCCCTCTATCTTCCTCTCTCTCTTAGTAGCCAATCAAGTGTCAAAACCCACAAATTTTGTTTCTGTAACACCCATCTTTTTTCCATTCACTGAATATGTCTTTTGTTCAATTTCCCAGCACCTGCCTCAAACAAAGTTTCTGATCCATCTACCACGTAACTTTGACGCTGACCAAGAATTACAGCTTCAAAGAAATCATTCGAGGATCATTAATATCTTGGTCATGAATAACTTTTATGTGAAAGGCTCTGCAGCTAATCTCAAGTGCAGTGAACTCTGTTTCATTACTGTATTTCCAAATTTAGAGTTATTTGGGTTGTATATAGGTCAGATAATTTACTTTTTTGTTTTCAACCTAATATAAAGCACCTCCAAACTTTCTGCCATTTGCTATTACTTTTCTCCCTCAGTGAGTGCCAAATTAGCTCAATTTTAGTTAATTTGCAAGGTCTGACAATCAAGACTATCCTCAGCAGCAAGCAGAAAAATTTCTGAATGACTAGATACAATTTCAAGGGACAAGAAATTTCTCTGTCCCTGGCTCATTGGCAATGAGGTATCACAGCCAGGGTTTATTCTTCTGTGATCATGATAGTATTTGAAGAACTCAACAAAAGAATGTTAATTCTGACAATTTATAATAGTGAAATAATTAACACAGTCTTAATGTCAAATAATAGTGTATTATTTAAATGATGTAGGGAACAGTTGTGCAATACAAAACCATGGAGATATTAAATATGGCTTATTAGCATGTTTAAAGGTAGAAAATACCATCATACATTAAGAAAAGATACAGTTTGAAACTTGCACACAGGATAGTTCCATTTCTTTATATGAAGAATATATATCAACAGTAGTAGAAGAAGTCTTAGAGAGATGAAATTGTGGGAACATTTTTCTTTTAACTTTATTTTCTATATATTCTATAATGACAATGTATTAAATTATAAAAATAAAAAATGAGTTTTCTTATCATTAGAAATAACAGTCCAAAAAAAAAAAAAGTAATGTCCATCCCTTTAAGGATAGCCTTTATTGGTCAAATTTAAAGTTAATATAAGTTAGGTTATTCAACATTTATGGAAAGGGTATTTTAATGGACTCTTGGGGGAAAAGAGATACATGTTTCTGAAGACACTGGAACTCAGGGAAATATAGCCACCAGTGGCTGGGCTGATCAAAGGAAGGGGAGAATGAAAATATTATCTTCCCCACGAATAATCTTACCTAGAGAGAGGCTGGTACCAACAACTAACCTTAAATAAATGTAAAACTAGAGGTCTGTATTAGTCCATTCTCGCACTGCTGTAAAAACCTCCTGAAACTGAAATTTATAAAGAAAATAAGTTAAATTGGTTCACAGTTCTCGTTCTTGCACTGCTATAAATAACTACCTGAGACTGGGTAATTTATAAAGAAAAGATGTTTAATTGGCTCACAGTTCCACAGGTTGTACAGGAAACAGCTGGGGAGGCCTCAGGAAACTTACAATCATGGCACAAGGTGAAGAGGAAGGAGTTACGTTTTGCACGGCCAGAGAAGTAGGAAGAGCGTAAAGTGGGAGGTGCTACACATTTTTGGACAACTAGATCTCGTGAGAACTCAATATCACAAGAACAGCAAGGGGAAAATCCACGCCCATGATCCAGTCACCTCCCACCAGGTCCCTCTTCCAACACTGGGGATTAAAATTCAACATGAGATTCAAGAGGAGACACAAATCCAAACCATATCAAGGTCTCTGCTGAATATGCTGTTATTCACTTAACATTCATGACAAGTCTACCAGCATCATAAAAGTCACGACGACTCACAAGAAAATCAAATTTACATTTTTGCCACTACCATGTTCATTGAGAAGGGTAAAACTTTCAAAATTTGATCATGCATGGTGCATCACCATTCCTCATGAATTTTTTTTTTTTTTTGAAAAGGAGTCTCACTCTGCCGCCCAGGCTGGAGGGCAATGGCGGATTTCGGCTCACTGCAATCTTCACCTCCCGGGTTCAAGTGATTATCCTGCCTCAGCCTCCTGAGTAGCTGGGATTACAGGTGCCCGCCACCATGCCTGGGTAATTTTTGTATTTTTAGTAGAGATAGGTTTCGTCATGTTGGCCAGGCTGTTCTCAAACCCCTCACCTCAAGTGAACTGCCCACCTCGGCCTCCCTAAGTGCTGGGATTTCAGGCATGAGCTACCGTGCCGGGCCCATTCCTCATGAATTTCTACTGAAGGAAGAGATATCATAACAACAATTTGAAGCCAAGTTTTAAATTACTATGATTAAAGTAAATATAACATTTTTAAATAAAAATCTAGAATTTTCTACATATCAAATATTAAACTTCAATATGAAATTGTACTGTGGTTCTGCCTATTGCAAATTGAAAGCAAACTGATATGTTTCATCAGTGCTAGAGAAAAACCTTCAGATAAAATTTTCAAGCAAGAGCTCTTAGTTCCCTCTGTCCTTTCCATTGATCGGCCCTTGCTATTTCTTTCCAATATATGTGGCATTAATTTCACCGACCTAACACCCACCTAAAGTCTTCATAGTGGAAGTAAATTAGGTAATGGTTTTACAGTAAACCTTAAGGTCTTCTTTTGAAATAAGGTGACGTTGAAGAAAAAAAAAAAAACGTCTACCACGGCTGGAATAGATTGCTTTCAAATATCTAAAAATTGGCAAAAGCAGCCATGTGTTTGACCTACCTATGTGTTTGAACAACAATACACAAGGGCCTATGTGCTTGAAATATTTCCTAAACATTGCATTATTTCAAAAACAAAAAGACAAAAACCTCAAGAGTATGTTTTAAGTAGTATTGAGAGATCTTGGACACAGAGTGCCCCATTTGGGCCACAGCAATCGGATTTATACAGGAAAAGAATGTGGTGCCACATCACACAAATAGCATCCAATCCATCATGCTTAGAGATGGCAACTCAAGGCACATCAGTGGAGGACAGCTGCTTGACATTCTGTTTCCATTCACTCTTAAAGAACTGTGGCAGCTTTTAAAATTGATTATGGCTTTTAATTCTTGAACCAGAAACCAAAGACCATGGTAATTGGCACATTTGTCAAATTTAAGGACTAAATACTTAGATGACCCGACTGTTTACTGTGTTTGCTATGAATCACTGAGTCTGCACCAGCAACAAAATGATAAGTGTTCTTTTTAAAAAGTCTGAGAAATTTGGGTTGTATTCTATTTGCAAAGGAATAAAGAAGCACTAAAGTCATCATTTCTGGTACACTTTAAGATAGAGTAGCAAACCACAGCTTCCTATAGATCTGACTCGTCTTGGTTCCACAGCCAACACCCCACTCCAGTCAACCTTCACCTCACACTTTTGAGCTGAGAAAACCTCTATCTCGCTCCCTGATTTCTCCTCATTCTCATCCATTCCACACACTGTCACCATGACACATATTTTCTGTAATGTCTTTTCAGCATTTTGGTCACCTGACATTCCCTTAAATTAGTTAAGACTGTGGGCTTCCACTACTGGATCAAGATTTGTTTCCCCCATGTCACTCCCAACTTCTTTCACATGCCAACTCCCGTTACTAATTGGCATCCTATTCCCTAATTATAAGAGAAGCCCCATCCTATCTCTGTACCAGACATAATTCACAGTGTTAATTCTGAGCAGGCTGATTCCTCTGGCTCAGTTAGCTTTACACAGAAGTGGGTAGAGAACATACTTGGCACAAAACACGAAAGTCATCAGGCTGTGGGTGGAGCAGCTTTCTTTAGAGAGGGTTGAGGGTGGCAAGAACGAAAACATGTAGGATAAATCCAAGCACCAAGAGAAATTACATAGATGACATGCTGTGTTAGCTCCTTTGTTTCAGGTCAGCCTTTCAAGATGGATCATTTCAATTCATTACATCTTAACTAGCCACAAGGGGAATAGGTAAGCAGCTCTTATTCATTTAAAACATCATTTTTACTTTAAAACAAATAGAAACATATCATGGAATAAAGCACAGTATTCACACTCATTGTTGATATAAAATGAAGACATTATCTAAGAAGTCCCAGATGGGAGAAGACGGCCTCAGGCTATACCCAAGTTCTTTGGGAGAACTTGTTCCCACTCCTCTGACTTAACTGCTAAAAGGGAGCAGCACTGGGTCTAAAGAAGGTTCGAGGATGTTTGTAGGAGTGTCATGAGGTGCTGTGCTGGCAGAAATCTCAAAGTGAATGAATAGTAAATCTCTGAGAGTCTTGAGACTTTTGCCTACAGTTTATCCTAAACAGACACAACTGTGTCTAAATCTTCCCAGATGTCACTTATCTCCCTTTATATTTATGTTTCCTTTACTACTCGTGGTTCCTTCCCTACCTCCCATGTCAGCAAAAATTTCATTACTAAGTGACGATGATGATAATGATGGTGGTTGCAGTAGTAATGAATAGATTCCTACATTTCCAAATTTCAAGAAATTGTGACATACGTTACTCAACTGATGTTAGCTTTATTAAGGAGGAACTTTATTCCTAATTTACACATGTGGAAACTGAGGGAGAGATTAGGTATATTGTCCCTGGTGATGATAGTCTTATGACTCCAGATCTGCTGCCCTTTCACTCTAAGACTCTGTCTTCAACTCCTCTGTCCTTTGTTTCCTCAACATGCTTAGTTCATGTCACAGAATACTGCTTCACAGATGTTTTCTAAATGTTCTTACATAATTTCACATTTTATCCTAACTAGACTGTGACTTTCTGGTGATATACCTTCTGTTGTGATAGAATCATGACTTTAAAAAAATATGTTTGGTACCCTAAAATCAGTTGCTAGGGAAACAAGCTGAAAACTCAGTTATAAATCTGTAAATATATCTATTAAAATCAAAGAAGAAAAAGGTGGAGGGAGAGAGAAGGAAGAGGAGGATGAGGAGGAGGAGAATGTAGAGCAGGAGAAGAAGAAAGCAGATAGGAACTGCTACATCCCTCTTCTACCTGTCCTAGTGAAAATTCCAAGAGATGCTTTAGGTAATAGGAAAACTTAGTCCAGACAACATTTATTACATCTAGGGAGAGTCTTTTCAGTTTTATTCACAGAAAGGCTGTGAGTAAAAGCCAAAAATTGCATAGGCTGTTGGGAAAGAAGTTGAGTAAAACTCTTGGGGAACTGCTGGTTTCTGGATTAAGATTTATTCCTTTCTTATGTAGAAGAACCTGATATTGTTAAGGGATCCACCCTACCCCCACAAACCCTATATGAATTAGGAAAAATTGACCTGATCCCAGCAACAGGGAAAAATGCTAACTTCTAAGCTAGTGGTTCTCACTAAGTGGTACCATCCTCCCAGTGGAATGTGAACATATATGAGGACATTTTTGGTTGTCATAATGAGCATTTGGTGCCTGAGGTCCGGGAAGCTAAATTAGCTACAAGGTATAGAACAGCCTATATAATCAGGAATTGTACCAGCCAAAATGCCAATTGTGGGCTGATGAAAAAAACACTGGCCTAAACTAATCGACAGCAAAATACTTTGCCAATGACAAAAATCCTTGAATAGGTACTTAAGCAATGATATACAAATGGAAAGTCTGCACATGAAAAGATGCTCAACATTATTGGCCACGAGGGATGCAAGTTCAAGCCATGATGAGATGCCAGCACGTGCCTATTAGGATGACTATAATAAAAAATATTGAAAATATCAAGTGTGGGTAGAGATGTAGACCAACTGGAACTCACACACACTTTGCTAGTGGAAATACAAAATATTTTGGCCACCCTGGAAAAACAGTTTGGCAGTTTTCTGTAAAGTTAATCATATACTTATATGACTCAGAAAGTCCTCTCCTAGTTATTTACCCTGGAAATGGAAGGCTTATGTTCACACAAAATCTATACCTACTAAACTATATAACAGCTTCATTTATTAACTGCCAAAAATCATGAACAATTTAAATGTTCTTCAGTGGGTGAATGTTTAAACAAACTGTGGAACACCGATACAATGCAATACTACTCAATAATACAGAAACAAAGTATTAGTCTATTGAGGCATGGAGCAATATTGTTATAACATTCCCAAAAAGATATAACCATAGTGTTGGAGAACAAATCAGTGGTTGCCAGGAGTTGGGGGTAGGGAAAGATATAACTAAAAAAGGGCAGTTTGAAATTTCATATTTTGTCTCCATGACAGATTTTTTGTTTTTAATTTCAGCTTTCATCGTAGCTTCAGGTGGTGTATATGCAGGTTTGTTACATGGGTACATTTTGTGATGCTGAGGTTTGGGGTATGATTGATCCCCTCACCCACGTAGTGAGCTTATTACACAACAGGTAGTTTTTCAGCCCTTGACCTTCTTCCTCTCTCCCACCTCTAGTAGTCCCCACTGCTTATTATTCCTGTCTTTATGTCCATGTGTACCTGTTCTTTATTTCCCACTTATGAGTGAGAACATGCAGTATTTGGTTTTCTGTTTCTTCATTAATTCTATTAGGATAATGGCCTCCAGCTCCATCCATGTTGCTGCAAAGGACATGATTTCTATCTTTTTTATGGCTGCATAGTATTCCATGGCATGTATGTACTACATTTGCTCTCTCTAATCCACCACTGATAGGCACCTAGGTTGATTCTATGTATTTGTTATTATGAAATAGTGCTGTGATGAATGTATGAGTGCATATGTCTTTTTGGTAGAGCAATCTATTTTCCTTTGCATTTAAACCCAGTAATGGGATTGCTGGGTCAAAAGGTAGTTCTGTTTTAAGTTTGGAGAAATCTCCAAGCTGCTTTCCACAGTGGTTGAACTAATTTACATTCCCATCAACACTGTGTAAGTGTTCCCTTTTTTCTGTAGCCTTGCCAACATCTGTTATTTTTGACTTTTAATACTAGCCATTCTGAAGACTCTTGAGCAGTCACCATTTACTCTCTTACCTCAAAAAATTTCTACTCTTTCATTGTTTTATTTTCTTTTTCTATTTATTGTTAACTGAAATTACCTTGTTTATTAATTTGTTGAATGGGTTATCATCAGTCCTCTCACCATCCACCACCTTAATGCTGGTCCCATGAAGACTGTGATCTACTGTATCCTCAGTACCTAAAATAATATCTGACACATGGTAGATGCTCAAAGGATATTTTAATAGATTAATGAATTACTAATGAAGAAGGTAAATAGTCTGATGCACATTAAGTGCTCAAAAATGATGAGAGACAATATCTCAACCTCTATAATTCTACAATGTTCAACACAAAAATATGTCCTGTTAACAAGTACCTGTGCTCTTAAATCCTTTTTCAGGCCAAATGCATTGGGTTTGCACAGCCATAGTCACTGTCTACTGAGAAGACACTTTCTGATTTTTAAATTCTCTAGCTCTCTGTAGGTGGAGAATTCTGCAGTTATTATTTGGTATTGATCTAAAATGTTTAACATTTTAGCGTGGCTGAACATTTCAGCCTACAACTCAGTACAACACAGAAAACATGCAAAGAAATCAACATAGATGATGCTTGCTTTATATGTTACATTACCTCTATTCTTTTCAACTTCATTTTACAGATTAAAAAAATCAAAAGACACTAAGTGATCTTAGGGAAAACTTAAACTTCACTGCTCTTAGTTTTCATATCTTGCTTGTTTAGGTCAGAGAATAAACCAACATTGTGCAGTTTTACACATGAGGCTAGCTCTCATGTGCTCATTTGAAACCAGATTCACAGATGAGCACCATATCAAAAATTTCTGATCTGTGTATTCATTCCATCTTTAAATCTGAGAGACACAATTGCCCACATTTGCACTATGCCAAAGATGCATGGTGTTTTCCATTTTGAAAGACAGGAGAGTTCTGGCTTTGAGATCAGCCTTGACCATTAATACATTTCAGTAGCATTCACCCATTTTAATCCAACATACTTATTCCTCTTCAGTTATTTTATTTGTGTTTGTTTTTAAATGGCAACTCCCAGAGTGATTTTCAGAGAAGAATGATTTAAAGTTCATAAAATGTCATCACACATTTCCATTTTCTCTAGCACATTACCCAGGAAACCAAGATGAAAGTCAAACTTAAATCACTTAAACTTTTTATAAAACATGACATAAAATTACTAGAAATTCCAATTTCCAAAGATCTTGTATAGTTTTGCTCATACCTTTCATTAGTGTAACTTTTATTGTTCAAAAATCAAAAGGATGGCAATCTTAAAAAGTTACTTAAATTGGTTATATAGATTTCTGTGGAGATTATGTGTCTCCCAGTTCAACCAGAGAAAAATTTCTCAATAGTAAACTCTACGTCTATTAAATTATATGATGTCTTTGGCGAGAATGTGCTCAAAATTTTTGCTAGTTTTCAATCTAATTTCGTTATATGAAAAGTAAATGTGGTTACTTACACATGTGATAAAATAGAAAACAATTTTAATTTGAGTTATTTTATGTAATAAAAACTGATTTGTTTGCTGGATAAGAAAATTAGATTCCAAAAAGAAACAAAAGAAAGCGATATATAATACATGCTAAGAAATTAGAGATTGGTAATGAAAACAAAAGTTCAGGAGACTTTTTAAGGACATCTGAAAGCAGAGAGCAAAGTGTCAGAAAGAATGGTTTTCTAGACATTTGGACTTCAAGGATCAGTAATTGTTTTTTAAGGAATCATCAAAACTTCATAAATATAAAGAAAAAATCTTAAAGCCAAAAAAATGAGGAATGATATAATCTCAAAAGAACAGAGCTTTTAATAAATTGAATAAACATAAATTATTCTAGTAAAGAAATTACAATTATTCTTATAAAGAACAGAGTTTTTAATAAATTGAATAAACATAAATTATTCTATTAAAGAAATTACAATTGTTCTTATTCTCCTCATTTACTCGAGTGAGTAAAACCTCGTCACAGACAAACACTAATCCAAACCATTTTTGACATCAGCCTCCTAGAGAACCTCAGGAATGAACAAGGTGCTTCTGAGATTTGCTTTCCCAGTCTTAAAAATCTCTTTTCAAGAAGTTTCAGGCCTTCTGATCAAACATAAGGGGAAACCTCACTGTGAAACTAACAACCTTAATTTATGCCAAAGTCATATCAAAGAACAAATATCTACTGATGGATTAGTTATCAGAGGGCATACTGAATAGTCTAGTATGTCCCCTTACTCAGGATCTTTTTATGGGTACTCATACCACATGTTAGGACCTGATCCTACCCGTGGTAAAACACTGAGTGCATTAAGGAGTGAGGTGAGGTGTGAATAAATATTTTCTGAACTGCATATATATTGATCTAGACGATTTTGTTATTTAATCTCATATTAAATCACAAAAATATCATCAGTAGATATTATTAACAATACTGAGATTACAATACACTAACAAATTTCAGGTTCACTGAGGAGAAATTGCCAAAGACAACCCCACAACTGGAGGGCATCAGAACTGGAATTAATTGTTTGAATCCAATATGATGCCTTAAGCACTCAGCACTGGTAACTTTGTTTTTACCATTACTCACTATCCTCTCCTGTGAGGACTCATGTATCTCTTTTCTAGAATAATCATTCTCCTGTCAAAATGTAACCCTAGGCTGCTGACCTTTGCTTTCTCAACAAATCTGATAAACTTCTGCAAATTTACAAACACCTCCCAAAGACTAGCAGACTACTCCTCCCCTTAGACATCATTTCACAACAGCAATGCCTTTACTGAAAACCATGATGGAGAACAGTGTTACTGTTTGGAGACATCTATTAAGCCTCTTTCACAGGCTTTAGATCTCATTCTCTCTCCCTGTCTCTCTCTCTCTTTCTCCCTCTCTATCACACACACACACTAACACACATACACACTGACACACAAGCATCTACTCAGTTTTGGTGTCTTATAAACATCCTTTGAGAAGCAATCCCATATATGGACTTATTTGATTGTGCTGGATTACAGAGTTAGTCCAGGAAAGCCATAGAAGATTAGCAAGAGTTCAGATACCAAATATGTGAATTGATGCATGCAGAGCTGCAGCTGTACGATGTACCCCTGTCTTCTTAGGGTTGTAGAGACACTGTAAGCATTGTCACCAATCCTTCACAGAGTTTACATAGAAGTATCCACCAAAGAAGATAAAATCAGCACGACATGTAAAAAAGCAATACAAATGGTTAGAGACCCCTTCTGACTGCCCAAACTCTGACTAGTCATAGTCCCATGTGTGGACCAAGGACAAGATTCATAAATATCACAAACATCTACTGTATTTCTCAAAGGGTAATACTGCAAGAATATTTTTAAGTCCTGCCATTGTCCACAAGTTCCCAAGAAGGTATATGTGTTTCTCCCCTAATCCCAACACCCCAGTTATGAAGTATTAACTTCCACTTGGTAGTTACTCAGAAAAACATATCAGAGACCCAACTTCTCTCATTTCCCATGCCACAGCCAGCCTGGAACCTTCCATATCTTGGCTATTGTGAATAATGTCACAATGAACATGGAATGCAGGTATCTCTTTGACCTACTGATTTCATTTCCTTTGGATATATACCCAGAAGTGGGATTGCTGGGTCATATAGTAGTTCTATTTTTCATTTTTTTAGGAACCTCCATATTGTTTTTCATATTGATTGTACCAATTCATATTCCCACCAGAAATGTACAAAAGTTTCCTTTTGCCACATTGTCTACAACACTTATCGTTGGTCTTTTTTGATTCTCATTAACACTCATTATTGCTGATCTTTTTGGGAACAGCCATTCCAGAGCTATTGTGTGAAAGAACAATAGTTTTCTGCTAAGTTATCAATATATTTGGGTAAACTTATAACAGCAGCTTAGACTACTCTACAAATACAAGTCAATTAGCCCAATATTTTTCCCATTAATACACTGGTGACTGGGAGTTCACTCATGATTTGGCTCTCTATTTGTCTGTTATTGGTGTATAGGAATGCTTGTGATTTTTGCACATTGATTTTGTATCCTGAGACTTTGCTGAAGTTGCTTATGAGCTTAAGGAGATTTAAAAAAAAAAAAAAAAACAGTGGTGACTAACTAAAATCACAGGAAAATAAACTGTCAAGACTTTTGCACATGTTATTTCTAATAATAACCCTTTGACATGGGTAGTATTATTATCTTCATTTCATAGATGAGGATTCTGGATCATAGACTTAAATATACAATGACAAGCAATAAAGCTTTAAAAATTAGGAGAATATCTTCAAGACCTAGGACTCAGTGAAGAGTTCTTATACTTGATACCAAAAGCATGATCTGTAAAAGAAAAAAAATGGTAAACTGGACCTCTGAGAAATTAAAATCTTTGCTCTGCAAAATATTCTGTTAAGAGGATGAAAGACATGCTACAACCTGGTAGAAAATATTTGCGAACCACATATCCAACAAAGAACATGCATCTAGAATATATTTTTTAAAAAACTTTTAAAACTTAACAAGAAGAAAACAAAAACCCCAATTAAAAACCAGGCAAAAGATCTGAACAGACACTTCACCAAAAAAGATATACATATGGCAAATAAGTACATGAAAAGATGTTCAACACCCTAACAATCAAGGGAATATAAATTAAAACCATGATAAGATACCACCACACACCTATTAAAATAGCTAAAACAAAAAATAATAATACCAAATGCTGGTGAGGACATAGAGAAACTGTGACACTCATACATTGCTGATAGGAATGTAAAATGGTACAGCTACTCAGAAAAATAATTTGACAATTCCCTTTAAAACTAAAAAAAAATGGACTTACCATATGTCTCAGCAGTTACACTTTTAGCATTTATCCCAGAGAAATGAAAACCCATTTTTACACAGAAATATATACACAAATATTTGTGCCAGCTTTATTTATAATAGCTAAACATTGGAAACCACACAAATATTCCTCACTGGACAAATCATTAAACTGTGATATAGCTGGAGCTATAACATGGAATAATACTCAGAAACAAAAAGAAACTGTGGATCCTCACAACTTGGACTAACTTTAAGGAAGTGATGCTAAGTCAAAAAAAGCCAAAAATGCTTGTATACAGTCAGGCATCGCTTAATGACAGAGATTCATTCTAAGAAATGAGTCCTTGGCAATTTTGTCATTGTGTAAACCTCATGGAGTAAACTTACACAAACTGAGATGGTATAATCTACCACACCTAGCAGTAGGTTATAGTATACGGCCATATCTGGGCTATATGGTATAGACTGTTTCTCCTAGGCTACAAACCTGTACAACATGTAACTGTACTGAATACTATAGGCAACTGTAACACAATGGTATATATTTGTGTATCTAAACATAGAAAAGGTACAGTAAAAATATAGTATAAAAGATAAAAAATGGCACACCTGTATAGGGCATTTACCATGAATAGAGCTTACCGGACTGGAAGTTGCTCTGGGTGGGTCAGTGAGTGAGTGAAGAATGAGGATGATGGCCTAGGACATTACTCTACACTACTGTAGACTTTATAAACACTGTGCACTTAAGCTACACTAAATACATAAAAATATTTTTTCTTCAATAATAAATTAATCTTAGCTTACTTTAATTTTTTTACTTTATGTACTTTTTACATTTTTTTAACTTTTTGACTTTTGTAATAATACTTAGCTTAAAACAGATACATTGTACAGCTATACAAAAAGTATTTTCTTCTTATCCTTAGTCTATAAGCTTTTTTCTATTTTTAATGTTTTTTAACTTTTTAAATGCTTTTATTATAAACTAAGTGAAAAACACACACATTAGCTTAGGCCTACGCAGGAGGAGCAGGATCATTAAGATGCCACTAGGCAACAGGAATTTGTCAGCTCCATTATAATCTTATATGACCACCATCATATATGCAGTTCATCATTGACCAAAACATCATCATACAGCACATGACTGCACTGCAAAATTTCATTTATTTAGTGTTAGTGAAATAATATAATTATATTTGCTAATGACATTGTTGATGAATATAGATGAAGAGCAGATTAGTGATTATCAGGGGTTTCATGTATCCTAGGTTTACACACTAACATAGAAATCTGAAAGAATTATTTAACATTAATTGAAGAGAAATTATGTTAGATATTTTCTTTTTGGTTCGTTTTTCGTTTGCAATCAAGACAAGACAATAATAGTTGACCAACAAAGTAGGTCCCCAAAAAGTAGTCAAAATTTTGGCAAGACAGCTTTGTATATGTGATATAAAAGTTATCACCTATCTAATTACATTTCTAGTGACATTTTAACGTGTAATCCAAATATATTTCCCTCTTTAAAGAGAAATTGTTTTAACAAGTTGTTAAGTAATGTTATTAACAAGATGTTAGGTAAATTTAGAAGAATGTTAAAGTACTATTACTTACTTAGAGTCTATAGTAGTAAGATTTTATTCCATTCCATGATGCCTAAACATTAGTCCAATTTTTCAAGAATGAAGAATAATAATGACCTCATGAGGTAAATGTCATCTTTGACTATTTGTTTATTACACATTGGGGTAAATACAAAGTATGTATTTCCTCTGAGGAGAATAGGAAATCATCATAAAGGGGTGATGGGGAGCTGAGGTTCTGGGCCTGTCATGAGAGGGATATAGGTGAGGGTTAGGAGAGTAGACCTGGATTCAGGCTGTCCTGAGGCCAACTCTTCCACTGGCTTGCTATGTGTCCTGGGCCACTGACTTAAGACTTAGTTCCACCCGGGCGTGGTGGCTCACACCTGTAATCCCAGCACTTTAGGAGACCAAGGCGGGTGGATTACGAAGCCAGGAGTTCAAGACCAGCCTGTCCAACATTGTGAAATCCTGTCTCTACTAAAAATACAAAAATTAGCCAAGCAAGATGGCACACGCCTGTATTCCCAGCTACTCTGGAGGCTGAGGCAAGAGAATCACTTGAACCCGGGAGGCGGAGGTTGCAGTGAGCTGAGACTGCGCCATTGCACTCCAACCTGGGCAACAGAGCGAGACTCCATCTCAAAAAAAAAAAAAAAAATTAGTTCCTCCAACTGCAAAATGGGAAAATAGCAACTACCTCCAAGATTCGTGGTGATGATCGCAAAGTACTTTACCTATTTCTTAGAACATGGAACGTGTTCTGCCTATTATCTATATCATGATCATCATCAGGCAAGATTACTCAGTTTATCTTAAACTATCAATCAACAGGGATTTGGTTTTCAATTCTGATGTTACATTAAAAAATTTAATTAAAGATGTTTTGTAAAAGTAATGTCCTGAAATATTTAGACTACTGGATCAAAACATCAATAGTTGTCCTATTATTAATGGTAAGACATCAATACAATCTGAGTAATAAGAAAAATGGCAGCATGCTTCTTTTCAGAATGACAGACAGCTTATTCCTTCTCACAATTATTGATAGATACCAATCTAAAATTGTACCTACAACTTTAAACACATGGGAAACCAAAAAATGATCCCTCTTTGGGAGGCCAAGGTGGGTAAATCACTTGAGGCCAGGAGTTGAAGACCAGCCTAGCCAACATGGCAAAACCCTGTCTCTACTAAAAATACAAAAATTGGCCAGGCATGATGGTGCACACCTCTAGTCCCAGCTACTCAGGAGGCTGAGGCAGGAGGATCTCTTAAACCCAAGAGGCAGGGGTTGCAGTGGGCCAAAATTGCACCACTGCACTCCAGCCTGGGCGACAGAGTAAGACTGTCTCAAAAAAATAAAATAAATAAAATCCCTTTTACTTCTTGAGTATTATAAAAACAAACCCAAACCAAATGCACAAAAGTTCCAGATATTCAGAAGTACTCTGCCCTACCTCATCATTATTGTGTATGGTTGTTATTGCAGGCTGTGATGGAGGAGAAGCTACCCCTCAGCACAGGATTTTGGTAGAATAAGAATAAAAATGTAAGCAAAATATAAATTCCTTCAAAATAAATATGAAAATTTTCAAAGGATAACCCAATTTTTATTGATTTCATAAGTATCTCTGTAATCATAACTGCCAGTGGTAAAGAATTTCATGATATCTGAAAATATCTAATAGATACTAAAAACCATTTTTATATTACTTAATTTTCACAAGGGAATTGTAAATATAACCTCTCATTGAGTTTTACTGGGTTATTCTTGAGGCAAAAAATGAGGCCAAATTAATCATCAAACATAGCATGAAAAAAATAGAACTCTCCTGTTCCACTTTCACCTACTCTCAGAAAGTTCCATAGTCTCCATAATTCTGTCATTGCTCTGTGAACTAGCACTTTGGCTAAGTGACGGGAGACTGCCATTCTCCTCCTGTCACACTCTGGTGATGCTTTTCCAATGACAAAATCTGCAATTCTGCCACCAATGCCATAGCTGCCTACTGATGGCCACACTATAGGGGGTAATCTGCCAGCAACAAGCATGCCAGCATTTAGTGCTTTGTATATCACACAAAGATTTCATGGAAAATTTTTTACTCAGCATGACTGATGAGGTTAAGTTGGAGGTCAATCAGAAGGTGGAGGCAGTCGGCCATGCTCAGGGTCTCTCATTTTCCATGAACAAAAACCATATCTCATCTGTCTCTTCCCTCAGGACAAGTCCCTTCCTGAAAAGCTCTTCATTGTCTCTTGAAAACGGTCTGTGAAAGTGCCAAACCACCAGCTCTCCAGATGTGGCTGAATATCAAGGTAAATTTAATTTAGACTTAGCTTGGGATCCCCGTCATAACAAATCGGATAAAGCGCATGCACACACATGTGCACACACACGCACACACACTCAGACATGTAAAACCCATCCTAGACAGTTCAAACAAGGTTTGAGTACCACTTTCCACGTATCAGGCTTACAAGGTGCCAAGAACATAGAGTTCCTGACCTTGAGGAGCCTGCAGTCTGCTGGTAGCCAAGGTGGTACAGGCAGAAGGATGTAAGCACTCAAGGCTTCCATAAATCTGCTCTCGGATAAGGAGTAAAGCACCAAAATCAGATGGCCTTGCATTCCTCTCTGACACAATCTCATTGAGTCAGCAAGATAATAAAAATGTGAGGTTACAGTACAATTTTTTTACAAAAAAAAATTACTCTGAGCTATTTGAAATCTTAGTAAAACTGAAAAATACAGTTTAACCCATAATATTGTTGCCTTTATTTGGGTTGTTAAGATTCTAGGGTTTGGCTAATAGGGCTGCACAAATATATTCACTGATTTACATGTTAATGTTCTGTCAACATGCATGATCTATAAAAGAAGCATTCCACTTTGCATAACATCTGTACTTTTGTGGAAAAAAGGAAAATACTGTCCACTATACCAAGGCCTTTACATTTCCTTGTATCATGTTATCATAGATTAGTAACTAATTCCCCTACTGTGTCCACTATTTTTACTTTTATAAACAATATTGCAATAAACATCATTAAACTAAATATTTGTATATTTCTTTGCTTCATATAAATGTCTGGAGTAAAATTATCTGGCCTGTAGGTAGGTAAATAATTAAGGTCTCCATACATATTATACTCCAGAAAAATGGTAGCAATTTATAGTCCTGTCTGCAGATGAGACTGCATATTTTTTAGAAAAATTCTTAAGTAAAAAAATTAATTAATTATTGGAAGTGTTGCTTTCCTAGGAAAATATCTTACGTGCAAGGAATAAAAATGCCAGATGAAGGTAAGAGGCATATAGTATGATACCCTGAACAGAAAAAAAAAAATAGTTGCTGTGTTTAAAATGTATTGAATCAGATTGTGCTGTCAATCGTGTACTTATGTTCTTCTTTTGAACATTCTGTGCACACACGCATGTACCAGGACTCCTTCCCTAACTCTCCTTCTTCTTACCTATATTCTTTACCTCCTACAAATGTCCCAACTTGACAAATCTAGCAGCTTTGGGGATTTTTAAATTAATTCTATGAAGCACATATTAGGTATAGTCCTAATTATTTGTACCTCACAATTTAGCATTTATTTTTACCTCTATGTAATGCTTGCATTCTTGTAATATAATTATTCTCCACTGAGATTAGGACATAACATCTTTCAGAATAGGCAGGATCTTTTAAACATTCTTGTTTTTGAAACTTTGTCACTTCACAGAACAAAAATACAATTAAAAGTTAATAAAATTTTCAAGGCACACTTCCTAGTGGGAAAGTAAGCATTGTCTCTGGTCTGATAGTTGCTTGAAATCATATGTGGTTTTTTTCTGAAGAAAACAATCCCCAATCACAAGTCCAGGGTTTCTCCAGACACAAGAAGTAATTTGTATACCACTGTGATTCTCATTTCTCTAATGGCTACCATACCACTTATTGAGTGCTTACATTTAGTTCATCTGACAGCTCTGTGAGGCAAGTCATAGCCCATTATACACATGAGAAAATGGTGGCTCATTTAGGTTAAGCACATAGGAGCCCAGATTTGATTCTTACCACCGCATCCCAGCATTTAACCACCAAAACCACTATGGCAAATGATTTTCTTATGCTAAGAAAAAGAGTAAAGATTATAACCCGTTATACAAGCTGAAATTTTCAAGCTTTTAGAAATGACATAATTTTGGTTATATGATCAAAATTTCTGGCATGCCAAATAACATAACTTATGCAATGATTTCACATAGTATATAGTATGATACCCTGAACAGAAAAAAAAAGTTGCTGGGTTTAAAATGTATTTGAATCTTTAGTCTTGGTCCATTTTTGCCGCTATAACAAAATATCTGAGACTGGATAATTTATGAAGAACAGAAATATACTCCGGGAAGCCCAAGATCAGGGTGCCAGCAGGTTCTGTGTCTGGTAAAGGCTCATTTCTCATTGATGGTGTCTTCTAGGCATCCTCACATGGTGGAAGGGACAGAAGGCAAAAAAGGGAGGAACACTGTGTCCTCACATGGCAGAAGAGCAGAAGAGAATGAACTCATTCCCTCAAGCCCTGCTAGAAGGGCACTACTCTCATCCACTAGGACTCCAACCTCACAGCTTCATCACCTCTTAAAAGCCCCACCTCTTCATACTATCAGTTGATTATTAAATTCCAACATCTGAATGTTGGAGGACACATCCAGACCGTAGCATCCCTCAAAAAAAGAATAAAGATGTTCCATAGCACCCATCATTTATTGAAATGATTTTCGAACACAAATACAGCATTGAGAGCAAGCTTTTAAAATAAATTGAGGGGCTTCTGGGTCAAGATCACTAATGGAACACACATGTTCATTTTATATTCTTCTCTGGACACTATTAAAATGAGAGTAAAGGAATGTTAAACCATAAACCCACAAAAATAAGAGACCTGGCAAAGAGAAAAATCAGTGTGAAAAAGCACATTGCAAATTTCTGGAAGATGAAAAGGAGATAGAGGTAGACAGCCAGATGAAGATGAGCTGCCAAGAAGAGACCTTAGTATAAATGACTTTGCAAACCCTGGAGGGTGCCAGAGTCAAGGAAGACAAATTCCACAAAGGCAAAGGCATGACTGTAAAGAAGGGCTGAAAAGAAGGAGATTCATTGAAAGCCTCTAAAACCAGCTCTTTCTTTTCCTTCCCCACCCCATGCAAAGATGGACCAGCAGGCAGGAGGTCTACAAGCTGTAGGCAAAGGATTGCTGGGCTGAATGAATGAATAAGCAGAAGCAAGTGGCACAACAAAACATGCCAGAATTCCAAAACTGAAAGCTGAGTTCAAGTGGAAAAACAAAATAGGGATGAAAAAAGGTTTTATTTCCCATATATTTCCTTCACATTCTAAGTTAATGCCCCACTCTCTGTGATAAGTGTATTAATTTATGCTAACATTTTCTTCCTTCAGCCTCCCACTATGACATGATATCCCCAGAGAAATTATAACAGGTTCAGGAAAGCAATCCTATGAGCTCTCTCAACTGCTCCTAAGACGAATGTCATCAAGTTGGTATTTAAAATCACGAGGTGGTCTCTAAATTGCTACGCTCTGACAGCTATAAGGGTACTAGGCCTATTTTGAAGACCAAGCTGGGGGTGGAGGGGGGTGTCTTCCCAGAAGCTACCCATGCAAGAAAATACCCATTAACTGAGAAGAAAATTAATAAAAGGACCCTTGAGAAATTTTTAGGTTATAAATAATAACAAAAGACCAGCAATTGAACTACAAACATCCTCTAACCATTTTTTTAAAAATCATCTCCTTATTTTCATGAAGGTCATGTAGCAAAATAAAGCAAATGATTCTCTAATACAATTCCATCACTAATACCACAGTCTATTTGTCATTCCCTTAGGGGAGCTGTACTTGAGACAGAACAACTAGATATATAATTGTAATTCTCACAATGAGAACCTAGAAAATATTTCGCCACACGTACAGTATGCTATATATGTCACTGTGAAAGCACAGCTCGGTTAAAGCCTGCAATCCATCTATCTCCTTTCTGTTATTCGCCATCACACAGAGCTATATCAAAAGATCCATTCAAACAGTGAGTCTCAGACTTACATTATCAGCAGACACTGCTTTAATTAGCAGTGGTTTTCAAAGGGCTGGATGGCTTCGAGAACTTGATTTGAACCATAAAGTAGAAATCTGGATCCTTATCAGTTTCACTTTTCAACTCTCAGCTCCCCTCCCTGGGTTCCAATAGATACAGCCCTCATTTTCCTTAATGTAAGAAAGAAAATGAAAATGGTGGCTAGAGTTTGGCAATACTTGTGCGTCCACTTTTTCCTCAACCACCAGTGATGCAGAGGGGCTAAAATTAAGGTTGCAAAGGAACTAAGATATCTGTGTCAGGTACGTTGCAGGGAGTGGTAGGAATGACAGAAAGAGAATGAATAAAAGAAACCATTTTTAAAATAACATTTAACACACAGATTTTATGTATATATGTGTGTGTGTGTGTGTGTGTGTGTGTGTGTGTGTGTGTGTGTGTGTATTTTTTTTATTCCAAATAAAAACATAGCATCCACTTTATTTTAGGTTAAGTGTGAGAAAATATAATGCTTTATTTTGGGCATTTCAATACAAACATTAAGGCACTTACATGCTACTTTTTTCATCTATTTCACAATATTTACCCATGATCCAATTCCTGAATCTTTGTTATTTCTCAGTGAAAACATAGAAAACTATGCAATTTAATTGATCAGTACTGAACTGTGAACTTTCTATTCTAAAAGGAAGGTTTCATCTAATAACAAGGACTTCTGTTTTACATTTGATCAGTGATAATATAAAAATAGAAACTATTTCAAGATTCCTAATGTTTGAATAAATAGGCATCATTTGGTATGGAAAGAATTTAATAAATCCACAGCCAGAGAGCACTTTTGATAGATGTATAAAATAATGAAGAGCATAGCAATATTTTCAAATCCAATCCAACCTTTCACTTTGTAGATAAAGAAGCCAAAGGTTAAGTGATTTGTCAAAGCCATACAAGCACAACTTTAACTGTATTACCTACCAGTCTCCTGGAATCAGATCTAACATGCTCCTCACCATACTAGTTGGCACTTAGGGAGAGATAGAAAACCTCTTTGGAATAAGAATCCTTGTCACCATCAACACACACACACACACACACACACACACTGAAGACACAGGTTCTTCATTTAGATTTTCATAGGTATGTGAATTAAACACCTGTACACACTCGCTTTTTCATTTTTCCAGTCTCTCCTCATTTTGCCATTATGCACATTAGGACTTTAATTCTCACTGCTTAGCAATTTCCCAATGATCCTCATGGTCCACCACTATCATAGCATATTTCCTTTCCTCTCTCTTTTTAAAATTTCTTGCTATAGATTCTTTTGCAATTTTTAAATTTTTGTTATTGGCTCAAAGGAGAAGAGGCCAGAAAGAAATTAAGATGGAATTATTTCTTATTCAAAAGAGATTTAAGTTTTTCAACTACTTAGTTTTTCACTTTGGTCTGCCAAATGATCAGGATTCACGGTTACTATTTACTACTATACTTCACCTGGGGTAAGACCAGAATTTTTTAATTACTCATAATGCTTAAGGGTTGTCTCAGTTATTTGGAGAACATTATCCTAATCATCAAATCTCTAATATCTGATGCAGAGAGATCAACCATATAATCCTCTTATTGACATCTCGGAAATGTCTTACCTCCCTAAGAAAGGGAAAAATTAATTAATTTTACTAAAAATTCAGGAGTGACACACTGTTCAGAAACTCAGAGAATCCTGGTTCCGAATTCCCTCCAGTTGCCTTCCAGCTGACGGATGCTTACTGAGAAACTTAACATGAAATTTTGGTCTCTACCACCCATCTGTTTTATGAAAATAATTATTTCCACAGGGTATTTTAGATGTCAACTCTGGATGCTATCTCTGGAGAAAAGTGGATAATAAATTTAAAATATACCAATGATGAATGGGCCATTGTGGGCGATGTGCCAAGTGGAGACGTAGAATGCACAGTAAGCAACACAAATACCTTAGGGAGGGCAGCTGCAGTCTTAAAGATGCTGAAGTGCCTACCATGGCCCATGACAATGTCACCAATAAAATCAAACATGAGCCGGCAGCTTAGGGGAGTTAACGTATGGGGGCAAAGCAACTCACTCACATCCTCTACCATCAAAATTGTCCCTCAGACAAAAGGAACATCTAAGGCAACTTTATCAGTTGAATCCAAAACACAGCAAGAGTCATTGCTACTCTTATGAGTAGCAGAGACAAGGAAGGAGGTTTCCAAAATAAATGATGTAATGCCAAAAAAATAAAATATCATCGTTTGCATGTTTTTATCTTTCTTTCCTTCATTTAGGTCATCACCAAAATTAGTTTATTAAGAATGAATGCAACCAATTGTGGTATAAAGATACATACATCCAGTACCTTACCGCCAGAGATTTCCTACTTATTAAATTTAATTTGCATTTATTACTTATTTTATTATGTGAAGTTGCCTTGTAAGGAATAACATATAGATCAGAAGCAACATTCAAGCCATACGGAAAGTAATATCTAGATAACACATCAGAAACATTGGCAGAATAGATGACTTGTTTTGGGGCATGTCAGGGCCTTCTGAGTGAGTGCCTGTTACCAATGACTCTAGTTAGACACAATTAGAAAGAGAAATAAATATATAAGTAGATATTATGGCAGAATAAAACATGTTACAGGCCGGGCGCAACGGCTCACGCCTGTAATTCTAGCACTTTGAGAGGCCGAGGCGGGCAGAGTGCCTGAGCCCAGGAGTTCGAGACTAGCCTGGGCAACAGAGTGAAACCCTGTCTCTACTAAAATACAAAAAAAAAAAAAAAAATTAGCTGGGCATGGCAGCATGTGCCTGTGGTCCCAGCTACTCGGGAGACTGAGGCAGGATAATTGCTTGAACCCGGGAGGCAGAGGTTGCAGTGAGCCGAGATCATGCCACTACACTCCAGCCTGGGCGACAGAGTGAGACTCCATCTCCAAAAATAATAATAATAATAATAATCATGTTACCATGTTACAGCATAAAATGCTTTACAATCATTCCCATTGTTAAGACATTCTGAAGAATAATTATAGACTTGCTACCACAGGTCCATGTGAGAAACTGAGGTGTCAATGGTTTGTACACTTAGAATGTTTCTGAGCGGCTAAAACCTATCATTATTATATCATAATGTACTTAAAAATAATCAAAGCGTAATAATTGCCTTGAGGGCTAGGACTTTATTATGTATGTTCCCACTGCAGCCCTTAGTACTCTGTCTTATTCAAAATAAGTGTCTAGTGATGTATACTGATTTGAAAGTCTGTTTTGTTTTTTCTGAGTACATTGTCATCCAATAGGCACTAGGTTGCATCTCTGAAGACACTCACCAACAACACCCAGACCTGTCATCAGATAATGATATGAGGAATTAGAACCAAGCACGAATCTCATGTTTTTTGTTTATTAACAGATTTCTTCTTAGAAAGTAATTAATTTTATTTGTATTAATGAAGCTATGAATTAATAAATAATTTAGGCTGGGCATGGTGGCTCACACCTGTAATCCCAACACTTTGGGAGGCTAAGGTGGGCGAATTACCTGAGGTCAGGAGTTCGAAACTAGCCTGACCAATATGGTGAAACCCCATCTCTACTAAAAATACAAAATTAGCTGGGCATGGTGGCCCATGCCTGTAATCCCAGCTGCTGAGAAGGCTGAAGCAGCAGAATCGCTTGAACCCAGGAGGCGGAGGTTGCAGTGAGCCGAGATTGCACCATTGCACTCCAGCTTGGGCAACAAGAGTGAAACTCGAATTCAAAATAAATAAATAATTTAATTAACCTTATTTAAAGAGCTATCCTTCACTGAATTATCACAGAATTCTAAAATTCTTTGTAGCTTTACATTTTAACAACAGTTTGTTTGTTTGTTTTCCATTTCTTTTCTCTTTTGCTGTATTTAAAAATAAGTGGTATGGGCCAGGCACAGTGGCTCTCGCCTGTAATCCTATCACTTTGGGAGGCTGAGGCGGGTGGATCACCTGAGGTCAGGAATTTGAGACCAGCTTGGCTAACGTGGAGAAACCCAGTCTCTACTAAAAATACAAAAATTAGCCAGGCATGGTGGTGCACGCCTGTAGTCCCAGCTACCCGGGAAGCTGAGGCAGGAGAATCGCTTGAACTCGGGAGGCGGAGGTTGCAGTGAGCCGAGATCGCACCACTGCACTCCAGGCTGGGCGACAAGAGTGAAACTCAGTCTCAAAAAATAAATTAATTAATTAAATAAAAAATAAATAAATGGTATGAACTCCTTTTTCTGAAATCAAGAAGAATGTTATTATGAGATCATAAGTAAATTTACATATCATTGGATAAGTCTTTCGCTCTCAAATTCAAAATATATCAAATTTTTAAATACAAAAAGTAAAATTTAAATTATTTAAAATATAATTGTTCAGCTCCTTATATTAGATATATGCTGTTAAAGAAAACTAATGTCAGATGACCTGTTTTCTTTCTCAATCTCAAAGAGTTGCTTTTTTACTCAAGGTAGCAATATTTATGGCATTTAGAAATTGACCACTGTGTTGATTTGATTGTACCAAGTCTCAATATAAAATAAGTTGAATCATATACTCTTCTTGTTATCATTATTATTATTATTATTATTATTATTTTTTGAGATGGAGTCTCGCTCTGTCGCCCAGGCTGGAGTGCAGTGGCGCAATCTCAGCTCACTGCAAGCTCTGCCTCCCGGGTTCACGCCATTCTCCTGCCTCAGCCTCCCGAGCAGCTGGGACTACAGGTGCCTGCCACCACGCCCGGCTAATTTTTTGTATTTTTAGTAGAGATGGTGTTTCACCGTGTTAGCCAGGATAGTCTGGATCTCCTGACCTCGTGATCCGCCCACCTCGGCCTCCTAAAGTGCTGGGATTACAGGCATGAGCCACCGCGCCCGGCCATTATCATTATTTTTGTAATATTACTGAACATTCATTATTTGAGAAGATAAAATTGTCTTGAGACATATTATGTTAATACAATAGAAATTATTAAATTTATGCATGAGATCTGTTTCTTCTTATAATCTCTTAAAGAAACCATTATTTATCAGAATGCCCTGAGGTACATGATCATTTTTACTATAGTAATAAATGATTTTTTTTTCCTTTTCATTATGAAATTTCAGTAGAAGGTAAATATAAGTAATACTCTTTGTTGATGCACTTATAGTCTTAAAGACATTTGGAAAATAGTCAAGATTTGTTGTCTTAGTTTTACTTAACATAATACATAGAAACTAGTACCTATTTCTTAAAACTATTCCAGAAGTAACTTCATGTTATAGATACAAATATACCCAGCTTGAATGTATCTCTTTGTCTATCATTATTCCAAAAATGCAACTCAAAAATAAAATCAGACTACAAATTCATATGCTAACAGGTCATTTCCTAAGATATGTTGCAGAGAACACTGCTAGTTCCTCAGAATATTCACTGTTATTGCACACACATTAAAATATATTACAGTGATAGGCGAGTTTAGGAAACACTGGATTAACCTCCAGAGTGCCTCACAGTCTTTAGTATATTACAATACAGATACGAGTCTCCAAGGGGAAATGTGTTGTATAGTGCATTTCCTGCTCAGTGTTTTCTGAATATTCTTGAACACAAACCAGAACTACATTTTGGGAAGCATTTTGGAAAATCAGAATTCCCAGGAACAGAGTTTAGAAAATACATGATAGGAAAAACAAAAGATCCATTCAACCTCAACAGCAATTATGGTGGAACTAACCAAATTGAAACATATTGTTACAAAATACTTTCCTCCTTTCTTGCACCTCTCTACCATTTCCCACAAAAATTAGCTTTATTGTCATCTAGCAGAATCAATGACTAAGATATTCCACATGATTTAATAGATGGTTTTCAAAGAGGTGGAAATGTCCTTTTAAGTCCATGTTAATTGATTTTTCTTCTCATGTTTGAAATATTGGAATAACATCAACCAAATTATGAGAAATTTCACTTGGCATTGGTAGATTTAAGAAATTTTGAAGAATTTGATATCATTCCTTTATTTCTGATTATGTATTGATTAATAGATGTAAAAGAGTCACCTTGAATTGGTTAAGTACCTAGCAATCTTTTAATCAGCAAACAGCAATAAACTCAGGGCAAAAATCAATACTTAAAAGTAGCAATTCACTCACCCAGGGTAAGATAAGATTTATATTGGATGTGTAGCAAAGAATCTTGTTTTACTTGTGTCTTGCCTTTGTCTTATTTTGTCTTGTTTTATCTTTGTGTGTAATAAACTGATGAATTTTTAAATTCTGCAGACTGGTGACTTTCTTACTTATTTACTATAGATCTTACCTTAGAAATTTTTTCAAATAAACCCAATAATACATATTGCTTAAGTGCGTGACACATACTATAGCACTGTTCATAATAAAGATCCTTATGAGAGATACAGCTTTAATTTTAACAAACGTATAACACAATATTATAATGTACACATATTTAAATATTTTAATGGAAAAAATATTTTCTTCTTTTAAAAACCAGACTTTTACGAACTTTACTATTTATAATAAATAAATTGAATAAATTTCAGAAAATAGTGAACTCCACAAAAATACATTTTTCAACTGTCTTCAGCAACCTAGCCAGTCATACTGTGTTACATTGGTATTAACATGAAACATAATGCTCGATGAACTGAAGTTTTTGGATATTTATTCACATAAACAGCCAAAATAACTTTTATTGGAAACCCTCAAAGATATAGATTTTCCAACTCTCTTAAATAGAAAATACTAAGCATAGGCAAAACTTTTCTTGATAACAGTGTCATCAGAACTCCTGTATCTGAAAGGTGCCAGGTTCCTTAACTCTATTTGCTTGTACACTTAACTACCCCAGACACTGGGCTTTCATGTGTTCCTGCCACCCCTAGAACAGCCTCTCTTCTCAATGCAGGTGAATGTTCGTATGCCTCTGATGTGCCGCCATATTTCCCCGCAATCTTTGGAAGTCAATCTGAGGCTAGACCTAGGCCTCTGCTACAGAGTAATGTTCATGAGTTTTGTGACAGCTACTTCCTCTAAGGAAAGGTTTTTGCTCACTTCTAGATTTATAGCTGTATTCAAGATAGAGTCAGGCATGCACAATGTCTGACTTTCCAGAAAGTGAAATGCTAATACATCGAATCACTTCGAATAAGAAGAGTCCATCTTCACTTTGTGCACTTGCCCCATGTCCTCTGTTTACTCGCAAAACTTCCTGTAAAAGACTGCCAGGAAGCTCAGGGTCAAATTTCACACTAATTCATAGCAACCAATTATTCATGTATTTAGTTACTCCCTATCTGGTTTCATAAAGGTTTTATGACCACTAAGCCTTTATGCTTACCATATCTGGGTTTCCTTTTTACTTTTAAATGCATTTTAACTTTTTTCTTTCCATATTAGTAAACTTTGGGCATGTGCTTTTTAAGTGAATCAGACCAAAAACAGTTTAAAAATAGGCTTAGGCTAGGGACTTCACATACATTATAGTTTTTATTCTTCACAAAAGCCTTCAGATTAGTTATTACTGTTCCCTATCTTACACATGAATTAACTGAGACTCAGAAAGATTAAACAAAACCATGGTCTTATATTTGGTAGTTGTGGGCAAGAATTTTCACCAAGCCCTTTCTGATTCAAAATCCCTGGTTAGCTCTACAAGGACACATGGCCTTTCCAAATAGTCAGAAAGGAAAATACTCTGTGGCCATTACATGTCTGGACAATCACCTAGGGCAGAGGTACAAAGTGGGTACTGAAAATGATGACCTGATTCCTTTAAGAAAAGGTTGTGTATTTTATTAAATATATTACTTTAAGACCTTGAAATTCTAATACACTTCAAGAGTTTTCAACCCAGTATGGTTCTTTTTTCCATTTTTCTAGTTTTAATATCTTGAATAGTCCATAAACCTCAACTTCATACATCTAGAACAATGTATTCCCATGAATTTGGTCTTATTATGGGCTATATTATCTTACTTTTTGTTATTTATGCTGATATTAACATTAGTTATGACCTGTTCCAATGTTAACTCTATAACCACAGTAAATTTACAAACATAATTAGTGACCTATGCTCATCAGATGAGCCATGGACAGCACATTTAACTCAAGGTTATAGTCTATTTTGTATTTGAGCAAATGTAAGTCACCATATTAATCATTGACATTTAATTGCTTAGTATCAAGGCAAAATTACTTGTATAACTTCTATGGCAAAAAACTTTATCCTTATACCAGAAGTTCATTAAACTTAATAAAACATTAATATATTCTATAATACTTATTTTTCTTGGCATATATTCCTGGTATCTCTGAGAAAAAATGGATTTGAACACTCGCTAAGCTTCGCATACGTAAATAAAACAATCTTCCAGTGCTGAGGCAATCACAATGAGAGGTCAAAATAAATGGATTCCAGTTTTTAAAATGACGATAAACCACATCATTTAACTAAATCAAATTTGCCCTCATTTGTGTAATGGCATTTTATATATAACTTTATTACATTATTTTCAGGAAAGCCCATGGAACTCATTAATTTTAAAGTTATTGACCAGCAAAACATGGAAACAGAGGCCGGCTAGCACAACTTTTCCAGTCTATGACAGTTGCTCTACTACCCTGTCAATTTCATTATAAATCTGTGTGTGCTAAATCTCATGTCTTACCGTCAGTTTCTCCTCTAAATTCTTGTTTAATAAGCTTCTTTTTTCACGCTTTTCAAGTTCCATATTGAAAGAGAATGAGAAAGAGAGAAAGACTGAGAGACACAGAGGTTCAGATTCTGTCTAGAAAATGATTCGACGTGCTTACATGTTAGATATTGCAGGACATTCCAAGTTGTGAGAGCCTAGGACACTATCAGAGAGCCCTAGCGATAATTTCTGGTTAGCTAGTGTTTCCATTTATAGATGTTCAAACCCTATAAACAGAGCACTGAAGAGAAGTCAGGCAGCTGGCCTTAGATAATGATAAATGTCCCTAGATATAAAAGCAAACTCTTCAGCAGAATGTTCCAACAGGTTAGGCTCCCTGAACCAATACAGATGTATGTGACAAAAATCCACGATCAAAGAATTCATTAATAGCTGTTGCAACAGAATAAAATATACTCTAGAATACAGACCTAATAAATCAGTTAAAAAGAACAAATGTGATAGTCAGATAGCAAATAAAATCAGCAGATCTAGCGCTTCCAAATTCCAATTTGCAACCTAGTACTGTAGATATGTTTGTATTACTTTGTAGATTTTTCAAAATGTTGCTTAAAGAGGAAGAGCAAAAGTATAACAAATTAAAACTATAAAGACATGCAAATATATATTCAAGGGGTGTTGTCAACTTTATTCCATGGAGAGTTGACAAAATGATGTTTAAAAATACCATGAAATAAAAGTGTTTTCCTTCACAAAAATGGATTTTGTTCTTCATTATCCTGGCTTTTTCACTGGGAGCAAAGTTATGATATAGAAGATAAATCTCATTTTTTTCAGTGGAACAAGTACTTTCAGATTTCTTTAGAAAATGTTACATGCCTTAAAGAAAATTAATTGGGCAACTTAATGGTAAATAGTTCTCCCTGTGTTTTGCAGCAAAACAAAATATGTGGAAGGTAATAGAAGAATAGAAACGGATTTCAGAGTAAACTAAGACTGCTCTCTATGGTGATTTAATACTTCAGCCTGTTTAAAACATCCTTTTAACACCTGTTTTTTGGTTTTGGTTTTGTTTTGTTCTGTTTTGTCTACTTTAACTCAAATTCCCTATCAGCTTTTCCTTCATAAGAAAACATTTCAGAAAATGTGTTGTGGAGCTCTGTCCTTTCAAACGATTGCAGTCAATCCTCTGTTGTCAGGCAGGGTTGCTCCAGAATTTATTCTGCATCATGATGGAAGGTTTGAAGACTCCAGAAGTGAAACACTGAGTAGGCAATAAACCTATCCTTCAGGATGATAAATTCAGAAACACCATATTAGATTCATGGGCAAAAGGGGCTTCCTCTTTTCACTCAAATGTAAATTCCAGAAAGGAAATTATTTATGCTGGTTATTGTTCTAACAAGTTGGAAAACAAAAGTCTTAAAGATTGATTAACATGCAAGATCGGTATGTGTCAAAAGTAAGGCAATTGTTAAAATCTTAAGTGAACGAACTTCCTAAACCTCTCTAGAAAAAAAAAAAAAAGAATCATGCTGTGGCTGCAAAAGGAAACTCAATTCGTGCTCAGCATGCGAGTTTAATGCCTGAAGACTGAATCCAGGATCCGGTTAGGAGGAAAAGGAATGGTGTGTGTGATGCAGAGTTGGTTGGCAGATGAGAATATGGTAGTGATTTGGAAGAGATGTGGTAGGCATGAAAAGTTTTAGTTACACAAACATGTGCTGAGTGCCTGTAATAGATAAAGATTATCCTAGGGGCAGGTAGTTTTTTTTAAATAAAATAATTGAAAATAATAATACAATTTACAAATACAATCCCTGGATTTTGGCCCTCAACAAACTCACAACCGAGGTGCGACTGGATAGTAGCAGGATAATAACCCTCATATAGCACAGTTCCTTGGCATACTCACCGTGCGCTAGGTACCGCTTTAAGGCTTTCCAAATGTTATTTCAATTCCCTTTTAAAATCACTCTAGAGGGTAGATATTATTATCTTCCCCATTGTTATGGGCTAAATTTGTGCCTCCAAAATTCATATGTTGAAGTTCTCATCCCCCAATACCCTAGAATGTGACTGTATGTAAAGAATGTTCTTGAAAGAGGTAATTAAGGTTAAATGAAGGCATTAGGATGGGCCCTAATCCATTATGAGTGGTTCCTTCTAAGAAGAAATTAGAACACAGGCACTCACAGAGGGAAGGCCCTGTGAAGACTCACTGAGAAGATGGCCATCTATAAGTCAAAGAGAGCAGCCTTAGAAGAAACCAACCCTGGTGCTGCAGGGTAAGCAGCAGCTACCGTGAGAAGAGTTTGGTGGGCGATCTCACACCATCTTGCTGGCACAGCCTACCAAAAAGCCAGAAGACAGAACTGAGGCTGACTATGAATCTTTGAACAAATGCATGGACGGCATTTGTAAAATAAATGAAGAATATCTGAAGAGAATGATCCCAACAGCCCCTCTGTCACACTGATATCATCAGTTGTTTGATTTTATGGACGATCTGGCAGACCTCAGCTGCCTGGTTTAGCGAGCTAATACCCAGACATGCCAGCCTTACAACAAAGATAGGATTAAAGAGTTCTATATGCTCCTGAGTCAGCAGTCCCAACAGACTAGGATGTAATTGAGTTGGGAGCACTAGAGAAATGAGGGTGGGCTTCACAGGTGTGTACAAAGAATGAGCTGTAATGGAAGTTTAGGATTACAGTGTTCCTGTTTCCATTTTGTTACACTCTAGCTAGGATTGAATGTATTAGATAAACGTGAGGGTCTTGTTCAACCTGAAGCTCCTGTTGTCCCCCTTTTTTACTTTTACTTTTTTCTTTCTTTATTTAAACATTTTTTGTGATGATTTAGATGGAAGTTGTTCTTGGTCAGTTAACGTTGGCCCCAATCCTTTAAACTGTCCATAACATTTGCTGTACTAAATAGTCTTCACAACGAAGTTAGAGGTGGAAAAATTTTTTGAATAAAAAATAAATTTACAAATATTTATAAAAGGAAGAAACCAACTGTGCTGACACTTTGATTTCAGTCATCAATCCTCCAGAACTTTGAGGAAACAAACCTCTGTTGTTTAAACCACCCAGTCTGTAGTATTTGGTAGGACAGCCAAATCAAACTAACATACCCATTTCAGAGTTGAAAAAGCAAGACACAGTTACACAACTAATAAGCAGCCATCAAGGCCCCTCGCCTAAGCTCCTCTCCAGCCGCTATGCACTTTAGCTTCTCCTCTGAACAAATCACTTCATTACAGGTGTAGCAGGAGACTGGGTAAACAGCACCAGCACTGTGTGGTGAATGCTCTCTCTTCCATGCCTTTTCAGAGATACGTTTGAATATATTTTAGATACGACTGAGGCACAGAAGCTTTCTTTAGATGAAATTATGCCCAGGCAAAAGCTAGCTCTCATCTACTTGCTGGTCAAACAGAAAAGAGACTGAGCCACTCTGGTGTCCTTTCCATTTGTCAGTCACAATAAACATGTTCCTTCCTTGGGAGCTGTCTTCCTGGAGTGCTCTCCCCGCAGATAGTCACGTAGCTCCCTTCTCACTTCATCCAGGCCTTCCCCACCACAAACAGCAAACCCATCACTCTTTGTTCACTCACTTGCTGTTTTCTTCTTCATAGCTCCTATCATCTTTGGTATTAAATTATGTCACATTATATGTTAAGTTTATCCATATGAACTTCTTTGTAGTTTGCCTTCCCTGCTAGAGTATAAGCATGAAACTGTGCTTTATTCATCATATTATTCAGGCACGTACAATGTAGTGTGGGCTAAATAAATACCTGTGAAAAAAAGTAGGGCAAGAGGAAAAGGAAGGAAAGAAAAAAATCAAAGAAGGAAAAGAGAATGAGAGGGAGGGCAGGGAAGAAAATGGATCCAATGAATGAGACTTGAGACACTTAATACATAATCGTTTATAAGACTTTTGATAGGAAACAGGAATAAAATTATATTAATCCAACACAAATCATACTACAATGAATACCATATTGATTGTTCAAGACACAGATCCTACTCACGTAACTATTAAGGGAGAAAGAAATGGATTTAGGAAGCAGGGACAACTGAATTTGTTTGCAGATTCTGCTACTCTCTAGTTGGCTCATTTTGAGCAAACTACTTACTTAATTATCGGAGTCTCAGTTCCCTGTCCCCTAAATAGAAGGATGATACCAACCACATGTGTTGTTACGAAAATTAAGTGTGGTAAATTTTGTGTGTAAGGAACCTAACAGAATGTCTGGCAACAAGCAGGTTCTCAGTAAAAGCGTGTGACATTTTTTCCCTGGTCGACATGACATTTATGTAGGAAAAAGGTGACTTCAAAGATACTATCCAAACCCTAATAAGTGTGGCAAAAAAATTAACTAGACCAGGGATCGCCAACCCCTGGGCCATGAACCAGTACTTTGTGGCCTGTTAGGAAATGGGCTGCACAGCAGGAGGTGAGTGGCAGCTGAGCGAGCATTACCACCTGAGCTCCACCACCTGTCAGATCAGCAGCAGCATTAGATTCTCATCAGAGCGTGAATCTTATTGTGAACTGCGCATGTAAGGAATCCAGGTTTCATGCTCCTTACGAGAATCTAACGAATGCCTGATGATCTGAGGTGGCACAGTTTCATCCAGAAACCATCCCCCACCCCTAGCCCCATCTGTGGAAAAATTGTCTTCTGGGAAGCAAAAAGGTTGGAAACCACTGAAATAGAAAATAAGAGCAAATATTTGCAAGTTATTTATCTGATAAAAGATTTGTATCCAGGATACATAAAGAACTCTTGCAACTCAACAATAAAAAGACAAATAACCCAATGTAAAAAAATGGACAAAGGATTTGAATAGACATTTCTCCAAAGAAAACAAATGGCCAACAAGCACATGGAAAGATGTTCAACATCATAGTGATTAGGAAGCACAAAACAAAACCAGGAAATAACATTTCACACCTATTAGGATGGCTAAAATAAAACACAAACAATAACAAGCATTGGCAAGGATGTGAGGAAACTGAAACCCTCTTACATTACTCCTGAAATCATAAAGGGGCACAGCCACTTTAGACAACAGTGTGGCAATTCCTCAAAATGCTATACATAGAATTACAATATTACCCCAAAATTCCACTGCTAGGTATATACACAAGAGAAGTGACAACATGTGTCCACACAAAACTTCTACCCAAATGTTCATGACAGCATTATTTGTAATTGTCAAAAAGTGGAAAAAACACAAATATCTATCAGTATATGGATGGTAAAACAGATGTGGTATATCCATACAGGGAAAACTATTCAGCAATAAAAAGGAATTAAGTATTAATACATGCAAGAACATGGATGAACCTTGAAAATACAATAAGTGAAAGAAGCCAGTCACAAAAGACCACCTATTACATGATTTATTTACATAAAATGTCCAGAATAGGCAAATTCATGGAATGAGAAAGATCATTTGTGGTTTCCAGTGGTAGGAGGGAAGGCAGAACAGGGAGTGACTGCTAACGGGAACAGAGTTACTCTTTTGGATGATGAAAACGTTATGAAATTAGACATTGGTGATGATTTTGTACAACTTTGAAAATATACTAAAAATCACCAAAGTGTATGTACAGCGTAAAAGGATAAATTTTATAGCATATAAATTATACATTAAGAAGGCTATTACTTTTTTAAAAAAAATTGACAAAGAAAGATTTGTAATTCCTTTTTAAGCTGGAAATTTATTATTTTTCCCAGGAATATACTACACACATAGGGTCCCTCCAAACAGGAAATTAAAATGTAAACTGCAGTAACCAAGCAAGAATTCCATTCAAAATGGAAACAAATGACCGCTGGCACATAATATTTGGTTCAAGATATTGCCACCTCACTTCATTCCTTTGCATTCAATACACCTGCTTCCCAAATAAGTGCCTGATGAATTTGTGCCTGTATTCAAAAACTGGGGGAAAGTGGAACTTGCAGCAATTAAAATTGCTTGTTCATTTACTGGATCAGAGATCCAAATGTAAATTAACTTTAATTGTGGTGATTTTCCCTCACCTGCCATTTAAAAAACTTCCTTCTCCACAAAAAAAGCACAGATAGGTGCTCTACTGCTGAAACCTCACAAGGTAGACAAGGCACGAATGAAAACAAATGCTGTTTTCTTTTGAAAGAATGACAATCTGCCAAACATGGCATAGACAACCCAGAATCTTCCCCATTACATGCTCCAAGGATAAATATCTTTTTACTAAGACAGGGGTCATCTTCTGGGACAATTGATGCTTTTATAAAGGTTTCTTATCATTCCACATAGCCCATCCAGAACATGAGTCCGTTATTCCCCCCTTGATCAATTCAGAAGCCCACGTAATCTCCACACCCATTTAGTGATGGACCAGGATACTATACTCAGCACATGCTTCAGGTACCCAAGGGCCTAATCCAAATGTAGCTCAGACCCAGCATTGAGCACTGATCTCAAACAGTTAACTTCTGATCTGTTGGTGTTGCTCTTAGTTCAGAGCTTATGCCTTTGTCTCTAGAAAGCTGTGTTCCAATTGGTGGTCACAGCATTGGGGAGGGAGGTGGCTGTAGGCAAGCGAGAGAATGGTTCCCAGCTCTTTCTGGTTGTCTCAGCATCCTTACCTGAATCTATTTATCAGCTTTGGCAGCTGCAAACTCTTAAGGAGCAGCTGTCAACTCTTCTACGGGAAGACTTTTAACCTCCCATCACCACCCTTTTTAAGGCATCCGTGATGGCTTCTGTAGGCAAGCAGTACTGAGTTCTAAAAGTTGTGGTGGGTACTCAGAGCTTGTGAAAAGATAATGTCTATAGAGGAATTTCTTAAAGTTGAATTCGTCACTATACAACAAATATTGTTTGTAAGTTGAAGCTGCCAAGCAGATAAAAAAGCCAACCCCAAAATATCAGTAGATGATAATTATGATAATGACAGCTTAACAAACTTGTACCTTTGTAATTACTGTTCTTCAGTGAAACATAAACTATTTCTACTGGAATGTAAGTTTTTTAACTTCTTCTGATACTGGTTGTCCCCTTATTTTGGTTCTGGGCCATATTTTTTGAATGACTATAAAAAATACATTTTAGTCCATCTAAGGGAGAAAACATGTTCTTTCTAAAATTACTTCTGAGGCAGAGTGTTTTTTGAAGCATTAGAAAATATTTGAATCAAGTGAGAACTGTAAGAACTTTGAAAAGTGCTTTTTTAATTTGTGCACCATCTTAAAAAAATGCAATTCCTTTATTGGAAACTTATTGAAAAGTAAAATGTGAGGTTTTAAAAAACTACTGCTATTAACATTGGTGACAATTTCTACATAGCAATAGTAATTCGGATATAAAACTAAATTCATACCTTCAGAGTCTGTAAAACAAACTGGCTAAAATCAGTTGAGAATCAAGTCCAGCATGTTCCGTTTTCTCAACTACTATATAATAGCACGTTTTCAAGGGGCTTTCAATTTATTTTCTCTTGTGCATGGTTACATCCACAGAGGTACTTGGTTGAACAGGATTTGCTCTTGCATTTGCAGTCAATATATTTCTAGGCCCTTTCAACGGTCGATACACTTCCTAGTAGTTCCTAGTAGCCACTTTCTGTCTGTCTGTCTGTCTGTCTCTGTCTCTCTCTCTCTCACACACACACACACACCGTTGCTATTTCAGGAGTAAAGACAACAAACCAAGGTGAACTGACAGGATTTTAGGGAAAAGGACTCAGAAGCAGAATTACAATGTGTCTTTCTAACTTTGGAAAGGAGTTCCGGATTTAAGTTTTTCTGGGTCTTTTTGACTTAATCAATACAACCAGATTCAACACCTAGCTCACCCCTCCCCCAAACCCAGCAGCTTAACTGTCATGGTTGTGTTGACATGATAAATCACTTTGCCCCCAAAGTAACAGCTCGGTGCCCTTTGAGACAGTGTGCCCAAAATGTACTTTCAGTTTTATCAGTTGAAATTGTAACATGTTCCAAAGCAATCTGCACTTATACAGAAAGAATGCTTACCTTTCTACTGACTTGGAAGCAGTCTGCAGGACAGTAATCCATCAGGGAGGTCAACGGCCACATTCCCAGAACAGCTGACCCTGTCAGTCTTCGGAAAATACTGTTTACTCTGTAACTAATACTGGATACCAGGCACAAGAGGCAGAAACCAAATTTTAAAAAAAGAGTTTGGCATAAACCTCATTCCCACTGGGACCACTTCACAAGAACCGTAGTTGCTAAGTTCCCCCCAAAATATTTCTTTATAAGAATGTCTTAGCAATAGTGGGAATTTTGAGTCAAGTGTTGAAAGTTTTGCAACATATCCAACTATCTAATTTTTAGTGTACTGATGAAAATTCTTTAAGCTTCCCTAAGGACATAAGTGGTAACAGAGTAAAATGTTACTGAAAATTGAATTTATCTTCTATTATGTTGACTGGATTTTTTAAGTAAAATTAAAAGTCCTTCTGAAGTGAAATGTCCATTACTCCAGAGAAGGAAAGTCGGAATTATGCAATAGATGTCCATGACAAGGCTGAACAAACTCCACAGTCAGGCAGGACAATTGCCCTGCTTCCCAGCCACCAAAAAATGTCCAGAGAGGGCAGACTTCTGCTGAACCTTCCTCAGTTCCCACAAATTTTCTTCGCTAATTACTCTCAACAGAAGTGAGTCTGCGTTACCCCAAAGGCCACTACTTCAATGTCTAGCCTCTGTGCAAAGGGATCCAACTTTGGGCTATGGCCCATGTGGAAGTCCCATTTAAAGCATAGCCAGGGAAGAGACTCAGAATTTGAAAAGCAAATTATTGCTCATTTACTTGATTATCTGTGGAAAATATATCATCTCAGATTAGCTTTGTCATCCCACCCTGTAAATCATCCCACCTGCCTTCTATAGTGTATTTTTAAAAGAAGGAAGCTATCACAATTTATTTGCCTTTTGGGATCATTCACATTGTAACTCAGGGTTCCCTAGTAACTTGTAACTGTGGCACACTGAGTTTCTGCTGTTTCAAAAGGTTCCAGGAAGAAGCCCAGCTATAGCAAAACAAAAACCAGGTAAAACCAGAGGTGCCTGAGTTGGAGATGAAGTTTGGTGAACTCTCCCTATTACCATACTTAAAAACCCCACCTAGGGAGGAGCTTATTCACCATTTTCTATACCTGCAATATATGAAGAAGCATGATCAGGACTGTGCCTGCACTGCCTTTACCCTGCCTTTCATACAATGACTAAGCCAACCAGCCTAATGAAAGCCCTGCTCTCATCTTCCTTTGGAGAGACACACTGCTTTGGGAACTATCCCCAGTGTTCTCCTTACTTGTTGCAAGTAACAAAAATCCCCTTGGTAAATCCTCCTTGGTTGTGGTCATTGGGTTAACACCTGCCAAGCGACCAAAACCATCCATTGTGTGGGTCACACCACTACTCTCTTTCATGATTTGCACTAGTTGAGTTGATTGATGTTGGTGATTTCTAAATGAATGCTTATGCAAAAAACAATGTTATTTTAGGACATTATTCGATTATTTTCTATCCAGTTCAATAATTTGATAATCATGGGTCGAGTATGTCAACATCCCTGTGTGGACACTGACAGCTTTCAGGAGTTGAACGCACAGTCTACTGTCAAGAATTTAGTTAGAAATGAACAGAATTGTATACATCACAGCAGGCTGAATGTGCTAAGTGCTAAGTTAGGAATATAAATGATGTGCTTTAAGAGCCAAAGAAACAAAAGACGATTCTGTCTGGGGACATTGTTCATGATTTCACACAGATGATAGATTTGAGCTGGGCTATCCTAATCCTTGCTGCTAAAAGTGATCTTTGGACATCAACATTTACATCATGTGAGAGCTTGTTAAAAATTAAAAACGTGAATCCCACCCCAGACATACAGAGAAAGAATCTGCACTTTAATAAGGTCTACAGGCTAATCATATGGGCATTCAAGTTTCAGAAGCACTGATTTATCTACTTTTAGAATGGCTAGAGATATAGAAAGAAGGACATGTCTGCGTACACAAAAATAATGAAAGCCAGTAGAAATAGAGGATTAATAGAGTATCTACAGAGGATTTACGTCTGTCACCTAACAGTAATGGGAAAAAAACACCACAACCACTTATTATGACCCAGTAACTCTGCTAAATGATTGATTATGCTATCTCATTTTGTGCTCTCAACAATCCCTTGAGCTAGCTGCATCATTTCACAGATGAGAAAGCCAACACTAGCAAGGGTTAAGTAATTTTCCAAGTCTACATAGAGAGAAAAGAGTAGATAGAGCCAGGATTCAAAACTAATATTTACTTCCAAACTAGACCTCTCAGCCACTACCTACTCTAAGCCTTGGATTTTCTCCACCAGGAACAAATCCCAGTCCTTATCAACACTCCCCTAGAGAAAAATAAGAGGGCCTGAAGCCCACAGGTAGAGCATCCCAGGCAGCCCACACTCTATTCCTCCTTCCATCCTTCTTTCTTTCTTTCTTAAACTTCCACATCTGTTGGAATAAGAAGGGAAGACTGACAATACTGTTTTGGTGACTAAGGTAATTATTTTTTCATTAAAAATAGAACTTTTGGGAGACTCTCTTGGGCAACCCCCTTTCTCAGCATGAGGCAGCTTCCTCTCCCTTTTTTTTTTTTTTTTGTCTATTAAACTTCCCGCTCCAAAACCCACCCCCAATAAAATAAAATAAAATAAATGTTTTATTTTATTACCAACTAAATTTATATATACCACAGAAATTTTGGAAAACACAAAGAGGTACAAACAGAAAATTTTAAATTATCTGTAAAACCACAACTCAAATATACCACAGTTAACATTAAGATATATTTCCAGCCGGGCGTGGTGGCTTATGCCTGTAATGCCAGCATTTTGGGAGGCCGAGGCGGGCGGATCATGAGGTCAGGAGATCAAGACCCTCCTGGCCAACATGGTGAAACCCTGTCTCTACTAAAAATACAAAAATTAGCTGGGCATGGTGGTGTGCACCTGTAGTCCCAGCTACTCAGGAGGCTGAGGCAGGAGAATCGCTTGAACCCGGGAGGCAGAGGTTTCAGTGAGCCAAGATCACGCCACTGCACTCCAGCCTGGTGACAGGGCAAGATTCCATTTCAAAAAAAAAAAAGATATATTTCCTGCCAGGCTTTTTTATATATTTTAATACTTTATATAATTAGTAGTGTACTGTCCATCCTGTTTTGTGACTTTTTTATTAAACAACACATTATGAACAATTTCCTTGTCATTAATGCTTTTATTCATGAGTATTCCTAAAGGTTAGATGGTGGCAATATAATTTTTGTCTGGCCTCGCCAAGAGTCAGGGAACAGAGGCTAGACAATGGCACAAGTGCAGAGAACAGGCTGGACACAACCCACCTTAATGATTGGTTCTTCCCTTTATCATTTTAAAATTGATATTGGTCACATTAAGTTTGTTTACAATAACAAATAACTGCATATTATAGGCAAATAAAATTATCAAATTTCCCAAAAGTAAGAAAAACAAAATCAGTGAAGCACTGTAATTCTACGTCCATGAATAATCTATGCTTCTTACTTGCTATAAATGGTGTGTCAGCAGGAGCTCTTGATAAAATATCTATTGTTTTTTAAAAATACATCAATCATTATGTACACTATAATATTCTAGTAGTAATACATGCTCACTAGAGATATTTCCAAAAACACCCAAAAGTAAAGCCATCTTATATAGTAATACTTGATTGCAGGAACAGAAACTGACTTGAGAATAAATAATAATAACACTGTATATTATAAGCCAGGCTTCATGAAGGCTACAACCAGAAACTGGAAAGTCATCATTAACCAGTTCCTCTGTTAGATCTCATGAACTCTTGTCTTTTTCTTTCTTTGTATATCTGCTTTTGTCTTATTTTCCTGAAAATCTGCTTTCTTTGTGCAAGTGGGAGAAGATGCCCGCACCTCCAGTCCAAAATGTTCATGTCTCTCAATCCAAGGCATGCATACAAACTGACTTGTTTTCTCTGAATTTCCAAGTCTAATTCCCAGAAGAAAAGATCCAGTTTGCCCACCATGAGTCAGGTGTCCATCATGATCCAATCTGCAACGGGTAGTGGGAGGTTAGAAGTGGTGGTAGGTGAGGAAGGGAGGAGGAGACCGGGCAGAGTCACATATTCTCAACACAAGGGAGTTGAGGAGGCATCATTAAAAGGGTCTACTAAAAACTGGGAAAACAAAAACAAACCAAAAATACAACTAAAAATGTTAATATTTTCCTGGATTTTATCCCAATCTGTTTTCTATTCTTACATTTAATAATATTTCCTTCTAGGCTTTTCTATATATAGTATATTTTAGTTGTGATAATGATGTATAAACTTTATACCTTAATATAAGAATTCTTCATATTACTGTAAAGTCTTGAAAAATATTTTAAATCAGCAAAGCACCAATTAGTCAATGTGCAATATTTTGTAACCATTCCCATTTCATTGGAAACTCAAATTATTTCCCATGATTTCAAATAAATCTGAGATCACCACCTTTGTGTACAGAAAGCTATTTTTCTATTTTGAATTACTTCATTAAAACTGACTTCCAGATGCTGAATTTTACCAGAGTAAAGATAACGAAAATTGTCCAAGTTCTTGATAGATACTGCTAAATTTCTTTCCGAAAGGGTTGCATGAATGTGTCTTTCACATATCCTCATCAGCATAAGACATTATTGTATTTAAAAATTTCCCATAGTTAACAATAATTTATTGTTGAAATAACTGAAAGAGTAGAATTGGAATGTTCTTAACACAAAGAAATAATAAACGTTTAAGGTGTTGGATATTGCAATTACCCTGATTTGATCATTACACAGTGTATGTTTGTATCAAAATATCACATGTACCCCATAAATAGTAAATATGTGCAACTATTATGTATCCATAAAAATTAAAGATCATCTTTTAAATTGCTATACTGGAAATTTAAGATAGAAGTAACATTTACTGGCTTTTTTTTTTTGAGACAGAGTCTCACTCTGTCACCAGGCTGGAGTGCAATGGTGCAATCTTGGCTCACTGCAAGTTCTGCCTCCTGGGCTTAAGAAATTCTCATGCCTCAGCCTCCAGAGTAGCTGGGATTACAAGTGTGTGCCCCCACACCTGGCTAATTTTTGTACTTTTAGTAGAGATGGGGTTTCGCCATGTTTGCCAGGCTGGTCTCAAACTTCTGGCCTCAGTGATCCACCCGCCTCAGCCTCCTAAAGTGCTAGGATTACAGGTATGAGACACGGTGCCAGACTTCAATGGCATTGTTAAAGCAACATGAGTATAAACATGGTTTCTTCTATGTAACTGTTGAGGCTTAATCACCACACATTGGCCAATTATCATTAAACCTCCTTTAGCAGCCAGGACTAAACGCACCATTCTTCCTTGGTACCACCCTTCATTCATCCGACAAACATTAGTTGACCACCTGTTAGCTGCCAAGCACTGTTTGAAACTTAGAAATAGAAATATATAGATATATGGTCCCTGTTCCTAAAGGTACTGTTACATGAAGGATGGCAGCCCTCATGGAAATAGACACAATAGAGAGGAATCACTGCATCCCACTCAGGGCTTCCCTGCATAGCCCTGGAACTCCCTCAGTGATACACACCCGACAGGTCCTCAGGTCAGTTCTGGTCCTTCAGAAAGTTCCAAGGAATGAGGGAGGGTAGCACTCTGAACACATTTCAACCACAAATCCCAGGCTTACCTAGCACTTCGCTTTTCCTGCTTAAATGAAAAAAGAATGGCTAAAAATGTGTTATAAGAATGGATGAGGCTGGGCGCAGTGGCTCATGCTTGTAATCCCAGCACTTTGGGAGATGGAGACAGAGGTGGGCGGATCAATTGAGGTCAGGAGTTCAAGACCACTGGCCAACATGGTGAAACCCCGCCTCTACTAAAAATACAAAATAACAGCCAGGTGTGTGTGGTGGGCACCTGTAATCCCAGCTACTTGGGAGGCTGAGGCAGGAGACTCGCTTGAACCCAGGAGGCAGAGGTTGCAGTGAACCAAGATCATGCCACTGCACTCCAGCCTGGGTGACAGAGTGAGACTCTGTCACAAAAAAAAAAAAAAAAAAAAGAATGGATGAGACGTTCCTTTGGAATTTATTCAAACATATCAAAGTTTTTTAAACCCAGCTATAACATCTGGAGCAGACAAAATCTACACTCAGTAGTAGATTCTTATGATCTCTCTTTTTCTCTCTCTCTCTCTCGCACCCTCCTTCCCTCCCTCTCACTGACTAGTTTATTAATATAAATGTTGCTCCCAATTTGAGAAGTTCATTGAGGCATAATTTAGAATTAATAAGCTCAGGCAATAGTATACAATTAATGTACTTCCCAAGTTAGGCAGGAGTTTAATGTCACCTCATAAAACCAAGTCTTTGTAATTATCGAAGTGCCAGCTGTGAACTGATCAGGAACACAATAGGAATTTTGTTAATTATCATTACCCAGAGGAAAATAATTAGTTTCTTTGTAGGGAGAATAAAAACAAATGTTGCTATTTTCATTTTAATTTCAACCACTGAAGTTGATAAAACTCAGAATTGGTCTACCAGTTTTGGTCCTCCTATTTCTAAATATTACAAACTCATTAATGCATTAGCAGATTGCATGTTAATCTTCATGTCCATAAATTAATTGGAACACTAGTCACTGGATAATTGGTACATTGTTTTTAGGGGGCATAAAATAACCGCCAAACCCCAAGGTAAAAAGGGCGACTGAAACACCTTTGGAGAGAATGATATAATCTAGCTTTCTTAAGACTTCAAAGCTTCATCAAAGTCTTCTTTAACCCATTATCTTTTCCTTTAAGCATGGCAAATTGACTTTCCTTCTCCCCTACACCTTGCAGATAAATCTCAAAATCATCAGATCAGAGTAACAGGGAGTATTTATTGGCCTAACTGAAGAACTTGGGTCCAATTGCAGCCTTCTCTTCTCTAGAGCCATCAGGCATGAGGACCCACTGTCCACTTCGGTTAGAAACCACACTGTCCATAGGGAATGCTATGTTTTGTTTGGAACACAGTATGGTACTTCTGAAATATTGAAGATAGTGCTAGGCCATTTGGGTAGCTCAAAAATGCAATAATGGCTGGGCACAGTGGCTCACACCCTTAATCTCAGTACTTTGGGAGGCTGAGGCAGGAGGATCTCTTGAGCTCAGGAGTTCAAGATGAGCCTGGGCAACATAGCAAGACCCTGTCTCTACAAAAAAAAAAAAAATTAAAAAATTAAAAAAAAAAAACTAACCAGGCATGATGGTGTGCATCTATAGTCCTGGCTACCTGGGAGGTGGAAGTAGGAATATCCCTTGAGCCCAAGGTGTCAGGGCTGCAATGAGCTATGACTGCACCACTGCAATCCAGCCTATGTGACACAGTGAGACTCTGTCTCTAAAAAAGAAAAACAAGCTAAAAGATGTTGAATGATTTATTGTTTTTAGATTTTTGGAGCTTTCAGGAAGCCTACAGATTACAAAGTGCAAGCAGACACAAGCATTAAAAAACAAGAATGTCAGGAATTCTGACCCTAGGGGCAGATAAGCAGTCACATCCTTTGCCCTAGGATGTAGAACTCAAGCCTAAACCTACAAATCTTGATTTTACAAATCCATCTCATGTCATTTTCATTCCATTAATTAAAGACATTTATGTGTCACTAAACGTCTTTCAACAGATCAGCTTTGCCGCATAGGTCCAAGTAAGAGCTTGGAAGAGAAAAGTGTTTGAGTCCAACGTCTATATTTAAGGCTTTTGGCATTTACTTACATTCTTTGGGCCTCAGTTTCCTATCAGAAAAATGCAGATAAGAATAGCAACTTTGCCACAGTACTGTTTAAGGGATGAAGTGCAAAAAATTATCACTATACATCAGTATTCTCTTTGTGGAAACTGCTATTCCTCTAATTACTCTATGTTATCAGTAGATGAACAAACCTGAACAACAAACCAATAGTCAAGTGTCCATGGAGAGAAATTATTGTTGCAATTGAGTGAAACAAGTTGGTGGTGTGATATATGTAATGACTTGCATCACTGCCATTGTGCTGCATACTAATTAGTTATAAATAATAAGCCATAGATATAAATGTCTATAATTAGTGTTGCTTTTACAGGAAAGTTCAATTTTTCATTTTTCTTTTCTCATTTTGTCCATTCTCCATATCTGTAATCAGCATCAACATCAGCAATTTTTCAAAGTACAGCTTCACTATAATCACTCACAGGAACAATCACCCACATTAAAAGATAAAGCCCCTTGCCCTTGAACCAAGATGTTCTTACTTCAATGCTAGGTGTTTCAATTCATGGTTCAACCAGGAACCTTCTCCACTGGGATTTGCAATACTAGAGGCAGTAAAACATCTGGACCATGAGGTCACTTCTTCTCCTTGGAAGGCAATGGAGGATTGTTCACAGCATAAAGAAAAAGAGGAAGCAAGTCAACATCTGTGGAGGCACTCACAGGTATTTGGCACTGCTAGATGCTTTTCAATTTTGTATCTACATCTCCTACCACCCTCATAAGATAACTATGACATTATCCCCCTCTTACATGTGAGTAAGTTATACCTAACAAATGTCAAATAACTTATCTAAGTCCCCAGCTAGAAAGGGCAGCACAAGAGTTTGAACTGAGATCTGCTCCACATAAAATCCTAGCCTGCTATATTAGCAAGTGAGTCAGAGCAAAAGCCCTGAACTCAAAAGTATGTGGGTGTGTGGCCCAGGAGGGCAGAATCCAGGGAGACGGAGCTCTGAAACCTAGGAAGTGAGAGTTTTGAAAGAGATGAAGAGGATCAAGGATTGATCAAGGAAAGGGGAGAGGGGAATTAAGTCAGTTCATGATCACTTTCACTGTAAAAGTTTTGCTCTGGGAAAGGCAATGGATGAGTTCAAGGGTGTATCAGCTGGGCTTTGGTAGTGGAAGCAGAGTCACTATGAGCATTATGGTAAATCCATAAAGCATTTACCATAGGAATTAGAGTTTACAGAATTGTGGGAAGAGCAAGGAAAGGAAAGTTCTGGGAGAGGGAGTTGGAGGATGGAAAAGTCAGGAAGCACTGACTCAGGTTGGCAAGACAATGCTTTCAGAGAGACTTGAGAAGCCAAGCACAGCCAATCTATGAAGCAGGGCTGTGAGCAGGCGCTCAGGGAGACCTCAGGAGAGCTTTTGCCTTTGGCAGCTACTGCCTCTGTGGGTCTGGAATCAAGCATCTGGTGGTGGGCCTGGGGCCACAGTGGTCAGCAGGTCCTGTACTCTGGATGATGAGAGGACCACCATGTGGAGGACAGTGAGGATAAACTGGGACCCACCAGGTACCTCTGCATCTATTCATCTTTGTATCTGGTGTGCTTCCAATAGTGTATTTCCACTAAAGTTCCTCTCCTGACTAATGCTACAGGAAACTCCACAGGAAGGGGATTCTCCTAATGTACTTCCAAGCTTAATCAAGCTGTCAATAGGCACAATTTAAGACAAAGAGTGATGCAGGAAAATCAGTTAGGAAGCTATGTTATAGAAGTCCATGCACGATGTGACCAGTAGAGAGAAAAAAAATGATTTAAGAAACAGGAAAAAAATGCAAGTGGACTTGGCAATGCACTAAACAAATATAAAGAATTTATTTTTAAGGTTAACACTAGCTAAAATTAGAACTATCACAATTGATAGATAAATTGTAATTGGCAACAATGATTTACACAAGCACACTAATAGTCCAATTCTAGCATTATCAAAGGATTTTAAACCTACATTGGGAAACTTTTGCCTCTTGCAGCACATTGAGCAGAAAAAGCCATCAATAAACTATTTTAAAATTTCATGTATGAAAATATTTTTCATACGAAATGCTATCAAAACTTTATAAAAATAAAATTTATTAGAGGTGATACATGATTTTACTCACCTACGACAGGTTTTCTTGTGAGTGTAAAAAAATTATGCCAGATTTTTAGCGGTGAAGATTCTTCCTGTGTTAGGAGGATTGAAGACCTATGACTCCAACAGCCAAAAGAGTAAGATGTGCTTGGAATGCTTGCCTTCCAGAATATTTGAAGCAATTAAGCAATTTGCTCTTATTTCCTCTAACTACTGAAAAATCAAATATCGTAAGAATCCCTGTTGACCCCCAAATCCATCCATCACAACATATTGAGGCTCCCCTAACTGACCCACAAAGTAAATAAGCCTTAAAGGATACAAAAGAAAAGGGTCTTCTCTAGCTTTCTTAGGAAACAGAAAAACCAACAGCTTTTCAGGTAAACCCCGTGTGAGCATCAAAATCTCTCTCTTCTAAGTGACACCACAGGCATAATGTAAGGATCATTGGATTGAGAGTTTAGATATCCAATGTTTCTTGTTTTGTCTCTGATACTAATTAGTTACTTTGTCTCACTGAGAATCTACTTTTTGTCATTAAAATGAGTGAACTAGGCCATATAATCTTTGTCTTTTTTTTTTTTGTTATGTAAATCTTTTTTTTTTTTTTTTTTTTTTTTTGAGACAGAGTCTCACTTTGTCACCCAGGCTGGAGTGCAGTGGCGTACTCTCAGCTCACTGCAACCTCCGCCTCCCGGGTTCAAGCAATTCTCCTACCTCAACCTCCCTAGTAGCTGGGATTACAGGCACCCACTACCACACCCAGCTAATTATTTTTGTATTTTTAGTAAAGACGGGGTTTTGCCACTAAATCTAATAGTGACCATACAGTAATAGGCTCAATAAATTCCATCCACTCTCTGAGCAAAACATAATGCAGAAAGTTCTTGAAATCTTTGTCTACTGCTAGTCTGTCTACCAGCCACATCCCTTAAAGTCTCCATATGGAATCATATTTTGGTTTAAAGTTGGACAGTTTCCTTTAGCCAATAGTACTTTCTGGTCAGACATTTTATCAAGATCCCAAGACCCCTAACCATGAGCAACATTTCCTTTCATCTGTGGGTCCTCAGTAGTTACCTGCTTTTCTTTCTGAAACACACCCTGTTTCACTTGAATGCCAGTAATAACCTCTCAGATAGATATTGGGGGTGACATTACAGACATTTTCTAATGGAAGTTTCTGAGGGCCAAGGAAATTAAATGGTCAACCAATGCCATTTGGGATGTTTGTTACTGTGAAGTCATCATGCCTCCAGACTCATAATCTTATGTTCCTTTTCTTATAATTTGCTGAAGGGATTTTTAGATTATAATGTCTATCGGGAGCAACCATTTTGAGAGTTACAAACATTGTATAAGATAATTAGAAACAAGATTCATAACACAGAGGTGTTTCATTTCTGTTCGCTGAAGCAAGCTATTGGCCATTGTGAACCCACTGACCACAGGGTCAGCTTGCATAAACGAAAACAGAATTATGTCACTGCACCTTGTCCAGAACTGTTATTGTGCAAGTTAACTAAATTTATGTAGTTCTATGTCCTGCACAGATGCGGGACTTTTCTTCTAGGTCACTTTGCAAGCCGGGGGCCCCCAGCTGGCAACTCCTTTCCAGGCCTCGCTCTGCCACACTGGCATGCCCCAGCTTGCCTGTGTCATAGCTTGTACCCCTGTTTGGTGATTCCTGAGCTCTTCTACTGCACCCAAGAAGGATGAGGATACACTGGACATTGAAGGGTGAGGAGGGCAGAGAATATTTTTATTGAGCAATGGAACAGCTCTCAGTGGAATGGTGAAGCAGTGGGTGATTACCTAATCCAAAGGCAGGAAAGTCCCCCATGTGGCTGGGTCGCAGGCTTTAAACCTTCCACTTGAAGGTGGGGTTTCACTGTGTACCCGCTCCTATCTGCCTAGGCATTTGGCTGCCTCCTGTCTCTATCAGCACTAGAGATAGCAAATATAAGCGTCTTCATCAGCCAACCAAGCACTTTTAATTAGTTAGGTGAGTATGTTGTAAAACAACAGAAAATGAAGACTGTAGTGAACCAGATACTACCTACCCTTACTCAGCTCCAGCTTACTGTTGCCATATGGGAATGCAGGCCCAGGATTTCCAGATCTTCTCATTTTTCCAGAAAAACTAGTTTCATCTGTGAAATCTCTTGATTGTGAAATGTTGGAAACTAATTCAATTTTTTATTCTGTACAGGTTAAAAAAAGAAAAAAAACAAAACAAAAATATCCCACTATCCATGCCCGTAGGTCAGAGTAGGCCAGCAGATCACCAATATACAGTTCCTACTAAATACTAGTGTTAATACAAGAAAAATATTTGACTTATTGGTTTACAAGTTGCAGAAAAGTGAAACCAAAACTAAGTTCTAAGGAATTAGCATCAGGTAAAAGTAGAAGGCTATAGCACAATTATCATGGATAGGATGAAGACCAAAGTCCTGAGTAAAGTATTTGCCTAAATTTCCACCCTTTGTGCCTATGATCCAGCCATATGCAATCACTTGTTCTTGAGTAAACCATACACTCTGTCACTTCCAGGCCTTTGCACATGCAGGTCCTCGTGTCTAGATAACTTCCATAGCTTCCTCTTGCTTTTATCAATCACCTTATCTTCATGCTCCAGATCACAGGTCAAGTCTCATCTGTTCCAGCTAATAGAGAGCAGCTCCACACCCTATCTGATGCTTCTGTAGTGCTAAGCTCTATGCTTTGTGATTCACACAGTACTATTCTTGTCTGTTTTCTTGTATTTCTTCCTGATGAATCCAGAAGCGACTTAAAGGCAAAATCCCTGTTTTATTAGCATTTGTAGTCTCAACTTCTAAAACATTGTATGGAACATAGTTAGTGAAAAATATTTCTTAAATGAATATATGTGAAATAATGTAATAAAGATATATTTTTATAACCTTTCAGATAATCAATTTGAAAGGTAAAAATATTATTTCAAGTAGAAAATGAGCAGCATTTCTATTTTCAGTTTACAGAACTTCCTGAGAATCCTTTATATTTAAAATTATAAGCAAAAGGCAGGTCCTTTCCATTTCTTCCTGACTTAAAAGTAGATATGATGGCTGGATTGATGACAGCCATGTTCTAATCACAAGGAAAAGGCTTAAAGAATTAACAGAGATGTCAGACCTGACATAGTTAAGTCATTGAGCCAACTCCACCATCCAATAATGTCTGGGATTCGTTTTCAAGAAAAATTAACTTTTTTTTTTTTAATTCTAAGCTAAGATACTTTAAAGAGAGGCAGTATCCACTCAAGGAAAAAGCATCATTCTAGAAGGAAAGATTTATTCTGGTAAAGGGAAATAAAAAATAATTATACCATATGTGAATTAATGAAGCTTCTTAGAAGAAAAGGCTGCCCTACATGAATTAAATTATTATTACTTACTATCTCTTCCAAACAAATGCACATACATATAAAGTTACTCACTAAATTGAAAGCATACTTTATTTCTGAAGAAAATAAGTAGCATTTAGAAACCAGGGTATTTGTACATAAAGCAAAGACTGGGTTATACAGCACACAAAACAAGAAGGGAAAAATCTATACAATTACATTAACCAGTTTTTTCCAGTGGAACTAATGAATGTAAACATCTCCTTGGTTTCTTTCACACCATTGCCTGTGAGGTTTTTAAAAATACACTTAAAGTGAACATTAGGACATTTTTAATATGACAATGACTTCATTTTATTAATACTGTTTCCAAGTTATACAATCCCTAACTCAAGTTTCAGTTAGTGTTTGCAAATGAAAGACAACCTAAATGGAGTTACATTTTCTTTCTTCTTTTGAAAACAACTTTGTTGAATTGTTAAACCAACTAAGGCACTGGTTTCTATTATTTTTCAACAACAGAAAAATATAAATGGCAAAAATATTAAAGTGTCTTTCTAGCAGAGTCCATAGCTGAGTAAAAAGCATTATTCAAAGAGTCTGAATAAGGGAGCACATCACCACTGGCTCCGTCTTCTGTCTCAGAGTCACCTCAGTCTTGAAATACTGAGTCAATATCCTCAGAAGCCGAAGGACGTGTCAGGATAATCCGAGGTAACTTTGAGATAATCAGAGGTTGTTGAAAAATGAGATGGAGTGGTTTTTAAAAGTAAGGAGGCTAGTGGAAAAATAAGCCAAATGTCAGGAATTGCCATAGAATATGAGTAATCAAGTCAATGTAGTTACAGACAAAGCTGTGATAAAAGCATGAATAAAACAACGTGGCAAATGTTTTAAGTGGCAGAATGAAAAAAATGGATGCAATGAATCCAGTTAGGGCTAGTAAGCCAATAAAACAGTGTTAAGCACTTTAAGAGTGTCAGTCTAACTTTGATATTTTATTACCAATATATGACATGTGCATAATCTGTGCATCAGATGATAATAAGTGCTGGGGTTCACCTGTAATTAAAAGGCCTCGTAACAATTTGCATAGATTTTGGTACACTGTACAGGGGTCTCAAAGTACTCAATGCCAAAACACTTTTTTCTTTCAAACTATAATCTTTAACAGCTACTAAAGCAAAATGATTTAATCAGAATCCCAAATGCTAACAAATGAATGTGTTATTTGCAAGCATCATTTAGTAAGGCAGATTTCACCAAAGTGAAATCCTCATTAGTTTTGTATTATGAAATACAGACAAGAACCAGAAAAGGCCAAAGGACATATATTCAAATCTTTGCCAAAAAGCCTCTTCAAGTTTAGCTATTCTATGGCCGCTATATACTGCTGGGACTCACTGTAAAGAAGAGAAAATCCCCGTCCAGAACGCCAGATTAACGTAACATTTTAAAACTGCAAAGAGTGGGAAAATAAGGTCACATTGGGAATGCAGTCCCAGCACATTGAGCTTTTACTATCTCGTAGTAAAATGTGCATATGTATGCTCTGTGTGCCTGGCATTTTATTCATAAAAAAACATGCATAACAGAGATGAGAACCACAATGGACTCTAATCTATGCTCTAAAGGAATAAACAGATGAAAACCAATCTGGACAAGAAAATTCAGTGAGTCAGGCTCAGAAAATGAAAGCAAGTGTGTCTTATATTTTCTAACACACAATATGGCCAAATATTTATAGTCAAAGCTTGGTGGAGAGCTCTAGCAATTATTGCTTCCAGCCATTTAGGTCTCTGGTTTTGAAAGAACACTTTAGTATTACTAATTTTCCAGATAATAGGAGGCAGTGTAGGAGACAATGTTTTCATCATACAATGTGTAATATTAAACTATAACAAATGTACTTACTTAATCTTTCATTTCTAACTTCAGAAAATCAGAGCAGCTTTCCTATTATTGTGGGGTAAATGAGGCTTTATCACAAACATAAGTCATTTGGAGTCCATAGCTCCTTGAGTGATATGTATAACTAAGAAGACCTGAGAATCACAGACCTAAATCTCATGTCCAGATAATTGAGAATAAAATCTAAAAAATTGAGTTGCTAAATGTAGATTTACTTCCAAAAACCTTAGTGATAAACTTCTAGATTTTTGAATATGTTTTGTATATACTAGAAAGCCTGCATTTCCTTTCGTCATCATCAAAACAATTTGACTGTTCTCTTTCCCGCGTGTTGCTACACTGTGAACGAGTGTGGGCTGTTCCTTCTCTCTAAGACCATGCTTTTCAAAAAGTGATCCAAAGACCCTTATACCGTCTTCGCTGTGCTACTAGTTAAGCAGCTGAAATACGAAGGCCACACTCCCCACTTCTAAATAAAAATGTTTAATGATAGAGCTCAGGAATCTGCATTTTTAACAAAGTTTGAGAACTGGTGCTAGGGAATGTGACCACTCTACTATTTTAGTTGTGACACTTAATTCAGATACTCCCATTAAGTGAATATCAAAATCTTTAGATAATATTTAATTTCAAAATTTCTCCCTTCTGAGGGACCACTTAATATATTAATTCAGAGGGCTTACTTAATTCATCTTTTTATTGTTATATATATTGCCTTGAAAAGGAAAGGTCTTAATTATATACAGAATACAATATATGAGGCTGGGTGTGATGGCTCATGCCTGTAATCCTAGCACTTTGGGAAGTCGAGGCGGGCAGCTCTCTTGAGGTCAGGAGTTCGAAATCAGCCTGGCCAACATGATGAAACCCCGTATCTACTAAAAATACAAAAAAAAAAAACAAAATTAGCCAGGCATGGTGGTGGGCACCTGTAATCCCAGCTACTTGGGAGGGTGAGGCATGAGAACTGCTTGAACCTGGGAGGTGGAGGTTGCAGTGAGCCAAGATCACACCATTGCACTCCAGCCTGGGCAACAAGAGGGAGACTCCATCTAAAAAAAAAAAAAAAAAAAAAAAAATTCAGTATATGATAAAGTTGGTATTGCAAATCATTAAAGCAAAGATTGGCTTTTTATAAGTCATGCTGGACAACTGATTAGCCATTTGGAAAAAGATAAAATTAGATCAATTCTTCACACCATACACAAAAATAAATTCAAAATGAATCAAAGTGTAAAAAATAAAACTATGCAAGTACTAGGGGAAAAAGATGTGTGAATTCCTCTATAAGAAAAGCCTTTCTAACTGTGACTAAAAATTCAGATGTAATTGAAGAAATGAGTGATAAACTTAACTAAATGAAAATTAAAATTTTACAAAGAAAAAATACAAGCAAAGTCAAATAACAAAGTACAAGCCAGGATAAAATATTTGCAATATAAGCAATATTGAATATCTCATAGATAACGGATGGATATTCTTAATATAAAAACAAACTTTTACAAATTAAAGGAGAAAAACATCCTATAGACATATGGGCAAAAAATATAAGTAGACAACTCACAGAAAGATATTTTAAATGGTCCTTAAGCATTTGAAAAGATGTTCAACTTCACTGATAATAGTAGACACAAATTAAACTACAATGAGATACAACTTCTCACCCATCCCATTGGGAAAAATTCAAAAGTGTCACAATACAGTTCATTGCTGGGGCTGTGAGGAAACAGGCACTTTCATACGTTGCTGTTGAGGATCCAAAATGATACAAACTCCACAGAAGAGGATTGGACAATAGCAACCAAAATTACATATGCATTTGTCCATAAACCCAACAATCTCACTTCTAGGAATTTATTCTAAAGATAGTCTTACAACTGCAAAAATACATATCCAGAAGTTTATTCATTGTGGCAGTGTTTGTAATTGCAAATATTAGAAACTGCCTATATGTCTAATCATAGGACACTGTTGAATAAACTCTAGTACAAACACACAATGGATACTCTGTCATGGTAAACAAGAATGAGAAAGCTCTCTATGGACTGATATGGAATGATGGTCAAAAGATCTTGTAAAGTGAAAAATCAAAGCACCAGAGACTGTATGTAATACCACTATCTTTGTTTAGGAAAGATGGAAAAATAAGAAAACATACATATATCTTATATTTACCAAAAATTCACCAGAATGAAAAGCCAGAAACAATTATTAATATGTTGGTTACCCACAAAGGGTGAAGGTGATGAGAGTGCCAGGGCTGTAAAAAGGAGGAACACTTTTCTGAGTATATCTTTCTGTAAGTTTTGACTTTTGAAAGCATGTTAATGCTTGACATATCCAAAACAATTAAATCAACAAGGATAGGAAAGGGAGAAACTGAAACAATGAACCCAATTGTATTTCAAATGAATACTATAATTACAATGCAGGGCAAAAAATAACTAATTTTCATAACTTACAACAGTTTTGACTGCACATCCTACAGCCCTCAGCCTTGGGCAGGGTAGGGAGATGGAAAAACTGGAAACTAGAGATCCTGAACTCTTTTGAGTAGCTTTGCATTTTTGTAGACATGGGTGAAGTCATTCTGAAACTACTTTAGGTGTATTATGAGATTGAGCAAATGTGTAAATCTATCGATTTTAGAAGCCAAGACTCTCACTGTGAAAGAAGGTACATGCAAATATGGAATGGAGGAAGGCAAAAAAGATGAATTGAAAATGGAGGTATTGGTGTACACTTATGATACCTAAAATATGCACATGTATGTGTATAAACATGTATGTGTGCATATAATGTGTATGTATGTGCATTTATATGTATGTATGTAAGAGTGTGTATATGCATGCATATATCTCCTAGCTCTGTTCACTTAAAAAGGTGTAGAAGCAGAGATATTCCAGGAGCAAACAGCACAGCTAGTGCATGGATTTTTATCTCTAACACCATTCCCCACCAAAAGGGGCTTTTAGAGAAGTGGTTCTTAGAGAAGTCGCTGAAAGCAGGGCTGGGGAAGTGTGATGAGCCTGGAACATTTTGTTATATCAGAGGTAAGGATGTGCTCCAAAGATTAATGGACATATGGCACAGGCATACCTAGCCAGCTCGAAAGGACCCCAACTGGCCAAATTTGGGATAATCCAAGCACCAAGCTAAATAAGGATAATAATTATATACCACTTGGGGGAAGGTGGGGTGGGGAAACAGAAATCCGTGGGTTCATACAGATAATACACACTGCTATGGTGTGAATATATGTATCCCCCCAAAATGCATGTGTTGAAACTTAACCTCTAGAGTAATGGTATTAAGAGGTGGGATCTTTGGGAGGTGATTAGGAATTAATGTTCTTATAAAAGGGGCCTGAGGGAGTTTGTTCACTCTTTCCACCACGTGAGGACAGAGAGAAAGCACCATGTATAAGGAAAGGGCCCTTACAAGACACCAAATATGCTGGTGCCTTGAACTTGAACTTCCCAGTCTCCAGAACTGTGAGTAATAAATTTCTACTATATATAGACTACCCAGTGTAAGGTATTTTGTTATAAGGTATTTTGTTATAGACAGACTAAGACACATTCATCCATACACGAGGAAAAGGCAGGGTCCTTGGTTAAAGTAGAAGGTCACATGCTGACTGGTAAACATGGAGGGAGTGCTGAAGTGATCCTTGTCATTTTGTTGCCATCACAGCAAAGATTGGTTCAGGTAAGAATCCCAATAGATGCTAAATCTGAGGGGAAATTGTAATGAGGAGCAGGATATTTGGGTGGTCTTAAAGTGTCTCTCTTCAAACTCATTATTTTGCAAAGGAGAAAATAGTAACTATTTACAGTTGGAGAAATAGGACAACACTCCTACTGTGTGAGGAAAACTGGTGTCACCAGGGAGGGGCAGATAGACATCGTGTGCCTCCAGATGTGGCTGTCTGAGAAGCACACAATATCACATATGCAATATCCTGGCCAGGAATGCAGAACTTAAATCTAATCATGAGGAAACATCAGACAAATTCAAAATACAAAGACTCCTGTTTATAAAAAGTATGGGGACTCTGTCTTCAAATCTGTCACTGTCACAAAGGGCAAAAAAAAAAAATTTTTTAAAGGCTATGGCAATGTTTTAGAGATTAAAGAAACATGACAACTAAGTGCAGTATCTGTCCCTAAACTGGATCCAGTACTGGTGGAAAAAGAAGCTATAACAAACATTGGGCCAATGAGATAATTGAAATACAAATTAAAGTATTAATGTCATATTTACTGATATTGAGGGCTTCTCTGTGGTTATTTATGAGAATATAACTATATATAAAAAATACTAAACTATTTAGGCATAAAAGACCATGCTATGTAAAACTTGTTCTCAAATTCTTTAGTAAAAACAAAATATTTTATGGGATATACACATTATTATACATGTATTTATATATCTGTGTGCAGATATACATTATGCACATATATATGCTATGTGGAGAGAGAAAGAAACAGAACAGAGAGTGCACAAATGATTAGGCAAATTGACTACAATGTTGACAATAGAAGCTGGGTAAAGGGTTAACTGATGTTCTTTCTACTATTCCTATTCAAGTAACTTCTATACGTTTGCAATTATTTCCAAATAAAAAGTCAAAAATATACACAGGCCTTTGTATTAGTCCGTTTTCACACTGCTATAAAGAATACCTGAGACTGTGTAATTTATAAACTGACTCACAGTTCCGCATGGCTGAGGAGGCCTCAGGAAACTTACAGTCATGGCAGAAGGCAAAGGGGAAGCAAGCAACTTCTTCACAAGGTGACAGGAGAGAGAAAAGAGCAGGGGAAACCACCACTTACAAAACCATCAGATCTCATGAGAACTCACTCACTATCATGAGAACAGCATAGGGGAAACTGCCCCCACGATCCAATCACCCCCCAACCTGGTCCCTCCCTTGACACATGGGGATTACAATTCGAGATGAGATTTGGGGTGAGGACACAGAGCCAGACCATATCAGCCTTCAATAAGTGTTTGATGTCTTACCAGTAAATTTCATGATGTATAAAGCATAAAGTAAAAAAAAACAGTGTATGGCAAAATACGTATTTATGCATTTTAAATGTTCATCTCTCAGTTGGCTCATCTAAAGGTAGATAGAATAAACAGAAGGAAGAAATTTGAATATGTAATTGGATTAGAAGATAAAGGTCAGACTATCAGGAGTAGTAAAATCAAAGTTAATGGAAAGCGTTGTCCTACCAACCTGTAGGGAGGAAAAGAAAAAGTACTTATGTCTCAGAAGCATTCATTCAACTCCAGAGGACCAAGTCCACCAGTAAGAGTCACCTTTTCAAAGGATTACATTCATACATTCAGTTTTTTTCTTACATTTCAAATTGTTGACAAATAAAACCCAAGATAATGTTGCACCTTTGAGCCCTCGGGTAATCTCTTTTTTAATGTTAGTATTTTACTTCTATGAAGAGAGTCACAAATATCTGATAAACACATTCTAAAGAAGACCATAAATATAGATAGCACTGGGGTCTCTTTACAATTTCTTAATGACTCTTCTGGACATTAGTGTGATACATCAAGAGAAAAATTCAGAGACTAAATTCAAGTTTAATGACAAAATGAGAACATTCTCAGTGGGAATTTAAAACTGAACACTGATACTCAAAGCATAAATAAACGAAAAACAATCAGAAGAAAATCTCCAAACTGCCTTCGTTATCCCCAGGTGACCTGGTAAGAACATTTTTTTCTGAGATTTGGTAATTGCTCAAAAATTGTATCCTTTTTCTCCCTACCCTACTATCTTTTAGAAAAGATGAGTCTGAACAATAAGATGTATCTTATATAAAATGCTGGGAGTTAAATATGGATTAAGTCCAATTAAGACCTCTTAAAAAACCACCAACACTTTTGAGTGACCACGACTATAAGAAGTCTTTCTTTTTCTGGTACATATTAAAAAACAAAAACAAACAAAAAAAAGGAACATTCACACAAACAGGTTAATGAAACCCAGAAGAAACAGGATGAAAGAATGACCAGCAGAGATGAAAGCTAACAGCAGCATAAAAAAGAAAACCCTCTAAAAGGTCAGAGAGTGAAGTGAGAAAAGGAAAAAAAAACAGTGTTAGTTCAAGACAGGCCAGCTGGAAGCAAATGTTTTTGGATTTTTATACTACAGACTTACAAAACAGTCCAGCCAATGCATGATGGAAGCCACTAATTTTAAAGCAAATGTATTTTGTTTAGGAGATGCTGTGAGAACCCAATGTCCAACAAAGGAAATATTTGCATTGCCAATTTGAGTATACCTAAAGTGACATCACTTAGTTTAAACCTCCCACTGTGAGGTTAAAGAAATTGACTAGAAATGTATCTGAATTAAAAATGGAGAGTTCTGAGAATACCCCATCAGTAGCATTGTGAGAAAATATTATTGACTGTTTTGAATCATCACCGAGGGAAAGGATATTTTCATTTTGTAAGAAGTTTGTAATTTTTTTTACTATGAGATGAAATCTAAGAACTATATTAGAAGCAAGCAAAATAGCTTTCACAACTTACTGAGTAAAACCTAAACAATATTTTTATGACAAAAGTATATCTATATATTATTAATAGGATTGGTTAAACCTAAAAATGAAGACCAACTCTGTTTCATAATGTTTTCTTATTTTTTTAAGGTGTCTACTTTCACAAAATTTTCAGAATTCATATATTTGGTTTTTCATCGTTCTCCAATACGGAAAACTGACTCACGTTTCAATCTTCTTAAATGTAACTTTCTTTCTTCTAGAAGATGGTCCTAATAAGAATGCTTCTTGAAATATAGACAAGAATAAGATGTTATCTTAGCTCTAACACTCAGGCAAAATCCAGCCCCTGTGAGATCCAGGATATCATCCCTCAGTCTCATATTAAAAAACAGTTCTAAATCTGGCTTGGCCTGAATCGTTGCTTTGTGTGTCTGTATCTTTTAAATTATAAGCTTTCCAGATTTTATGTAACCCAACGTGTTGCATATGAATATTGCTTTCTATTACATCTAGCATGTGTTCAACCTCAGTACTCAAATTAAATTGACCACCACCATGGATCAGTCACTCATTAACTCTGCTCATTACCTCTGCAGCACCTTCAAGGAGAGATCACTTATTCCTTCAGATTTTTTTTTCCCTGATCCAGTTCATTAGATTCCATACTACCTACAACCTACCCAATTAGGTAATTAAAGGGTGAAGTCCAGATACACGTCTGGAAACATTTCTGGGGCAACAGAGTAGAGGCTGGTGCCCTAGGGATGAGCGCCCTACACTCTCTTCTCCACTCTATGCATCCCTCTCCTTCTCCCCCACAACACCACCCCTCATACCCCATGCAAGAAATCCCAAGAGAGGAAACCTTGACCACACCCACAACAAGGGCAAGGCAACGTTTTGGTATTTTGAGACTAGCTAGGAAGGTTGATGGAACTGCAAAACATAATTAGATACATGGGAAAACATTCAGGGCAATTATTAATTAAACAGGAACTGAGTGTGAAAACCTTCAAAACAAGAGTTTTTGGAGCCTCATAAATCAAGAAATCAGGAAACTTTTCTTCCCATTGTAAAAAGTGGTTAAGTGGGCTATGTTAAGAGTCAACTTACTACATAACTAACTACTTTTATAGTATTAATACTAGATAATTTTTCTTTCCTGAGACTAAAAAACTTGTAATCTTTTCCTCTCTTATATAAAAATTATTGAAAAGGTAAGTTATCTGAAAAGGCTTTTAGGCATTTACTTTAAGGGTCCAATTATTTCTTTTTTTCTACTCTTTTCCAAGCAGAAAAGATAGATTGATTGTTGCAGAGTTTCCTAAAAGCAGATACTAAGATAGATTTTGGATCAACACCTGTGAATGGCAGCAAACAAAGATGGATTTGGCAAAGGAAAAAGAAGGATTGCCATGCAGGCCCAACAAGCCTGAACCAACCCAACTGGGAGCTCAGAAGTGTAGGATCCAACAGAGATGGCCCCTTTAGGCAGAAGTGGCTGGGCCGCTATCCCTCTCTCCATCTCAGTTAATGGAGGTGGGCTGCTCAGGCTGAGGGCGAAAGGACAGGCGTCTCTCTGCAGCTGAGGCAGACACAGAAGGCTATGAAGACTATGGGTTGCCTGATGCCTGCACCCCCCACAGCTGGCCAGCAAGCCCATCCTTGAAGCAGAATCCAGCAACACACCTTCTTGTCTACAGCAGTGGTATTAACCGACTAGACTAGGGTGCTACTTAGTTGCCTCTCTTAAAGGCACTTGCAGGCTCTGATTTATAGAGACATGTCTTTTAACAAAAAACATTTAACATTTGTAAACCAATTTTTAAAACCCAGGGAAAGTAATTCGTGGGGAGGCCTGCCTTGAGCTTGTCCGCATGTTTGTTAAGCCTAGTTTCGTCAGCCAAGGTTGGCAAGCATTTACTCTGGAAAAACTACCATCACATCTGTTCCTTACCCTAAAGCTCTGCAGCTTGCTCGGGTGTGGTGATCCCCATAGCAAATGGCAGAAATCATCTGGAGGAGTGACCATCTTTAAACATCTTCAAGAACTACAGAAACACAAACCAGAGTGATTTCTGGCTTGCTTGTCAGCCCCTGGGCACAGACCAACATGGACAAGTGCTTTCCGGTTGATTATGTAAACAAGCTCCATAGGCCCCTCTCAAACATCGCTGCCACTGCTGCCTAAGGAGAAACAACACTGCGAGGCGACATGCATAACAACCCCTCCTCAATCAAGCTGTCCCTAGGAGTTTCTTTCTTTCTCTAGCATAATCATAGTTCTCATCCAGCTACGGCAGGCACTTTGCTATGTTGCCATGGGGATTACACTGAAGATAATCACTTGTGAACATTTGCAGATCCAGACAGCCCACTAGGGCCTGATGTTGCTTTGCCCCGTCAATCTGAATATGCTCATTAAAGACTCAGCCACTTGGCTCTTGATTTTAGTCCTAATGCTGACCCTCTTCCTCACAGCCATGAGTCTTTGAACAAATCTTTTCTGAACCTGTTTCCTCAGCTGAAAATGGGGTGGGAGAATGTGTGGTTGGTACAGATGATGACTAACTCCAAAATTAATTCCAGGTGCTATGATACTGCTGCACTCATCCAAAGGGACACTTCTCTATCATGACTCAATTACCATGCAATTAAAAAAATTTCAAAGTACCTATTAAATGATGCCCAGATGCCCAGCAATAATAAAATTATATCCCAATCCAATAGCTGGGTTTTTAACAAGAGAATAATCCGTATACAACTCAGGTTGTGGGGTGGTATGAGGTTGAGATAGCCTACTTTCTTTTTAAATCAACCCAGAGTTTGCTTAAAACAAACAAGAACTTAACTTAGGTTATTTGAAAGTTCATTCAAAAAAGCAAACTCCGATGAAGAAAAACCACAATGAAACTATTCTCAGCTCTTCTTCTGAGGTGAGACTGACACCTGCTGGCCTCCTTCTCCTGTGCAGACACCCTTTGGATAGAATACACTTTTGCAAGATTCTAATCCTATTTATGCAAATGTATCTAGAATTACAGTTATTTGAAAAGAAATGCATGAGCGCATTTATACAGGAGAGGTACTAAGAGCAAGATACAATAATATTTCAGTTATATGTTTGGAGACTAGGAGGAAGGCAGTGTGATGTGGTCCCTAGCTGGCTGCAGGTTCCAATCCCAGTTCTACAACTCTCATTTGAGGATTAGGATTGAGAAAATCACAGGTCAACAATAAATACCTTTCTCTTTCTCTCTCTCTCTTAAATCTCTCTCTCTCTCTCTCTCTCTCTCACACACACACACACACACACAATGATTCAAAGATTCTTTAAGAAATTTGTTTCAAATTTTCACCATCATTTATAAAGCTCTTTAATCTGTTAGTGATAATTACGTGTTTATAGAAATCAAGGTGACAGACAATATAAGAGAAAATGAAAGAGAGAAACCAAAAATAAAGAAAATAAAGGGAGAGAGAAAAAGATGAAGATAGAGTCAGAGGTAGATATGGAAAAAGAGGCAAAACGTGAAGTGGCAGATCCAGGCATAAAGAAACAAATGCCTCAGAAGACAGAGACAGAGAAATCTTGAGTAAGGAAGCAACATAGAAGATTGTTGACTTCCCCCAAACTAAAACTACTTGATAAAGTAGAGGAAAAATGATCCAAGAGCATTTAAGTTGTTTGTTGGCTGACATTTCATTTAGCTGGCTGGTCTCCTAAGCTGCCAATTTTCTCCTTGTGACTCTGTGGTAAGAAAGATCGTGCACAGTTCCTATGGTTCCTCCACAAAGCAGCAGAACATTCTCTGTAATATTCTCTGCAATGAAGAGCACATTTCTGAGGCAACACTAAGAAGTCAAGAGTTTCATTTAAAAGGGGGCTTCTTAAAGTAAGAAGTCCCTTTGGATGTATGCAGCAGTATCATAGCACCTGGAATTTTGGAGTTAGCACTGAACACTTCATTTTCTTCTAATCGGTTTCATAGCACTGGGGTGATTATACTTGGGGAAGCAGGAGGGGTGAGATGTAAATGCAGCCAAGGCATGTATATGATGTCTAGGTGGCTCCACCCTAAATGAACCCCAGGATAGCAATAGAGAAAGCACAACATATTCAGCTGAAATTAAAAATGAATCAGAATTAATCTAGATATGCTGAAAACTAGAATGATATATGCTTCTTCTGCTATAATTTTTCTGCTTTTTGTTTGGAGTAGAAGTCAGATTTATCCTCTCTGAATCTCTGATTCATTATCCATAATGCGCGGACACCAGCAACCTACCCTATTTACCCTGAAGGATTATGAACATCAAATGAAATAATGTCTGTGAAAACACTGTAAAATTTTCCAGGACTGAAAAATTGTGGACTCATAAAAAAAAATTCTTTCTGGATAGGTGGCAGAGTAAACAGCCTTGGAGAACAGAAAGATGCTAAGCCAAAGCCATCTCCAAGCAGAAAAACCATTCCCAACAGGACCATGCCCTCCCACTAGGCATTTGGCCAAAAACTCTCAGAAGCCATGGTACGGAGGCTTAGGGACAGGGTTAGCCAATGGGAATATTAGGCACACAAAAGTTCCGTTTCTGCCTCTCAGAGTTGATTTAAACAGATGTTCTATCCATTCTTCATTTGAACAAGCTGTTATCAAGTTGGTTTCAAATTACTAGGGAAGAAAAACTGAATACACCCTTCCATCCCTCGAATTGCAGATTAGAAGTGGCTATATAGGCGCTGCTGGAGAAGAACAAAATGAAGCTTCTCCTATGAGTAGGTTCCAACCTTGGTCTTAGCTGTCACTCACCAACCCTTGGTTTTGTGTGTGTGACTCACAGAATGAGGATCCTGGGCAGGGGTGCATTTTTCCCAGGTCCCAGGCACCCCTGGCTCTCAAATGAACATTTGATTCCACAGAGTCAGACAATGACCACACAGAGGAAATGAATCACAGTCATGTCATCACTTATATGCTTTTCCAGTTATTTGGGATAATTATACTCTGACGCATGATTGAGTGAGTTCTTTAAAATTTAGAACTTTGAAAACCACATAGAATCAATTATTAATGTTATCTAGAAACAACCTCCTAATTGTGCCTAAAAAGCAAGTAGTTGGACAAAAAGACTCAGAAAAGTTCCTTCCAGAATGGTAATATTGGTTTGTTTTTATTTCCCTAGTTATATGAAAGGTGGATCTAATCATGATTTTGTGACCTTGATAGAGAAGTCCAAATAGAGCGCACATACCCCCAGAGTAGGCAAAAAGAAATGATCATAACTACAATTTATATTTATTTTTTACCTAATATTTTTAACAATTATAACATTGTGTATATTTATGAAGTGCATAATGCCAAAATGCACTTAAACAATTTAAATATTTACATGATACATAAATAAAAATTTTCATTAATATCAGTGCCCTATCCCCAAAAAACTTTGCAGAACGTGGAAATACAATGAAGTATATTCTGCCATGTAAAAAAAAGTCACATGTTGCCTGGTAGTTTGGTTGATACTAAAGGCTCGGTTCTGTCCCAAGCTAACATGTGTCATAGGCTAATATTAAAATCCTTTAACTTTTATCCTAAGTGCAACCAGTAAAATAGTGAAAATCCATTAATGTAATCAATTACAACTGATATAGTTTGGATGTTAGTCCCTCCAAATTTCATTGAAATGTGACCCCCAGTGTTGGAGGGTGGGCCTGGTGGGAAGTGTTTGGGTCACGAGGGTGGAGCCCTCAGGAATTCCCTGTGAAACTGAGTTCTTGATCTATTAGTTCATGTGAGAGCTGGTTGTTTAAAGAGTCTGGTGCCTCCCTCCCCTCTCTCTTGCTTCCTTTTTCAACATGTGACATACCTGCCTTCCCTTCACCTTCCACCATGACTGGAAGCTTCCAGGGGCCTCCACAGAAGCCAAGCAGTTGCTGGTGCCATGCTTATACAGCCTGCAGAACTGTGAGCCAAACAAGCCTCTTTTCTTTTTAAATTACCCAGCCTCAGGTATTTCTGTATAGCAAGGCAAAACAGACTAATAAAACAACTAAAGCAGAAGTAACGGAGACTGGTCTAGTGGCATTACAGATATCATTGTATAACACCCATGTAACCTACACACAAAGCCATGAAAGTACTAATGTCAATCATAGGTATTATCTTTATATTTCTCAATAGAAGTGTGTCATAACATTGTAGCCATGTAAAGCTAACTGGGAATTGAGCTTTTCTTCAATCCAAAGACTGGGAAATTAAACTTGATCTTCAAAATGGCAGTTAAGGGCATAAGAAGCTAACATGACAACCACGTCCTTGTCAAAAAGTGCATACCTTTATATTGACCTCATCTGACAAATGTCAGGAATTGCAGACAGAAAAGATGGTACAACACTGGCTTAAATATAGCATCAAGGAGCCATCTATGCCTGTATATGTGTAACTTACTGTGATTACGTGATTCACTTTCCAGAATGAGGCACACTTCAAAGTTGACTCATCGGCAAAATCAGGTGAGCCAGGTTCTAAGACAGTGCTTTCCTAGGAAGCAAAAATTAATTTATCAAGCTCCTCTTATTTTATTATGTCTGGCCTTGAATTTTAAATAAATAGAAATGATCTACATGGTCTTCCATTCACCTCATTCTGACAGAATCCAACCCCCAAAGCTATGGAGATGTTGACTTCCTCCTGATTCAATGAATAAAATTGGGATGACAGAATCCCTTGGGCATGACTTTCTCTGTAAGTGCTGCTAAAGAGGGCGGTAAATTCCACTCCTCAGCTACTGCCAAGGACCAAAGCAAACAGCAAATGCACTCCAGAGGTCAATTGCAAGAGGTTTTCAAAATTGTTCCTTTATTAATACACAACTGATTGATCAAGGACATGGACAATAAGTTATTGCTACTTATCAACCTAATGGCCTAACACTCTTACTTACCCTGGTTTGTGGTTGGCAGAAAAGTAGATCCTTTATTGGCCTCAGTGAGTCCTCAGCTTGCTTTCTTCCCTACATTCTGCCCCTCACTTTGATAAACCATGTCTACTCATTGCTTTGGTAATCATTATGATACTCATGTAACCAGTTTTTGTTTATCTGGCTTTCCTTAATGTTCTTTTTTTTATGGATGAATTGATTGATTTGTTGATTTTAATGGGGAGACTTAGTGTTATGCTTGTATCTAGATGAATTCAGACTAATGAGTAAGGTGGTCACATGAGTATCATAATGATTACCAAGGTCAATAGCTTGCAATCCAGCATCCTTATCGATACCACACTGTACATGTCTTACAAAACGGATTTAAAATATCATACAGATGTAATTACCAGGAGTTACTATAGATCAGTGGTCCCCAACCTTTTTGCCACCAGGAACCAGTTTCATGGAAGACCATTTTTCCATTGACCAGGGGTGGCGGTTGGGAGTTGGTTTCAGGAATAAACTTCCACCTCAGACCATCAGGCATTAGGACATTAGATTCTCATAAGGACCATGCAAACTAGATCCCTCGCATGCGCATTTCACAATAGGGTTTGGGCTTCTGTGAGAGTCTAATGCCACAGCTGATTTGACAGAAGGCGGAGCTCAGGTGGTAACGCTTGCTCACCTGCCGCTCACCTCCTGCTGTGCAGCCTGGTTCCTAATAGGCCACAGACCAGTACCAGTCCAAGGCCCAGGGGCTGGGGACCCCTGCTCTAGATGATGCCTGCTGGAGTCTCTACCTATCCCATAATCCTTATTCCCTGAAATCTGGGTTTCATGTTTATACTCTTGTCATCCAGACTCTGCCTCCACCACAGCTGACTGGACAAGCAGGGATCACCTGACCAGGGGATGGCCTGACCCGGGGGAATCATCTGGCCAGTGAAGATCACCTAACTAACAAGGATCACCTGTTCTCTGAAATCCAAAAGTTACAAGCATATGAAAAAATGCCTAACAACCCTAATCATCAGATAAATGCAAATTAAAACCACAATGACATATTACCTTACACCAGTCAGAATAGCCAGTACTAAAAAGTAAATGGATGTTGATGAGGATAGGGATAAAAAAGAATGTTTATACACTGTTGGCAGGAATGTAAATTAGTACAACCTCTATGGAAAACAGTATGGAGCTTTCTCAAAGCGCTAAAAATAGAACTACCATTCAACCCAGCAATCCCACTACTGGGATTTACTGATATCTACCCAAAATAAAGAAATCATATAAAAAAGACACCTGCACTCATAGTTTAATCACAGCACTATTCACAATAGCAAAGTTATGGAATCAACCTAAGTATCCATCAATGGATGAATGGATAAAGAAAACATGGTATATATACAGCATGGAATACTAGGCAGCCATAAAAAAGAATGAAATCATGTCTTTTGCAAAAACATGGAGAAACTGGAGGCTATTATCTTAAGTAAAACAACTCAGAAACAGAAAGTCAAATACAGCGTGTTCTCACTTATAAGTGGAAGCTAAATAATGTGTACACAGGAACATAGAGTGTGGAGTAATAGACGTTAAAGACTCAAAAGGGTGGGTTGGTGGGAGGGGGTAAGGAATGAGAAATTACTTAGTGGATATAATGCATGTTATTCAGGTGATATTTATACTAAAAGCCCAAACTTCACCACTATGCAATACATCCATGTAATAAAACTGCATTTGTACTTCTTAAAATGTATGCAAATAAAAAACCAAAAAAAATAAATCAAGAAAAAAACTTTATACAGAGATAGTTCTGTAAAATCAGGGAAAACTGCAATTGTATTCCTCTGATAAAGTCAGAACGTTTTCCTCTTTGTTTGGAGATTTTTATGGTTTTAAAAAATTCAATTCCAAATAAATACATAAATAAATTAATAAAACAAAAGGAAAATTAGCAGTCAAAGAAAAATTCAATTCTACATATTTATTTGATATGGGCACCATTGGCATTCATACCCATTCTTTTGTTTGTTTGCCTTGGTTGTTAATGCTTTTTAAAGTTAACATTTTTGATTTTTAAACAAAAAAATATATAACAGAAAAAAATTTAGACTTGGTCTGCTATTTTATTCCATTTATGATTCTGATATATTACACCAAATCTGGTTTAAAACTGAAAAATATAAATATCCCCAAGCAAAAAAAGTCTTAACTTTTTCTAGTTTCAGTGCTTTAAATGGTTTGATATGTAACTGTGATCCATATTTGAATACGTACATGTAGTAAAAAAAGTTTTGTTTTATATTTTTTGTTGTTACCTTTATCTTTATAAAGATGAAAAAAAATTAAATTATATAACAATTGTAAAATAAACCAGTGTTCTCAAAGGGCAGATGCACACACCTCAGGGATATGCAACCCCCAAAAAAGATTCACTGTAGTGCAGGAAAGAAATATTAAAACTTCAGTCTATCATAGCCTTTTATATTTCAATTTTTCTATAGGTGTGTCTTATAATTGCCACAATATATTAGTGCAATATTAGGTATATAATTTATTTTTAATTGGACATATACATATTGGGTTTGCAAGCCTAAAAATGATCACAGTGCCCTTTTGAAAAGTTTAGGAACCACTGATAGTCAAGACAGAGAGCCACTTTTTCTTGCCAGCCTTTTTCAATCCTAGAACACAGCACCATCTGGTGGTATCCTGAGATAATGCATGCATGATATTTGAGTAGTTTTTATAAGAAAAATATTGTTGTCATTCAGATAACAAGACAAATCAATAATAACCATTCTAAATTAGTAATACACCATTTTAACTAAATCATGGGCAACTGTGAAAATAGTATTTCTATTGTTTCCTACTACTGCTTCTAGGTTCTTAGGCCAACTTCTCTCTCCTCCTGACTTGCCTTCCTATACAATTTATCTAGGAAAATCTTATTCTGCCTTTAAAACTTATCTCATAGTCCACCTCTTTGCCTCCTTTCCTGAGCACACCAGCTCATTAGCTGCACCCTTCTCCATACTTCATAGGTACCCCCCTTAAACCACTTGTCCCATTGACTTACAATGATGTGACATGTCATTCTTTCTATTAAATTCTAAAGAAGCACTGTCTAGTAAGAAGATAATTGACCCACAAATGCAAGTCACACACATAACTTTCAATTTTCTAGTAGCCACACTTAAAGAAACAGATAAGATTTATCTTAATATATTGTATATAATCTTAATTTTATATTGTATATTATCTTAATATATTGTATATAGTATACATACATACATATGTAAGACTTATCTTAATATATTGTATATAATCTAATATATCTAAAACATCATTTTAATATATAATGTATAAAACATTAATAATGAAATAGTTTACTTTTTTGTATGAGGACTTCACAATTCAAAGTGGGTTCTATATCTATAGCACATCTTAACTGGGACTTGCCGTATTTCCAGTGCACAATGGCTATGTGTGTCTAGTGGTCGCTGAATTGGACAGTGCAGTTCTAAAGGCAAGGCTAGTATCTTCTTGCACTTAGTGAATGTTCAATAAATGCTTAAAAAATAACTTTAAGTTCACAATTCCACTAGTTGTTCCTGGGAAAATCTATCCTCTCTCTATCATGCATTAGGTCTCTACAAATAAATACCATAAAGAAGCTACAAGCAGCCAGGCATGGTGGCTCACACCTGTAATCCCAGATACTCAGGAGGCTGAGGCATGAGAATCGTTTGAACCTGGAGGCAGAGGTTGCAGTGAACCAAGATGGCCCCACTGCTCTCCAGCCTGGGTGACAGAGCAAGACTCTGTATCAAAAAAAAATAAAAGAAAAGAAGAAGAATCTACAATCAAGTCAAGTCTCTCCTTAAGAGGAAAATAAGAATCTATGGTAAATCATATAAATTACCTAGTTTTGTTTCAACAATTCCTTTTAGAGGTAAGTTTTATGCTCATGTATTTCAATGTATTTAAATAATAGTCTTAAAATCAGCAATTGTCAGACTCTTAATTATGCAACTGGACATCTCCTTGTAATACTTGACACCTTTTGAATCACTTTTTAAACATCCTGCCCTACCAGCACAGTGAGCAAAGACTATTCTGTTTTGCTCATTGTTCACATTTTGCGCCTATCTCCATGGCTGGCATTTAGTAAGTAATGCATAGTAAGGATTCTAAGAATATATTTGTTCATTTGAACAATTTGAGGGCTCAGATCAATATATGCTCAATTTTATGTATTTTTTCCACTCATTCCAAAAACATGGAGTTCAGAACTACATGCTGAGTATTTGAGGCAGAGAGGGTTATGAAATGTGGCTCCTGGGTTCCAACAGCCCCAGTCTAATACACAAGATTCAAAGTTTAATACTAGCTCAAGACTCTCCTTCGCCGAGAAGCTCTTCCCAGACCACCCCTACATCCTGTGTCCATGAAGAAAACTGGGCCTTACATATGCTGCCAGCATTTCTGTCTACCACACCCAGGGAAGCAGGTAGGCCAGGTGTTTTTCCCCTTCTTATAGACTTCAACAGGTTAAATAACTCAGGGTCAGCATCTTAATAAATAACTAAACCAGTAAGAGAAGAAAAAACTTCTGATTCTTAGAGCATATTTTCACTATTGTGGTTTTATGCCCAAAGTTTGAGGATACATTTTCCAGGTCAGTTAATCTTTAGTATATTATTGTCTATTTATAATTAACTTCTGCTTTTTTTTTTTACTTTGTATCTTTTTTTTTTTTTTTTTAATTGAGACGGAGTCACCCTGTTGCCCAGGCTGGAGTGTAATGGCACAATCTCAGCTCAGTGCAACCTCCACCTCCCAGGTTCAAGTGATCCTCCTGCCTCAGCCCCGCTACTAGCTGGGATTACAGGCACGCGCCACCATGCCCAGCTAATTTTTGTATTTTTAGTAAAGACAGGGTTTCGCCATGTTGCCAGGCTGGTGACCTGACCTCGTGATCCGCCCGCCTCGGCCTCCCAAAGTGCTGGGATTACAGGTGTGAGCCACCGTGCCTGGCGTTTACTTTGTATCTTTTATGGTTAGTACATGGGGTTAAAAGTAAGGCCATCCTCCTTTAGAACTCTGAGTATTAAATCTATGACATCAACACAGAATAAGTAAGATTGGTGATTGGCAGAAATCATCTGGACACAATGGTCAGGGCCCACATGTGTCGATGTGCAGGCTGGGCACTGGGCAACCTTACACAGTCCCAGTCAGGTGCACAACCTACAGACCACAACTGGCAGCCTTGGGAGTGATTTTCTCTCAGGTCAGGGAAGGAAGACAAACCCTGGAAATCAAATCTAGGCTCTACCGAGTATAAACAAAGGCTGAATATTATCAAGAGTGCTGAGATGTCTGAAAGAAGAATGTGTGGCTGAAGGAGATGGGCCTCAGCTCCAATCCTGCCTTCATGACTAGAAGGTAAATGCCTTTTTTACCAAGCAAGACCAGGCTCACATTCTTTTGATCCCCTATATTTTGCCCAATAGGCTCTGCAGTTCATGACCTGCAATCAATGTTCAATGATTTATTTTCTCTACTGGTGCTTTGCAAGAGGCAAATTTTATTTGGGCTAATAATAATCACAAAATAAATACAAGAATCCCCTTTCACTTATAAAGTACTAGAAAAATACCAGAAAACTGCTATTAAAACACCCAGCTGGCATGGGGTTGGAGCTCCATGTCCACATTTTAAACGTGAATGGCTCTTAAGAAAGACAGTTTTACCCAGTATGCATGGTCTGATAAGTAATTTAAAGTAATCTGAAACGCTTCTGAGGAAAGTTCCTTCTAAAGAGAGAAAAAAAACAAAAGTTACAAGTTATGACACAGCTTTAAGTAACCATGTAATACATACAATTCAGAGTGTTAAAAGACATATCTTGTCCACCATACCTCTGGCTGTTTGCCTCTTCGTGGTATGGCAGGCATTTTTGTTGAATTTTCCTTGAACAGCCTGTCAGTGAGAACCCACTGAGAATACAGGAAAATTTTATCAAACATTTCCTCCAACTCATACTTGGCTTCAGAAGGAAAGAAAAAAAAACACAACAAAAAAAAAAAAACACAGGGGGAAAGAGTAATTGCATTTTCAATCATGGTTATTCAGCTGCAACTTCTAGAGTCAAGGCTAGTTAATTCTTATTTGCCGACATACAGGTCTTAACCAAGTTCACATTTCACCCACTACAAAAAAAAAAAAAAAAAGGCAAGAACTGTGTGGGCTCATTAAGCCCTCATTACTTTTCAGACATGACACAGTGTAATTTGTGAAATGATCTAACTTCACTGAACCCAAGAGGTGAGGCCAGGACATTGGCTCACCACTTGATTTTTACCTTTCTCTTCATCATGACTTAGTCAAATCTGATTCTGAGACTATCTTTTCAAATCATAAAAATTAGCTATATTGGCCAGGCGCGGTGGCTCATGCCTGTAATCCCAGAACTTTGGGAGGCCAAGGCGGGCAGATCACAAGGTCAGGAGATCAAGCCCATGCTGGTTAACTCAGTGAAACCCCGTCTCTACTAAAAATACAAAAAAATAGCCAGGCTTGGTGGCGGGCACCTGTAGTCCCAGCTACTGAGGAGGCTGAGGCAGGAGAAGGGTGTGAACCTGGGAGGTGGAGCTTGCAGTGAGCTGAGATCGTGCCACTGCACTCCAGCCTGGGTGGCAAAGTGAGACTCCATCTCAAAAAAAAAAAAAAAGTTAGCTATATCATCTCAGGAAAGAAAAAAAAAGGTTCCATAATCCATTCAAATCAAACACACATTCAGTGCTTATTTAAGCACATAGCTCTTTGCTTAGCCTTTTAGAGAATGCATATAAGATATAGTTCCTGCCTTCAAGGGGCATTCATTTTCTTTAGGAAGGCAACACACATAAAAATGGGCACGCACAAACAGAGAGTGAAATAACAATCGAAGGCAGTGTAGACTGAGAGGCAGTATGGGTGGAAAAGAGGGCAGATTCTGAACCAGATTGTTTTGATTCAAATCCTAGTTCTACCATCCTATGACCTTGAGTCAGTTACTTAACCTGTCTGTACCTCTGTTCTCAACTGCAAAATGGATATAATAATTATACTTACTTCATCTGATTGACTGAGATTAAATGAACTAAGAGAGACTTAGAACAATGCCTGGCACATAGTAGTTACTCAGAGAATAGTGTTATTATTCTATGATTAAGAGCCAATTCATGGAACAACAAGTGCTTTATAAGCTCAAATGAGAAACAAATATCTGTGGGTTAGTTGATCAGAAAAGGTTATTCAGAAGAAATACAATGTTAGCATCTAGAATAGGAATTGAAGAAGAGAGCCTTATTCAATATAATCTCCCATGAAGGAGAGAATAAGCCAGGAGAATTCAAAAACCAGAAGCAGGCCATCCTAGTTACAGAGATTTTTTTCATTGAAAAATAGAAGAAGATGAGGTTGAAGGATGGATGGCCAGTCCATTGCAGAAGAGCTGGTCACCGGGACAAAGACTGTGGATTTTACCCTTTGGGCAATAGGAAGCCCCCAGGGGTTCCTGGACAGGTTAATTACAGAGTAAGAGTAATATTTTTACAAGGTTAATTCCGCAGCACTTGGAAGTGCAGTGTGGAGGGGAAGAGAGACTCAAGGTAGGGAGGCCATTCATGAGACAATCACAATGATCCAGGTGTGAGGGGATCAATAAAAAACAGAAAAGAATCAGCACAGATGCTAGTATGAAAGAACAATCAAGGGGCCTCAGTAGATCAGATCAGAGATGAGAGACATAGTTGGAAGACCACATGAGTGATGAGAATAAATCTCATCAGAGATTTTGGTCTCTTTTCCTACCACAATGGCAGTGACACAAACACAAATAGTTAAGTCAGGAGACCTGAACTCTTTTGGAGCATGCTGGAGGAAACCAGAATTCCATTCTTGAAATAAAGACTATGGGGAAACAGAAAAACATCCAAAAAGAAATCTCAAAAGGACAGATGGAAATAAATTATTGCAGAAGAGAAATTTGGGCTTCAAAAATAGGTTGAGGATCCTCAGCTCATGGAAGCCAGAAGAGTGGATGAATTCACAGAGTGAGATCCACAGATACAGATGCTCCTCAACTTACAGTGCGGTTATGTCCTGATAAGTCTATCCTAAGTGGAAAATATCGTAAGTCAAAAATGCATTGAATGCACCTAACCTATCTAACATCATAGCTTAGCCTGACCTACCTTAAACATGCTCAGAGCACTTACATTGGCCTACAGTTGGGCAAAATCATCTAACACAAAGCCTATTTTATACTAAAGTGTGAATATCTCATGTAATTTTTTGAATACTTTACTGAAAGTGAAAGATGGAATTACTGTTTACCCTCATCATCAGCTGGTTGACTGGGAATGGTAGCTCCCTTCTGCTGCCCAGCATTGTGTAAAAGTATCCTTCCGCCTATCACAAGCCCAGGAAAAAAATCAAAATTCAAAATTTTAAGTGTCATTTCTATTGAATGTATATCACTTTCACACCATCATGAAGTTGAAAAATCATGAGTCAAACCACCAAATGTTGGGGGCCATCTGTACCAAGAAAGACATAGTAAAAAAAAAAAAAAAAAGTCACACGTGCAAGAGCATCACTTCCTCAATGAAGGGGTTTGGGCCTTTTTTCCTACCACAATGGTAATGATGGAGAACTATGCAAAGTGATCGATATGGTTAGGTTCTGTCTCCCCACCCAAATCTCATCTTGAACTGTAATCCCCATAATTCCCACGTGTCGAGGGCAGGACCTGGGATCATGGGGGCAGTTTCCCCCATACTGTTCTTGTGATAGTGAGCTCTCACAAGATCTGATGGTTTTATAAGTGTTTCACAGTTTCTCCTACATGTGCATTCTCTCTCACCAGTCATCATGTAAGACGTGCCTCTTCCCCGTCCGCCATGATTGTAAGTTTCCTGAGGCCTTCCCAGCCGTGCAGAACTGTGAGTCAATTAAACCTTTTTCCTTTATTAATTACCCAGTCTCGAGTATTTCCTTATAGCAATGTGAGAATAGACTAATACAGTGATGAGGGATAACAATTAATGCTGATGTTTTGGTCTAAATCAATAAACAAATGTGTGGAAGGAAAGACCCTGAACTGGAAGTTAGGATGGCAAGGAGTTCTGTAAAATAACAGGTATGTAATTAACACAGAGGGGCCCTTCCAACTATACAACTCTACATGATTCCTGTCATTTCTAGGTGTATTGTTATGAATAACTTTAATTATTCCATTTGGATTATTTTTCTTTTCCAATAATCCCTAATAAGAATGTTTAACTTTTTAAAATAATGAGAAAAAGTATTCTAAAAGCTTATAAGACATCTGTTTATAGGAATAAGAGTTTAACAACTTTCAAAGAAAATGTAGACACTATAGTTTATATAAACATTTATAGAAATAGGTACACTCTATAAGGAATTTACATACATAATTTATACAGCTAGTCTATATAAAGGGATTCACATATTTTGCTATCTGCATTTTAAAAAATAAAATACATAATAATCATTATTTATTTCTATTTTTAATACATGATATGCTTAAGGCAACAAATTACTTCTTTTTTTTTTTTGGAAAAGGCCTAAGTCCTTTCCATAAATCTAAAAGTACTCAGACATTTCATTTATTTAGTCAGTCAGTCAGTGAATACTGAATGCATTGATAAGAAAAAATTAAAAAGACATCCTCTCTCTGCACAGAGTAATGGTAATTTTTTTTCCTTCTTGACCTCTTCTCCTTCATTCCTCCCTGTCTAATACATACAGCTTAGTTGTGTATAATTGACTTCTTCTTTTTTTTTTTTTTTGAAAGAGTCTCACTCTGTTGCCTAGGCTGGAGTGCAGTGGCACGATCTCAGCTCTCTGCAACCCCCACCTCCTGGGTTCAAGCAATTCTCATGCCTCAGCCTCCCAAGTAGCTGGGACTACAGACATGTGCCACCATGCCTGGATAATTTTGTATTTTTAGTAGAGATGGGGTTTTGCCATGTTGGCCAAGCTGGTCTTGAACTCTTGGCCTCAAGTGACCTGCCCACCTCAGCCTCCCAAAGTGCTGAGATTATAGGCGTAAGCCACCACGCCTGGCCAGTATAATTGACTTCCACTGACCACTCATGACTGAGGGAGGAATATTACAACATAGAAAGCATAAAGCAGAGTGTCACACATCACCATCTTAAGACCTCTTTAACCATCCCTACCTCTTGGAAATTCTCACCAGCTCTCTTCCTCCTCAGACCCTAGCCTCCTGCTATGTTGCGGGGCTCCTCTCCTCTCTCCAGGAATCTTCCCCTGTACCTGCTCTTCCCAGGGACATGACCTGTCTTTCTGTCTCTTCTACCTGCCAATAAAAAAATTCAAAAGTCCTTTTCTTTCATTATGCCCATGATACTGTGCCATTTAGTTCTCCAGCTCCTTCCCAGACTCGGATTAACTTGCATACTCTACATCTAAAGTCCTCACATTTGAGCACAGTATTAGCATCACGGGAAGGGTTGTTAAAACCAATATTGTAAGGCCTCATCCCCAGAGAATTTGCATTTGTAATGAATTCTCTGGAGCTGCTGATGCTGCTGGTGATCTCTCACACTCTGAGAGCCACTGCATATGAAAGGTCATTTAACAAGTTGTCCTAGCAGTAGAATCACCTACATACTCCTGGCCTCATCATTAGCCATACAAAAGGAAAATTGGAGCTTTCAAATGAAAGTCTTTCTCTATCTCAGACCTGGGTAAGACAATCCCCCCTTGTAACATTTTCTGAAAGTGGAAACTGTTCTTAAATGTTCTGCCCTCTGTCCAGAGCATTCCTGTAATGAGGATTAATTTCATTAACCTTCACCTTCCTTCTTCCTCTTGTGTCCCACATCTACACAAGCTGATAAGCTCGGGGGCTCCCTGCTTTGGCATTGGTGGGAGATTCAAACCATGCAATCCTCTTTGCAAGTGAACCTTCACCTGGGCTATCATCCCCTAACAGCAATAAACACCCATTTCAGTCTCCTTTCCTAGCTCTTTCAAGCCATTTAGGATCTGCTTGAGAGGTCTGCCCTACTCTTCCTAGAGACCTCAATTCTGTAAGTAATAAACCTTTCCATAGCTTTTTCTTGCGTGTGTGGCATCATCAGTCTCAACATCTGAACCAAACTTTAGATTGGAATCCCTCCTTCTTTTACAGGGTGATCATAACAATTCTCCCAGAGCTCAGAGGTCCCCCCTCCCTTCTCTTTACATTGAAAGAACCTAAGAAAACTCATCCTATGCAATTACATGGGTAGAATTAAGTAAAAGTTTACATATCAAATTTGAGGACACTTCCCCTCCCCATTACTGAAAATTGAGTACAAACATACCAGGAAAGTCCTAAGGATACTGATATAAAAAGATGGCCTTATACTGATATAAAAAGATGGCCATGACAGCCAGTCCCATTCACAGGCATGAACCTTCCCCAATCAGCTTTTTAATGTCCCATTTAAAAATGACTAGACAGGTGATGATCACCAGGCGTGTAAGGAAAGCACCTCATATGAAATACAGAAATCAAAGCAACTAACAGAAAAAAAAAAAAAAGCAACTTACAGGAGATAGATGCAATACAGAAAGAAAAAAAGTCTTCAAAAAATATCCCTAATATTCTGAAAGAAATAAGAGAATGTATTACATCCATGAAGTAAGAATAAGACACAAAAATATATGCAGAGGCTAAAAAAGAGTTCTGAGAAATCAAAAATATGATAGCATAAATGTAAAACTCAGTAGAAGGAAGAAGAAATATTCCAGAAAGTAATATATTCCAGAAAGTAAAAGACAAAAGGATAGAAAATGGAAATTTATTTAATAAAAAATAGAAAATTAGGAAAGTCCAGTAGGTCAAAGATCCAAATAACAGAAAATCCAGAAACAGAGCACAGAGAAAAAAAGAGAGTAAATAGTTAAGAAAGTAATACAAAATAATTTTCCCGTAATTGAAGGAAATTAGTTTTCACATTGAAAGGGATACAAAGTTCTAATATAATGAACGAATATAGACCTCAATGAAGGCATGTCATTGTGAAATTTCAGAACAAGAGTAAAGCAGAGAAGAGCCTAAAAACACCAATGTTTTGTTCTTTTTGATTAAGAGTCAGAACAGTATTGCATCATTCAACAACACTAGAAGCTAGAACCCAAAATTATAAGGGGAAAAGATTTTCAACCTAGAATTCTGTATCTAAACTATTGAAAAAATATCCAAATAAAATAAATATATATTTTTCTTTTTTTTTTTTTTTTTTGAGACAGAGTCTCACTCTGGCACCCAGGCTGGAGTGCAGTGGTGCAATCTTGGCTCACTGCAAGCTCCATCTCCCCAGTTCACGCCATTCTCCTGCCTCAGCCTCCCAAATAGCTGGGACTACAGGTGCCCACCACCACGCCCAGCTAATTTTTTGTATATTTAGTAGAGACGGGGTTTCACCGTGTTAGCCAGGATGGTCTCGATCTCCTGACTTTATGATCTGCCCACCTCAGCCTCCCAAAGTGCTGGGATTACAGGCGTGAGCCACCGTGCCTGGCCAAAAATATTTTCTGATAATGTAAGATCTGAAAAAAATCTTTTTTTGAATACATCTTTCTCAGAAAACTACCAAAGAACATGTTCAACCAAAACAAAGGAGTAAACTAAGAAACAGGAAAACAAGGGAACCAAAAACAGGCAATCCAACATAATAGAGAAGTTTAAAAAATCTGTAGGGAGATGGGGGGAATTCCCAAGAACATAACTCTGGACCAAGTCTTGAGAGTAACTAGGAGAGTTTAGGACAAGTTGGAAGGCCCCAACAGGAATTTTTTCAAGAAGATGACTAGACAAAATTTAATGTGGCTGATTAAATTTGGACAACTGACAGAATTTAGGATTGAATTAGGAATAAACATAGAAAACAACTAAGTAAATAATGAGTATTAACTCCAAGGAAAATAAAGTATTTTACAAGAAAGAGTAATCATAGTATACCAGTTGGCTTATCTGTAAATAGCATTTTTATAGTCAAAATAACATTGAATATTGATCTAACCAAAATTGTGCTCCGCTTCACTAGGAGAGCAGGAGAGGAATAGAAGTAAACATGTATGATAGGTCAAAAGAGAAGCTATGAAGCAAAGGATATCAAGCAATACATTACGACTAAAACTACAAAAGTGTAGTAACAATAAAGTTGTAGCAAAAGAAGTAACAATATAAATCTGCTATATAGAGATATGGAGAAAATGTATTTTTAAGAATAGCTCTATTAGTTGAAAATGCTGCAGAGGAGTAGAAATTTGGGAGAATGGTTAGGGATACCAGTGAGTTGCTGTTTTTTGTTAAAATCCCTGTAGAGGGATTTCTCATTTCTTAACCTATGTGCATATGTAGTTTTAAATAGTTTAAATATAAAGTACTTATTCTTTTTAAAAATAATTTATCCAATAAAAAAATTACTGAATTAATTTTCTTCTTACTCTTACCACAAATAATTTAAAGTTAATATCAAAAATATAGTTCATAAACAAAAAAGTAAGCACAAATATAGAAGGAAATCAAGAGAAAGGAGAAAGAATACAAGTTTCTTAAAGAATTCCAAATTAATAGTAACACTTTTGTCTCTCTCCTCAACTGAAAGAAGTGAACACATAAAAGCTACTGTGATTTTGTGTGAGGTGTTTGTTTAGCGTTGCTTTGTTTTTATGAGAAGGAGATCTCTATAATTTTTTTAATGTTAAAAAGTTGTTCTCATATTTCCAAAAGCTGAGAACCACTGAGCTAGAAAATTGTTTATGACTCACAATTTTGAGCTGATCTAGTTTTCAAAAGTGAATGCATCTTGTTAATGTTCACATATCAACTCTGCTTCTCCCAAAGGACAACCACATGAAATAGAGGCAGTTATTTTTCCTGTAGGCCTCAGGATGTTTTTAAAGTATATATACATAAGTGGAATATCTGCACTAATGCTACTAATCCCAGGTGCATTTCTGCAAATGGGGATTTCTGTGAATCCATTCCTCTGAGAAATAAGCATTTTTATATCTGCTGTGTGTTCTGTTTGTCTAAATTATAGATGTAAAAGCCTAGGAAACCGGCAAGGATTTGTGTTGTGGTTTTTTAAAAAATAATATTCAAATTACATTAGGTACACTATGAGCTCCTAATAGTATTCCATGTTTTGTATTTTCTAACATTTGCATTTATTAAGCCAGAAGCTTAAACTGCAAACACCCAAGTCATGAATTTGGATAAGAAAGTTCTGAAGATTTTGATTCTAAGTTGGTTCATTTTATTTTCTAATATTTGTATTTCTCTTCACAAATAGCTATGATTTACCTAATAGGAAATTCACCAAAATATTAGGGGACATTGTTAATTTCTTTATGTGGAATCTGCATTTTCTAAAAGAAGAGCAGACCTGGAGGGAATAGCAAGAGCCGGCGATGACAGTGGAGGTCCAAGTGGCTCTGACAAACAGGTATTTGGATGTTGGAGTCTGAGACGTGGAGAAAGGGCTGGGCTGAAGAGATACATTTGGGACATCTGTGTTATAGAAGTTGCATTTAAAGCCAAGGGGATTCCTACGGTCACTGAAAGCAAGAGAACACAGTGAAGAAAGAAAAGCTCAAAGACTGAGGTCTAAAGAAATGCAAAACTTAAAGGACAGGTAAAAGATAAGGGAGACTCCAGAAATGCAGGAAGGAAACAAGGAAACCATGATGCTACAGAAGCCAAAGGAATGTCCTCAGGGTGTTTCATGAAAAAGGGAGTGTTGGTGCTTAGATTCACTAAGAGAAGGAGTAGAAGTTGTCACTGAATTTGGCATATATATCAAGCACATAAATAGTGGTTGAGGTTGATAATCATGAATTGATAGTGCTATTATTCCACTGGATTGTGGTTCTCTCTGCCAAGATTAGGAATTGACAGAGAGTAAAGAGTTGGGCTTATTCAGTGTTAGGGTTAGCCAGGCGAGAGACACAAAAGAAAGGTAGACAGAGGAATGAAAGTATTTACAAGAGAGTAATTATAATAATAGATTATGGAATCTGGCCTGGAAAGGAACAAAGTAAAAACATATTTTTACTTTGGACAGATTGATATTAAAAATAGCCTAGCAAGAACCATCTTTTGTTTATTATTTTTTCTTCATTTTTTATGTTTTTTCCCTTAGGATAGATTTCTAAAAGTAGAATCATTAGATCAAATGGTATAATTTTTTTTAAATTATTGATACATGCTGCCAAATTGCTTTCAAAAAAGTTCACGGCATCTTAAACTGGTCAACAAAGCATAACATTGCCTGTCTCCAAACTAGTCAACTTCAAGAAAGCTAAATATACATAATATAAGAAGAATAATATACAAGGTTTGATTGACATTAAAATTTTATCATCTCTGAAACCAAGTAAATTAGCTCCTACGTTTCCTTTACTCTCCTCCTACCCATGCATCCCTCTTTCTTGATCTTTTTCAGTTTCCGTTATAAAATAACCCTTTCCACATTGAGTAATTCTGCTTCAACTCAAAATCCTTAAAGTAGCTGTAGGTACTTTATTCAAGGAAAAGTTGAGCAAAAAGTTTTTAAAAATTATTATATGAACAAAAAAACTGGTTTTATTGCAGCAGCAAATATTCTCCCTCTTCTCCCACGCTCCCTTCTCTCTTTCTGCCTCTTTCTCCCTCTCTCTCTCTCTCACCTCCCCATCTCTCTCATATTTTTGGTCACTAAGAATTTAAGAAAGAAACAACTACAAGTGACTCTCACTCTTCTCTCCCTTGTAGCTAATTTGAGTCAGCATTTTCCTAACAGACCTAAAAGCTTTTACATAGATCCTTATGTTCAGAGCTTATTCCTAAGTGAAAGGAGAAAACAACCAGGATAGTGGCAAGGCAAACATGTCAGTCAGCCCATGCATAGATTGCTAAAGAGTTTTTATAAAACTCGGTACGATGATATCTTCTATATTCATATGTTTTTCCAATAAATGATTACCATTTCTAGGGCTTTGCATAACTTAAGAGAAAGACCGTTATTCCCTGGAGATTCTATCATGACCTATGGAACCTAAGGATGATAAGAGGAATAAGATATCATATGGCTCTAAATTTCTTTTTTTGTGTGGTGAGGGGGACAAAGTCTCACTCTGTTACCCAGGCTGTAGTTCTGTGGTGTGATCTTGGCTCACCGCGAACCTCTGCCTCTCATGTTCAAGCAATTCTCCTGCCTCAGCCTCCCAAGTAGCTGGGATTACAGGCGCGCGCCACTGCACCCGGCTTATTTTTTGTATTTTTAGTAGAGACAAGGTTTCACCATGTTGGCCAGGCTGGTCTTGAACTCCTGACCTCAGGTAATCTGCCTGCCTCGGCCTCCCAAAGTGCTGGGATTACAGGCGTGAGCCACCGCGCCCAGCCTCTAAATCTCTTAAAGAATTAGAAACTAAAATCCAGAGCAGTTAAGTACCTGGTTCAGGAAACACAGCCAATCAGTAACTAATTTCAGACAAAGACTGAGTCACTGTCTCCTGAGCCAGTTCTGCTCTTGTCGTCCTCATGATAGGCAGATGTATGCAAATTGGTAGACAATGAAGATGTTTCTGGGTATAAGTGGTGAAAACATCAATAACCTCACATCAGATGTTACAATACAAGATAAATTTTCTATATCATACTATCATACTAAGAAAATTTCATTTTTGAACACTGAAAATAACTAGTTGTATTAGTCTGTTCTCATGTTGCTAATAAAGACATACTTGAGACTGGGTAGTTTATAAAAGAAAGAGGTTTAATTGACTCACAGTTCCACATGGCTGGGAGGGCCTAACAATCATGGCAGAACGTGACCAAAGAGCAAAGTCACGTCTTACATGGTGGCAGGCAAGAGAGCTTGTGCAGGGAAACTCCCACTTATAAAATTGTCAGATCTCATGAGACTTATTCACTACCACAAGGACAGTATTGGGGGAAACACCCACGTGATTCAATTACCTCTGCCTGGCGCTGTTCTTGACACATGGGTATTTTTACAATTCAAGGTGAGATCTGGGTGAGGACACAACCAAACCATATCACTAGTAGTTTCTAAGTATGTGGTTCCAGAGGACACAACCAAACCATATCACTAGTAGTTTCTAAGTATGTGGTTCCAGAGAAAACAACAGTAATATTAGTTAAATTGTATTTTTGTTTGTTTTTGAGAAGGAGTCTGGCTCTGTCACCCACGCTGGAGTGCAGTGGTGCAATCTCGGCTCATTGCAACCTCTGCCTCCCCAGTTCAAGTGATTCTCCTGCCTCAGCCTCCTGAGTAGCTGGGATTACAGGCGTGTGCCACCATGCCTGGCTAATTTTTGCATTTTTAGTAGAGGTGGGGTTTCACCATGTTGGTCAGGCTGATCTCAAAGTCCTGACCTCGTGATCCGCCCTCCTTAGCCTCCCAATGTGCTGGGATTATAGGTGTGAGCCATCGCACCTGGCCAAATTGTGTGTTTAAATTCTGAGTTTAAACACACAATTAATACTTAATACCCATAAGTACCCTAATGCTTATGGATAGTAAGTATATGTGCATGTATGTGTGCATACACACACACACCATAGCACACATGTGTGCATACATGCACACATACTTAATACCCATATACATACACCAGTGAGGCCACTTGCCATCTACATGGATGCTTCTCAGTGACAAGATGGCCACATATTTCTGAGTGAATTGCTTTACCTTTAAGGATGGCTACATTTGTTCTGTCACTTGTGGGATCCAAGTAACCTTAAGTTTCTCCAGAGATGTCGCTAGACCCTAATGGAATGTTGGTAGAAATAGAAACCAGAGAAACTGTCCTTCTCTTGTTGGTCACAGACAAAGTATTTTCTTCAGATGTAGCTTCTTGGATTTCCCATGAAAAACTTTCCAGAGATTTGTTTGGTCTCTGGTGTTGATTCCAGCTGCCAGGTACTGGCTCCTGCTTTGGATTTTAAAAGGAAAGGTAAGTGACATACCACTTCTGAACCTATGCAGAGTGATGACATTCATTGAACCATATTTGCCGACCATATTGGTAAACACTATTCTAAGGCATAGAGAGTATCTTTAATCTGATATTTTCACTCTCTGCCATATTTCATTCCTCCCCTTCAAGCATTCTGAAGTTGCCAGCACTCTGCCCCTCATGAAGGGTCCTTCTTTCCACAGCTTCATCCTGTCTGGAAGAGAGATGCTTAGGTGCAGCTATTTTTTTTTTTTGATACATTCAAGTTTAAAGTTTGTACTGAGTACTTTAAAAATTTAGAATACAGGGTCCCAAAAAGAAGAGTACTGCTTAGAATTAGATTTAATTATTCCATTAAACTATTTAAAGAGGTAATTATTTGGGGGAATTTTGCTGCCTTTATCTGTAGAATTTTTAAACCTAGAGTTACCAAAATGGCATGCAATCTATTACAATAATCAATAAACAGTTTTAAAAGCTAGGTAATGCTGAGAATAATGAATAATGATAACAATAAACTTCTTTGGGATACATAGAAAACCACTATAAAGAAAGCACCTTTCTTTCCAAAAGGGCTTGCTTCATCTTAAAAGTGAGGTCCTGTAAAAAACAATACTACACCAACTGACTACATGCAATCTAAGAAGAAGATAAATGTCTAAGTCCTCTAAGATAAACTTCAGTATTAGATCAGGTGTTGGAAAGTTCAAACCACACTTAAAATATAAATTTAAAATATTTCAGAAGCACAACAGTGAGTACAGTGTGCATGAATAGTGTTTGATCAGGGGATTATTTTTAATTCCTCTGCATACAACTAGCCAATATTTTCACCATTACTTCACTAACATTCATGAGTCTCATTACATGAATTAGAGTAGTTAAATTATATTCTTCCCCCTCTCCACTCCCTTGCTGATACTGAGCCTATTTACAGGTCCATCTGCAGGAAAGCAGATCTTGATGATACCATGGCAACATGCTGTCAAACCCAAAGGAGACCAGTCCTGAGAGAATGGAGAGAATCAATGCAACCCACCACTAACTAGAGGAAAAATACTCAAAATGCTAGCTAGGCAATACTACCATCTCCACACCATACTTTTTTGGAACATACATTTCTTTCATTATTATTTAATTGTATAGCTGCAAAGAGAAAGGTCTAGAACTATTTTTTTAAACCTAGTGTGTTCTATGTTAAAGGAAATATTCTCTCCTGTTCTCACGTGGGTGCTCTCTCTCCTCAGCTACTTCCTCTTGACTGACTCTTTCATTTTTCATTAGCTGATCTGAGTTTGTCCAAAAAAAGCATCATGAAAATTTTTCTTTCCCTGTAATGAGTTCCAGCAGGAACCTTGCAAGTTAGCTCTAAGGAGATTTCAGAAGCCTCTTAGGCATGTCCTGAGAGGACAGACACGACCAGGTGATTGGCCTCCTCACTAATATCATCCTACATGGAGTGCTACTGACACCAGATCCAGCTGAGGGTGAGGCTGAGCAGAGTTTAGAACACTTACGGAGAAGTGCCTATTAAAATAGAAGTGCAGATGTTCAGTGCCCTTACTCAGAGAAGGGGAAAAAAAGAAAAGAATTCATTGATTTTAAAAAAGTTCATCTTGTCATTTTTTCTTCAATGCCATTAAATCATTGGATCATATTTATAAAATACCTGAAACTATATTGTGCCTCAGAGGCACTGAAAACATCTCTCTGGACCTTAGAAGAGTGAATGGCATTTCTTCACTCAACATGGACTCCTTGAACACTAACTGCGTGCAGATCCCCACCAGGTATTGGTGACCCAGCAGTGGCAAGGAAGCCAGGAAATTTGTATGGGCCAGTATCTTCCAACAATCCCACATCGGGGCACTCTTATCAGTAGATACTCTTCTTTTTATGTGGAACATGTAAGTTGGGGCTCAAATAGTAAAAGTTCAGGCTGAGTCCCACCTACAGATTTATTAAAGTAATACAAATTAAGCCTGGGCTTCAGCAACAACACCGGAGATCTGTGACAACACAACAAGCACAATCCCAAATAAACAGAGCCAAGGTCATAATTACTGCAACAGATTGTGGATGGCACTCAAAGCACTGAGTCGTTCACGCTTGAGAATTCCACAGCCAAGCCCTACAGTGGCGCCTGCTCTGCTCATCCACATTCCTTTCAGCATCAGATTAAATTCCAATCTCTAAGACATTCCTCCAGCCCAGTGGTTTTTCAGCTGAAGACCATAGACGCCTATGAAGATATTTTTGAGAAAACATAACTTTTAAAAAATTTTAAGGTTGTGCTTTCATCTCAAAGATTGCCATGCTGAAATTGCTTAAATTTGCTTAAATTCCAAAGAATCTGCATAACAATCTCCTCGCAAAATGTCCCAGGCTGTCCCCCCTTTGCTCTTATGTTTATGATCACGTTGAAGCCCAGGGAAGGCAAACACCACCATAAATGGAGGTTTTCCTTCCAGTTAAATGAGGGGAAAAAATGATAAGAAAATTGAGCAACAAGTTCTTTTAAGCCTCATCAAAAGAACCCACAGCATTTGGCCTACAATGTATAAATGTATTCCTCTAATCACATCTTTTTCATGCCAATTTATTTTGTTTTATTTTACAGAATAAAAATGTGTTTTGTAGTGCACTGCTAAATTGGCTCATTCAAATAACAGATGTGTGATTAAAACATTCATTGTGAAAAAGAGAAAATAATGACAGGAGTCATAGTAATGACTCAGATGATGGGCCATCATTTTCTAAATCAAAAGATTCAGGTTGATACACAAATATATTTCAACCCAGTTAAACGAGCTACCTGCAAATAAGTGTTAACTGAGTCACACTATCTGTCACTTTAATGCAATTCACTAGCTTTTAGAAAGGCAGCTTAACATAATTATTAAGTGCACACTTTCTGAAGCCAGATTTCCTGGGTTCAAAGCAAAGCTCTAATACTTAACAGTTGTGTGGACTGTATGCCTCAGTTTCTCAACTGTAAATCAGATGACCTGCCTCTGTGATAATTAAATTAGCAAAATGTAAAGCACTTAGACTATACTGTGAACACAGGAAAAACTTTACAAATGTGACTATTATCCATTTCACACAGTATTGTCTGTCTTATTTGTACATTCGGTTTAGTTTTATAGTCATATAACACTTGTGAGTATATAACTCATACAAGGAGTATATAATGAGTTTTTTATGTTTGTATATATTAATTATATTTAAATCAAAATACTGTGTAGTCAACATAGGTGAATAAGAATTGTTTGTCTTGCTCTGTTGCCCAGGCTGGAGTGCAGTGGCGTGATCTCGGCTCACTGCAAGCTCCACCTCCTGGTTCACGCCATTCCCCTGCCTCAGCCTCCTGAGTAGCTGGGACTGCAGGCGCCAGCCACCACGCCCAGCTAATTTTTTGTATTTTTTATTAGAGACGGGGTTTCACCGTGTTAGCCAGGATGGTCTCGATCTCCTGATCTCGTGATCCGCCCACCTCTGCCTCCCAAAATGCTGGGATTACAGGCTTGAGCCACCGCGCCCGGCCAAGAATTGTTTTAAATAATTGCATACTCTAGTCAAGTTTAAAAAAATCTTTTCCTAGCTATTGCTTAGCCCAGAAGCCTCACATGTTGCATAATGAGGATAGTATATTCTAGTTTCTGGGGGAAGTGTGATTTTCCTATCAAAGGCAACCTTGATAGATGATAACCAGGGATTCCTCATGCAGCTGCATTCCCGCGGATACCTCCCAAATTAAACCAATTATGGGCAACCTATCATCCTACTGTGGTTTTGAAATATGAGTCACTGAAGGGATCCACATAAGCTTCTAACAGAAAAGTTTTTAGTGAAAATGGAAACTCCATCCCAGCCATCTGGGAGGAAAGCAGCTATGACCAACACCCTGAATTGATGTCTTGGTCATTTGAAAAAACAGGTCAACTGATCCCTGCGTCTTTTGGTTCCATCTTCGACTGGCCTAGCTTAGTTTCAACTAGAAGCCTGGAACTATGTAGGAATGTGACTCCTCTGCTGGATTAAGAGGTGGGAGGCAGTTCCAAGGAAAGGAGAGGGATGAGGAGAAGGCAGACCCCTTACACTGGACCCCATATATCCCAAAATCACATTTAGTAAGCAATATTAATCAATATTGTAACAACATGCTGATAAAATAGAAATACTAAAAATTAATAAGAAAAGTAAAATGCCCAAAGTAAATGTTTTTAAGAATATGGCTAACAGCTTGACGCAGCAGCAAAACCAGATATAAGGCAGAGAAAGAAATTAGAGAGGACCTTCTCTCTCTGAAGCAAATCTGTCTCTGAAGCAAATCTTCTCTCTCTAAAGCAAATCTTCTTATCCTGGAAAGTAACCAGACAGTTGAGGTTTTGCAAAAGGAATTTTAGTAAGTGACTAAGGTAAACATGACAAGGCAATAAAAGTACCAGTTACTAAAAGAATTGAACACACACAAGGTAGCCAGTATTTTAAGCAAAGATGGGTTTTAATGAGAATATAATGCCGAATTTATCTAGATAGTGATAAAAGAGAGTTTAGCTTGCCATGAAATTAGGTGGATATTACCTGCAGGCATGGACAAGCTTCAGTCCCTTATAAAGCTACTTTTTCCGGCCGGGTGCAGTGGCTCACACCTGTAATCCTAGCACTTTGGGAGGCCGAGGTGGGCGGATCATGAGGTCAGGAGATCGAGACCATCCTGGCTAACACGGTGAAACCCCGTCCCTACTTAAAATATGAAAAAAATTAGCTGGGTGTGGTGGCCGGCACCTGTAGTCCCAGCTACTCGGGAGGCTGAGGCAGGAGAATGGCATGAACTTGGCAGGTGGAGCTTGCAGTGAGCCAAAATTGTGCCGCTGCACTCCAGCCTGGGCGACAGAGCAAGACGCCATCTCAAAAATAAATAAATAAATAAATAAATAAATAAATAAATAAATATTTTTTTTTAAAAAAAGCTACTTTTTCCGTAATTAACAAATGCAAGAGCCTACCAGTGCTAGACTGCCCAAGTTGCATAGTAAGTCCATGCTTAGAGAACCAGCAAAGCAAGAACACATATAGAAAATATTTAGAAATGTTATCACGTTTCTAAAATGGGAAAAGTCTAAACTTGGATAGACTTTTTCATGCATATTTTTTCAGGTTTGTATTATTTTATTTTGAATCATATGTGGCAGATGGGGATGGGGAGCACCATATACTTTTAGATGATAATTTAGATGTTAGTTTTCTGTTTCATGAGCAGCTGTGTGTACAGAGTACTATATTAAGTATATTTGCTGACAAAAGTGAGAAGTCACTTGAAAGGAACCTGCAATGAGGTAGGGATCGACCCCAGGCTACTTTTTTCCCCTTCTCGTCTATATTTAATTGTGAAAATGTTCAAACATATTAAAATGTTGAAAGACGTATACAATAGACACCATATACTCATGCTACAGACCAAATGTGCCCTCCGAAATTCCTATGTTGAAATCTGAGTCACTAACGTGATGGTATTAGGAGGTAGGATTTTGGGTTGCTGATTAGGTCATGAAAGTGGGGCCTTCATGAATGGAACCATTGCCTTTAAAAAATAGGCCTCAGAGAGCTCTCTTGTTTTTTAGTCTGATCTTGATCTCATGCCTTGATCTTGGACTTCCCACCCTACAGAACTATGAGCATCTAGCCCCAAGAGTTGTTCACCAGGAGCGAGCATTGAAGCCCCAAGAGTTGTTAGAGAGAGAGGTGACCTGTATAAAGCATCAGGGACTGTCCCTCTGTTTCCATTGAGATTCCCATTAGCTATCTACATTCATTCAGAAAACTTCTCAAGGTGCTTGGAGAGGCTGTTTCCTGGTCACCTTCTCACAGTATTAATGCCTTTTCAAATGAATCAACAGAACTCCATTTCCCACCTTCCCAGCTTTACTCCTTTCCCGTTTCTTATGAGGTACCTTAAACCAGGGTAATACATCCAGAGTGTTTGCAAAATAGTGAGCTTCCTGGAGTTACTTCCAAAAAAAAATGTAATGCCTAGGAAAAAAATGTTTAGAAAGCCCAACAGAACAAGCACTTTGGGAGGCCAAGGCGGGAGGATCATGAGGTCAGGAGATCAAGACCATCCTGGCAAACATGGTGAAACTCTGTCTCTACTAAAATACAAAAAATTAACCAGGCATGGTGGTGCGTGACTGTAGTCCCAGCTACTCAGGAGGCTGAGGCAGGGGAATTGCTTGAACCTGGGAGGCAGAGATTGCAGTGAGCTGAGATCGTGCCACCGCACTCCAGCCTGGTGACAGGGCGAGACTTCATCAAAAAAAAAAAAAGCCCAACAGAACATTTGTGGAGGTAGATTAAGAAGAATGAAGAATTACCATAGGGCAGCCTGTGTTTGGTTTAAGTACTTGGTCAGCAGAGTCAGCTGCCTAGATCTCAGTCCCAACTTGACCACTTACTAGTTCTATGATCCTGGGCAAGTTACTTAATCTCTCTGTGCCTCAGTTTCCTAATTGTAAAATGGGTTTCTTTTCAAGTACAGTGTACACTCACTCCCGGCAATATGACTGCTAGACATGAAGTGAAACCTTACCTTACAGAGCTTACAGAAAAACCTGGAGAAAATTAATTGGCCAAGCACCAGAGCCTGGAGAATGTCTGGGCCCAAGTCAAGAAGGACACATAGGAGACTGGGTAAGAGAACCATGACTTTCAACGCTGAGATTCTCAAGGCTGACATCTACAGTGAGTAAAATAGAGCCTCTCTAACCTCCATCCCTCATAGAGAAAGCAAGTAGTAATATTCACTTGGTTATTTTTGCCTTGTCTCTGGTAAACTGGCAGGAGTGGGGCTATCTTTTCTGCAAAATTAGTAACTACAATATCATAACAAACTGGGTTTGGGTCTGGAATTCACACTACTTTCATGGTTACTGCAAACCCCCAATATGAAAATTTAGCTTAAAGAGATCCCTGACCCAAGTACTTCAAATTCAGAACCTCAAATATCTCTCACAGATAAAGGTTTAAAGAAAAAAAAATTCAGACCTTACAATTAAAAACCAGAAAACACAAAGGAAACAAGTCACTTGAGTGAGAATCAGCAAAGTGATATATCCCAAGAGTAGACTCACAAACACTTCAAATGCTGGAATTATCATAGAAAATCAAAAAAGTGAGAGTTAGATCTGAAGAATTTATCTAGAAGTCATCAGAGAGAAATGAAGTGATGGAAAGATATGAGGAAAAAGTGAGAAGGCACAATAGGCAATTCAGAAGGAGGTAATTGAGAGAATGAGGAGGGCAACAATCAAAAGACAGCACCTGACAACTTCCTAATACTGATGCAAGAGTCCAGTCCTCCCATCAGGAAGCCAAGCAGGCTGAATACAGAGAAATGACACTTAGATATGTTATCATGAAACTGTAAGACACTAGAAGAGGAAAAAGACACCAAAAGCTGTTGGAGAGAAAAGATAAATTATCTACAAAGAATTTACAGTTTGATTAATAGCTAAATTCTCACAGAATAATGAAGCCAGATGCCTGTGATATAATATCTTCAAAGAGCTGAAAGAAAATAATGTCAATCCAGAAATCTAAATCCAGTGTTCAGAGCTGGTGCACAGTAGAACAGCTACAACAGACATTAAAATGTTGAGATCTCTGTCCTTACTGGCTGGTAAAGAGCTGCCAAACTGAGCCCGCCCTCTGACCAGGCACCCACCACATGGCTGCCACCACTGCCCCCTCCCTGGGCTATCCCCTATCTAGCAACTAAATGTCAGTGAGCCGTACAATGGGGAGCCTACAGAACCATTACACTCTCACTAGCCCTCCTTTCTTGGTTCTCACTTGTCCCTCTCGGTCCTTATTTCCTCCTGACTCGAGCAAGCCTACTCAAAGATGGAGAAGATGGCAGCCTTTGGACGGTGCAGGCAAGTGCCCAGAGCCTATGTGGTTCCCCAGGCTGCAGCTGCCCACCGCTAACAAGCTCTCCTTCAGAGCTGCTCTTCTGTAGCCACTGGGGGGAGCTGCAGCCCCTGTGGATTTTGCCTCCAGGAAAGTTGGAAAGGGACAGGAGGACAGCAAGGTAATAGGGACTTCCCAGCTGTCACACAGCCTGGGCTCTGCTGGTACAGCAGGCATTCCCATGGTGAGAATCTTTAATGATGGTAGATCCAGCCTATAAATTAAATCAGTAGTTACAGTCTTCCCACAGAGAACACAGAACCCAGAGGGCTTACAAGTGAGCTCTCCTGAGTATTCAAGGAACACATAATTCCAAGCTTATACTAGTTCTTTCAAAGAAAGAACAACAGGAGACACTCCCCAACTCATTTAATGAGGTTTGTGTAAACATGCTGTCAAATCAGACATGGACATTATACAAAAGTTAAATTCCAGGCCATTTAAGAACGTAGATGCAAAAGCTCTAAATAAACCAAATCAATAAATGTATAAAAGTGATAATGCACATAATCAGGTAGAATTTATTCAAGGTGCAAAATTGGTTCAACATTAGAAAAACCTAAGAATGTAACTCACCACAATAACAGATTCAGAGAAACCGTATGATCATCTTAATAGATTCAGAATAAGCTCTAATAAAACTCAATAACACTTTATGATGTTTTTAAAAAATCTCTTAGCAAACTAGGAATAAAAAGGAATTTGCTTGATCTGATAAAGCATACCAATTTTAAAAAACATGCAAATATTTTGCTTAGTGCAAAACATTAAATGGATTCCCTTTAAAATCAGAAACCAAAGCCTAATTGCTATTTTATATTTATTGTATTGGAGATACTTGCCAGTGCAAGACAAGGAAAAGAAATATAAGGTGTAAGGATCAAAAAGAATGAAATCTCTCATCATTTGCTAATAATATGATTATCTACATGGAAATTTGAAAGAATTTATATATAAAAAGCTAAAAATTAACGAGTTTAGCAAGTCTGCAGGGTGTAGGATCAATGCACAAAAACTTATTTTATAAAGCCATCCACAAATAAAAAGCAATTTAAAAGAAGATACAACTGGGGACTCTGCTTCTAATAAAAGCAAATCAGATGAATTTAATTTGCACTCGCCATCCTCTTAAAAAAACTAGAAAATCTGTACCAAATATATAATGTCTTGTAGCTCAGAGGGCAATAACATAGTAAAGGGTTCTCTGCAAAAATATTTTTAAGATGTGGCAAACCACAGTGGTCACCAGGAATAGGGATTCAGAAAGGCAAAACATAAAAGGATGGGGAAAATCTTAGTGTGCTCTATTAATATCACACAAAGTAGACATTAAAGTAAAAAAAAGACTTTAAGAGGCAATGAGGGTCATTTCATAATGATAAACACGTATTTAATGAGAAAGAGTAAAGTTTAAATAATAATATGGACTCACACTGCTGCCTGATTCCATTTCTATAAAGTGCTAAATCATATTATTTAGAAATTCTTACAGAAGTGACAAAATTGTGGAAGGACAAGAGGGAGAAAAGGAAGTGAGGCAGTTTTCTAAGGTCCGAATAATGATTGTGTTTCAGGTAGAGGAAGTGGGTTGTGAACAGGCAGAGGCACTCAGCAAGCTTCAGGCAATGTTCTGTTTCTTAACCTGAGCAGTGATTATATGCGTGTTTATAATAATTCATTAAGCCATGCAATTTTTATGTATGTCTTTTATAAGAACAAGGTTTAGAAATTGACACTTGTAACAGCTACAAAAATAAAGCTTTTGCAGAAAATTATAACTCTATGGAAAGGTATTAAAAAGACCTAAGTGGAAAAACATGGATAGAAAGATTCAATTCTGTGAAGATATCAATTCCATCCAAATTATCATATAGATTTAATGTAATATACATTGAAACCCAAACATGTATAAATTACAAAATCAACCTGACAAGTTGATTTTGTAATATATATGAAAGAGAGAAGAATGCTTAAGTCAAGGTTCAAACAGAGAAGCAGAGGAAGAAATATATATATATATATATGAATATATATGTGTGTGTGTATGTATACACACATACATACAGAGAGAAATACAGAAACAGAGAGGCAGACAGGGACAAAGAGAAACAGCGAGAGACACAGAAATTTATTGCAAGGAATTGGCATACATGATTGCAGGGGCTGGTTAAACAAGTCCCAAATGCATGCAGAAAGTCGTCATGAGCACAATGAGACTTCACAGGAACAAGCCACAGCTCTCATCCACAGGTGGAATTTCTTCTCTCTCCTGGGGAAACCTCAGTCCTGCATTTAAGGCCTTCTAACAATTCAATCAGGCCTACCCAGATAATCCAGAATAATCTTCCTTACTTGAAGTCAACTGACTTAAGAGCTGTAATTCCATAGGCCGAATTCTTTCACAGCAGTACCTGGATTATGTTTGTATAACTGGCCTGTAGCCTGACCAGGTTGACAGATCAAAAGCGCCATCACAAACAGACAAGGCCTATCTACCAAAATAGGTAGACTTGACTCCCCAGGTATCCAGGCTTATAACACTATATTAATTAGGACCATAGAATCCTGGGTGGACTCCAACTAAAGAGATACAGAGATGTACTCTTCTGGCATGCCATGCTTCCTGTCCCGAATCCTGGTGCCAGGACAGCCTCTTCAGATATGAAATGCTTACCTGATCAAGCATTTTGGGTATTATACACACAAACATGCACACACAGACATTCCACATGGATTAAGAAATTAAAATGTTAAATGTAATTTTTTAAATATTTAGTAGAGCATCTAGGAGAATGGATTTATGACTTCAGAGAAGGGAAGGATTTCTTAATGCAAACCATAAAGGAAAGCATTGGTATATTTGACTACATTAAATTTTTAACAACTTCTGTATATCCTACTCATCAAAGACGTCACCAAGTTAAAAGACAGGCCACAAACCAGGAGACAACATTTGCAATACACTTGACAAAGTACTTCAAATAAGAAATGCCTATTACATAATGAGAACAATAAACTCCATAAAAGCAGGCAAGACAGGAATAGGAATTTCACAAAAGAGGAGAAGAGTACCTATAATTCCTAAAAAGAGACTCAACCTTATGAAGTCAGGAATTGGATTAGTCAGGAAATGCAAATTAAATATCAGGTATAATTTCATATATTTATTGTGAGAGATCAGACATCATTTCACAAATATATTGTGAAATATGCATATATGCATGACCACCAGATTGAAAAAAAGATAAAAGATAGTACTGACAGTAAGAAAGGATATGTAGCGATAGGAATTCTTAAACACTGCTGAAGTGATTATTAATAGGAAAATACATTGAAAAATATTTTGGTGTCCCTTAGTAAATTGGGCATGCATTTATTCTTCCACTCAGTATTCCTATTTCAAGGATTGTAACCAAAGAGAAACTCTTGCAGAAGCACTTCAGAAGCCGTGTTTAAGAATGATCATGGCCGGGCGCGGTGGCTCACGCCTGTAATCCCAGCAGTCTGGGAGACCGACGTGGGCGGATCACCTGAGGTCGGGAGTTTGAGGTCAGCCTGGCTAACATGGTGAAACCCCGTCTCTACTAAATATACAAAATTAGCTGGGCATGGTGGCACATGCCTGTATTCCCAGCTACTCGGTAGGCTGAGGCAGAAGAATCGCTTGAACCCAGGAGGCGGAAGTTGAGGTGAGCCGGGATCACACACCACTGCACTCCAGCCTGGGCAACGGAGTGAGACTCCATCTCAAAAAAAAAAAAAAAAAGAATAATGATCATAGGCTGTCTGTGGTGGTTCACAACTGTAATCCCAGCACTTTGAGAGGCTGAGGTGGGAGGATTGCTTGAAGCCAGGAGTTTGAAACTAGCTTGAGCAACAAAGTGAGACTCCCATCTCTACAAAAAAATAAAAAATAAGAAAAAGAATAATCATAGAAGCAGCATTCATAATAGAAAAAATATCTTGATGTCAATCATGAGTAGAACTAATATATTAGTTTTGATACATTCATGCTACAGAACATTATACAGTGGTGAACAAAAGGCCAACTACCAATATTAACATGATGAATCTCAAAAATATATGTGTAAGCACAAGATACAAAAGAGCACAGACTATACATTATATAAACATCAAAAACAGGCAGAACTAATGTGTCAATTAGTGGAATATGTATGTGAGTTAAAACTAAAAAGAGAAGCAAGAGACGGATAAAAATTCTGGAGACTTGCCCTGTCTGGAGTGTGGGCAGAGAAGGGTACATGATCAGTTAAGGCAGACAGAGGAATTCGGAAACATTGACAATGTTCTGTTTCTTGAGATGGATGGGATGTATGTGGGTGCTTATTAGATTTCTATTATTATTCTTTTAAATAAAAATTAGCTATGTGTGCATTACATTTTTTAATAACTTTTAAGTTCAGGACTACATGTGCAGGATTGTTATATAGGTAAACTTGTGTCATGGGGGTTTGTTGTACAGATTATTTCATCACCGAGGTATTAAGCCTAGTACCCATTAGTTGTTTTTCCTGATCCTCTTCTTCCTCAAACCCTCCACCCTCCAATAGGTCCCAATGTCTGTTGTTGCCCTCTATGTGTCCATCTGTTCTCATCATTTATCTCCCCCTTATAAGTGAGAATATGTGATATTTGGATTTCTGTTCTTATATTAGTTTGCTAAGGATAATGGCCTCCAGTTCCAGCCATGTCCCTGCAAAGGACATAATCTCGTTCTTTTTTATGGCTGCATAGTATTCCATGGTGTGTATGTACCACATTCTCTTTATCCAGTCTACCATTGAAGGGCATTTAGGTTGATTCTATGTCTTTGCTATCGTGAATAGTGTTGCAAGAACACACGCATGCACTTGTCTTTATGATTAAACAATGTGTATTCCTTTGCTTATATATCCAGTATTGGGATGGCTGGGTGGAGTGGTAGTTCTGTTTATAAGTCTTTGAGGAATTACCACACCACTTCCCATGATGGTTGAACTAATTTACACTCCCACCAACAATGTATAGTGTCTCCTTTTCTTTGCAACCTCACCAGCATCTATTTTTTTTCACTTTTTAATAATAGCCTTTCTGACTGGTGTGAGATGGTATCTCATTGTGGTTTTGATTTGCATTTTTCTAATGATCAGTCATGTTGAGCTTTTTTTCATATGCTTGTTGGCTGCATGTGTGTCTACTTTGGCAAACTGTCTGTTCATGTCCTTTGCCCAGTTTTAATGAGGTTATTTGTTTTTTTCTTGCAAATTTGTTCAAGTTCCTTATAGATGCTGGATATTAGGCCTTTGTCAGATGCATATTTGCAAAAATTTTCTCCCATTCTGTAGGTTGTCTATTCACTCTATTGATAGTTTCTTTTGCTGTGTAGAAGCTTTTTTGTTTAATTAGATCCTATTTGTTAATTTTTGCCTTTGTTTCAGTTGCTTTTGGCATCTTCGTTATGAAATTTTTGCCTGCTCCTATGTCCAGAATGGTATCGCCTGGGTTGTCGTCCAGGGTTTTTATAGTTTTGGGTTTTACATTTAAATCTTTAATCCATCTTGAGTTGATTTTCGCATATGGTGTAAGGAAGGGGGTCCAGTTTTAATCTTCTTCATATGGCTAGCCAGTTATCCCAGCACCTCTTATTGAATAGAGAGTCCTTTGTCCATTGCTCGTTTTTTTCAGGTTTGTCAAAGATCAGATAGTTTTATGTGTGAGGCATTATTTTTTGGGTTTTCTATTCTGTTCCACTGATTTATGTGTCTGTTTTTGTACCAGCATCACGCTGTTTTGGTTACTGTAGCTCCGTAGTATAGTTTGAAGTTGCGTAGCATGATGCCTCCAGCTTTGTTCTTTTTGTTTAGGATTGCCTTGGCTATTTGGGCTCTCTTTTGATTTCATATAAATTTTAAAATTATTTTTTATAATTCTGCGAAGAATGTCATTTGTAGTTTTATACGGATATAGCTTTGAATACTTTGAATCCATAAATTGCTTTTGGCAATATGGCCATTTTAATGATATTGATTCTTTTCATCCATAAGCATGGAATGTTTTTCCATTTCTTTGTGTCATCTCTGATTTCTTTCAGCAGTGTTTTATGGTTCTTATACAGATCTGTCATCTCCCTATTAGCTGTTTTCCTAGGTATTTTATTCTTTTTGTGGTAATTGTAAATGGAATTGCATTCCTGATTTGGCTCTTGACTTGATGGTTGTTGGTGTATAGGAATGCTAATTTTTGTACCTGATTTGGTATCTTGAGATTTTGCTGAAGTTGTTGGTCAGATCAAGGAGCTTTGGTGCACAGACTATGGGGTTTTCTAGGTGTAGAATCATATTGTCTGCAAACAGAGATAGTTTGACTTCTTTTTTTTCTATTTGGATGTGTTTTCTTTCTTTCTCTTGTCTGATTGCTCAGGCTAAGATTTCCAGTACTATGTTGAATATGAGTGGTGAGAGAGGGAATCTCTGTCTATTTCTGATTTTCTGTCTAGCTTTTTCCCATTCAGTGTGATTTTGGCTGTGGGTTTTTCCATAGGTGGCTCCTATTATTTTGAAGTATGTTCCTTCAATGCCTAGTTTGTTCAGAGTTTTTAACATGAAGGCGTGCTGAATTTTATCAAAAGCCTTTACTGTATCTATTAACATGTGGTTTTTGTCCTTAGTTCTGTCCATGTGATGAATCACATTTATTGATTTACGTGTGTTGAACCAACCTTGCATCCCAGGGATAAAACCTACTTGATGGTGGTGGATAAGCTTTTTGATGTGCTGCTGGATTCATTTGCTAGTATTTTGTTGAGGATTTTTGCATCAATGTTCATCATGGATATTGGCCAAAGTTTCCTTTTTTTGTTGTGTCTCTGCCAGGTTTTGGTATCAGAATGATGCTGGCCTCATAGAATGAGTTAGGGAGGAGTCTCTTCTCCTCAATTTTTTGTAATAGTTTCAATAGGAATAGTACCAGCTCTTATTTGTACATCTGGTAAGATTTGGCTGTGAATCCATCTGGTCCTGAGCTTTTATTTGGTTGGTAGGCTATTTATTAGTGATTCAATTTCAGAGCTCGTTATTGGTCTGTTCAGAGATTCAATTTTTTCCTGGTACAGTTTTGGGAGGGTGTATGTGTCTAGAAATTTATCCATTTCTTCTAGATTTTTCTAATTTGTGTGAATAGAGGTGTTCATAATATTCTCTGATGGTTATTTGTATTTCTGTGGAGTCAGTGGTAATATCCCCTTAGTCATTTCTAATTGTGTTTATTTGGATCCTCTCTTTTTTCTTATTAGTCTAGCTAGTGATCTATTTTATTAATTTTTTTTAAAAAAGCAACTATTGGATTTGCGGACTTTTGAATAGTTTTTCTTGTCTCAATCTCCTTATGTTCAGCTCTGATTTTGGTTATTTCTTGTCTTCTGCTAGCTTTGGGGTTGGTTGGCTCTTGGTTTCCTAGCTGTTTTAGTTTTGATGTTAGTTTGTTAAATTGGGATTTTTCTGTTTGATATGGGCATTTAGCACCATAAATTTCCCTCTTAGCACTGCCTTAGCCATGTCCCAACATTCTGGTATGTTGTATCTTTATTCTCATTAGTTTCAAAAAACTTCTTGATTTCTATCTTAATTTCATTATTTACCCAAAAGTCATTCAGGAGTAGATTATTTGATTTTCATGTAATTGTATGGTTTTGAGCTATTTTCTTTGTTTTAATCTCAAATTTTATTCTGCTGTGGTCCGAGACAGTGATTTGTTATAATTTCAGTTCTTTTGCATTTGCTGAGGATTGTTTTGTGTCCAATTATGTGGTCAATTTTAGAATATGTGCCATGTACAGATGAGAATGTATATTCTGTTGTTTTCGGATGGAGAGTAGATGTCTATCAGGTCCATTTGATCCAGGGCTGAATTCAGGTCCTGAATATCTTTGTCAATTTTCTGCCTTGATGATCTGTCTAATACTGTCAGTGGGGTGTTGAAGTCTCCCACTATTATTTTATGGGAGTCTGTCTCTTTGAAGGTCTCTAAGAACTTGCTTTATGAATCTGGGTGCTCCTGTGTTAGGTGTGTACATATTAAGGATAGTTAGCTCTTCTTGCTGAATGGAGCCTTTAACATTATGTAATGCCTTTCTTTGCCCTTTCTAAACTTTGTTGATTTAAAGTCTGTTTTGTCTGAAATTAGGGTTGCAACCCCTGCTTTTTTCTATTTTCCATTTGTTTGGTAGATTTTTCTCCATTCCTTTATTTTGAGCCTATATATGTCATTGCATGTGAGATGGGTCTGTTGAAGGCAGCATACCAATTGGTCTTGGTTCTTTATCTAGCTCGCCACTCTGTGCCTTTCAATTGGGGCATTTAGCCCATTTACATTCAAGATTAGTATTTATATGTGTGGATTTGAGCCTATCATCATGATATTAGCTGCTTATTGTGCAGCCTTGTTTCTGTGGTTGCTCTAGAGAGTCACTGGTCTATGTATTTAAATGTGTTTTTGTAGTGGCTGGTAATGGTTTTTTCTTTCCATATAGGGCTTCCTTCAGGAGCTCTTGCAAGGCAGGCCTGGAGTTGACAAATTCTCTCAGTATTTGCTTGTCTAAAAGGATCTTATTTCTCCTTTGCCTATGAAGCTTAGTTGGGCTGGATATGAAATTCTGGGTTGGAAATTCTTTTCTTTAAGAATGTTGAATATTGGCCTCCAATCTCTTCTGGCTTGTAGGGTTTCTGCTGCGAAGTCTGCTGTTAGTCTGATGGGCTTCCCTTTCTAGGTGATCTGACCTTTCTCTCCAGCCACCTTTAACATTTTTAATTTTATTTTAACCTTGGAGAATCTGATGATTACATATCTTGGGGATAATCTTCTTGTGAAGTATCTTACTCGGGTTCTTGGCATTTCCTGAATTTGAATATTGGCCTCTCTAGCTAGGTTGGGGAAGTTCTCATATATGATATCCTGAAATATGTTTTCCAAGTTACTTATATTCTCCCCATCTCTTTCAGGGACACCAATTAGTCATAGATTTGATCTCTTTACATAATCCTGTATTTTCTCAGAGGTTTTGTTTGTTCCTTTTTATTCTTTTTTCCCTATGCTTGTCTGACTTTCTTATTTCAGAAAACCAGTCTTCAAGTTTGAGATTCTTTCCTCAGCTTGGTCTATTCTGCTATTAATAATTGTGATTGCATTATGAAGTTCTTGTAATGTGTTTTTCAACTCTATCAGGTCAGTTACATTATTTTCTATAGTAGCTCTTTTGTTTGTCAGCTCCTGTATTTTTTTATTGTGATTCTTAACTTCCTTGGACTGGTTTTCAATGTATTTCTAAAAACAATGATCGTTGTTTCTGTCCATATTCTGAATTATATTTCTGTCATTTCAGCCATCTCAGCCTTGTTCAGAATCCTTACTATCCTTGAGATAACGTGGTTGTTTGGAGGAAAGAAGGCACTCTGGCTTTTTGAGTTGTTAGAATTCTTGTGCTGGTTCTTTCTCATCTTTGTGGGCTGAAGTTCCTTCAATCTTTGCAGTTGGTGACCTTTAGATGTTTTTTTTTTCTTTTATCTTTATTTGATGACCTTGTGGGTTTGATTGTGCCATAAGTTAGTCAGTCAACTGGCTTCATTTCTGGAAGATTTTAGGGTGCCAACACTCACTTCCAAACTCCTGGACTGTGTGTTCTAACTCTGGGGGACTTGTATCAAGCCTGACTTTGTTCTCTGACTCCTTAAGGTTAGGAATTATCTGCACTATGGAAGCCAAGGTGCTCCTAGACCACTGGTCACTACACCTTGATGTGTGGTGTCAGCTAAAGGGTTTTGTAGTGTGGTGGCAGTGAGATCCATCCTCGTTTCCATGTGCCAGCAGCAGTGGGAGTGACAACACAGCAGGGTACACACTCGCTGTCTGCAGCAGGGTACTAGTGGGTCCCAGGGTGCCTGCCTCCATGTGGGCACTCACAACGGTGGTGGAGGCAGCATGGCTCAGGGGGCAGGGGGCCCCTGTTGGTGGCTGCCCACAGATGCACTGGGAGTGATGGCATGGGGTCAGGGCACTGGTGGGCACAGGTATGTGTGCACTCTCTGTGAACCACATTCAGGGGTGGTCACTCAGAGGTGAAAGAATCTGCTGTTCTCTGTTCCTAGTTTCACTCCTGAGGCAGTATTGGTGCTGCCTGAGGCAGTAGACTGCTGGTGGGGGTGGGGCTGGCTAGCTGTGTGCCCACCCAGTCTCCAACTGCAATGGCAGTTCCTCTGTGGGGGTGGTGGTGCGGAGTGCACTCCCACCACAACAGTGGCAGGACAGGGTACATGCACACATACACACTGGCAGGGCAGGAAAGGCGACCCCCTCACCCCACTGCATACACACCCCAGCAAAGCAATGTTGGGGGTTGTCCATGGGCCTGGGGGAAGCTGCAGTGGAGGGAGGGAGTGGGCGGGCTGGTGCATGGCCATGGGGGCCACCCTGCTGGAGCTCTCTGCTTCTCAGGCACTGTCTGCCAGCACAGGAGTTAGGATATAGGCCCCCAGGGCACCTGAAGCTGCCTGGCAAGCAGGCATGGCCAACCTGGGGCCCAGGGAGAGGCCAACAGACCACGGGTGCTCAGGTTGGACTGGCTCCATCTGATGGGCAAGACTGCCCTGCAGAGTTCAGGTTTGACAGTTCCTCTAGGGCCAGAGTCTCTTCTGGGAGCAAGTCAAGTCTAGGGGGATGAGTGTCACTGGCCGTGCTCTGCTACAGACGCTGCTGCACTAAACCTTTGGGCTCCACATCAGCTGGTGTGCCGCCCCTACCACTTCTCTAAGCAGTCTGTTTGCCAACTCTGTGTGGCAAGTGTCTGTAGTGGTCAAGGGGATTCCTCCTGCCAGGATTCCAGAGGCCTATGGCGAGAGTGGGTTGCTCCTTACCAGTTCAATTCAGTCACTCCCGTGGAGTCATTGCAGGCCAGGAATGAGTCCTGGTACATGGTAACCCCATGCAGGGTTCCCAGCTTCCTCCACTTTCAGCCCAGCTTCTGAGTCTTCCCTCTGTTAACTCTCAGTGCCATCCCTCTGAAGATCTGTTAGGAGTGTGCCAGTCATCTGGGTCCCTCAGTGGCAGCTGTTCCACCTGTCTGCATAGTCAGCCATCTTGCCCAGTACCCTCACGTATTTCTTTTTTTTTTTTTTTCTTTTTTGAGATGGAGTCTTGCTCTGTCACCCAGGCTGGAGTGCAGTGGCACGATCTCGGCTCACTGCAACCTCCGTCTCCCAGGTTCAAGCAATTCCCCTGCCTCAGCCTCTGGAGTAGCTGGGATTACAGGTACACACCACCATGCCTGGCTAATTTTTTGTATTTTTAGTAGAGGCAGGGTTTCACCATATTGGCCAGACTGGTCTCGAACTCCTGACCTCAGGCAATCCACCCGCCTCCACCTCCCAAATTGTTGGGATTACAGGCGTGAGCCACCGTGCCCAGCCACCCTCACATATTTCTTGATATAAACATAAGTTTAGAGGTAAGGCATATGCCTTAGAAAGGTTCGTTGTTGGCAGGCTCCAGAAGCAACATGCTAGAGAGAGCAGAGGCCTCCTATCGCATTCCCAGAGGATGGTGGGGGTTGTGGCCCCACTCCCAGTTCAAATAAGTAGCCCTTTCACAAAGCTGTTTCTTTCTGACTCACTCCCACTGAGCCTGCCCTCTAAAATCAAGACCTCAGTCCCTGAAGCCAAGCTTGCCCATATTTAATTTCATAGCAACAGGAGTATTTATTCCACATATACCTTGTGGTGAAAGGAAGCCATTTTGCAATTGATTTGTAGGAAAATGAAGGCGATGTTCTAGCCGCTGACATCACTATCACTCCCATACCTGTGCAGCCACTAGCAAACCTCGGCTGTAATATTCCAGGTTGCCAGTTTTCTTCCACTTGGCTCCTTTTAGCAGCCCAGCTAAAGCTACGTCTGAAGATATTTTATCCTCTTGGCATTTTAGCTTAACATGGATTTCAGATCAAGACACTTTGCCAGGGAGAACATGGGGTTTAAAGCCAAACTCCTCAGGAGGTTTTGGTCTTAATCAGAGTGTCTTCTGTACTTCATGAGATTCTCACTACCTGAATAGATTCCCCGTGATTCTGTTTGCTTTCCTCTCCAAAAAGCTGCAGAGAAGGAGCGAAAAATAACACATATTCCTAATCTTGAGATGTCTGAAGCATGAAAGATACTTTTATGAAATACTATTAAAGTGCATGAGAAAGTAGCTAACAAGAAAATAGGCTCAGTTCTTAATTTCCTTGCGTCGTATTTTTTTACTCTTAGCAAATAATGCCTTTGTTCCCAGCACAACCTCAGTTCCAAAAGCACGTCATTTTGCCTTCCAATTTTCTTTCCTTTAATTTTGGCAAAAATTACTGGGAATAATAAACATGCCACTGTCTTCACAAGTTAAAAATATAAGTGAAAAAATTTAATTGACTTATTGAACAAGCCTGATGTGGGGAAATGTAATCATAAAACAGTTTTATGTTTATGTTCTGTGCTTCCCCCAGGCCCTTGGTGAGAATGCAGGCTGTTCTTATGATTTTTCTGGTCACTCATAGCTAATGCAAACATCCTCAATGCAGAAATCTGAAACTACGGGACTTTATCGGAATCCAAGCAGGCACAGGATGTACAATTGTGCCTTCTCCCCTTCCTCCAGTGAGGCCTGGCCCTGGGCAGGACTCCAGTCCTGCAGAAAGGGCAGTGTCAGCATCTCTCCCCTTTCACCAGCCAGCATTTCTCCTCTGCTTCTGCCAGATTTCTTGCCTGGTGTTGGACTGCCCCTCTGTTGTTGAAGAGAGAGGGAGGGGAGACAAGGGGGGAAGGAAAGTTCTCCCAATTGGCACTATTGTAAGCTGGCTTCATGCATTCTGAGCCTGGCAGTGAAGTAGAGCTGTTTCTCTTGCTGGAGCTTTTGTGGAAGTTTTTGGCATCAATGTGGATCTTTCCCTGCAGTTCTCTTGACCCAGGCTTGTGCATCTCTATCCCAGCTGGTTGTTTGAGGTTCTTAGATATCCAGTTCCATCTTCGGCTTCTCTCTGCTGAGCTGTATTAGCCTCTCCAAGTAGCCCCCTTAGGACTTGAAGTGACCCCATGCTGCATCTTTCATTTGCACCTGGATGTCATCCAGGGGAAAACTCCTGACAACCTCTGGAAGGTCTGGTCCATCCCAACCCTGAAGCCGCTCTGCTTCACAGCTCTGCCCAGCCACTATCTGGACCTTCACTCAGGACAGCATCAGTCTTCAGGCCATGCTGACCCTATAACTCGAAGAGGCACATATCTAGCTCTCTGGGGGTGGTCTGTTGAAGCTTCTGCAGGGCTTGAAGATGGGACAGGCACCCCTCACTCCTCCTCCCTGGTGGGGGTTGCTGAGGCAAGGGCTGACTCACAGCACACTTGCAGCTCTTTGTACACAGCCTCCCCAACTCTCTTATCACCCAATATCTCACACCTTTGGTGTATGAACAAGGTTTAGAAGTTATCAGTCCAGCTCTGACCCACTCACTTTTGACAAATCTTACAAAAGGGGATGGTCTCTCACACAACTAACTTCAAAAAGGATCTCATACAAACATTTCATTTAACATCCTATTCCACCCAGTAAAGAGCAAGGTGACTGCATCTTTGTGCAGAGCAACTGGACATACAATTTAAGAAAAGAAATGACAGAGTGAGATTTCCTCTAAGCAGGAGGTGGTTTGGGCAACAGTGTTTCAAAGAAGAGCATTGCAGACATGAAGGCAAAAGTGAGTAAATACATAGGAGAGGATTTTTATTGTACAGATGGGAGAAGGAACAGATGCTTGAAAGGAGGAGGGTAGCCTTTCACAAGTGAAATATGAAAATGAACAAATCTTAGATAAATAAACTTTGTGCAGTATACTTAGTCTGTGGGCCTCCTTTTATCCTTTCCAAATAGAATGGCCTATTCTGCTGATTTTATAAATATTATATATTTCCTAAGTAAAGAGATCATTTTAATTACTAGTAGTGACAGAAGAGGAAAGAGGTGCTCACTCATTTAGGCATGAACAGAGGTTGTTCTGTGACAGATCCTAGAGGAATAAAAACCAATAAGATACAGCCTCTACTTGCAGGTAGTTCATTTCTTAGCAGGGGGGAATCTAGAAGGGCCTGTTAGAAAAGGAAACCCTGGAAGTGAGTTGTGATAGGTAATTGAAGTGCAATGAAAGGCTCTTGTTGGGAAGACCATTCCAGCAAGAAGGGGTGACACAAGCAAAAATCTTTCTGAAGATTAACGTTGCCTGTAGCATAAACTGAAAAGATAGGCAGGCGGTAGTTGGATCAAGGTCTCTTCTGCTTCTCTAGGAGATTATATTTTACTCTTTGCAATGAGTAAATTCAGAGCATTTTAAGGAGGAGAAAATGAGAATATTTCTTGAAAGACCCATCTTGGTTGCAGGTTGAAGAGTGACACACAGGATTTCGAGACCAGAAGCAGGGACAACAAGTGAAGACCACTGCTAGCTCAGGTGAGAGTAGAAGCAGATGAAAAGTTGGGCCAGTTAAAAAATTTCTCGGGGAATTAATCCATAATGAAGGCTGCATTAATTAGGATGTAGGCTAAGATGCTATAACAAGGAAACCCAAAATATAGTAGCTTAAATGTCTCATAGTACTCCAAACATGTGTGGGTGGGCTAGGGCAGGGGACACCAATGACAGCCTGGGGGCCAAATCAAAACTGCTGCCTGTTTTACAAATAAAGTTTCATAGAAACCCAACCATGCCCACTCATTTCCCTGTTGGCTATACCTGCTTTCCTTCTACATAGATACTTGAGTAGTACGACCGTGACCTTATGGTGAAAAAGGCCTAAAATATTTGCTGTCTGACCCTCAGCTCTCCAGTAAACCCCTGGTCTGGGACAAATAGTTGTCTCTGAGTTTCACATCATCCAGGAATCCAGGCTGGGGTGGTGAGCTCAATTATCTCCAACCCGGACCTTCCACCCTGGGTCCAGGGAGGTTACCACAATGGTCACCATTCCCAGCCAGGGAACCCCAGGTTGCTCTCAGCCTAGTAAGTCACCCAGCCCTAGGCAGCTGCAGAGAAGACTGGGAAATGCAGACTCTAGTGACTTGGCCATAGGTCCAGCTGAAACGTCACCGCCGCTATCTACTCTAAGACATACATACTCACATTTTGACATCTCTGAAACCAGCATTCATTTTGCAATCACTCTCAGCTCGGACTGAAGTTGTGTTTTTCCAGAGTTGATTTGCATCTGTTTCTTCCAGTAATCTAGGCACATTCCCAACATGAGACTACTTTAAATTAAATTCTCTGCCTGACAAAAAAACTAAAGGAACAGGGGAAAAACTAGCCCTTTTATAATGGCATTCAACCCGCCCATGAGGACAGAGCTCTCACGGTCCTGTCACTTCCCAAAGCTCTCCCCTCCTAACATTGCCACAAGAGCAACCAAATAAATTTCAGCTGAGTTTTGAAGGGGACAAACATTCAAATCATAGCAATACCTAAAGGACATAGAATTACTATCTTGAGGAGATGTCTGCACTCCCATGTTCATCACAGCATTATTCACAATAGACAAGATATGAAAACAACCTAGCTGTCAATTAAGAGATGAATGAATTTAAAAAGTGAGGTGTGTATATCTATATCTATCTACCTATCTCTCTAGCTAATGAAATATTACTCAGCCTTAAAAAAGAAAAAATCTGCCATTTGCAAACATGGATAAATCTTGAGGAAATTACACTAAGTAAAATAAGGTAGTCATAGAAATACAAAATTGCATGAACTCACTTTTATGTGGAATCTGCAAAAGAGTAGATAGAACTCATAGTTACAGAAAGTAGAATGGTGACACCCCCATGGGCTGGGGAAATTGGGATTACTAATCAAATGATACAAACCTGTTGTTAAAAGATATGTAAGAACTGGAGGCTCAATGTATAGCATAATGACTCTAGTGAATTATGTCATGTATACTTACACTTTGTTAATAAAATAGATCTCAAATAAACCCACCTGTCCATTTTCACACTGCTAATAAAGACATACCTGAGACTGGGCAATTTACAAAGGAAAGAGGTTTAATTGAGAACTCACAGTTCCACCTGGCTAGGAAAACCTCACAATCATGGCGGAAGGCAAGGAGGAGCAAGTCACATCAGCAGACAAAGAGAGAGCTTGTGCAGAGAAACTCCCATTTTCAAAACCATTCACTCGTGAGATTCATTCACTATCATGAGAATAGCCCAGGAAAGACCTGCCCCTGTAATTCAACCCCCAACCACCGGGTTCCTCCCATGACATGTGGGAATTGTAGGAGTTACAATTCAAGATGGGATTTGGGTGGGGACACAGCCACATCATGTCACCACCACACCAAAAGAAAAAGAGTAACTCAGTGAGGTAATTGATGAGCAGCAGGTGGTTTGGGCAACAGTTTAATTAGCTTCATTGTGGTAATAATTTCACAGTGTATAAATACATCAAAACATATAAGTAAGGTTATGTACCTTAAATATAAATAATTTTTGTCAATCATACCTCAATAAAGGTGGTAAAGATTAAGTGTAACCAAACTAATATCTGTGTGTACATTTTATTTGAAACCATTTAAAATAACTTGTAGATTAAATGTAAATCTAAATTGACATAATTGTTAGTCAAAAAAGTTCTATTGAGGGAGCATGGTGTTAAATCTAGAATTAGATATTTAGCTAAAATACTTTTAACAAATGAAAGTAAACTAAAATATTTTCAAAAGTTAAAAGAAAGAAGAATTGGATCAGGGTTCTTGGTAGTACATTCTGTTTTGTGTTATCTGTATATGATGATTTGGAAAACAGGGGTGAAATTGCCAAGAGAATTTATTTATATGGCCTATGCATTCATAATCAAGACTTAAAATCAAATGGTATAAATCAAGTCTTAAAATTCAGTCTTAAAATCAAGACTGAATCAAATGGTATAAATTTTATCTTTCAACATCTCTAAGAAATGGAAATAATTACCCTCATTTTTTTAACCAGTACTTTTTCTTACAATCAACCATGAATGATGTATAAAAGTGTCCTGCATATTGAAATCGATATAGTAACTCAAGATACCTTGTTCTTGATGGTGATTTTAAAATGAATATCTTTGTGGATAGGTAAGTGAATTCATTGGTAAATAATAAAAGTACTCAAATAAATTAGCAAAAAAATTCTCTGGGGTTTTTTTAAAACCACAGTTAGTATGAATTCAGACCACAAATCTAAATGACTAACAGCTCTTGGTTTAAGTTCTCAAGGGAAATTTTCCTTTTTCCTATCTCCACCCGTGTAAGACATGTTATTTTCTTGCCTTTTTTTTTCTTTTGGTGGATGGCAGGCATACTTCTTGTTTCCCCTTCAATGAGGTGCAGCCTTTGATGTACCACCTTTGTTTGGGTTTTTTGTTTTCTTTCTTACTGGTAAAATAAAACATGGTGCATCTCACAGTAATGGTGTCTCTGATTTTTAAAAACACGGCAGAAGAATAAAAAAGGAGAATGTATACTAGTGGGCAGGTTAGTAGTTTGCTCCAGGTGTTAACACATCCACTAGAAGTTTTATAAGATGGAAAAAACAAAATATTTACTTAAGCTCTTCCCAATGAAAGAATTAAGTGAAGTTGGAAGAAGCATTTCGAGAGCGGCTGTGTAGTGAGATCCCTGAAGGCCATGCTTGAACCATGAACTGCCTTCTTAGGTATGTATGGGGGTGGTCTGAGTTTTTGGATTTTGCTGGATTTTGTTGTGCTAAGTGGGGTATGGAAAGGTGAAGCAGCATGCAATGGCTCCAGATCTTACAGAAACGATGCATGTCAACAGCTCTTCTTCCCCACTCCTCTCCCACACAACCCCATCATCTAAAACAAGTGAAAATAAATGTAAAATAACAGTTAGTAGGGTCCCCAAACATCTCATCTGCCTGTGGTGGCCACATATCTGAGTATGGTCTTGACTGAGAGGTGATGAGGGCAGGAACCAAGATGTGGTCATGGAGATGTAGAGGCAGGGATGAGAGTGGAGGAGGTAAAGGTAGTAGGATGGATAGGCAGGGATGGTGGTGACCCTGGTTTCAGGCTGGGGTAACTCTGTGTATGGCAGTGCTATTAACTGCACAGAAAACACACTCAGAAAAAAGAAGTAGTAGATTTGGGACATGGGATGTAGAGAAAATTTGACTTTTAGGGGGCAGATTATATTTGAGGTATCTGTTCATTCAACAGGAAAAGGAAGCAGTAGGGCCAGGAAATGCACACCCTAAACACACTGGAAGAAAAAAAAAACAGTTTTTCTTTACATGTTAAAGACCATTCGATAATCAATTGGGAATGGATAGAGGAAAGGTGAGATCCCTGAACTTAAGATACAAATAGCATGCCAAAGTTAGTCAACTGAAAACCTTAATAAAATTAGAAATGCCATTAATAATTAAGTGTGTTATATAACATACGTTTGTCATTCCTACTCTTCTAAGAACCTATCATATCCATGGTGGAAAAGAAGTTCCAAGCTTTCAAGTAACTTGTCAAGGACACTCGAGGTCTCACCATTATCACCACAATGCCAGCACATAACAGGAACTCTGTAAATATCAGTTAGCTGACAAACGTCTGCTGCATAATGAGAAACTAAGCCCCAATTTGAACTGAGGTCAGAACTCTTTCCACCAGCCAGACTGCCTCATCTGGTAGACAGTTTCTCTTTTTTTAACACCATTTATCGTCTTGGTCTCCAGGATGTCTTCTGCTCTTTATTATTCTCCAAGTTTCTCTGTCCTTTCCTTCACTTCTCCTCCTGTTCTCCCCATCCTTCTTCCTTGGTTCTATAGCCCTTTCTTGATCTACTAATGCTTCTTCTCTTAGAAATGACCTAAAATGATTCATACATCATGGAATTAACACAGTAAAACATTAAAAACAAAACAACAAAAACTTAAAGCATCAAAACAAAAAAGTGAGATCTTAAAATAAAAATTCATATGCTTCAAAGCTCATATAAGACAAGTTTAATTTTTCAAATAGAAACAAATTTAAATTCGGGGAAATGCTTTCCCAGAGCACAATATATAAACATTGTGAACTTGGAGCATCATTAGGATGGGGTTGATATCACAATGTGGTTACAATCTTCTCTGGCTATATAAATTTTTCGTTAATTTAGAGTGTCCCTGTTTTATTGCTGCCTTTTATTTTCTAAGTATTAGCTCTAATATTTTGCAGAGAATTTTCTCTTCGATTATAATGGTCACTAATAGCCTTCTTCACAACATCTTATCTCAGCTTTCACTTCAAATTTTGATTTGAGGAAACGTTTTCTAGCATAAGCACCAAAATGCAGTCACTGTTTGTATAATGTATTGTTATAGGATATAAAAAAGATTTTAATCTGGTTAATAGGGACAGTGGTCAGCAGAATTCCCTGCAGAAGAACTGATGCTTGTGACCAACACTGTGGTTCACATGATCGTGCTTAGGAGAGCAGCTATTTCTGTTTACAAGATAACTTTCACCATGAAATGAAAATAGCATGAATGTATTCAATCAACTAGCTAGCTTTTTTGATGGGGAGAAAGCAAAGGGGTGATTAGAATTATTTCCTTTTTAGTACATAAAGCAAAACTTAATTTCATATGACATTATTTGACATACACTGTAACTACATATATTTGATAAAAATCAAGGAGGTCTTGATTTCAGGACTTTTCAGCAGGATGAAAAGGATTATTTCTCCATTCTCCTGGCATATCTCAAGCAAAATGTTGAATGCACACACTATATATTTTTTAATTCAATGATGATGGGAAAGCAGAGAATGTAGGAAATTAAGGAAATATGGGGTCAGTCAACTGTATGCCATCTTGTAAGATTAATTTCTAAAAATATTCTCTGAAAAAAGTAAAATAATCCTACTTTTCCAGCCCTGTGATTTTAACGCTATTAATAACAAAATGTATCATCAAGGGTTTGGTCCTGCAAAGGCAAAGGCCTTCACTGGATTAGAAATGAAACAATGTAACAAGAAAAATGGGGAAAATATAAACTATGTACTTCCGCACACAGGATAATTCAGGGCATCTGGAGACGGTTTAGTTTCATAAATTAATGATTTCTAATCTCTTGTCATGAACAATACATACTAATAGAAAGTGAGGTTTTTACAATTGTTGAACTAATTTACACTCCCACCAACAGCATGTCTTTCCTTTTCTCTGCAACCTCACCAGCACCAATTACTTTTTGACTTTTTAATAATAGCCATTCTGACTGGTGTGAAATGCTATCCCACTGTGGTTTTTATTTGCATATTTCTAATGATTAGTGATGTTGAGCTTTTTTTCCATATGCTTGTTGGCTGTATATATGTCTTCTTTTAAGTAGTGTCTTGTTCATGTCCTTTGCCCACTATTTAATGGGGTTGTTTGTTTTTATCTTATAAATGTGTTTAAGTTTCTTACAGATGCTGGATATTAGACCTTTGTCAGATGCATACTGGCAAAAATTTTCTCCCATTCTCTAGGTTGTCTGTTTACTCTGATAGTTTCTTTGTTGTGCAGAAGCTCTTTAGTTTAAGTAGATCCCCTTTGTCAATTTTTGCTTTTGTTTGAATGGTTTTTGGTGTCTTCATCATAAAATCTTAACAAAATCCTTTGACGCAAGTTAATCTATTCACAAACCTGCACATGTACCTGCACAACTTGGACTTAAAAGTTTAAAAAGTGAGTTTTTTTTGTTTTTTTGTTTTTTTTTTTTTGAGACGGAGTCTTGCTCTATGGCCATGCTAAAGTGCAGTGGTATGATCTTGGCTCACCGCAACCTCCACCCCCCGGGTTCAGGTGATTCTCCTGCCTCAGCCTCCCGAGTAGCTGGGATTACAGGTGCCCGCCACCACGCCCAGCTAATTTTTGTACTTTTAGTAGAGACGGGGTTTCACCACGTTGGCCAGGATGGTCTGGATCTCTTGACCTCGTGATCTGCCCGCCTCGGCCTCCCAAAGTGCTGGGATTACAGGCCTGAGCCACTGCGCCAGGCCCAAAAAGTGAGTTTTTTTAAAAAACCAAGTCTTAGAAGAAAAATTATTTGAAATGTAATACATGCTCAGGAAATAACCAGATTGAAGATGACTGGAGTGACTAACACATCTGTAGTGCACATTGTAGTGTGCAGCTGAGATCCCCCTTTCAGAACTAAGGTGCTCATTGCCCCAGCTGTTGAGTGAGTTGGCTGCTCATTGCTCACCCATGAATCCCTCCACAGGAACTGCCCTCTACCAAAGGAAACTGCCTTGCCCAAGTTTGCACCTCCTTTCCAGTGGCGGCCTACATCTAATTACTGGTTGTGGGGTACAAAGGCCTGCTTTCTTGCCTCAGCCGGGATCCCCAGCTCCTATTGACCATTCAAAGCCTCAGTTGAAATTGCATTGCAGTTCCACTTTTCCCACTGCCCAGTTTTGCTTTCCTCACTCCTTACCAGTGTTGTCGAGTGCAGTCCTCAGTAAACCTCCTGCATCCAAATGGGCATCTCAGAGTCTATTTCCCAGGGACTCAAGTTACAAAAACAGTAAAGCAAAAAGTAAATTGGTTTTTAGAATAAGTCTTCAGGTAGTGATCAAAAAACAATTTCCGTTTTTCATTCGAAGATTATAAAGAAAATACCTGAGACAATTAAAGTCAGGTAATAAGTAGCCGCAAGGATTCAGAAACAATGCCTATCAGGGCCAGATGCAGTGGCTCTAGCCTACAACTCCAGCAACTCAGGAGACTGAAACAGAAGGATCACTTCAGGCCTGGAGTTCAAGACCAGACTGGGCAACATAGTAAGACTCCATCTCTAATTTTTTTTTTTTTTAATTAGCTGGGCAAGTTCACTGCAGTGAACTATGATCGCAGCATTGCACTACAATCTGGGTGACAGAGACCCCGTCTCAAAAAAAAAAAAAAAAAAGAGGAAACAATGCCTTACATGTGTTCAATCCTCAGAAGACGGATCTGTGCCGAGTCTAAGAAGTTAACAGGCAAGTTTATCTCAGCCGTAGTACTGGAAAATCCAGTTTCTTAGGTTGATTCTGTTCTGCTTGAAATTCTGTCAGCCTAAGAAGCACGCAGAGGTCTCCAGTGATTAACTAGATGTGATGCATAAGTGCAGTGGAGAAATCTAGTCTGAATACATTGTCAAGTGGCAAA